>NC_000009.12:76970552-77595552 GCF_000001405.40 Homo sapiens | reverse complement strand
GGCCAAAACCCACTGGTGCCCCTTCCTAACTCTGTGGGAAGGGCTCAGAGAAGTTAAATAACCTCCGGTTTCCTCTTCTACAGGATGAGGTGTGTGTATGTTGCACTCAGCACAGCAGCCCTCAATAAATGGTGGTTCTCAGTATTCACAAAGAGCTGGAAAGAAATATTGAAGGCATTTGTCATGAAGAATCATCTTCTGTGCTCACGAAGCTATGATGGCCTCTTTGGTGTTGAGCAGGCACATTCCCATTTATAATTTATCCACCTAGTCTCCTCAATTCCTTGATGACCTAAGCCAAGGAATAAATCCAAACATTAACTTAACAAATATTCACCAAGCATCAGCTCTGTACTGCTGGACTGTGCCAAGTGATGTGGAGAATGCAAATATAAAAGATGTGGCAACAGCAGCAAATAGTCTAAGATGAGCTTGAGACATGGCAAACAGCTCCACCCTATAGCATTCTGTAACCAGTGCCAAGCAAGGGGTGGAAAGTGCGACTGTTTGGAAGTGGTCAGAGATGGTTTCTTGTAAAAGGTGAAATGAGCGAGGCAACAGGAAAGGCTTCATTTAATTCCCCACATTTTACACAAAATACTGCTCACTTATTTCCTGTTCCCAAGGGCCCACAGTGTTCCTAGACAACATGAGTCTCTCCTTGCTTGAAACAAAAACAGGTGTTTAGAGTGAGCATGGACTTATTCAATGTGGGCTGCTCTCCCATGCACACGGAGAAGGCCCTATCATTGCCCAGAAACTTGAGCAAATCTGGTAGGGCCAAGGCCAAGTCTAATGTCTTCCACTCTAAGAAAGAGTTTCTAGTTATAAACTCAGGAGAGGGCTTCTCATTATGCTTGATAAATCCTTCAAGTCCTTTCACCTTTTAGAGACAACAGCCAAACCATTACACTTTCAAATTGAGCGTGGGGCCCCTTTCACAATGGAGAGAGACTAGGAAAAAGGACATTTTTCCAACTGACAAGCTTGATAGCTTCGAGTGTCACCTCAGCTCAAGTTCTTCAGAACTCAGCAGACTACCTGTAAATACTTGACACTTTGGGTGTAAAACTCATTTTGATTTGTTTTTGGTGCTTGTTCTATTTAGGGCCAGCTGGAGACCACAGCAGTAGATAGTTCATGGAAACTTGCCTTTTCCTTCCACACTCGGAGCCGATGTGGAGTGGCTGGAGAGTGCTGGTGGGCTTTTGAAGTGTCTGCCCTGGCAGAAAAGGCAGAGGCAGACCTGGTCTCCATCTTGACTAGAAATGCTGACTATCTGGAAAAACAAGAGCCTAGATTTAAAGAATGGGCCTGCCCCAGCCTCTGAATTCCCAGTTCTATACTCAAGACTTTTTGACTCTGTTGCTCCACTGTGTTGCTGCTGACTTATTTCCTTATCCCTGTAACTGTTTTCAATTTATTCACTCTGTGCCACGATGGAGTTTCACCCCTCCCTGCCCAGCCATATCACCTCCCCTATGCTACAGAGAATCCAGCAGATGAGGCCTTGCTTGTGAACTGGCTTCTTAGATTCTGATACATTAGGCAAAAAGGAAGCAGTTCTACAAAGCACTTTCTAAATGGTGAACCATTCATTGTACAATATAAGGCAGCTCCAGTATGATCAGACTCTCGTGTGCTCACTAGGAGGGAAGAGTAAAAAGAACACTTTCAAGCAAGCTTTTAAAACTACATGCACATTTGACTTCTACTTGTTTTTCTTTCAGCCTTGCTCTGCATTGCCAATGTGTCCTTGGACAGCATAGCTGAAAAGGAGAATGTGTTGGAAAGACAGCGATGGTGATTCTTTGCAGGATGTGTTGTGACAGCCCTGATCAGAGCTTAGATGGTGCAAATTGACAGGTTGCTGTCAGGCTCCAAGCTCACAGCAGCTGGCTGCCCTGCCCCCAGGAGGCCTTGCATCTCCTTCAGCCTTCAAAAGTCAGGGGCGGTGGCTCACACCTGTAATTCCAGCACTTTGGGAGGCTGAGGTGAGTGGATCACCTGAGATCAGGAGTTCGAGACCAGCCTGGCCAACATGATGAAACCTCATCTCTACTAAAAATATAAAATTAGCCTGGCGTGGTAGTGCACGCCTGTAATCCCAGTTACTTGGGAGGCTTGAACCTGGGAGGTAGAGGTTGCAGTGAGCCAAGATCACACCACTGCACTCCAGCCTGGACAATAGAGTGAGACTCCGTTTCAAAAAAAAAAAGGAATGTTAGGGAGGGTATTTTGATCATGCAGACTACAGCTTCAGCTTTTACCTCTGTAATTGGAGGTAATAACACTGCCTTGCTACTCATGGTTCTTGTGTGATTCTAAGGGAATAACATCTCTGACAACACACAGAACAAAATTAAGTGCTAACCAAGTGTAGAGTTATAACACATCTCTTATTAGAGTATCAAGAATTGTTTTTCCTGCATATGAATCTAGGACAAAGTTTGAAATTGAGCATTAGGCTATTATAAGTGCAACTCCTTCTCCCCCACAGTAGACCTTCCCCCTGCCCTCTACCCCAGCTCCCTTAATGCCTTTTTCTAGGAATAATTGATCATTGAAACAGCCCAGCCCAGGAAGAAAAGCCTGCATACTTTGTGAGCTGTGACTTTCCCATGATTACATACCTGTTTTTTTGTTCAGTTAAAAGTGTTAATCAAATGCCTGCTTGTATTTGGTGCTAAACCAGGCACAGTCCAGTTATGAGTTCTGTGTCAAGTGGTTTGTCCTTCAGGAAGGGCAATAAAGCAAGAAGATAAAGGATCCTACAGCAAGGAGACCAGTGACATATGGAGCTAAAAAAGAGGAAGGAAAAGTACTTATAACACAGAAAAATCAAGAAAGAATTTATGAAGGGTTGAAGATCTGTAAGAATTAGATCAGAGATTACAAACTCGAATGTTTAGAGAGGAAGCAGGGAATAACTTCATGAGTCATTCAGGCTGGTGTGGTGCTATAGGGAGTGGTGGTGACTGGGGTAAACTGGAGAAAGCTTGTCTCCCCCAAAGGGGTGGCCACTACCCCGGCAAATTTAATGTTACTCCCTGGGAACATAGACCCAAAGGGACCAGATCTTACACAGATCTTTTATACTATGAGAATCTAGAAATCTACTTTTCAGTGAAATCTGCCAATTTCTGACAACTAATAAAAGCAAGCCTTATCTCTTAGAGCAAGTTAACATGGTCATTCACTGTCCTTCACTTATGCCATCAGGGTTAACACATGCGCGTGTAAGCACACACACACACCACACAATTACACAGTTATTAGTTCACAACCTCCTACTTAGATGTTAGGAATGGATTCAAGCACCCCAGGCTGACAGAAGAAAGTGCTGGACATGGCCAGGCACGGTGGCTCACGCCTGTAATCCCAGAACTTTGGGAGGCTGAGGCGGGCGGATCACGAGGTCAGGAGATCGAGACCACTGTGAAACCCCGTCTCTATTAAAAATACAAAAAATTAGCCGAGCATGGTGGTGGGCGCCTGTAGTCCCAGCTACTTGGGAGGCTGAGGCAGGAGAATGGCATGAACCCGGGAAGCGGAGCTTGCAGTGAGCTGAGATCGCGCCACTGCACTCCAGCCTAGGTGACAGAGCGAGACTCCATCTCAAAAAAAAAAAAAACCAAAAAACAAAAAACGGTGCTGGACATGAACAAGAAACTCAAGTGGTTCACAGAGAGCTAGGCTGTTGGGTGCATGAGAAGTATTATGGGAAATCTATCTAGAAAGCAGGTCAGAGGATCTTGAGTGCCAGACGGGATGTTTAAAATTATCCTGTTAGAATGGAGAGCTGATAAAGGTTTTTGAGCAGGGAGTGGATTTACCAGATAGAACAATAATCTGGACTAATCTAAGAGACATGTTTGATCAAAGAGAGCCACGCACTATGCTACCATATGACATACTACTGTACTGAATGTTTTCCATAAACTATGCTTCTCACCCTAACAAACCAAGGTAGAGGTAGGTATTGTTAATTATCTTCATTTGACGCCTGAGGAAATTGAGTCTAATGGGAGTCCCCTAGGATCATACAGCTAGAGAGGGAGGGACCAGAATTTGAGTCTAGGGACATTTGATTCTAAGGCCTGGATAGTTGGCCCCTCTGGTGCCCAGATTTAAAAGAGGGAGAGAGAATGAGAGAAAAATCTATTCTTTTTTAAAAATCCTAGTACTCTATCTTCCTGTAACTTCACACCAGATACTCAAAGATTTGTGGACAAGGATGGAGCCTTCAACTCAACCAGGACAACTTGATATTAAGAAGCAATTTGATGTAGGCTGGGTGTGGTGGCTCATGCCTGTAATCCCAGCACTTTGGGAGGCCTATGTAGTAGGGAAAACACCTGCTGTAGGAAGGGTATGATCAGGATGATTCTACTCGGAAACAGCGTGTGATCGTCCTGAAAATGCAGTATTTCAGTGCACTGTCTGCCTTCCTGGAGGGCAAGAGGAAATTAACCTGGACATTCACTGTCTATCACTAAAAATGAGATGACTTTAAGTTTGCCGAGTCTTTCAAGGTTGTGACCCGTGGTTCTTTATTCCTATAGAAGAACGTGGAATCTTTTGCCCCCCAAAAGAGGTCTGTTGTATTATTTATGCTCTGGCCTGTGGTAATAGCAATTTTAAAATAAAAATATGTCTAATGTGTGTGACATGTCATCCTTACCTATTTGGATGCTTGGCCTGTGCTTTTCTAAGGGTTTAAGAGCCACTTCAATTCTAGAATTTCTTAATTCTCTGAAAATTTGCTCATGTGTGGGATGCTTATATTAATAAGTAATAGTATCTTCCTAATAACTTTGTCATAATCTTATTTTTTTTTTTTAATGTGTGACCTAAGTATTACCTTTGTTTGTCCCATGAGTGAACGGGTCTTCAAAAAGGTTACTTCTCTTGCCCTGTGCTACACTACATCTGCCCTTCATTCTGAAGCAGACACTGGTTCACATGGCTTGGACAAGAGTGAGCAGATGTGGGGGACAGCAGGAAAGAATACAAGAAATCAGGGCTGTCCTGGAATATGTGGGACACCTGGTAGCCATGCCATGCCATTTTCCCAGCAGATAAGCAAAGAGGAAGAATAATTCTGTGGCACATAGAAAATGTGAAATTATGCTCACCACGTATGTCTGTAGGTTGATTGTGCTGGTTTTGTTGTGAATCTTACCTGTACTCCCTCAAGAATGTGAACACATCAGTCCCCTTCAGTGCAAAGCCCTAGCCTAGAAACTTAATTTTACAGGAGGAAATTTCTTAGGACTTGATCACAAAGGTTAGGAAAATGATGGGGAGTTTTGCTGAGCTTAAAACTGACTTGGGGCCGGGTGCGGTGGCTCATGCCTGTAATCCCAGCACTTTGGGAGGCCGAGGGGGGTGGATCACTGAAGTCAGGACTTCAAGACCAGCCTGGCCAATGTGGTTGATACCCCATCTCTACTAAAAATGCAAAAATTAGCTGGACGTGGTGGCAGGCACCTGTAGTTCCAGTTACTCGGGAGGCTGAGGCAGGAGAATCACTTGAACCTGGGAGGCCGAGGTTGCAGTGAGCCGATATTGCGCCACTGCACTCCAGCCTGGGTGACAGAGCAAGACTCTATCTCAAAACAAAACAAAAACCTGACTTTGTACTGGTTTCCTTATCCTTTTAGGGGAGAAGAGGCATTGATTTTACTCATATTTGATGTTTCCCTGATTATAAAAGACGTAGTTTATAGTGTGTTGTTTTAGGAAGTCAAGGTCTTGGTATGGAAGGCAGTGACTCTGGATGGTCATAATTAAAATCCAGTGTTGCCATCCAAATGACAATGTGCTTTTGCAGGCAACTCTGGCTATCATGGTTGCTTTAGGCAACCTGCGGTTTACCCACTGTGTACTGACTACAGGCCATAGCCCGAGGGTGGAGGAAAAAGGCAATATCCAGCTACTCTCAGAGGTTTCTCCACCCTGGATGAGCAAACAACCCTCTCCCCTTTCAACAAACACAGTACCTGTAAAGACAGGGCTGACTCATACGATGGCTTTTGAGAATGAAATATAAGTGATATCTGAACCCTAAGGTGATATATTAAACAAAGAGTGTTCTCCGCTCTTCCAGGAACCATGACTTCCAAAAACAAACAAACAAAAAAACAAAACAAAAAAAGAAAACCGAGCTCACTCCATTTTGCATGAATAAAATTTCTAGGTCAAAGTCAAAGGAATTGGTAACACTGACAGTTTGGTTGACGCAGAAAGTCAAATAGCTTCCTCCTTAAGAGGCTCTGGGAAATGAAGTGGCCTGGCCCATCAGAGCTAGAAATGACCCTGCAAGTGAGCATTTATTTCCTTGTCAGGCCAGTTTGGCTTGCAAGAAATGCACCTGTGAAAACCAATGCCAGGTTTTGGTAAACTGGTCCTAAAAGTTACTGAGCTATAATAGATTCCTGGGGCATACAAAAGTGCTGTGATTCCAAGTTTGATTTTTAAAAATACATTGAAGGGTCTGTATGAAATGGAATATAAATAAAGATGGCTTTGAATGCTAATGTCTAAAGCAAACAAACAGTTCTTTTTAGCTGTGCTGGCCCATGGCTTTTAAAAATGTGGCTAGCATGTGAACCCCCAATGTGTCCCAGGCACTTTTAGACAGTGGCAAAAGCAGGTTCCTTCTTTTGAAGAATTTTCTGCGACTGCATGTGTTCAGAGCAACACAGTAAGCACCCAGTATATATTTGTGGAACAGAGAAAGCTGTTAATTCTCTCTGGGAACATCAGAAGGACTTCCTGGGGCTAAGGTGACCTCTGACTCAGATTCAGGTTTGACAGTAGGAGAGTGTCACCTGACAAAGAAGGGGGATTAGCAACTTTTATGCTATGTGTGCTAACCTGCCTTCTAACTTAGATTTTTATATGAAATATATTTTCCTGCTTCCTTGCTCCTCTCTGTTCAGTCTTATCCCTGCTTCTATATCCTCTGATTAAAGGCTTTAAACTTTCCTTCTCTTCTCACCCCGTGACTCATTCAGCTGTCAGACACTTCCTAAGCATCTGCTCTCCAGGCTTCCTTGCTCCTGGGGAAAGCATTGTGCTAAATGTGAAATTCCTGCAGATTTCCTTAGTCATTCTCCATCAGGATCAAGAAATCACCAAGTCCTGCTTGTTACTTTCACATTCTTCATTCAAAATACAGTGCTGAAAAACAGGAAGTATTTTATCAATTAATGTTCTGTGGTTGCAAGCAACAGACACTGGCTAACTGAAGGAAGAAAAGGAGTTCACTGAAGGGGTGTCAGGGTGTGGTGGATGGAGTGATAGCCCCCCAAAGATGTCCCCCTCTGAATCCCTGAAAACTGTGAATATGTTACTTGACATGGCAAAAGGGACTTTGCAGATGGGATTAGGATCTTGAAATCGGGAGAGTGTTCTTGACTATTCAGGTAGAACCAATGTAATACAAGGGTCCTTATAATAAGGGATGCAGGAGGGCCAGAGTCAGAGAAGACGATGTGATGACTGAAGCAGACATCACTGAGACAGGAATTTGAAGTCACTGCTGGCTTTGAAGATAGAGGAAGGGGCCAAAGCCAAGGAAGGCAGATGGCCTTTAGTAGCCAGAAAAAGGCATGGAATGAAGCCTCCCTTAGAGCCTCCAGAAGGAACAGAGCCCTCCAACCCCTAGGTTTTAGGATTTTTGAAATCCAGAACTATGAGAGAATAAATTCGTGTGTGTATACGTGTGCTTGTGTGCATGTGTTTCAATTGCAGTGAAATTCACTGAATAAAAGCAACCATTTTAAAGCAAACAATTCAGCGGCATTTAGTACATTCACAGTACTATGCAAACACTCTATCTAGGACCAAAACATTTTCATCAGCCCAGAAAGAAACTCCATACATACTAGGCATTCGCTCCCCATCCCTTTGTCCCACCTCCCCCAGATAACCACCAATCTGTGTTCTTTCATACTACGGATATTTCATAGAAATCCAATCTTATGTGACTTTTGCGTCTTCTGGCTTCTTTTGCTTGGCAAATATTTTAAAGTTCACCCATGTTGTAGCATGTGCCAGTACCTCATTCCTTTTATGGCTGAATAATATTCCATTGTATATAAATACCACAATAACTTTAGCTATTCATCAACTGATAGATATTTGGGCTGTTTCTACATTTTGGCTATTGTGAATAGTGCTGCTATGAACATGTGAGTATAGATACTAATATGAGTTCCTGCTTTCAGTATTGGGGGTATATATGCTTAGAAGTGGAATTGCTGGGTCATGTGGTAATTCTATGTTTAACTTTTTGAGAAACTGCCAAACTATTTTCCATAACAGCTGAACCATTTTACATTCCCACCAAATAACTGGAATGCATAAGGTTTCCAATTCTCCACATCCTCATCAACACTTGTTCTTTTCTTTTCTTTTTTTTTTAAGTATAGCTATCCAAATGATAACAGGAGCTAGAAAGAAATTATTTAGTCAGATAGTGAAGGTAAGAGAGTCCTTAGTAAGATTTTCCTTTAATAAAAAGCAGCCCCCAAATCATTTATTTTCTATTAAAAAAAAAAAAAAAACCAGCCTGTAAAATCGAGCTGCAGACATATAGGTAAGCAAGTTGGAAGCTTGCACGGGTGAATGCCTGCAGCTGTGCCAATAGGAAAGTGCTACCTGGGGGACCAGGCGTGTTCAACATGGAGGTTCCATCTTCCTTTTTCGGTCAACTACGGGTACCGTAAAGGAACAGGCAACATGGCGCTGGCCAGGTAGAGAACCTATCTGCATAATAAAAGGTTAGGGTGGGGTGGCCAGCTTCTTCACGCACTATGTAAATGACACACCTGGTCCAACCAATTTTTGGGCCCTATGTAAATCAGACACCGCCGCCTCAAGCTCATCTGTGCACTTTGCCACGGACTAGAAGGCCCACTTGGCCGCCCCTCTGTGTGCAGGAGAGAGAGCTGTTCTCTTTCTTTCGCCTATTAAGCCTCTGCTCTTAAACTTACTTCTTGAGTGTCCGTGTCCTTGATTCCCTTGGTGTGGGACAACAAACCTCGGGTATTTACCCCAGACAACTATGCCACTTTATTAGTGGGAGTGAAGTAGCACCTCACTCTGAATTGTATTTTCATTTCTCTAATGACTAATGATGTCAAGCATTTTTTCATATGCTTGTTGACTATATATCTTTATTGAGGAAATTTCCATTTTTTGACCTTTTTTAAAAAATTGGGCTGGTTATCTTTTTGTTGTTGTGAGAGATCTTTATATAGTATGGATATGTATGAAAAAAGAGCTCTTTATATATTTTGGATGCTAGACCCCTAATTGGTGCTCTTTTAAGCCACTGAGTTTGTGGTAATTTGTTATAACCAATTTGTGGGAAGGATGCTCTGGGGTTCTGGATGCCAGGGGTAAGTGATGTATCTGTTCCAGTTTCTTTCAATTCTTGTGTCCTGATTTCAGAGGGGAGCGCGGCTGTTGTAGCCTGGGGAGTGTTTGGCGAACACTCAGGTCAGAACAAGGCAAGCCACTTGATTGTTAGCACCACTAAGACTGCCTGGAAAATAAATAGAAATACTGTTACAGACAGAAGGGCAAACATTCTGGGAAGGCAAAAACAATAATACATTACAGGCATAAGAAGGTAATACTAAATAATAATAAATGAAATCTAACAACATAAAGGTCTAAAAACCTCCCGCAGCCCAAGAGGGAATTCTGGAATTATAAATGAGGAAGATGTAGCAGGGGACAAGCACCAATAAAAACATTTAGGGGATTTATTGGATAGACGTCACAGGCAATATTAGTAGAGGTATACTATCTGAGAAAAGGGAGGTGAGAATCCTGTGCTGCTCTGTGCTGGTCATACCACACTTTAGGTGAGGAATTCCACTTTGTGCTCCATACCTACAGAGGCATATAGGCAAAGCAGGTCACATTCAGAGATGAGAGCCAGGAGGCTGGAATCATGCCATTGGAGTAATGGTCAGAGAAATGGTCACAAGGGTGTTGGGGGAAGTCCAGTTATGGGGAGCTACCCAGGAAAAGCATGGTAAAGAAAGGTAAGGTTTGTTATGCAGCTTTAAGTTGTGCCTTCTTCATTGATAAGAGACTATAGTGAGTCATCCTTCTCTTCCTGGTACCGAGAGGGAGACACCCTTACAAATGGAGATTTTCTTTGTAGATATAAATTTCCCTTACAAAAGGAAACTTCAACTCTGTGTTTGGAACTTCTGTGTCTGTAGTTTCTCAAAATAATCAGCTCAAAATAATTCTTATGCCTAAAAGGAATATTTTGGGATGGGATATTCTGGTCTCCTATGGTCATATTTTGGGGTGGCATATTCTGGTCTCATACGCACTCTTCCCTCTTTAAGATTCTGTGATCCCTCTGTCAGAGGCGTGTGAACCAGAACAACTCCATCTTGAATAGGAGCTGGGTGAAATGAGGCTGAAACCTACTGGGCTGCATTTCCAGATGGTTCGGCATTCTAAGTCACAGAATGAGATAGGAGATTGGCACAAGATACAGGTCATAAAGACCTTGCTGATAAAACAAGTTGCAGTAAAGAAGCCGGCTAAATCCCACCAAAACCAAGATAGCCATGAGTGACCTCTGATTGTCCTCATGGCTACACTCCCACCGGCTCCATGACAGTTTACAAATGCCATGGCAACATCAGGAAGTTACCCTATATGGTCTGAAAAGGGGAGGCATGGATAACTCACCCCTTATTTAGTATATAATCAAGAAATAACCATAAAAATTGGCAACCAGCAGCCCTTGAGTCTGCTCTGTCTATGGAGTAGCCATTCTTTCATTCCTTTACTTTCTTAATAAACTTGCTTTCACTTTACTCTACGGACTCACCCTGAATTCTTTCTTGCATGAGATCCAAGAACCCTTTCCTGGGGTCTGGATCTGGACCACTTTCCTGTAACACCTCCCTGCCCCTTGGCATCATCTGAGTTTGGGCTTGCTGGCTCTTCCTGCTACCACTTCAGCTGAAATATTGGTTGGGGTGGTGGGGGGTGGGGGGTAAGTCACAGGACTGGAGACAGGATGGGTTGGGAGGGTAGAGGCTAGGGATGTTTATTCTCTGGTGAAAGGAAAGGCAAGCTAGTGGTATAGAACAGTGGTCTCCAAACTTTGATTGCACACCCCATCAGTAAAATAATGTTTGCATATGTACTCTTCAAATTGGGGATTATTACTTTAAAATCATAAGCATATACTATTTTCAGATGCAATATACTATCAAGGTCATCATTAAAGATGACTATAAGCCTATATTCCAAATAATCTTTATTATCATTTTGAACTGCTAGACCACCTTTGAATGGTAGAGGTAGATTCTTAATGTTACCTTTCGCAGTTTCTTGGCACTGTTTAGGCAGTAAACTGAATGGGAATGAACAAGTGAGTCCACTGCTGTCTACTGCTCTGAGTTGCAGAATTTTATTTTTGCCCTTGTCTCAGTATTCCTTTTCACACATTCTCTGTTGGGAGGTCATCTGACAGACCAAGTGAGGTTAGCTGTGTTTGTTGAGATTTTATATTTTTAGACAAATATAACCTAAAATTCAGATACTTTATTCCTGCAGATCAATGGAGCATCGTGTTTGTCCCTTGGGTGACATCTTTTGGGTCCACTAGTGGAGGAGTAGGACCTTGCTACTCCAGCAGTGGTCCTCCGAGCTGAGGCAATGGCTTTGGCTGGGGGTGTGTTAGAAATGCTGACTTGCAGACCACACCCCAGATGTACTGAGTCAGACTCTGCATTTTTAACAAGATCCCCAGGTGGTATGCACAGAAAAGTTTTAGAAACATTAGTTTAGGGGCTGATCAAGGATTTTTTGGAGTGGGGGAGTCGGTTAGAGGGCTGAAAGCTTGGAGAAGAGATGATGGGGATCTCATCTCAAGCTTGTAGACACAGGAGTTAGGCTGTTCAGTGTCTCTCACACATACACTCAGAAGTAGGTCAGTAAAGAGTCAAACAGAAATCATCTGAAAAGAGTTTTAAAAAGTCCCAACCTCTTAATCAAGGAGAACATAAAACGAGTAAAATTCCAAACAGTTTTACTGGAACTTCATGAACTTCCAGAGAAATCCTTTGTTTTGGAATCTAGAGTCAGAGGAGTCCAGATTCCTTGAATTGGGGTTTTCTGTTGCCAGAGCTTTTCCACATTTCCCAGCTGCTTGCTATTTATCTGCCTTTTTAGCTGAAGCTCTCATGACCTCGGGTGTAAATTTAATGCTTTCTTGTCTTCCTTGATTGTTTTCTTCTCTGTTCCCAGCCCCTTATATCCGAACTCAGTCTTTAATGTCTGGCTTGCATTTCCTGATCAGATTCACAAAACAAAGACTGCGTTATCTCATTTGTTGGGGGAGAATTAGCCCAATTAGAGATAGGGTGAAGTTCTTGTGCCTATCCCAAGACCTCTGAGCTTTGCACCAGTGAGTGCTGCTGGGAAGTGTCTGAGCACTGCCTTCTGTTATATTTGCAGTTTGACCGACAATTTCAGATGCTAGCACTGCATTCATCACTGGGGATCTTGATTTAACATAGCTGGGTACAGGTGTGAAAATCAAGCCTTGCCAGTCAGAGTGAGGTTTCCATTAATCAGTCAATGGTTTTTGAGTGTCTCCTGAAGACTTCCCAGTTCCCTGAGCAGAGAAAGATGAGCAAGACCAGGCCCTTGACTTTACAGAGCTCAATGTCTTGTGGCAAATACAGATATACAGACCTATGTTAGGCAAGCACAGATACGTAGGCAACAACAGGAGGTGTTGCACAATGTATCTGTGATTGCCTGCTATCAGTCTGTATATCAGACCGATGACAGGAGGTGTCAAGTCATATGACTGGAACAAATGATTAAATCTTGTGGCAGCTGGGATGAGGGAGTGAAGGGGGTTGTGTTTGAAAAGTTCAGAAATATTTATCTGGTGGACTGGAGAGAAGTGAAAAAAATTCAGATAGATATAACCACTTATGCAAAATGGGCATGCAAATTGTCGTTGAGTGATGGCAAACTGTAAGTTCAAAGTAATGGACAAGATCTCAGGGGAGGCAGGTGGACAGCAGTTAAGGAGATTGGACTCTATCCTGGCGGTCAGTGTTTCTCAAGCAGGGTTTACCTGCCTGGTGGAAAGCAGTAGGGGAGGGGGAGAGGTTGGTAAAGTTGTAGAGGATAGGGATGAAGGTGGAAGGCTAGTGAGTTACACCACAGAAAGGAAAGCACACCACTGAGGGCCCACTGAAGTTGTGAACTTATAACTGAGTAGCAGCACAAACCTAAAATATTCTGCAGTTCCTTTGGGGTTTTCTTGTGCCAAGTGGGATCAATCCAGGATTGGAAGCGTTCTTGCCTTGGGTGGACAAATACTGGGAGGTGAAAGTAAAGTGTTGCTGAAAGGGCATTACAATGATAGGACACATGATCCAGGTTGTGGATGAAAGAAAATGAAAATGGAGAAAAAATAATTTGTGAAACAATGGAGGCTCCAAGGAGCCCAGGGTGTTTATGAGCTTCAGGGAGCTGGATTGAGCTGAAGTTGTGATTGAAGAGAAGGGTGTTACAATTTAAGAGTTGAGAATAGGAAGCTTCCTGTTGATGTCACGGTTCTGAGGTTCCAGATTTTTCATGCACCTCTTCCTCTGTGAATCAAGCTTGGCCCGTCCTCCCTGTATTTATTTAAGGTGGCAGAGGAGAGCCACCAACAGATGAAGTTGGATGATGAGAGATGATGAGAAGCATCCACAGGAATGTGGACTGGATGATTGTTTCTTCTGGGCATTCAGCTACCCTGGGTCCTAAGGATTCTGTGACTGGGCCAAACTTGAGATACAACTTCAGTGACCTGCCTTGTTTATCAAGCATTTACTTCCTAAAAGGATCCGATTGGGGTAATTTTACCAATGTCCGAACCAGAGTCTTTTGCACCAAAATTCCCTTGAAAGTTGACCTCCCTTATGTCCGGCCACTGTGTAGTTGTCTCGGACTTGGATCTGAATCCAGGGCAATCATGTGTGGCAGAAAACATGTCATAGCAGTTTGGATGTGCCAGGTACATTGACTCACGTTATCTTTACAACCACATGATGTAGGTACTATGGTTATCTTCATTTTACATATGAGGAAACCAGGGCACAGAGAGGTTAGAAGATTTGCCCATAGCTAGGAAATGGTGGTGCCAGGAGGTCTGGCTATGGACTCTATGCTGTCAACCTGTTAGCTCCCTCTGAAAAGAACTGATTCCAAACATAATTCTTACAAGATGGCAGCAAGCTTCATGGTTTCCTCTTGCAGCCTGTCTCAGCCTAGCACATAACTAAGGTTTCATGTGGTCCCGGTAAATGGGACTCCTTCCACTCCCACATCTCCCTGCCCGTAAACACACCCTGCAAAAAGTCTATGAGAACTGCAGATAGATCTAGTTATCTTTAGGGTGACCAAGTCATTTATAATTCAAACTGAGATAGTCTGAGTAAAGGTGGGTACTATTGTGTGTGTGTGTGTGTGTGTGTGTGTGTGTGTGTGCCTTTATTGTATCTTTAAGCATTGAAACTTCTGAAGAAATCAATGGGCAGTGAGGCAGCTGCTTTTTCCTTCACTTCTTTGGGTTACTAGAGCAACTCGTCAGTAGATTCTTTTAAAAGATTACCTTTTGTATTACTTGCATGCACATGTATTACTGAGGCATGCACTGGTACAATACAGACTTCTCTCATCAGGTGCAACTAGTCTAGCATCCAAACATCATGCACAACACCTTGGTGGCAGCAGCACACTGTGCACACTCCCATCGTGGCCCTGCTCATTTGTGTATGATATTTGGAGCATCTGGAGGAGTACGAATAGTATTGGGAAGAGGTGTGAGGAGGAAACAGTGTGAGTGCCTGGCTGAGAGGAGGTCAGCCGAAGTGAGCAGGGCAAGCCTGAACATGTCATTGGTGCAAACCCAAGCTTCACTGATATTCTTTAATAGGAACATCTGGTGGAACCCGATGATGGGGTCTTCATCTACCTTAAGCTCACCCACAACCATGCTGATGATGCAGCTATCTGGTGTGGGCTAATTGTCCTGTGCCTGTGATGCTGTACTGGATTTTCTGGAACAGAAGGCTAGACAACTTCTCCACAATGGCAGCTTTCCCCTGTCATTGCTGTCCTTCCCACCTAAGGCATGACGCGTCAATGTAAATTGTACCTATTCGGGTTGTATCTTTATCAAATAACTGGTAGTAATGTTGAATGAAGCTGGATTCAGTTTGCTTCCAAATCAGCTTATCTCCCATTCTGGAGCATCACCTGGCCTTGCAGAGACCCAAGGGGCTGGCACTATGGCGGCAGTGGCAGCAACAACCCAGTGTGGTTTGTGACCCAAGTGGGCACTATTGAGAGTTATGCTTGCATAATGGGCACAAACTAGGACTGTTCTAGACAAACCAGGACATACAGTCACCCTGGTTATGTGCTATATATTAAATGAGAGTGGAAGGAAGCTACAAGTGGGCCGGGAATATTTCCAACCCACCTAAAAATTGCCAGAAGAAGGCAAAAATTCCCAAAACCCTGGCTCATAATAGGTTCTTAATAGATTTTGAATGAATAAATGACTAGATTCAAGTGTGCTCCCAAGAGGAATGTGGAGAAGGATAGAAATGAATCAACTAGCAAGGGGATTGGTGGCAAGGAAGGGGCATCACTGGAAAGTGTAAAAACTCACTCTTACAATAGCAGTAATTTCTGTCCAAGCACTTCACAATTGAACAAATTAGGACTTGCCATTGACTTAAATAAATGAGTCAGCAGACCTAAGGGAAACGAAATCGATCCCATTTTTGCATCTTGGTGAGACTGTCGTTGAAATGTCTATATGGGGGGAAATGTAGAGTCTATTTGGCATGCCTATAGAAAGTAACCTTAAATGGCTGAAGGAAGAACAATGGGTCTGTGAAAAGCCCAAGACCAGGGACTTGCAGACATCAAGATTTCCTTTGAATTTGCAAAGTTAACATCACTTTATAAAACTGGAGCAACTAGATTTTGGGGAAATTAAAAGAATGTGCCTCAAGGTCATTGACTGATCATGAAACCAGAACCAGTATCAGCTCGGACAAGCAGCTGGTCTCTGGTTCCAAATCTTTGTCTATTGTTGGGGAAGGGCAGGACTTGAGGCAACCCCTTCCCTACACATACGCGCCCTGCAGAGAGCATTTATTCCCAGTAGCCTGTGGGTATGGGTGTTTGTTGGCAATGTCTTCTCATCTGAAGACAGTTGTCAACTCCACCTGCTCTGCTCCTTCACATTCAGTTGTGCCCAGCCTTAGAGTGAAGGCCCCTTATTTGTTCCCAGTGCCTGAGGGCCAGTCACATGCTCCAGTATTCCAACTTTATAGGTGTGACATAGGGTGGGACTGATGCCCTAGATCTCAGAGATCCTGGGTAGAGACATCCTCATCCCATCTCGGGCAGCTCACTGCCAGCCTCCCATGGCTAAATGGCCTGGAGAATAGAGCAGAGGCAGTGGCCCAGCAGTTGCCCAGATGTCATAGCCAGCATCACCTTATAGTCCGAGATAAGGGCCACAGCATTGGTTAGGCCCACAAGTCTGTGTTTTGGATGCCCATCAAGTGGAAGGCCTTATCATTAATGAAGACTGGATCTCAGTATTCTAGGTGCACTTACAGTCTCTGCCCCTCTTACCCAGCTGGTTCATTCCCTTTTCCAGTAATGAATCCTCTTTGTATTTGAAGCCTACCTCTTCATAGGGACAAAATTTGTGCGGAAATGAGGTTTCAACCAAACTACAATATGGGAAGTATGAGGTTAAGGTTTTAAGTGGGATAAATGTTTCAAGGACAGTCTCTAAACCAAGGCTATGAAAAGATTTGCATGAAAATATTTTCTGTATCTTCATTCAATTTTTTAAATTTTATGAGTTTTAAGACATATGGTGCTCATCTATATCTCAAGGTTGTAGCAACCTGTGACTAAACATGTCCTTTTCTAGTTCCAGATTGATATTTTTCAATATTGTATCTATTCCAATAGTTGACTCATATTGGAAGCACAATATCAAACAAGCTCTAAACAAGTTTTTCAAGCAATATAAAACTGTCATTGGCCCTAGATATAATAGAGTTTTCTAGAGTTATGTGAGAGACTGAAATCACAGGGCCACTGATGCAGGGCAGGCCCAATGATCCTCAGATAAAAGGCAAGCAAGACTTAATCTTTTAGTTTGTTTGTTTTTGTTTTGTTTGAGACGGAGTCTCACTCCATCACCAGGCTGGAGTGTAATGGCACGATCTCGGCTCACTACAACCTCCGCATACCAGGTTCAAGCGATTCTCCTGCCTCAGCCTTCTGAGTAGCTGGGACTACGGGTGTGTGCCACCACGCCCAGCTAATTTTTGTATTTTTTTAGTAGAGACGGAGTTTCACCATTTCACCATGTTGGCTAGGATGGTCTCGATCTCTTGACCTCGTGATCTGCCCGCCTCAGCCTCCCAAGGTGCTAGTATTACAGGCATGAGCCACCGCGCCTGGCCAAGACTTAATCTTGTTGCCATGATCATTCATGGTTTCACTCCACGACCCTTGACCTATTGTCTGTGGGTTCTGATGATGAGTATCTTCATACTGCAGTAATACTAACTCTTAAATGGTGAGATAGGAGTATTTATGATTTCTTTGTTCACTTCCTTAAAAAAAAACATGACTACTGGGAGAAGAAGTTTTGAGGCCATTTGATGGGAAGAGCAATTCCAAAGTACCTCCTGCAACTCCTTCTGTCATCCTCCTTCTCGATTCTACAGAGCCCTCATTGAAAGTGGTCAGTAAACAGGAAGATTCTCAGAGTGTTTAATCTGCAGATGGGGAATATCAGAAGTTTAAGGAGGCTGTGCTAAAATGATTCTCCATGTGTTGATGGTAAACTGTCTCTTGAAAGTCTCTTTGGTGAACAGAAGTCATGTCTCACTGATGACAGTGCTAGAGGGAGGGCTGCCCCACCCTTGTAGGATGATCAGATGTGTTTGTTTTTGAAAGCATCTTGACCTGAATCCACTAAGACTTGAGTTTATGAGACCCACTTGTTAAATATCGATATAGATGGAGGATAAAGCCAGTTCTGAGAGCTGAACTCTATTTTATTGTTATACTAACCAAATTGGTAAAGCTCTGAACTTTCATTTAGGGGAACATAGGATTGATCTGGAATTCATTCTTTAGAATGTACAGTATGTAAGAAAATACAGGGCAGTAACTTACTCTCCTTTCCCCCAAAGCAGTAAATTCAGGTGTCCAAGCTCATTTAGCTTGGTTGTAAGTAAAATGAATTCTTGAGTAATTTTAATTTGGGATGAGAGACTTTTTTCCCCACAAACTCTTCTGTGGATCTGCATATTAGCAAGCACCTCTGGTGTCTAGCCTAAAGCCCTTAATTTTTAATTGCTTGCAGAAAATAGGAGTATAACTGTTTCAAAGGGTGTTTCCATGTGTTTTATTAGATTTCTGTGCATGCACATACTACTACCTCATGGAAAATGCTAGAGGTTAGCAAGGAAGAGGCATAAATTTCTGAGCTATTTGCTGATAAGGTGGGGTTCAAATATTTGACATTTTCAGGTTAGCATATGAGGCTCATATTTTCATAATGTCGTATGTCATTTACCCTGGAAAATATTTGCTGTGTTTCTGATAACACTCATAAATTGGGAAAGGTGTATAGCATTCTTTTTTTTTTTAACCTTTTAACCGTTTGTTACCAAGTCATTGCTGGATGAATCATGGAACATAGAGCATCTCCGTAAAATTTGAGGAAATGAGTATAGGTTTTCAGACCTAAAATAATAAATTACTGACTGGGCAACTTAATTGTGATAATGATGTAAGGAATGTGGAGGGAAAGGTGGGAAACATTAACCTCTTGGCCATATCTAATCATTAGAGTTCCCTGACACCATGTTAACCCATTTTTTATGAAGCTACACAAATGCATCAACTGAAACTCTTCAGTGGTAGTATTGTTATATAGCATAAGATGAAGATGTTACTCTTGAAATAGGCTTTTCCTCAAAAAAGTCACTCTATCTTCTTAGAAAAACAAAACTATAAACACTATGCTTTCGATTTTTTAGATGGGATGTAAAAATTTAGATGTTTTTAAAAATTATTCAGTATTCGGTACACTATCATCAGCTAAAAATAAAAATATGTGGATTTATCAAGAGCTCAAGTCATAACTATCTTTATTTTTGCCCTATCCGATCACTGGACAAACAGCAAATTACCCTCTCTTTCAACGTCTTTCTCTTCTCCCTGACCCTCCCTCACCATATCCCTCAATCTCTCTCCCTTAACAAGCCATGATATTGAACTGAAAATCCATAGGAATATAGTTCTATGATTAGCAGTATATTTATGTCTCTTAATTTAAAAACATGCAACCATAGAAGATTTTATATGTTAATATTATAAACAATAATAAATGCTCACCATGGTTACTAATAAATTCATTGCAACAACATTTCAGCACCATGGATAGCACCAGCGGTGCAGCTTCTACCCCCTTCTCCTGAAACCCCTTTTTGGTCATGCCACCTCTGGTCTGGTGAGGAGGTTTAGGGATGGCTGTGTTGACACAAAATGGCAGTTCTTATACTTGTCTTCTTGTTAAAATCACATGAAGAACTTCAAATATCCCCAAGTTCAGCCCCCGACAACTCAATCAATTAAATCAGAATATCTGAGGTGGGTCTTAGGCACTAATACTTTTTAAAGGTTTTCAGACTTAAAACCAATAGAAAATGGTAATTTGTAGGAGATGAGATGGATTTACGTCTAAAATAGAACTTGTCAACCTTAACTGCCTTTAAGAATTACCCAGCTTGTTTAAAAACAAAATCATTGTCTGGGCCTGTCTTCAGACATTATAACTCAATTGGCCTGAAATAGGAGACCGATATCAGTAGTTTAAAAAAAATCTTCAAGTAATTTTTAATTTACAAGCGTTAATAAACATTTACTATCAAGTAAGACCTGGAAGTAAATTTTTTTCATGTGGAAAGTTTAGGTAAATTTGATATCTCAATAAGAACCTTTCATTCTAGAAGGAAGTAATGTGTAATGTCTAGTTTTCTTTCTTTTTTTTGAGATGGAGTTTCACTCTTGTTGCCCAGGCTGGAGTGCAGTGGCGCGATCTCAGCTCACTGCAACGTCCGCCTTCCAGGTTCAAGCTGTTCTCCTGCCTCCGCTTCTGAGTAGCTGGGATTACAGGCATGTGCCACCATGCTCGGCTAATAATGTCTAGTTTTCATGACATTGGAGTTGAAATTGAGAAACTTGTATTCTAGCCAGATATGAAGTCAAATGGGGCCATACCAGCTACCTTCCGCTCCTTGTCTGGGTCAAAGCCCCAACTCTGGAAACTGAGTAAGGGTATGAAGCGTGAAATCATTATCTTGTGTCTCCAGCTGTACTTAGCAATTTCAAACTATCCTCTAGAAAAGTTTCCTTGGCAACCTTATTTACTTCCCCCCTACAGGGTAGACATCTGGCTGATTTACTCTTCTACAGAAAGTTGGGTGTGAGGCAGCTAACAGTTAGTGCTCGCCAAGTTTTCCCACTTCCCTTGCACTTATTTTAGAGCCATGTGACTCCAAGGAGAGAGTGTCATCTGGGACAAGGCACATAAGACTCCCCTGTTTCTCTTCTTTTGTTGTAGCAATGTTGGAGGCCACATGTCACAGATAGCATAGCTGCAGCATGGAGGAAGGTTGCCTGCCTGACTGAGTGCAAATAAGCAAGAAAAATATTATATTAAGCTACTGAGATTCCAGAGCTTGCCTGATGTGATGGCTACTGTTAATTATACCTAATGAGCCTCTCAAAGATGAACAAATATTCCTGACAGTGTCAGTTGATGAGAATCCTTGTTTCTACCCATTTTAAGTGAAAAAAGAAATGTATTTACATTAATCCTCATATTCCTACACATTTAAAATGCAAGGAGAAACAGTATATGTAATATATGAATTTCAAGTTGCAGAAATATTTTTTATTCCATTGGTCATCATTAGCTATAAACTACTGTCTGTATTTAATCACCCCTCCAGACCCATGGCAGTCCGGGAAGGAAGGAAACACAAATCTTGATTGCATTTGAAATTACCACACAAACAACTTCTTTAATTTTGAAGTAAACCACTGAAAGTAATGATCTCTCTAGACTTTACTTTGCCTTTTTCTTCACACTTGAAATACCGTCAAGGTGCAGCTTGATTGTCCTGTTGCTGAGACTGCTTTCAGTGTCATGCTCTTGCTTATATTCAGTGGCAGCTTGCCTCACTGTGTTTCCTGTAGGTCCTCTCTCTTTTTTGCTTAATTTTAATTTTAGAGACAGGCTCTTGCTATGTTGCCCAGGCTGGTCTTGAACTCCTGGCCTCAAGCGATCCTTTCTCCTCAACTTCCCACAGTACTGGAATTACAGATGCATGGCATGATACCCATATCTTTTTTTAAACATAAATTTTGTTGTGGCTATTTGAGGTTTACAAAGTGAGGTTATGGGGTGTATAGAGATACATAGATACTTGTAGATACATATGAATAATACAATGGTTACTCTTTTTCTAAGCTCCTTATATGCCACCTTCTCTCCTGACCCTCTTCTTCTCTAAGGTGGAGTTAGTCACATGCCAACACTAAAGTTTCCCCCAACCTCTGGTCTAATAACCACAGAGAAGCAGACAGAAGTTATAAAAACAAAGGGTAGTGCTTAAGCAGTACAAAAGTCTAATTGCGTTTGGCCACTGTCTTTGAACTTTGTGATGATTCTTGACCCTTGTCTAGCATCCTAGTCCATGGTTAGAGATTTTGGTGCAAGATTTCCCCTCAGTGTATTGCTCATCCTTTGCCTTCCCTCCTTCCACTGTCACACCATCATGAAGCCTGCAGATGCCCTGGAGAAAATTAGCCAGCTTATCTCTTGAGCGCAGATCAGTTGTGTCCTAGTGGAAGCTGAAACCTAGATTTTTATTTATTTATTTATTTATTATTTTTAAATTTTTATTTATTTATTTTTTTGAGACGGAATGTCACTTTGTTGCCCAGGCTGGAGTGCAGTGGTGCAGTCTCGGCTCACTGCAACCTCCGCCTCCTGGGTTCAAGCGATTCTCCTGCCTCAGCTTCCTGAGTAGCTGGGATTACAGGTGCCTGCCACCATGTCTGGCTAATTTTTGTATTTTTAGTAGAGACAGGGTTTCACTATGTTGGCCAGGCTGGTCTCAAACTCCTGACCTCGGGTGATCCACCTGCCTCAGCCTCCCAGAGTGTTAGGATTACACGCGTGAGCCACCGCACCCTGCCTGAAACCTAGATCTTTACTTTTAATGCTCCCCTCTCCTGCAACCCAACATCTTTGATGCAGAAAAATTAACAGATTATTCTCTGAAAGCATTCAAGGATTGATAAAAGTAACTTTCAAGCAGAGTATTAAAGTGACCTATAATCTCATTTTAGCTGAGGTAATATCACTAAATATTTAGCGTCGACAGTATATTGTTGGCTTATTAGTCATAGTTTATTTCTGCAAATCCTAATCAGCTAGTTCTATTGACCTGTGCTATCTACCTGTAATATTATCTCCATGAAGCCACAATGGAACATTTAGTAAATTATTGCTATAACTCATTAAACTATAACCCCAAAGCATTCAGAGCATCCTAATTGGATCTGGCCTGACCTGATTTAAAAATGTACAGAGTCCCCAGGAGGCACACAGACACCAAGTTTTTGCAAGATTTTCAAGGCATAGGATGATGTTTAGGCTCATTATTGCTTAATATATTTAATTTCTTTGATAGACTTGATTACCTTGGCTAATTCAAACTAATTTGTTGTATTTGTTGCTAGTTAATTTTAGTTTCTAATTGCAGATTGTGAGTCTGACATAAATATTTTTAAAAACTGGATCACAGGTCACAGATCAGTTTATTACACATTGAAACAAAGCTTCTCTTCTAAAATACCTTTTGGGGCCAATTTGGAATTTGTGTCTTTTTATGTATTCTATAAAACTATGATGGATATATGATATTTCCTTTCATTTTATGAAAGAAAGGAGAAAAAAGAAATGTCTAAAGGTAGGACTGACCCAAGAAAGGAAGAATGGAAGATTTGTCTGGATAAGTTTTTGGATATTATTTCTCAGTCTACATAATTCCATTGATGCATTTTATAATTCTTCTTCCCTACGTGTTAGGTCTCTGTTTCTTTCCTTAGATCTTTTCTTGGAAAACACTTTTGTTGTCACTGTGATTGCCCTTCTTTTAGTTCCTTATAACTCACAGGCCAAAAAATCATCCACTGTCAATAAAGACAAACTTGTAATTTGCAAGATTACTTGACTTTTCTTCTTAACCTGGGAATTTTTCATGGGCCTTTCTATTCACCCTGTTCAGAGTTCTCCCCAAATCCTTGGTCTCAGCCACCACTCTCTTTCAGTTGCTCCTCAATTGAAATCGCTAGAAACCAACATTTACACAATGTAAATACACTGAAGTGAAAACACAGATTCTCTTATGAGCAGCCAGTTGGTGGAAAAAAAAAGATGAAATTAATTTTAGTAATATATGTTTATTTAACCCAATATATCAAAAAAATTATCATTTCAACATACACTTAATATAAAAATTAATGAGATATTTTACACTCTTAAAAATAATAAGTCCTTAAATGCCTGTGTATTCACAGCACTTAACCTTTTTTTTTTTTTTTGAAGGCAGAGGTTTGCTCTTGTTGCCCAGGCTGGAGTCAAGCGATTCTCCTGCCTCAGCCTCTCGAGTAGCTGGTATTACAGGCATATGCCACCAAGCTTGGCTAATTTTGTATTTTTAGTAGAGACAGGGTTTCTCCATGTTGGTCAGGCTGGTCTTGAACTCCTGACCTCATGTGATCTGCCCGCCTCGGCTTCCCAAAGCACTTCCCTTTTTAATGATAAGTTTTTGAAATCTGGTGTGTATTTACAGTACTTCCCAAACCAAACTAGCCACATTTCAAGTGCTCAACAGCCACATGTGGTTAGTAGGCACCATATTGGATGACATAGTCTTAGAGCATTGATTTAAGATATTCTTCCATACACTACAAATAAGACCCTCTTAAATCCCACTTATCCCAAAATATCTTCAAGATTTCCTCTGTCAAAATTTAACTCCAACCCCTCCACAGTACTTAGAAAAATTCCTCTTATTGAGAACTTATCTCAGCCTTACTTGTGTTCAAATATTTATATATTTATCTGTCTCAGAGATTATGAACTCATAGAAGGTACATATTATCCTTTGCTCATCTTTGAACAATAGCATAAGAGTGTGGAGGAAAATTGGATTTTGACAGATAACTGACTCAGGTTTAAATGCTACTACTAGCACCATGCAGTTGTGGTAGCTATACAATTCTAGCCCATTTTTTGAACCTCAGTTTTCTCATCTATAAAATAATACCTCTATCATAGAGTACATGAGCATTAAGTAAGGTATGCCTAGCACTTAGTTGGGTCTCAGTAAATAACTTATTATATTGAATGTAAAAGGGCAATTTACTCTATTAAATATGCACATAGATTATAAGTTGTACTCTTATTTCAGAAACATTAAAATTTGAGAGCTCAGATATTTCCAGTGGGAATGTAAAATGATACATCGACTTTAGAAAACACTGTGGTAATTCCACAAAAGGTTAAACATGGAGCTACCATACGACCCAGCAAGGTTACTCCTAGGTATACACCTAAAGAATTGAAACATATATCCACACAAAACTTGTACATGAATGTGCATAGCAGCATTATCCATAGTAGCCAAAGAGTGGAAACAACCCAAATGTCTATAATCTGATGAAAAAATAAACAAAATGTGTGGAATAGCCATAATAGAATATTATTTGGCAATAAAAAATGAAGTACTGATGCACGCTACCAGATAAATAAACCTAAAAAAATTATGTGAATAAAGGAAGCCAGTTATGCATGCAAAAAACACATATATTGCATGATTCCACATATGAAATGCCCAGAATAGGCAAATCTAAAGAGACAAAGTAGATTAGTGTTGCCTGGGCTGCAGTGGTGGGGGCAAGGAGTCACTGCTAATGGGTAAAAAGTTTCTTTTGGGGTTTCTTTCTTTAAAACATGATAAGATGTTCTAAAATGAGATTGTGGTGATGCTTGCACAACTCAGTAAATATATTAAAAACCATTGAATTGTACACATTAAATGGGTAAACTTGATAGTATGTTGATTATATTTCAATAAAGCTGTTAAAATTGGGGGAAATGGTGTTAGAATTAAGTTAATATATATTTATTTGTTTAGTTTAAAGTTAACTTCCTCCAACAAACAATAATGACAAAAATTAATCGAAATACAATTCTTGGTCCTAAAATGTGTGGACATTTTCGCTTCCATGATTTTTGCGTGGTGGCTCATGCCTGTAATCCCAGCACTTTGGGAGGCCGAGGCAAGCGGATCACGAGGTCAAGAGTTCGAGATCAGACTGACCAACACAGTGAAACCCCGTCTCTACTAAAAATACAAAAATTAGCCAGACATGGTGGCACACGCCTGTAATCCCAGCTGTTGGGGAGGCTGAGGCAGGAGAATTGCTTGAAACTGGAAGGCAGAGGTTGCAGTGAGCCAAGATTGTGCCACAGCACTCCTGCCTGGGTGAAAGAGCGAAACTCCGTCTTAAAAAAAAAAAAAAGAAAGAAAGGAAAAGAAAAACATATCCCTACTACCCTCCTCCAAGAGGAGATGGCTCTCTCTTTCACTTTACAGGGGCAGACACAGCCCCTGAAATATTGAACCCGGGGGAGAAACCAAAGCCCCCACATAGCCTGGGCTCTTTCTTCTTTCCACCTTAATTCCTCCCTGGAGCAGCCCCTGTTGGTGGAACTCACTATACCGAGTGGTCTCCTGTGGAGTTGTCTCCCTCTGACCGTTTTGTAAGCTCCTGGGGAGCAGGAGCTGTGTCCATCTTGTTCACAGCCATTTCACAGTTCCCAACACATAGTAGGTCCTCGGGAAACTTGTTGGGCAGGACAGTTCTGGCCCCTCCAGCACTGGAGAGGAGTAGCTGCAGCACATCCAGCAGTATTTTCCTTCTTGAGTTACCAAGTTTGGCCAAATGCCAATGATCTCTCTGCCTATACTGCTGTGCTAATAGGACTGCATCCCCCTGCCCCCCTTGCTAGTTACCATGTCACAACCAGGATCAAGGGAAGAGCATGCTTGAAACATATATTAATAGCAAGAGTAAGTTCAACACACCTTCTGCGGGGAGGGAACCTTTTTTTCCCAACCCCATTTAAAAAAAAAAAAGGCAAAAGAGATTCATGAGGCTGGAGATTCAGTTTAAAATGCATCTGGGGTGGCGGAGCTCTTTAACAGAATAAGAGAAGGCACATATGGGACTTGGGTTTCTCATCAAAGCTGGGCTAAATAGAAAGCTCTTTCTGCCTGGGCATTGAAAAACTTGTCTGATTTGGAGATCCACCTGAAAATATCGAGTAGCAGAGACACCTGCTGATCTCAGACGTGGCATGACAGTCTCTTTCCAAATTGCATCCCATTAGGGGTTTCTGAAGTGCGACTTTACTGTCTCAATTGTATCTTTGCTCCCTCCACAAGACCAGCTGAAGGGGGTTTGCTGAAGGCAGCCCCATCTCCTCTGCAGCCTGCTCCTCAGCTCTGTGGTTGATGAGCAGGACTAACCCAGGGAGTGCCCCCCTGTAAATTCCGAGAGACTTCACCATCCCTGTACCACCTTGTGCACCCAGGAAAGCCCAGTCAGCCTTTCCTCCTCAGGTTAACTGTTGTGAGGGGCTCTGCCGTCCCCACCAGCAGATTCCATGCCACAGATTTGCCAGATCCGAATTTGCATTTCTGAATCAAAATTTGGATTTAACTTGTATACTTTTTTACCTGGGTAACTTTTTTAATAGTTAACATTCTTTCTTTCTTTCTTTCTTTTTTTTTTTTTTGAGATGGAGTCTCTCTCTGTCACCCAGGCTGGAGTGCAGTGGCATGATCCCTGCTCACTGCAACCTCCACCTCCTGGGTTCAAATGATTCTCCTACCTCAGCCTCCCGAGTAGCTGGGATTACAGGCATGTGCCACCACCCCTGGCTAATTTTGTATTTTTAGTAGAGGGAGATTCTACATTCCCACTGGAAATATCTGAGCCCCCAAATTTTTGGTTTCACCATGTTGGCCAAGCTGGTCTTGAACTCCTGACCTCAAGTGATCCCCCCACCTCGGCCTCACAAAGTGCTGGGATTACAGGTATGAGCCACTGCCCCTGGCCAGTTAACATTCTTTAAGCAGTATTTGAGCTATGCTAGGTGAGCCAGGACCTGCTCTGGGAGCTGCAGGTAAAGTGATAAACAAGAAAGACTACTCTGTCTCAGGGAGCTTACCACCCACCCCACCTCTTTCTTTCTAGTCTTCCTTCCTCCTCCTCTTCCTCCCTACCTCTGTAAAACAAATTATTTAGAATCTTTTGGGCCAAACATAGGCAAGTCAATAAATATCATTTTAGAACAAGATACGGTGAACATTATCACAAACTTTTGCTGGCCATAATGGAATACTTGTTTTTTTGTTTTTGAGACGGAGTCTCTCTCTGTCACCCAGGCTGGAGTACAGTGGTGCAATCTTGGCTCACTGCAACCTCCGCCTCCTGGGCTCAAGCGATTCTCCTGTCTCAGCCTCCTGAGTAGCTGGGACTACAGGCGTGCACCACCACGCCTGGCTAATTTTTGAATTTTTAGTAGAGACGGGGTTTTGCCATGTTGGCCAGGCTGGTCTTGAACTCCTGACCTCAGGTGATCCATCCACCTCGGCCTCCCAAAGTGCTGGGATTACAGGCGTGAGCCACCACACCCAGCCGGAATATCTTTACCCTGGAAAACTGCCCCACAAGCATTTTTTTTAAAACTTGTGGAAGAAAATGGTGACTAGTTAGAATTAACTGTAATTATTTGTAGCTCTCATCTTATTTTGCCTGCTATACTGCATACTGAGAATGAATTCAGGATTCAAATTCACTCCAGGATGATAGTTAAAGTTAGTTCTTTATTGGAAGTTCACAGCAGAGGAGACTGATAAGGGTTAGAATTTACCTAAAGAGGTTATGGCTGTAGAGTATCTTATATTGATATGTCATTAAAAAACCTTGGAACATGAATCATGTTAGTGAAAATTTGCATTTTTGTGAACATGGAAATTGAAAATTGGAGTAGGTCAATAATCTTGCTTCCTAAAGACTAGGTAAAATGTAAATATATGGGAGCAATACATTTTATATTAAGTGTACCTCTGGATTTGCATAACAGATTTAGATATATAATGTATTTCTACTTGCTGATTTGTTTGGCAGGATCATCTCTAAATAATAAATATGCAGTATGTTTGAGAACAGATACTGGGCCCAGGCACATGACTTGTGTTATCAGTTAGTACACATGAAGGTTATTCCAAGGGCAGTATTTTTGGGAAAATAGAGCTTTGGGGCCCTGGGTATATGGCAAATACAAATAATTATTATTATTTTTAATTAGCGTAGCATTTGAGACTATTGAAGTTCACTCTCCTGAGATTCAAATTTTGGCCACAGTTGAAAAGCAGAGAGATATACTGGTCAGTTAGTTTATAAATTAACAATTCCAGGACCCAAAGTGAGTTATGTTCTGGGATCATAAAAGACATTTCATAAAAGGGTGAGGGTAGATTAAAACTTCCAAATATTACTTAAAACTCTAGGACTTAGAGTTGTATTGTCATTCCTGTTGGTGGTTGTACAAACTTATAATATTTAGTGGACATATTGAAGCCTTTCAAACTCTTCTAGCTGGATTTATTTATTTGTTCTTTAAAGATTAATTTGAATATTCTCTTGTCCTGTTGATGGGAGACAACACTGGCATATCCACTCTGAAGGGCAGTTTGGTGTTGTGTATGAACATTTCAAAAGCACAGGCAATTCCATGACTTAAGATCTACCTTTAAGAAGCACTCCTGGTTGGGTGCAGTGGCTCACGCCTATAATCCCTGCACTTTGGGAGGCTGAGGCGGGCAGATCACTTGAGGCCAGGGGTTTGAGACCAGCTTGACCAACATGGCGAGACCCTGTTTCTACTAAAAATACAAAAATTAGCCAGGCATGGTGGCACACGCCTGTAATCCCAGCTACTCAGGAGGCTGAGGCTCAAGAATTGCCTGAACCTGGGAGGCAGAGGTTGCAGTGAGCCAAGACTGCACCACCACACTCCAGTCTGGGTGACAGAGTGAGACCCTGTCTCAGAAAAAAAAAAAAAAAAAAAAAAAAAGAAGCACTCCCACTTGTGGACAAGGATTTATGCTTAACTGGGTTTCTCAACCTCAACCTCAGCACCGGTGATATTTGGGGCCAGCCAGTTCTTTGCTTTGAGAGACTGTCCTGTGCATTGCCAGATGTTTAACAGCAACCCTGGCCTCCACTCAGTGCCAGTTACCCCTCTAAGTTGTGGCCAGAGTGTTTCTTTGCCAGATAGCATCCCATTGAGAACAACTGATGTATAGTAGTGTCCACTGTGGCACTTTTTTTCTTCTGATTTCAGATGAACTGTAAGAAGCCTAAATGCCCATTATTTGGAGCAGACTCATTCAATAGAAATACAATGTTAGCCACATCAGTAATTTCATATTTTCTAATCGTTGCATTTAAAAAGTAAAAAGTGCTGGGCACGGTGGCTCACGCCTCTAATCCCAGCACTTTGAGAGGCCAAGGCAGAAGGATCACTCGAGGCAGGGAGTTTGAGACCAGCCTGGCCAACATAGTGAAATCCCATCTCTACTAAGAATGCAAAAATTAGGCAGGCATGGCGGCGCATGCCTGTAATCCCAGCTACTTGGGAGGCTGAGGCACAAGAATCACTTGAACCCAGGAGGCAGAGGTTGCAGTGAGCCGAGATTGTGCCACTGCACTCCAGACTGGGCAACAGAGTGAGACTCTGTCTCAAAAATAAAGTTTAAAAAAAGGTAAAAAGAAACAGGTGAAATTGATTTAAATATATTTTATTTGACCCAATATATGAAACATATTATTGCTTCAACATGTAATCAATATAAAACATTATTAATAAGGCATTTTACATTATTTTCCCCCTAGTATTAAGTTTTCAAAATCTGGTCTGTATTTTACACTCTGGCACATCTCAATTCATACCAGTCTCATTCAAATACTCAGTAACCACGTTTAGCTGGTGGCTACTATACTGGACAGCAGAGATTTACAGGAATGGCATTTTAAAAGAAATACTTTGATTCAGAAGAAATACTTTCAAGTACTACATGTATACAAATGCCATATAGTAGTTGAAAGTAATAAAACAGAGAACTACAACATGGAAAGCACTCAGAGGCATACTGTTAAGTGAAAACAGCAGCAGAACAATATGCACAGTAGGAAACATGTTAAAATTATTTTGAAAAATGAAATGTATTTGTATTTTCATAGATGTGTATATTCACCAGTATATCTGTGAATACGTATGTATGTAAATGAACAGAATGAGTCCTGGAAGAACGCCCCTGGACTGGAAGCAGGGCAGGTGGCCAAAGAAGGATTTAATTGTAATATCTTAACTTTTTTTTTTTTTAATAGACAGATTCTTGCTTCGTCACCCAGGCTGGAGTGCAGTGGTACAATCTCAGCTCACTGCAATCTCTGCCTCTTGGGTTCAAGCGATTCTCACGCCTCAGCCTCCCAAGTAGCTGGGATTACAGGCACACACCACCATGCCCAGCTAATATTTGTATTTTTAGTAGAGACAGGGTTTTGTCATATTGGCCAGGCTGGTCTTGAACTCCTGACGTCAAGTGATCTGCCCGCCTCCGCCTCCCAAAGGGAGGACTGGGACTCCAAGCATGAGCCACCATGCCCAGCCATAATATTTTAACTTTTTAAATAAAAAGAAATGTATTCATATATAACTTGTATAATAAATGCTTTTAAAAAGTGAGCTCATTAGGTCTAGCCATCCTGGTAGTCTCTGGGTATCAATGGTTCTCATCCTGGGCAGTGCCTCAGAACCACCAGGGAAGCTTTTTTAAAGTATGCAGCCTGACACTGCACTCCAGCCTGGGCGACAGAGAGATCCCTTGTCTCTTAAAAATAAGTTTTTTTTTTTTTTTTTTAAATTGTGCTGCCTGGACTTTTCTGCAGATCAATTGAATCAAAATCTCTGGAGACTTCCATCTTAAGCTCTTCAGATGATTCCAAAGTGTGGCCAGGATTGAGAACCACATGTGGAGAAAGGAATAGACTGTGTCCTTCAAACAATTACCAGTAGACTCCCAAAGAGAATTTGATAAGGATCCGGTGGAAGGTCCTTTGAGGCATATTATCTGGTGAGAGTTTTCTGTTGTTGACTAAGGGAAGATCCATATTTTAAAGTTAAAATAGATCAAACGAGCTGAGGGATGGAGTCGACATCTTTTTGCAAAAATGGTGGTGTACCAGACAAGACTTCCTAATCCATTGCCATCCAACTTTATGACAAGTTTAGTCAAGAGAGCTTGTAAAAGTAGTGCTGGTCTTCTGGATAAACTCTGACAAACAAACATGTAATGCTTCAAGACCCCAAATTGCGCTCCATAGGAAGTTGTCTAACAGGGAGTCCAAAAAAGGATTCTAGACTTAAAAAGTTATTCTCTTAGATTCTTGGGTTCATTGTTACCATTTGAAAGCATGAGATTAACTGTCCTTGGTATTTAGAAAGCAACACTTCAATTGAACTGAAAGGAAAAAAAAATCTTGTTTAAAAAAACAGCAGCCCAGTTTCTCCTATTTCTATGTTCTGCTTGAATTCATGGCAATTACAGTGTTAGTGCCATCTGAGGTGAAGCCAACATAATTTTCTTTTACATGATAAGCCCTATGAAGAATCAGGCATATTTTATACTTGACCTAGGGTCAATATTGGTTCGGAATGCAGTTCTCTTACATTTCTCCATCATTGACCTCTGTACTTAAAAATGAAACAAATCAGTGTTTGGCAAGACTTACAGCCATTATCTGTGTTTTCCTAAGCTTTGAAAATAACCAGAAATTGCCTGATTCAGTGAATGCTTCATTCATTTGTCCTGGAGTTTAAAGACCCACTCTCTTGTCACCATGGAAACAGATTCAGATCCTAAGGCAAAAGATTCAGTACCTCCCTCCTAATGATAATATACAGCATGAGCTCTGAAGAGAAAAATGGATCTGCCTTAGGTTTCATTGTTGAGCTGATGGTGTTCCCTGGCTTGATGAATCTCTTTCTCATTTGGTTTTAGCTCCTGGGTTTACATTTGCTGTGCAGCAGTGCATGGTGAGGGGTTTTGAGCCTTTAATCCCCTGCCACTGAATTACATTTGTGTGAACAACACAAATGCCAGACTGGTTTTATACAGACTCTAAAGTTGCTGGAAATTTAATAACGGGTACCTATGTTTGCTCCCAGAAATTGAGAAATCTGATATTGGGATCTAATGCTGGCTGGGGCTGGAATAAACTAATGAAGACCTATAGGAGGCCCCATGATCTGAAGATGATCTATTCAGGAAAAGACCACTTACAGTGAGTTGGCTTGGAATGGGACCCAGCATTTCATAGTAAATACTAGGGATCAGGGTAGAGGATGACTTAATTGGAATTTCATTTTGAAAAATAAAACAAAATTTTAAACATAAAGTTATTTGATCTTACATGTTCAAACTTTTAGGTTATCATATCAAGAAGGTTGAAAATACAGGCTAAATCAAGTATGAAACAAGTATTAATTTTTTTGTTGTAAATTTTCCAGCAAAATTCAGTAACTAATAGGTGCTTTCCAGCCCATGGGACTTTTACCACGTATGAATAGACCCATTTTCAATCATTGAAACCACTTCCTCTTTACCACATAGATTACTGAATCAGCCTCCCTTTTTCATCACATAGATTACTGGATCAGCCTCCCATTTTCATGTTACTTTCTACTTCCTAAAATAAATCCCCTACTCTAGCTTGGTGGCTCTCCTTCATGTCCCTTTCCTGCCCCATACATGATCATTTTTTTGGGTTCTGTCCCTGTAAGTGTTCTCCAAATACCCTCCTTGCTCTCAATCCTCATTCCTCATCTACGTTAGCTGTTCCATCCCTGTTAAGACGTTGCAGACGCTACTTTCTTTCTCCCCAGACTTTCCATAGCACTGAGCTGTTCTGCTCAAACATGATCATACACTGCTTCCTAACTTTATTTAAATCACAGATGATTATATGCTTTGCTGACTCATATAATTTCCATGAGAGAAGGGCTGGTATATCTTCAGGCCTCGAGTACAAAGGCATTCATGCTACCCATCTGAGTATCCCATTGTTAAGATGTGTGAAAGTGATTCCTGAGTTTTCTTAATCCGTATTGTGAACCTATCATATTCCTTTCAGACTTTGACACTTCAAAGAAAGTCAGTGGTAGATTTTTTGGGCTTTATCCCCAAAAAGGGAGAAAGTGAAGTGAAGCAAAAGAGGAGAGATTTCCTAAGACCGTTTTTAATACCTTATTTGACTGGTAGAAACTAGATGGCCAGGAAAAGAGGAAATGGAGATTTTGTGTGTTGATGTAGTAATTAGTCAGCTGAAGGAAAATGTCATCAATTTCTAGCTTCCTAGGTTTTGCACTAACTAACAAAATTTACCCTCTTAGCCATTTTTAAGTGTATAATTCAGTGGCATCAAGTGCATTTACAGTGTTGTGAAACCATCACTACTGTCCATTTCCAGAAATTTTTTTGTCATTCCAAGGAGCAACTCATTAAATCCATTAAATAAGAACTCTCCATTCCCCTCATATAATATTTGCCCTTTTGTGTCTGGCTTATTTCATTTAGCAAATATTTTCAAGGTTCATCCATACTGTAGCATCTGTGAGCATTTCCTTCCTTTTTAAGGCTGGATGAAATTCTATTGTATGTATATACCACATTGTGCTTATCTAGTCATCTGTTAATGGATAAAAACAATGAAACTATGAAACCCTGACATTACTTGCATGGCATTTTATAGTGGCTTTTCTGATTCTCACTCTTCTTCTTTTTTAAAATATTTCTTATCCTTTATTCGGCCTCTAAAGATGGATTTGTTCATTTGAGGGAACAAATTAGTTTGATTGGTTTGGGAAGGTATTTTGACCCACAGAATGGGATAGATTAAAACCAGGTGTGATAGATAAACTTAGCCACACGCCATCCTTATTTCCTGGTTCAGCCTTGTAGGGGTCTGTAGAGGTCTAGAGGGGACAATTTAATGCATTTTAATAGGTACCTGGTGACACCTTAATTGTGAAGCCTGATTCAATTCCTATATAAAAGCCTTTTAAAAAATTCTGACCTAAGTTAGTGTTTGTAGTGAAAACACTGGGACTGTTCAAACATTTGAGAATTATGATTATGGCCAAGAGACTTGTCTGAAGAGGACGGTCTTATGTGGTCTACATTTCCATTTAGCTAGATGTCAGCTAGAAAAGTGAAGCTTAAGAAGTCAGGAGGAATGGGTCTATTCTTTTGAAAAAAGTTAAGGAGACTTTTGTTTGGATGAAAATATAAAGGACTCTTTTTTTTTTCCACCATTCCCTTAACTTGGAGGAAATAGAAAATAAGTAACTCCTCATTTAAGGCATAAGGTGAGGCATTAGGCATTGTCTTTCTGCAAAGTTCTGTGCTTTGGCTACTCAAGATAGAAAGGAAGCTAGCTGAATCCATTGTTGAAGTAGCTGTTGGAACCAGGGTAAGGTGATATTACCTTGAATAAAATTGGTGAGGAAAGTTAAAACATCCTCCCTTTAAGACAGGGGAGCAGGCTAGGCACAGTGTCTCACACCTGTAATCCCAGCATTTTGGGAGGCCAAGGCAGGCAAACTGCCTGAGCTCAGGAGTTCAAGACCAGCCTGGGCAACATGGGAAAACCCAATCTCTACAAAAAAAACCAACCAAACAAACAAACAAAAAACAACATAATTAGCCAGGCACCTGTGTCGTGCACCTGTGGTCCCAGCTACCTGGGAGGCTGAGGTGGGAGGATCACTTAAGCCTGGGAGGCAGAGGCTGCAGTGAGCTGAGATCGTGCCACTGCACTCCAGCCTTGGTGACAGAGTAAGACTCCACCTCAAAAAAAAAAAAAAAAAAAAGACTGGAGAGGAAAAAAAATTAATTAAACTATTAAGTAATTAATTTTGTCTTAAGTAGTTTATTTCTGCTTTAACGTATAAAACTTATATACTTTCCTTAAATATAGTGTGGCTTATTGTTACTTATATTCATAGAGTTTTTAAAAAACGAAAGTGTGAAAAATTTATAGCCCTTTCCCAGTAATTCGCAAACCTGAATAATTGAATAACCATGGAAATTTCTAGGGGCAAGCTCTGGCATCACATAGTTTTTTTAAAGCTCGCTAGGTAATTCTCATGGGTAGCCATGGGTGAGGATTACATACCTAATATTTTGAGAATCAACTTCTGGTCTAAAGCCAATGGTGTATGTCGCATAACAAGGGTATACTCACCACCGCCTGGTTGAAGTATTTTCTATCTGTAGGTTTAGCTCAACAGTTTATAAGCTGAGCTTGAAAATGTGAACCTATTAAGCCATGACTGCACCTCCAAAGAAAAGGATGGAAGGACCATTTGTTTATGTGGCACTATTCATTAGGTAAATTGGGAAAGGGGAATGCACATATATCAGGTTGTTTCTTAAATGGTGCTTTCTTTGTGAATAAACCTGAAGGGGAGAAATGGCCAAGGAAATTGTTTTTGTTGGACTAACCACTTCTTTCACTTTACCAAGCTCAGATCTAAAGAACATCTTCCCTTAATGCCAGCTTGCACATATTTGCACACCCATGCTTGCCATCACTCTGTGACATGCACTTTCTTTTCTGCATGCCCTGTGGTAAGCTGTGCCCTTCTCCTGGAGCATGCCCTCTTCATCTTCTCCATCAAAGTGTCAGGGTGTAGACACCCTGGCCCTTCTTCCCTATGTCCTCTGGCCCAGAAGGGATGCCCCGTCCTTTGTCTTCAGCTCCCCCAGTCCTTTATCTCACTTGCACCTTTATTGTCTGAGCTTCCCCATATTTGGCAAGCACAGTGAGCTACTTCCCAGCCAGAGCCCTCCCAGGAGCTGTGCTGGTTGTCAAAGGTGGAGCTTGGGACCAAGCTCCAAGGAGATGCCTCTGGGAAGTTGGTCTCCTTCTGAGCAGTTGGACTTTGAACAGTTAATTGATGGGAATCAGGAAGCAAGAGGCATTTCTTAATAGTAATAAGAAATTTGTGGTGTCACAGGTAAGAATCCAGAGAAAAGATAGGTCCTCTGGTTTATGTCAAAGTGGTGAGAGCAACAGGCTTTAAATCATCCTCAAAAGGAAGATGCTCAAAAGGAAGAGGAAAAACAAAGCCAGCCAACGATGGAGAAGACCTAAATATTTAGCCCCATCCTGCTTAGGTTCTCAGGAGGAGGTTTTTTGTTTGTTTGTTTTTTGTTTTTTTTTTTGTTTTTTGTTTTTTAACACCTTTTTTCAGTAATGGTACTTGCTAGAAGAGATACAACTCTGAATCAGGTGTTTCGAAATTGCTTCTTTAGAATACGGAAGTAAACAAAGGCAGTAGCAGTCTTTCTTGGAAAATCATTATTATCTGTCATACTTTTTCAGAGGCTTCTTCTGACTTTATACAGAAGGCAGGCCCCAGTCTCTACCCCACCCTAGCCTTTTATGGGAAGAATGGCACACAGTGACACATGGGTCCAAGGTGTCTTCATCATACCTAATGGAGAACCTCATCTGGTTTCTACCATTCCCTAGATACATTTTCTAGAAGTGATTTTGCTGTCATTGTGGTTAGATGTACGATCTGGGAGCCCCGTAAATCTCCCTCCTTTAGAAGTCTGGCTTTGCTGTGTCATATGGGGTGTCTGAGCAGCTGGGTATACAGATCTAAGACTACTACTCAAACTTTGAAATGCTTTAAAAGAGTGATTTTCAAAAATGTATGTATATTATTATGAAAAATCTTCAAAATAAAGGTTTGAAGCAATAGTATAATGAACTCCCCCTCTCTGCCATCTAAACTTAGTAACTGTCAACATTTTGCCATATTTGCTTATCTATTTGTCTGTCTGTCTGTCTATCTATCTATCTGATCTATCTGTTCTGTTTTGCTGGACAATGTGAAAGTGCAGATTTCATGGCAAGGCACCTCCAAATGCTTCTTTGTTAAGAACCCTTCTATATGAGCAAAATACATTGTCACATCTAAGAATATTAATAACATTTCCATTATATATTTTCTGATCTATATTTAAATATCCTCTATTGTCTTAAGAATTATTTTTTAAATATGTTTATGTTTTCCAACTGAATCCCCAGAAAGCTGGGAGACTGAGACAGATTTCAGAGGACAGGGTCCCATTTGTAAAAATGGGGCTGGGGTTCTTCCAGGGTTGTGGTTCTAAATGGCTATGAGGCCTGAGGAAAGGCTCATTTAGCCATTCTGAACTTGTTGGCAAAATGAAGGGGTTGGGTAAGATAATCCCTAAGGGCTGCTCAGATTCCCTCTTTAAAAATATGGTCATAAATAGCTAATATAAAAACATTATGCGAATGATCCCGTTTTTTGAGAAAGTGTCTTTTTCCTCTTCATTCTTGATTAGGGATTGTCTAGTCATGAATGCTAAAGGTTACTTAATCTTCTATGGTGTCATTTGCTCCCATGAAGTAATCATCTATTAACCACCGCACTCCTTGTTCCACTGGAGCAGAACAGCTTTACACTTAGCTTTCTTCCTTATAGCATTTATTCAGACCATCTCTTGTTTTTCTATCATATTTTTGTTAGTTATTGAAAAGATAGTTTCATACTCTGCCAGAAAGTTTCCCAAGCGTGGGCCATTCATATCCCCAGCTAACCAGTATGTTGTTCTTAATGAAATATTGTTCGAGTAATCAGAATGAGAGTGCACAGCAAAATGTCTGTACTTGTCCTAGAACATAAAAATACTGGAAAAAGCAAGGTGGTCTTCACTGATTTCACTGCATTCTGGTTACTTTCCCACTGGATCATAATTGCTCGTAGGAATAATAAATTTGGGATATGTGTCTGGCTCTGGCAATTCACCATAGCCTCACGGAGTCAGCTGCTTCTCTCTCCTAATCTTTTTCTTTCCATTTTCCTCTCTTGTCCCTTTCTCTTTCTCCCATTCTCCCTTCTTTCTCATTCACTTATTCATTAATTCATTTATTCCGTATATGCATGTAGTGCATGCCTCCTTGGTGTCAGCCCAGGGCAAGGCTGCTGTGGAGGGGCACCCTTAGACCCCCGGGTTTGTTCTTATTTTGGCCATAGTTCACTTCAAAATGAAGGGCTGCAAGAAGGTCATTGCCTGGCTGAGAATGATTTCTTCTTAACCGTGGTAACCCATGCTGTGTGGGGTGGAAAAATGTCTTTTCTTGTATAAATGTGTTTCCTGTTTGTACTGATTTTGTAACTTCTAAATGTAAAATTATTAGTATCTTTAAAGTGCCAGAGGCTCTCAAAGAAGTTGTCCCCAAAAAGAAAGTGCATCCTCCCCAAACGGCTGAAGTTGTACCTGCCAAAGATACATTCTTAACTGTGCCTTAACTCTAACCCCATGCTAGGTTACCATGATTAAGAAGAAAAGGGGCTGTGGGATGTGTGTGTGTCTGGGGGTGGTGGTAGGGCACATTAGTGAGTGGCACAAGGCAATTTCCAAGCAAGCTTCTGATTTGGGAAACCTGGGGTTGATTAGGAGTGAGAGAGGAGGGGGAGAACTCTGAGCACACAGTTGTGAGTGGCCTGGGCTGTGAGGAAGAGGAAAGCTGGGTTCTGGGACTTGCTGACTCAAACATGGAGACGTATTGTGATGCCCTGGTGGTGGCCTGGAATGATTCAGCTTTATAATGAATGCATTTTATTCCTTTCTAAAACATTTGATCCAGTAAGTTGAAACTCAAAAAGCCTTTTCCAGGTTCAGTGGTCAGGAATGGATTGCTTTCATCAGTATCATGTCATGGCCCCTCTTTTTCCCTCATGATCTCTGCCCCCACCCCATTAGCATCTACCTCCATATATCTGCCATGATGTGTTTGAATTCACTCTCCATATCTTTTGTAGATATGCAACTGTGAACGCATTTTATGTGTGCTTTATTTTTATTATTTGAAATGGAGTCTCACATTGTCGCCCAGACTGTAGTGCAATGGAGGGATCTTGGCTCACTGCAACCTCCGCCTCCTGAGTTCAAGCGATTCTCCCATCTCAGCCTCCTGAGTAGCTGGGACTACAGGCACCCACCATCATGCCCGGCTAATTTTTGTATTTTTGTAGAGATGGGGTTTCACCATGTTGGCCAAGCTGATTTTGAACTCCTGACCTCAGGTGATCTGCCCACCTCGGCCTCCCAAACTGTTGAGATTACAGGCATGAGCCACTGTGCCCGGCCTTATGTGTGCTTTCAAATAAATGTTGAAGCAAATGGTATTATGAGACTCATTAGGCAACCTATATTCAGGTATTTATTTTTTCACTCAGCACTGCTTTCTAAGATCCATCTATGCTGTTATGCTATAGATTCAGTACACTCCTTTTCATTGCTGTAAAATATTTCCTCCAACAAATACACATTTTGTTCAGGCATTTGGGCAACACCCAGTTATTCACGGTTACTAATGGTGCAGTGGACATCGTCGTGCATGTTACCTTGTGGAAATGAGGCCATGCCACTTTTTTCTCCAACTCTTTAGTTTTGACATTTTTTAAACCTGCAGGAAAGTTGAAAGAACACAACAATCATCTGCTTGCCTTTTACCTAAATTATCCAAGAATGTAATCTTACCATATATGCTTTTTCTCTAGATAGACACACACTCAGGCATATATGTGGGGATGTTTTTCTTTTTTTGTGATTGGGTCTCACTCTGTCACCCAGGTTGGAGTGCAGTGGTGCAGTCTCGGTTCATTGCAACTTAGGCCTCCCAGGCTCAAGCGTTACTCCCACCTTAGCCTCATGAGTAGCTGGGAATGGCCCATGCCACCACGCCCAGCTAATTTTTTGTACTTTTGGTAGAGACCGAGTTTCGCCATGTTGGTCAGGCTGGTTTTGAACTCCTGAGCTCAAATGATCCACCCGCCTCAGCCTCCCAAAGTGCTGGGATTACAGGCATGAGTCACTGTACCCAGCCATGTGTGTTTATTTTTTACTGAAACTTTTAAAGTGTTAGACTTTACTCCCTAAGTATTCCTTCACTGATTTGCTGATAATCATTCTCTTATGTAACCACAATAAAATTATCATATCTAATAAAACCACAGTAATTCCATAGTATCATCTAATAACCAATCTAAAATGTGCATATTTTCATTTTAAAAAAAAATACTGCCAAATTCTCTTCAAAGCATCTGCACTAACTTATTGTTCCAACGGCAATGCATGGAACTTTCTGTTTCCTCACACATCCACCAACGTTTTGTTATCTGACTTTAGTTTTTGCTAGTCAGATGGAGGAAAAGTATCATTTTTACATTTGCATTTAAAAAAAGAAAACTCAGCCACAAAAACATGCAATTCTAGCACAGGATTTTGTCTTTAATTGTCACAGTAGAAATGAGATCCCCATTTGGCTTCCAGCACAGGGTAATAAACTCCATGTCTGTGAGCAATTTGGAGCAGACAGGAGATGTTTTTCTGAAGATTTAGAAAGGAATTACAGTGCAGCTCAGTTCTTCATTTTTATAAACATAGACCTTTGTCAGAGAATGTTTTGACACAGTTATCTTGGGGATCCAAAATTGTTTGGATGAAGTATTAATAGTATTTTTAAATTTATATAAAGTGGATGACTTTAGTATCAAAATAGCCAACAGAATATGAATCCCTCGCATTGAAAATGAGAGGAAACAGAACAGACAGCATCCCTGTTCTTGCTAACAGTCAAACTGATACTAAAACTTTAAAAAAACTTTTAACAAAAATTCTTAGGTTTGAACTTTGACAACTAATAGGCATGACATGCTCATAACCAAGAGGGGATAGAATTGTGTTTACTTTCTTGTGCATAAATAATGAAACACTGTTCGCCTACCACCCAGTGATTACCACCATTAAGTTTTGGTGACTATAATTCCAACTTACAGATGTGTGTATATGTGTGTGCAAGCTTAAAAATAATCCAAATCATCTTCACCTGAAAGTAACAGAGACACTTTTAAAGGCTTGCTGTGGGCTGAGCACTGGCTGAGTGCTTGCAGTGTTACCATTCCCGTTTCCCAGATGAGGCCAATTGAGAGCCTGTTCATGGTGAGGCAGCAGGTAAGTGGCAGACTTGGAATTTGAGCACAGGTACCCCTCTTAACCTTTACTGTACTCCCTCCTGGCCTAGTAGGTTTTATTCATTACTTTCTCATTTACTGTACTGTAGACGGCATTTCATGTCAGTAAATATTCATCTGCATTGATTTTCTCAGCCATATATTTCCATTGTGGAGAGTCAACATAACTAATTGGTCTCCTATCACTACGCATTTATTTTTTTTCTCATTTTTGTTATTGTGGATCACACTGTGATTACTTTCCCATTACATAGGTATTTGGCCACTTGTCCAATGATTTCTTTAGATTATATATCCTAGAATTGGAATTTTTGGGTGACATAACATCCCACTTTGAATGATGGTGATGCAAGCTGTCATATAATTCTTCATCTTGCTGTGCACACAAATAAGTGGGAATGGGTGTCTGTTTTCTCATATGCCCATTAACACTGGATTTTTTTTGTCAATTTGCCCCTCTTGCAAACAAAATATGGTATGGCATGATTTTCATTTGCACTCCATGATAATGAGGCCAAATAGTTTTCATATGCCTACTTGTATTCTCTTCTTGTGAATTGCCTTTATGTACTTTCCCTGCTTTTTTTTTCTATTGGTGCTGTTTTAAAAAAAACTGATCATTGAAGTTTTTTGCATATAAATCATTGACTCACCTGGGATTGATTTTGATGTGCCATATAGGTCTGATCTTGTTTCCATGTGGTTAAGATCTAGTCCCAGCACTACTCTGAGATGCCATTTATGAAGATGGTAGGTGTAGTGTAGTGCCTGCCACACATGGTTTCTCCATAAACATTCCTTCCCTTACTCTCTCCCTGTCTCTTGCATAGTCTTAGGGAGAGGTACTAAGGAAGGAGCCCGGGTATATCCAAGAACTGGGCTGGGGGAGTAGAAAAGAACAAGGCTAATTATTGAGATTTCACCCTTCCATGAATGATCAATATTTATGAAGCTCCTCTGAGAGACATATGAGAATAATTAGCTTCCATAAGGCTAGTTTGGGACTTTGATGTGCCTTTTTTCCTGGGATGTGTTTTTCCAGCAGGTCATGTCACCATTAGGTAAATGGAGTGATCCTCATTCATATTGTCATGATGATGCAGTAGATGCAGTTTTCAGAAAACCCTCATTGAGTTATGTTCACTTTTCTCCTGGCAGCCTGCAGTACAGTGTTCTGTTGGTTGGCACAGTTTCTGCTGCTTAACGCTGGATGGAAAATAAGTTAGAATCTGATAGTTATGGGCATTTCAATTAAGATGCTTAATAGCACTAATTGTATTTGGCTATAAGAACCCAAAAATGCTTGGGCATTAAAAAGAAACTAAGGTGAAATAATAATGATATTAAAATTTATCCTTGTTTCTCTGATGTTGTGAAGGCTACAACGGTAGGTCCTTCTGGAAGAGGTTGCCCTTGCTCCCTTGCTGAGTGAATTGGGTCTTTGGTAACATTTGTTTCCTTTATTATGTCAGAGTAATCATTCTTGGTGAGGTGATCTTGAAATTCTTAAAAGAGCAGAATGCAATTGTTATAAATAATATATCATAACAAAAATGAGAATCAAATTCACCAGTTGGTGTAACTTGGGACATATCACAGAATGTAGGACCAAGAAAAGTTTCAGTTTTCAATTCTGTTAGGAAAGCTCATCAGCAAATCCATTCTTTCCAGAAACCAAAGCTATAAAAACCCAAGAAATGCTCGGAGCATGTTATCTCTCATTATTTTCATTTCCAGATTATTTTCTCAGATTTGTTCATCTCTCAGCCTCTCAAAGCCTCCACTGTCCTTCACTTTTCACCACCAACTCCCCACCAAAAGAAAAACCAAACAAATAATCCCCCAGAATCTGGATATTATAGATTCAATTTTATTTTAGAACTTTTGGGAATAATTGATTGTTTGTGTTGAATTTCTTTCTTTCTTTTTCTTTTTTTTTTTTTTTTTTTTGAGATGGAGTTTCTCTCCTGCTGCAAAGGCTTGATCTTGGCTCACTGCAACCTCTGCCTCCCGGGTTCAAGTGATTCTCCTGCCTCAGCCTCCCAAATAGCTGGGATTACCAGTGCCCACCACCACACCTGGCTAATTTTGGTATTTTTAATAGAGACAGGATTTCACCACGTTGGCCAGGCTGGTCTCGAACTCCTGACCTCAGGTGATCCGCCTGACTCGGCCTCCCAAAGTACTGGGATTACAGGCATGAGCTACCGCGCCTGGCCAAATTTCTTTATATTAAGGCTGTATTTGCAAATACTGGCCTTCTAAAATCACTGAAGATGATTTCTACCAAATGAGCCATGAAGAATGAAAAGGATTTTTTTTTAAAAAAAGCAAAGAACATGGCCCTAACTCTTTTTCTTATTGTTTCTTGTTGCCCAAAGATGCTGCTCAGATCTAGTAGGAGAATAATCCTTCCTATTTTTCACTATATTTCTTCCTAGGGGCTGGAATTGACCAGACTTTAGGAGCAGGGAAGGGTCCCATGAAAGAGGGCTTCAGCTTCAGTCTGGAGGCAGCTTCAGAACTTGATGACCTAGTGATTTGGGGTCACTTGAAGGGGGGGTGGGTGAGTGTCTGCGCATGTATATGATGAGGTCCTGCTTTTTCTAGTCCCTTGACTAGTTTTGTGCCTGCTGCAAGATGTACTTCATGGTGGCCAAGGGGCAGGCTGGCGTGGATGGGGATGAGTTTATGCCAGTGGTTGACCACATAAAGGAAGTCTAAAGACCCTGCTTATCTGCAGGACAGAGTTTGAGTTGTCAGCATTAGTAGATGAGTAGAAATTGAAGATTCAAAATTTGAAAAAGGATGAGGAGGGAGAGGAGGAAAAGAACAGCTAAAGAATGTATAATATATCAAACTGTGTCAAAGCATGCTAGCCAAAGATGCTTGATTTGCATTGCTTGTTGATTTGCAGGCACATACATTCTGTATAAAGTATAATGAAAATTTTCAGCTAATCTGCCAAAAAGGTTGAAAATTTTCCCTTTCAACCTATGATGGAAAACAATTCAGCAATGTATGTTTTGAGGGCAGGGGTAGGGGAAGACCAAGCAGACTGCCTGAAGATATTCCTCATCAGGAAAATCAGAGTTGTATTTTCAATTCCATACTGAATTTAAAACAGGAACTGGGCCCACAATAGCATAACAGTAAGGAAAAATCTGATGTCTGATTTTGAGACCTAGCGTAGCTAAATTTCCAGTGTGTGAGAGTGAATACGAAGGTGACCATCTTAATTTGCACACTTTACCCTGTGAATAATTTTGTTGCCCCTGTGGACAACCTGACCTTAACAAAGCCTTGTCAAGCCCATCTCATTTCCACCTCCCATTTGATTCTCTTTGAACTTCCATGTGTAAACAATGGTTGGATTATAGAATAGATAAAGTGAGATTTAACAGCTGCTTTGAAGATAGTTTAAATGTACTTTTAATTAGTATTGTTGAATTGATTTCATGCTGTAGCTCCTAACTTGACTGTATTTTATGATAATGAGTGTGTTTTGAACCTAGATGTGCACTGCGATGGTATTTCAGGGTGGATATTGATATGTATGTGACCACATGACATTACTCCCAATTGTCCTGGGTATTATATCTGCTCCAGAAACTGGCTAACTCAGAGGAATCTTAGCACCTTTAGCTAATAATATGTACCAATTGTACATGCTTGCAAAGTTTCTTTCACTTCTTAAAAACTCTGGGTGAAGGTGAAGGCTTTCTCTGTATTTAGTCTACCATTCTTTTAGCAAACAAATCGAAGTGAGATCTTTCTTTACTGAGTAGATCTATACCAAAATATACCGAGGCTGAAAGAGCATATCCTGGATAAAAGTTGGAAATGAGAAAATATTGCCATTGATAGTTACTGCTTCAACCCCTGAGTGCATGTTGAGCCAGGGAGGCACCGTACATTTGCAGGGCACAGACAGGGTTACCAATGGAAACCCCTGGCTGGTGTTCCCTTCTCTCTACCCCCTCCCACCCACAGTGCAAAAGACTTTATGTGCACCCTGGCTAGAACATCCAGGCTTTGTCAACACCCCCTTGCAAACATCTGTCCCCTGGCTACCTTCAGATTTAGTGACATGTACACCAGTGACATGTTCACCCCCAAGACGATGGACTGGGGAGGGCCCATGCAAGCCCTAGAAGTGGGTTTGGGATCATTTGGGTGGAGAAAATTATAGAGTCCCAAGCGCTTGCAACGAGGATGTGAAGCTGGGGAGAGGACATGGGCTACAAATAGGCACGGTCCCTTGGGCCTGTGTCCTCATTGCTCCCTTGGGTGGGGAGAAGATGAAAGAGGGCCGAAATGAGGTCCTCCAAAGTTGGGGCTCTTTTCCCCAACTCTTAGGGTGGCGCCAAGAGCCCCAGAATAGGAGAGCCATTGTAGGACATTGTCCCACTGGGCCTTTCATTTTCTGCCAGCAAGCATTTGAATGTCTGTTCTGTGCAGATTGTCAGGCTAGGTGTTGTGGGAGGATACAAAATACAAAGCTATTTTTAATCTAGTTGTGGGGGAGACCAAAGCTGGACTGAGAAACATTTCAAAACAACTGAATAATAAGGGAAAATGGCTGGCCCTTCAGTGACAAGTGCGGGAATTTTGGGTGACATGGAGTCAAGTGATAGTTCTAGCTTGAAAAGGAGGGCTGGTTTCAGGGCCACAGGGTGTTAGAATTCATGGAGTTCATGGGTGGCAAACTTAAGCTTTCAGAGCTCCAACAGGTACCGTAAATGTGCGAATGGATCTGGTATCAGACCACAAGGATGAGGGAGAGCACTTGGGAGGGCTTGTGTTGAACTAGAGACTACATGTCCTATCGAAAGACTTTCTTGGCTGGGCACGGTGGCTCACGCCTGTAATCCCGGCACTTTGGGAGGCCGAGGTGGGCGGGATCATAAGGTCAGGAGATCAAGACCATCCTGGCCAACATGGTGAAACCCTGTCTCTGCTAAAAATCCAAAAATTAGCTGGGTGTGGTGGCACGTGCCTGTAATCCCAGCTACTCGGGAGGCTGAGGCAATCGCTTGAACCCAGGAGACGGAGGTTGCAGTGGGCCTAGATTGTGCCATTGCACTCCAGCCTGGCAATAGAGCAAGACTCTGTCTTAGAAAAAAAAAGAAAAAAAAAAAGAAAGGCTTTCTCATTAAATAGTAAAGAGTTGAACCACGTACTTACCATATTAAATGGGAAGGGATCTCTGGGTCCACACTTCTGGGGTGGTTGAGGAAGAAGTTAAAGTGATGCTGCCACATGGGTGCAGAAGCTTAATAATATGATCGTTTATGCACATTTACTCCTAATCAAACAACTTGGTTAAAGAAGTTGCTGCATGTAGAAAATAATGTGAGGGGAAAAGTTGTAAAGAAGAAGCTCTTTAACATACTGCTTAACACTGGATGGCGGGTAAGACAAATGAGAACAATGAAGAGACCCTTTCATGTTAGAGGCTAAAAAAATTTGCTATATGTGGAAAATGTGCATGAATCCCTATTATTCTTTTCATTTCTGTAAAAGTCCTCCTAGAGGAACTTTATTATGTCCAATTTAAGAGTGTTGACCCTGTGATCACTGCTCCCAAACAGGCCCTGTGCTGGGTTGAATCGTGCGCCCCCACTCCAATTCGTGATGAATTTGGAACCTGTGAATGTGACCTTATTTGGAAATAGGGTCTCTGTAGATGTAATCAAGTCAAGCTGTGCTCATAGTGGATTTGAGTGGGCCCCAAATTAATTGTGGCTGGTGTCTTTAAGAAGACTGAAAATGGGACACAGACACACCAGAGTAAAGAGGACCATGTGAAGGCAAAGGCACAGGTTGGAGTTACACTGCCACAAGCAAAGAACATCAAGCATTGCCCACAACCACCAGGAGCTGGGAGAGGAGCATGGAGCAGAGTCCCTCTCAGCAGCTCCGTGAGAGGATGTGTTTCCTGGGTTTTAAGCCAGCCAGTATGAGGTACTTTGTTACAGCAGCCTAAGAAACTGATTCAGGCACCTTTTCCAACTTTCTCCTTATTAATAGAAATGCCACTAAGTTCACCAATGTCTCAAAGATTATGATTCCCATCTCCGACCTTGTCTTCCAAATGCATTGAGTTTTCCAAACCATTGCATTTGCTTCTTCCTCTCCATTTCCGCAGGTATCACCCTTATCACTTATCATAATAATGAATGTTTGAATACTGCTTTCTACAATTAATGTGATTTTCATTCTCACAACAAATGATGATGTGTTATACTCATTTATATTATACTCATTTACTTGATGTATTATACTTATTTATTTATTAATTATACTCATTTACTTGATGAGGAAGCTGAGGGTCAAAGGGTTTAAGTAATTTGTTTAAGGTCATCCAGTTAACTAGCATGCTAGAAATCTGGGATTCCAGCAAGGATAGGCTCTTTAGTGCCAAGAAAAAAAATAATAAATCCAAAAGGGACTGCCTTGTTGTAAGTATTGTGCCATCCTGCCTTTTCCATCATTTTAATGAAAAAACCACAGGACACATCTGTATCACTGGGGTAAAATGAAAGGAAGCTGCAGATTGTTCTCTTTTGCTTCCTTACGCCTTGGAGGCATAACTTTCGTTATTACGACAGCAAAGGCATCCCACTAATTGATAGAACAAAAATAGAGCTAATTTTACCTCTTTTTTTCTTGTAACAACGGAATTCCTTTTTATATATTTAATTACAGCCTTTGAAGATACATCAAATAGGATTTTGGTGGAAAGATATTTTTCCCCTAAGTAGGTCACTGGAGATATAATTAACACAGATAATAGCTATCTCATCTACAGATTGCATTTTAGTTGAAATGACCTTTTTCACTGTGTTTCCCCACTGTCTGAAACAAAGCAGACAGTTGGGTTATGTTGTTCGCTGGTTTTATAGCAAGGGCAAAAAGTACATCCTCCCAATGTAAGAAACACATCTAACTCCCACAATTTTCTTACTGAAAATCTGAGTTATTTTTTAAGATAGAGGTTGTATGAAAAGGAAAAGCTGGTTGCTTATGGATTTTCTTATAAAGCCTCCCCCACACCCAATAAGACAGAGTTATATGTAGGATGACCATATACATTATTGTCTGGACCAGGATACTCTGGAGAATGCAAAGGATGCTATCGATAATTACCTCAGGACAGTGGTTATAAACCGAGGCTGCCCTGGGCAACCAGAAGATATGGTCATCCTGGCTATTTTAACCCATCCTGGAGAGAGGAATCCAGCCTGTTTTTGAATACATCTCCCCACAAATAGAGAGACATCTTGATGAGTGGGGCTGGAGGTGATTACTCGTCATGAATCATTAGGTTGCCCCTTGGAAATTAAATGTAGATATTTAAGGAACTTTTTTTGGCTACCAGTAAGAGATACATTGAAAAATTCTCACCCAAATGTTTTGGTCTTAGTCATGGAGAGTTTGGGGCTCAAAGGGCTTTTGGCCTAGAGGCAAGAAATCTGGGGGATTGACCTTTCCCACAGGAGTGTAAACTCAAGCCTAGATAGTGCCCAGCTAGGCGATCAATGGATGCTTACTAAAGAATGATTGGAATGACTCTAAGCACATCCTGATTCACAGCTGTGCGCCAGAAAAGAAATTTTTCTCTTTCAGAGAGAGATGTCATAATGAAGACCTCTTGATGAGAACTCAAAAAGTTGAGTAGGCACAAACTTATTTGTTGATTTGGACACCGAGAGGAGATTTACAAGGGGAGGGTATATTTCATTTATATTGGGAGAGGCCGCTCTGAATTAAATGCTAAGAAAAAGCCCAAGGCTATATGGTGATTAGATAAGGAGTGCGGATTAGATAATTCTTTTTTTTTTTTTTTTTTTTTTTTGAGATGGAGCTCGCTCTGTCACCCAGGCTGGAGTGCAGTGGCATGATCTCGGCTCACTGCAACCTCTGCCTCCCTGGTTCAAGTGATTCTCCTGCCTCAGCCTCCCATGTAACTGGGATTACAGGCACCCGCCACCACGCCCGGCTATTTTTTGTATATTTAGTTAGAGACGGGGTTTCGCTGTGTTGGCCAGGCTGGTCTCGAACTCCTGACCTCAGGTGATCCACCTGCCTCGGCCTCCTGAAGTGTGTGTTAGATAATTCTTAAATTATTCAGACATTTCTTGAGCATTTACTCTTACAGCTGGTGTTGTCAGGTGCTGGGGTTCAAAAGGGAGAAGATAGTTGCTGATTGCAGGGAACTCATAGACTAATGAGAAGACATATAAAGATCATGGCAAATGCAACGATAATGGTATGTAAAGATATAGTAGTAACAGGGAGAAGAGAATGAGACCTTCTTCTTGGAACCTTAGGAGAATTTATGGGAAAAGTAATGCGGAACAGTGTGAGGATGAGTTGGACACTCTGACCAGGGAATCAGCAGGTCTACAGGGATAGATAAAAGAAGGTGAAAATGGTAAGGCCTGTTTTAAGTGGTTGATGTTATGTTTCCAATATCCTGCTGTTACTGAGTTTTAAGTAGTTGATGTTATGTTTCCAATATCCTGCTGTTACTTTGACCACGCATTCATAAACTGGACCTTTCAAGAGCAAATTTGCATATTTTCTTTCACAGTGGTGGGCTAAAAAATAATGTATACCTATTTGCATATATATTTCCATCTGAATTTCATATTCTGACAGAATTCTGAGAAGGACTTCAAGAGAATGACTTCTTAGCTTTCCAAGGTGAACGGTAGTGCATTATATTTTTAAAGACCTACAGTATTGGAATTCCCATGTTTTCATTTTTAACTTGATTCTGTATTTAATTGCACTGGTAGCTCCTCTTATTTAACTAGCATTTGTTTTAAATTTATCTTTAGAAGTGGAGGAGGAAAGGATAGGAAGGTGGTTTAGGTACTGTAGTTACTGGTGTTTCAGCAAAATGTTGTAGTGCTTCAAGATGGTTCCTTCATCTTTGTGCCTGCCTTATTGAGGCTTAAGGATTTTAAGTCTATTGTCTCTTTTTAGAGCTTCTTTTTTTTCCTTTAAGTAATTTTTGTCTTTACCCTTTCTTTTTCAACATAAGCAAAACCAAACTTTTGGACAATCATAATTGTGCAAGGAGAAATTCTGACTTCAGGCTCATTCTTGTGTTAACTGCTGTAGTGTTAGATTACTTCTCATACTCTTTTTAAAGGCTGAGAGTCCAAAGTCTTATCACGGCCCTGGTGTTGTGATTTCTTGGTGAATGTTTCTGCAAGAATGAGGAAAATGTTAATTTTCAGAAGCAGCAGTGAGTTTTAGAGATTCTAAAACCATTAATGAATATGCTTACAATTTGCCTTTTTAAGAAAGTAAAACAATTATGAGTCATTCTCTTAGAGATGACAGTGAGCTCATGAACCCATGAACCTTCTTTTTTTTTTTTTTTTTTTTGAGATGCAGTGACGTGATCTTGGCTCACTACAACCTCTGCCTCCAGGTTCAAGTGATTCTCGTGCTTTAGCCTCCTTAGTAGCTGGGTCTACAGGCACATGCTACCATGCCTGGCTAATTTTTGTATTTTTAGTAGATACAGGGTTTCTCCATGTTGGCCAGGCTGGTCTTGAACTCCTGACCTCAAGTGATCTGCCTGCCTTGGCCTCCCAAAGTGCTGGGATTACAGGCGTGAGACACCATGCCCAACCTACTGACCCTTCTTACAAATGAAATGAGTTGTACTTCTAAGAGAATCACTAATATTTTATCTACAAGCCACAGAGTTTATTTGAAGAGATTTTTTTTCCTTTATACTTTGTGTGGTTTGTTTTTAGGGAAAAGTAATTGATGTCGAGAGGGTTTTCCAAAACAGAATTTTGTCCCTAATAAGCATTTGATTCTTAAGATTCTCTGTATTTTGTTACATTTCTGGAATCTTATACATATGAGCTATTGACATAAAATGAGCACAATTGTGTAACTCTTTATGGGAGCAACAGTTATAATGTTTTGGCACATCTCAAAGATGTCTAGATTATGTGACTACATACAGAAGATTAAATCAATGCCAATCATTTCCTAAAGTAAGGCATTTAACAGTAAGAGAAATATTTGTATTGATTTTTTTAGGAATACCATATTTATAATAAGTTATACAAATTTGATTGTATGAATAGCTCAAATTAGAGTAAAAATTAGCCTTGTAGCCTCACTGCATTTGAACTTTTAAATGCACTTATGGGAAGGAGGCAAGATGACCAACTAGATGCAGCTAGTACACACCTCTTCCATGGAGAGGAACCAAAATAGCAAGTAGATATTCACACTTTAAATACATCGTGGAAGAGAGAACACTGGCATTCAACAGAGAAGTGACGGGAAGCACCAAAAGCAAAGAAGGAGAGGGAAGCAAGGTAGCCTGCTTGGCCAGGATTGGCTGGGAGCTGGAAGAAGCTCCCAAACATGGGGAAAAGGTAAATGAGTGATCCCCTCAGGGCTCCACATTCCTGCAAGGGATTTCTACCAGCGAGAGGCGCTTAACCCTTGCAGGCCTTGAGACTCTCATAGAGAGCTACCTAGAGATTGTGCAGTGACATTGCTCCAAAGGGAGCTCATGCTTAGTCCCACGGGCTCCTGAGACCTGAGCAGCTACAATATGGCACCATTCTGAGAGCTCAACTGGCAAAGGACTGCATTCCCTGGAGCTGATGCCACTGCAGCTGTGGTAGACCAAAGAGGAACAGAGGAGGTCAGGCCCTTTCACACATCTTGAGGACAAATCCCACTGCAGCTGCAGCTGTTGTGGGACTAAGACGTGAGAAACCCATAAGCCCCACAGCTGCCTGCCTATGCCGTTCCCATTGAGAATGACCCTGCCCTCCCTGGTGGCATGCCCACAGTGGGCACCAGCCTGAAAGCACAATCCTCAAAGGACTATGTCCTGCCCTTAGGCCAACACCACTTCTGCTGCTGCCAGGCCAAGAAGGAAGAGGAGAGGCCAGGCACTATCACATGCCCCAAAGACAAATAGCATTGCTGCTGCTGCAGGCTTCTGTGGGACCAAGGTGCCAGCAAACTGTGAGTTTCACAGTTCCCTAAGCAGCTCCCACTGAGTGGCCTCATCCTCTTTGGAGGCAGGCCTGAAGTGCACTGCTGCCCCCACCTGAACATTGTGCCAGTGGCCTGTGGACTGGTTGGCCTCTGCCTGTCAGCACCATCACCTGAACTCACTACCAGAGGCCCTGAGGACACGTCCACCAACCTAGTTCCCTTCCCCCATTACTTCAGCCTGCCATCAGGGGCCTGGGATCAGCGAACACAGTCCAACACCATTGACATTTGAGCACTCCTCCCAGGGTCTGAGGTTGGGCTCACCCAACCTGCTGATACCACCACAGCTGGCACCCACCTGCACAAGCCACCTGAAGGCCAGGGGACTGGCACTCCTAGACTTTTGCAGACACCAGGAACAACAGCATGGACCATTTGGGTCCCACTGGGCTGCCCCATCACTGCTACTGCCATTGCCCACATCATACCTGCTGCCCAGTGGTCTGAGAACCTGCCCACATGCCTGGCCCACTGCTGCCACCACCAGCATGTGAGCAAGCCAACTGGAAGCCCTAGAATTGGCAAACCTAGACCCACTAACACCAGAGCCAACATATACTGTGGGTTTAAGTACAGGCATGTTCAGCTCACTGCTCCCACCACTAAGGCCTGCAGACTGGCCATCTGGCATCTTAGTCCCCAGTAAAACTTCACCACAGACTTACTAATAACTGCACCCTAAGCCACTGAGGAAATCACAGACACCATTGACACTGTTTACAGCTGAAGAAATCATATAAGGACTAACTGCATGCACCCAAAATCAAAGCCATAGTGCCATATATATATATCTCGTCACAAAAAAGTAGATGTACATATCTTATATCTTCAGGAAAAAGTCCTCCCCTATGAAAACAAATTCAAAAACTTGGACTGTTACACCAGATATCAACGTAAAAACACAGGAAACAGGAAAAAGCAAGGTAATAGGACACCTCCAAAGGAACACAATAATTCTCCAGAAACAGATCCCAATCAAAGAGAAATTCACAAAATCTCAAAGATTTCAAAATACTGATTTTAAAGAAGCTCAGTGAGATACAAGAGAATTCTGAAAAACAGAGGAGGAGAAAAACAATTCAGGATATGAATGAGAAATTTCCCAAAAAGAGATACTTTTAAAAAGAATAAAACAGAGATTCTGGAATTAGAGAGTTTATTAAATGAAATATGAAATACGTTTGAAAGCTTTAACAGTAGACTTGCTCAAGTAGAAGAAAGAATCTCAACTTGAATACAGATCTTTTAATGTAATCAAATCAGACAAAAATAAAGAAAAAAAGAAAAAAGAAAGTGCAAAGCCTTTGTGACATTTGGGACAACATACATAAAGCAACCAAAATTTAAATTATCAGTGTCCTCAAGGATAGAGAGAGAATGAAAATGTTAGAAAACATATTTAATGAAATAATAGATGAAAACTTTCCATGTTTAGAAAAGACTTAGACATCCAGATACAGGGGGCTCAAAGATGCTCAAACAGATACAATGCAAAAAGGTCTTCTCCACAGCATATTATAGTCAAACTGTCTAAAGTTAATGACAATGAGAGGATTCTAACAACAGCACAAGAAAAGTTTATAGTCACCTATAAAGGAACCCCTATCTGACTAACAGCAGACTTCTCATTAGAAACCTTACAGGCCAGAAAAGAATGGGATGGCATGTGAAAAGTACTGAATGAAAAAAGGTTGCACCCAAGGATACTATATCCAGCAAAATTACTCTTCATAAATAAAGAAAAAATAAAGTATTTCTCAGACAAGCAAATGCTGAGAGAATTTATGACCACTAGACCGGCTGGCCCTACAAGAAAGGCACAAAGAAGTCCTAAACCTGGAAGTGAAGTGAAAGGACAACATTTACCACCATGAAAACACACGAGAATATAAAACCCATTGGTTAACCAAACACACAAATGAGGAAGAGAAAGGACTCAAGTGATACTACTACATAAAATTACCAAACCACAATGACAAACAAGAGAAAAAGAAATGAACAAAGGAACCAGAAAACAACTAACTTTATGACAAAAACAAAACTTCACATATCAATAATAACCTTGAATATAAACGGATTAAATCATCCACTTAAAAGATGTAGATTGGATGAATGAATAAAGGAACATGATCTAACTATATGCTGCCTACAAGAAACCCACTTTACTTGCAAAGATACACATAAACTCACAATAAAGGGATAGAAAAAGATATTACATGCAAGCAGAAACCAAAAGCAAGCAGGAGTAACTATACTTATGTCAGGTAAAACAGACTTCAAAAGACAAAAAATGTCAGTGTGTAATAATAAGAGGATCAATCCAGCAAGAGGAAATAACAACTTTAAATATATATGCTCCCAAAACTGGAGCACTCAGATTCATAAGCAAATATTACTGTATCTAAAGAGAGAGATAGACTCCAGTACAATAATAGTAGGGGACTTCAACACTCCACTCTCGTCGTTAGACAGACCATGAAGACAGAAAATCAACAAAGAAACATTGGATTCAATCTGGACTTTAGACCAAATTGACCAAACAGACATTTAGAAAACATTTTATCCAGCAACTATAGAATATACATTCTTCTTATCAGCACATGGAACATTCTTTATAATAGACCATGTTTTAGGCCACAAAACAAGCCTCAACACATTTTAAAAAATCAAAATTATACTGTTATTTTCTCAGACCACAATGGAATAAAACTAGGGATCAATACCAAGAGGAACTTTGGAAACTATAAAAAATACATGGAAATTAAACAACATACTACTGAATCATTATTTGGTCAATGAAGAAATTAAGATGGAAATTTAAAACATTTTTGAAACAAATGAAAATGGAAACACAATCTACCAAAACCTGTGGGATACAGAGAAGGGAGTGTTCAGAGGGAAGTTTATAGCAATAAATGTCTACATCAACAACAAATAGCCTAATGATGCATCCCAAGGAACTAAAATACAAGAACAAACCAAACCCAACATTAGTAAAAGGAAAGAAATAATAAAGATCAGAGCAAAACTAAATGAAGCAGAGACTAAAAAAAGTACAAAAGATCAATGAAATGAAAAGTTGGTTATTTGAAAAGATAAACAAAATTGATAAACCACTAGCTAGACTAACCAAGAAGAGAGAAAACCCAAATAAACATAATCAGAAATCAAAAAGGAGACAGAAGTACAAAAGATCATCAGAGATTATTATGAACAACTATACACTGATAAGCTGAAAACCTAGAGGAAATGGATAAATTCCTGTAAATATACAACCAACCAACCAAGCTTGAATCAGGAAGAAATAGAAAACCTAAACCAATCAATTACAACTACTGGGATTGAATCAGTAATAAAAATGTCTCCCAACAAAGAAAAAGCAGGACCAAATGGATTCACAGCCAAACTCTACCAAATGTATAATGAAGAACTAATACCAATCTTCCTGAAACTATTCCAAAAGATTGAAGAGGAGGGAACTCTCCCTAACTCATTCTACAAGGTCAGCATTACCCTGATACCAAAACCAGGCAAGGACACAACAGAAAAAGAAAACAACAGGCGAATATCCCTGATGAACATAGGTGCAAAAAGTCTTCGACTAAATACTAGCAAACCAAATCCAACAGCACATCATGAACATAATGCACCATGACCAACTAGAATTTATACCAGGGATACAAGAATGGTCCAACATATGCAAATCAATAAACGTGATATATCACATCAATAGAATGAAGAACAAAAACTATGTTATTACCTCCATAAATGGAGAAAGAGCATTTGACAAAATTCAACATACCTTCATGATAAAAACTCAACAAACTAGAAATAGAAGGAACATACATACCTTGAAATAATAAAGCTATGAAAACCTCACAGCTGACATCATACTGAACTGGGACAAGGTGAAGCTCTTTCTTCTAAGGTATGGAACAAGACAAGGATGCCCACTTTCACCACTCCTATTCAACATAGTACTGGAAGTCCTAGCCAGAGCAGTCAGGCAAAAGAGAGAAATCAAAGGCATCCAAATTGGAAAAGAGGAAGTCAAATTGTACCTCTTTGTGGGTGATATAAGCTTATTTTTTCCTGAGTGTGCCTGAAGGAGACACATTTTATTAGACATTTGAAATGTTATAATCTATAAACAAGATATGATTTCATACCTAGGAAAACCTAAAGACCACCAAAATAAACTCCTAGATTTGATAAATACATTCCCTAAAGTTATAGGACACAAAATCAACATACAAAAATTAGTACCATATCTATACACCAATTGTGAACCAGCTGAAAAAGAAATCAAGAAAGCAATGCTATTTACAATAGCTATAAAGAAATAAAATACCTAGGAATAAATTTAATCAGTGAGGTGAAAGATCTCTGCAAGGAAAACTACAAAATGCTACTGAAATAAATTGAAAAGGAAACAAATGGAATTAGACATCCATGCTCATGGATTGGAAGAATTAACATAATTAAAATGACCATATTTCCAAAAGTAATCCACAGGTTTAATGCAATCCTTATCAGAATACCAACATCATATTTCACGGCATGAGAAAAAAAAATCCCAAGTTTCATGTGGAAGCAAAAAAGAGCCTGAATAGCCAAAGCAAAGCAATCCTGAGCAAAAAGAACAGGTCAGAAGCGATGCCTCACACCTGTAATCCCAACATGTTTGGAGGCCAAGGCAGGAGGATCACTTGAGGTCAGGATTTCAAGACCACCCTGGACAACACAGTGAAATGCTGTCTCTATAAAAAAATTTTAAAAAATTAGCTGGGTGTGGTGGCACACACCTGTAGTCCCAGCTACTTGGGAGACTGAGACAGGAGGATCACTTGAGCCCAGGAATTTGTGGCTGCAGTAAGCTAAGATTGTACCTCTGCACTCTGGGCTGGGCAACAGAATGAAACCTTGTCTCTTTAAGGGAAAAAAAAAAAAAAGAAGCTTCTGTACAGCAAAGGAAATAGTCAACAGAGTGAATAAAACAACTTGTTGAATGGGAGAAAATATTTGCAAACTATTGATCAACAAGGGATTAATATCCAGAATATACAAGGAACTCAAATAACTCAACAACTTAAATAATGCCATTAAAAAGTGGGCTAAGAATATGAATATGAATGTTTTTAAAAGAAGGCATACAAATGGCCAACAGGTATGTGAAAAAATGTTCAACATCACTGATTGTCAGGAAATGCAAATCAAAACCATAGTGAGATACTACCATTCCCTAGTTAGAATAGCTACTACTAAAAGACAAAAAATGACATGCTGGCAAGGATGCAGAGAAAAGGGAACTCATACACTGTTGGTGGGAATGTAAACTAATATAACCACTATGGAAAACAGTATGGAGAATTCTCCAACAACTCAAAATAGATTACCATACAATCCAGCAATCTACTACTAGGTATTAATCCAAAGAAAAAAGAAATCTGTATATCACAGGAATACCTGCGCTTGCATGTTTATCACAGCCCTATTCACAATAGCAAAGATAAGGAATCAACCTAAGTGTCCATTGATGGACAGATGGATAAAGAAAGTGTGGTATATATACATAGTGGGATACTATTCAGCCATAGAAAAAGAACGAAATCATGTCATTTGCAGCAACATGGATGTAAATGGAGGTCATTATGTTAAGTGGGATAAGCCAGGCAAAACAAGGCAGGTACTGCATGTTCTCACTCATAGGTGGGAGATAAAACACTTGGTCTTGTGGAGCCGAGAATAGAATAATAAATACCAAAGGCCAGGAAGGGGGTGTGGTTGGGAGGGGAGGATGAAGGGAGGTTGATTAGTGGGTACAAGCATACAGTTAGATAGAAGAAATAAGCTCAATATTTGATAGCAAAGTAGAGTGACCATAATTAGCAACAGTGTATTGTATACTCAAAGTAGCTAGAAGAGAGGACTTGAAATGTTACTGACACAGAGACATGATAAATACTCAAGGTGATGGATACCCCAAATACCCTGGCTTGATTTTATGCATGTAACAGATATTCATAGGTACCCCATAAATATGTAAAATACTTTGTATCCATAAAAAAGATGCATGCAGATGTAAAAAAAAATGCACATATGGCAAATAGGAGAAATATATTATTTTTGATATCTCAAATTAGAAAAATAATTATTCAAAAATTCTCTGTGATTAAAACTTGTTAGCATGACCCATTGACTTTGTCTGATATAAGAGGTACTCTCACAAATCAAGTTAGGACTTGAAAATTCTTTATCAAAATGAGACCCAAAGATGATAGAAAGTAGCAGGAAATATTTGGAATTGCTGCTCTTCTTGGTTAGGCAATAAAGATGGTTTTGCAGATTAACGAATCAAGAGACTAATAAGGCAGGGCACGGTGTCTTACACCTGTAATCCAGCACTTTGGGAGGTCAAGGTGGGCAGATAGCTTGAGACCAGAAGTTCGAGACCAGCCTGGCCAACGTGGTGAAACCCCGTCTCTACTAAAAATACAAAAATTAGCCAGGTGTGGTGGCGCATGCTTGTAATCCCAGCTGCTTGGGAGGCTGAGGCAGAAGAATTGCTTGAACCTGGGAAGCGGAGGTTGCAGTAAACCAAGATCGTGTGACTGCACTCCAGCCTGCGCGACAGAGCGAGACTCTTGTCTCTCTCACACACACACAAAAAAAACCTAACAAAAATAATACAACATATTTTGAATTCTGCTCCGTTGTTCTGCTGTTGTTTTTTAATCTTAAACTGTGTATTGAGCCTCGTCACTTAGTTTCTTTCAACTCTCCTTTTTTATTTTGAAAGCCTTGTATTAATCTCTTTTGTTGAGACAGCAGCCATGAACCCTGTCTCCAATTGTTTCCAGTTCTCTGTTGCCTAGAATTATTGCTACTTCTCCTTTTATGGTGAAAAATAGCACCTCCTCTATTTGCGAGAACAGAAGCTGGGAGAGTGACCTGGCTGTGATGGTGATGTAGGGGCTGGACAGAAACTAGCAGGAGTAACTTGAAGAAGTGAATCTTATCGGCACTTTAAAAATGTTTTCCCCCGGAAATTGAAAAACAGAGCTCCAGAGGGGTATTTTATTCATGCAGAAATAAAATTGGAACTTGCTTGGAAAAAAAAAAAAAACAAAACAACTAAACTGAATGTAATGCAATAGCTTGAGCATTCCAGTCCCAGGCATATTCTATTAGCACAGGTTCCCCTTTGAAGGGCCCCAGAGAAGTGTTTCCCAACCAGCCTGTGGACCGGGTGCATCCAAACCCCTGGAATACTGGTGAAAAATGTATATTTTCAAATCTGTCAAAATTATTAGACCTGACAAGGGGCCCAAGAATCTGCATTTTTAATGAGCATCGTCTCCCTCATTGGATGCTGTCCTGCACTTAGGTAGGGAGTCATTTGGAATTTCTCTCAGCATTAGCTGATTCTCTCATAAATCAGTATCTTTTTTGTTTTTTGTTTTTGTTTTCCTAGACAGAGTCTCGCATGTCGCCCAGGCTGGAGTGCAATGGCGCGATCTCGGCTCAGCTCAGTGCAACCTCTGCCTCCCGGGTTCATGCCATTCTCCTGCCTCAGCCTCACGAGTAGCTGGGACTACAGGCGCCCGCCACCACACCCGGCTAATTTTTTGTATTTTTAGTAGAGACGGGGTTTCACCGTGTTAGCCAGGATGGTCTTGATCTCCTGACTTCGTGATCCTCCCGCCTCCGCCTCCGCCTCCCAAAGTGCTGGGATTACAGGCGTGAGCCACCGCACCCAGCCCATAAATCAGTATTTTAAACAAGCCCCAGGGTTGCAGTACACACAGGTGCAGAAACTCCTGCTGCATGGGTAGCTACTGCCCAAGGTCAGCCATGAGTTCTCTGGGGCCAAGCAGAGTGCCCCCAAGGGCCTGGCACCGTCCTCTGGGCAGGCCTCTTTGCTGCTGAGAAACGCTCCTTCCTAAAGATTACAAAAGGAATTTTCTTAAGTCCTTTATCCCCCCATTAAAAAGCCCTGAAATGGAACCTGAGCCTCCCAGTGTGCTGGCACCTGGCCTCAAGTGTCTTCATCAGAGCGCCTGCTCACTGGTGAGGTTGCTTTGCATACACAACAGACTCATCCACTCTGAGCGGGAAATCCACCTCCTTGTTGCTTTTCAAAACAGAAGCCATCCTGACTGTCTACAGCCAATAAACACCCATTCATGAATATTTTATTAGGCTCTTACTCTGCTCTTTTAGGCTCCAAAGATATCAGGAAACGAGAAAAAAAAAGATCCCTGTCCTTAGAGAGCCAACCTGCTGGTCACATCCGTTATGCGCATGTCTGTCTTCCGCCTGTTGGGCACATAGATGATTTAGACAGCATGAGCAACATCCAGAACTGTGTGCTCATTCTTGTTCTGACTTCTTTTGTTCTATTTACATTGTCTCATGCAAAACTGAGCTACAAACAGTGGCTTCTCACGATGGTTTCAGAACACATCACAATTGGGAGATGGTGCTTCCTATCTGGGAAGCTTTATCAGCCTGCTTTGGCTCTCTGGGAGGCAGTCTTTCTGAATTTTATGTAAACATTAGAACAATTGGCTTTCTGTTTTGATGTCCTTGGACTATCACTTGGGAAAGATTTATGTTGCTTTGGCCTCTGTTTCCTCCTGGCTCCTAAAGGCCTTTTGTACTTATATGAGTTTCAATCCTTGGTTATTTTGTATTGGGATGAGGTTCATGGGTAGAATTTCGGAAGACTCGAGAGAGAAGAGTGGAGGAATCTCCTTTAAAGATGAAAAGTAAACGGGTAAATTTCACATAAGAAATGATAATTCATGTGTATTATTTTCCAAAATGTGGTTCCCAGATCACTGGTGATAGACAGGATGTTTTTATTTGAAATATTGCTGAAGTCATTTGTTATATTTAGTTTGATCGTGGCAAATAATACTGGTCTTTCACTTGTGACAGGTTTTTTCATTACAAGTTTATTGAAATAATAAAGCTAAATATTAAATAATCACACAGGTGACATATGCGTATGAGAAAAATCACAAGGTTGGTACACAGATAATTGAGGTTTGGGAAATGCTAGTTGAGTGGAAGGCCAGGAGCAAGCGTCTTGTAGGAAAACTCCCAACCTGCAAGGTCAAAGGCTCACAGCTGTCACTCACAGTAAACAGGAAGCTTGTGGAGGTGAGCTTTATAGAAAAGAAATTATCTGTATGTGCCAACTAGCAAGGTCTCTATGTTCAAGTTAACCAGTAATTGAGTGTCCGCCCTGGAAAAGGAAATATCTCAAGTTTAGGGGGAGAGGGGAGGCAGAGGATCCAAGGCAAAGCTGTATAGCAGGAGATTTGGGAGATTATGGGAGTCTTAGACCAGGAGCAGTTTTATCCCCTGCTGAGAGGTCAGAGAGGATCCACGCAGAGAAAGGGACGTTAAGTCTTCTAGTGAATGTATTACTGGCCAGGGTGCCTTCCCCAGAAGCTTGCCGCTGATTTTATGACAAAGGACAGTTGCAGTTGGATGATGGTGAGCAACTATCTCAAATATATCAGGCGCCAGGCCAGCCATGGTGGCTCACGCCTGTAATCCTTGCATTTTGAGAGGCTGAGGCAGGAGGATGGCCTGAGCTCAGAAGTTTGAGACCAGCCTGGGCAACATGGCGAAACCCTGTCTCTACTAAAAATACAAAAATTAGCCAGGTGTGGTGGCACACGCCTCTAATCCCAGCTACTGGGGAGGCTGAGGCACGAGAATTGCTTGAACCCAGAGGCGGAGGTTACATGCAGTGAGCTGAGATCATGTCACTGCACTCCAGTCTGAGCAACAGAGCAAGACTCTGTCTCCAAAATATATATATATGGTGCTGAAAGTTTAAAAGTACTTATTACCATTGTTGGATTTTATTTTCAAATATGAAAACAGAAAAACTAAATGGAGAAGAGCCGTTTCCCCTAATTATATTTGAAACAGAGTCTAGAGACGGAATTGTAATTTTATTCTCTCTTTTACTCTGTGACTTTTTGGATTGGGTCCAGGATTGCAAGCCCTCTGGACTGTGACCCCTCCACCCCTAGCCTCATTACATCTAAGTGAATCCCTTTGGAACCAGACACCAAAATTCACCTTTCAGTTAAAAGACCTCCCACTCCTTGTAAACCAAAAAGCTGCTGCCAGGGTGAGGGTTCCTGTTGTCTTCACTGTGTGTAGCCGTTCAGGCTGCAGAGGACCCTCCACCAGCACATGCATTTTGTGGGGGTGCGGGTGAGAAATTCCTCACAAAGAGATAAAAAAACAAGGCAGAGCGGACGCATGCTACTGAAACAAACCACATATTCTAATAGGTAGTTAGGTAGGATGTAGGATCTAAGTCACCGAGTCCTCCAGTCACCAATAATTTTCACTCTAAAAATCATACCCTTTGGATTTTTCTTTTGCTTTTTGTGAATAAATGAACAGTCATATACTTGATGTCTGAGTGTTGAGTTTCTGTTTAGAACAAGTGAGGAAACTCAACTGAGATCCTTAGCTTGAGTTAAACTGGTCCCTGTGGTCCTGGTCACTGCTGTCATTATAAGACAGATTGATGCCATCATCTACCTTCCCCTGCATTCACCTGCTGCTGGGACCATCTTATTTATAGCAGATCTCTGCAGGCTGAAAGCTAAAGTTCCAGGGATTGAAATCTCTGTACCAGGTGAAGACTGCACGTAAGCTGATGGGAGCGATGGATGAGACCATGTACTTGGGGGAAATAAGCAGTGTAAAAACCAGCTCATAACTAGGGGTGCTATCCTGGGACGTGCATACACCAACATAAACCTGCATTTGGACCCAGGCCACGACACTTCCAAACTGAGTGACCTTGGACAACCAATTTAATCTTTCTGATTTTCCATTTCCCTTCTGGAAAAAAAAAATACACTAGCTGGGTGATGCTGAGGCTTAAATGAGAGTGGAGGATCTCCGCAAGGTGAGTCTCTTTGCTCTCTCAGCCCTCGGTGCTGTGTGTCTTTCAGTCTCTCTTCTTTGCCTTTACTCTGCCCTCTTTTGCTCCGCATTTGGTTTTTTAATTCTTTGAACAACCACAATTTAAAACTAAAGAATATTTTAAAATATGGGTATTTATTGAATACATCTATATCTTCTCTTGTATGAACCCTTAAAATCACTTCTAACGTTTTCTTTTTGAAATACTCCATGTCTGAAATAAAAAATGGGTGGCTTTTAAAAAATGTTTGTGTGTTTGGGGCTGGTGGTGGGGTTAGCTTTAACTATTAATAACATTGTAAGTGAATGGCTCTTATTAGCAAAAAGATTCTCTTAGTGTAGATTTTTGGGTGTGTCTTGAGTGATTTTTCTGGCTTCAGGACCAAAACCACAGCCTGTCTTGAGGTGATTACATAATCTCTGCATTCACATCAGCTTCACAATGTGTAAATGTAGCCATATTAATGTTCGCTTGGGGTAATCTAGCACTGGATTGTAGCTCAACTCTGCCGGGTGGAATAAGAGACCGACGTGGCAGTATCATAGTCACATGCAGGGACTCCAAGATGCTGCAGGAGTAGAGAGCTAATCTGACTTGGGACTTTGAATCAAGCTTGGACAGTATAAGGTCTTTCTACAGGTCCTCACTTCTCATATAGGGTTTGTGCAGCCAAGAGTCATTATGAAATGGTGGCTCCCAGGGGCACGTGGTCTCATCACAGTTTATCCTTGTTCAATTCATGTCTCGTTTTTCTGAGGTTGTCCATGATATAAGACCTATGGGGGAAAGCTGCTGACTTCTCATGTTTGTTCCATTCAATCCTTCATTGACCATTTCTTTGGGTGCTTTCTATAAAGCAGGCACATTGTTCGTGGTGCCCAAATGTGTGAATCTCGGGCCCTGCCTTTACTGGATGAAAGGTATGGTGAGAGATATATTTGCAAGCAAGCATTTAGGCGATGTGCTGCTTCTGGGTATCCAAGGCACTTTGAGGGCCTAAAGCAGGCAGGGCTAACTGTTGGTGGCATGCAGGGGAAGGAAATCCTTTCTAGGATATGTGATGTCTGTGGTGAACATTGAAGGCCAAGGCATTGACACCTGACTTCCAGCCCCAATTCTGCATCTGCACCCAACCTTGGCTTGTCCCCTGACTAATTACCAGTTTTCTGGTCTCTGAGATGGGAGGACAGTGTCTACCTATCCTGTCTCTGGAGGCTGAAACAAGGCCAGTGAGACTGTGTGTGAGGACACTCCCCCATCTGGGGGTTCTCCCATGTGCCCCAGCAGCCTGAGCCTGCAAGACAGTGGGTTGGCTGAGGTTTGAGGTTCAGTGTGTGACTGTGAACTTTGTGTTTGTCCCCTTTAGATCAGACCAAGACATTTTTCTCTAATAATTGAGTTGGTCATTGTAGTTCAATTCTGAGTAAATCCCAGTTCTTTCTCTTGCCGACTGGGAGCTTGCAGAGATTATTTAACCAATTAGAATCTTAGGTTTCTTATCTGTAAAATGAAGATGATAATTGTATTCGTCTGTTTTCACATTGCTATGAAGAAATCCCTGAGACTGGGTAATTTATAAAGAAAAGAGGTTGAATTGGCTCACGTTTCCACAAGCTGTACAGGAAGCATGATGCTGACATCTGCTCGGCTTCTGGGGAGGCCTCAGGAAACTTACAATCATGGTGGAAGGTAAAGGGGGAGCAGGAACTTCATGTGGCCAGAGCAGGAGCAAGAGAGAGTGAGGAGGGAGGGGTGCCATACACTTTTAAACAACCAGATCTTGCAAGAACTCTCATGAGAACAGCACCAAGGTGAGGGTGCTAAACCATTCATGAGAAACCACCCCCATGATCGAGTCATCTCCCACCAGGCCCCACCTCCAACACTGGGGATTACAATTCAATGTGAGATTTGGGTAGGGACACAGGTCTGACCTGTATCAGCAATAGCATATATTTCATCAAGTGTGTGTGGTTGTGAGGAGCCATGAATAGGACACATCATGTTCCAAACATGGTAAAGGGGTGCCATATGATAAATTATCTTTATCAAAGAAAATATTAGCAAATATTTTAATTGTTGTCTAAATTGCTATCACTTATACTGCAACTTTTACTACCTTTTCAAATAAACTCTCAATCTAATATGAATGTAGAGTTTTGATGTCATTTTTCACATATGTTGTATCTGGACCTCTAATGCACATTTAAGAACAATAGGGATGGCTTCATACTGTAACACGTTCCTTGGCCGCCATGTGCAAGTGTTGTGAGTTTTGAGGACCTCCTGAACTGCGTGTTGAGACATGAAAAGAAGCAAGCACATAGACATTTGGCACCTCTGGGAAATGGTGCTTTCTTGTGCAGGGATGAAGAATATTTGTGTATCTGAAAGGAAGGAGTTGACTGATTCATGAGCCTTTTTCTCTCCTCCAAGTGTTCCTATGGCTCAAACCCTCCCTGCACCCTGACGCAGCCCTATCACTGCCACTGCCATCTTCGCAGTGACAAAGCTTTCAAATGCTTAGGTCTTTCAGACATGGTTGCCTGTTTTTCAAGGACTTAGGGCAAGGATGTGGGGAAGCATTTCCCTGGACTGAGGATGGCACTTGCGTGAGGCTTGGGCTGGCACTGCTCTGTAACCGAAAACTGCATAACCATTTGGCAGTCCCTTCCAAATCCAACCCATCAGCCTATTAATTGGGATGTGGATTAATACTGCCAGGAGGTCCTCTGTTTCTTCGTGTGTTCCTTTGGAAGTCTGCTGACAGCGTTTTCCACTTGTTTTGTCTTATAGGAACTGGTGAAAGTGGGAAAAGCACCTTTATCAAGCAGATGAGAATTATCCATGGGTCTGGTTACAGCGACGAAGACAGAAAGGGGTTCACGAAGCTGGTTTACCAAAACATATTCACCGCCATGCAAGCCATGATCAGAGCGATGGACACGCTAAGGATACAGTATGTGTGTGAACAGAATAAGGTAACGTGCTTAGGGAGTGCTTGCCCTATTTGTGAATGTATGCCTGCCCACTCTGGTTAGCACAAAGATTCCCTCAGTGCTTTGGTCAGATGCCAGAAGAAGCTCTTGTTCCCTGGGGTGTGGGGATCACTGAGAGGAGTTTAAGGAATTTAGTTAGCCCCCGGTCTTCTTTCTGCAGGACTTCTCTCATGGTGGTAGCGTGAGGCTACCCAGTGTGCAGGGATTCCAAAGTTTGGGCTGTTATTTAGGTTCCTTATTTCCGGCGCTGAGAAAAGGAAGTCATACATTTTCTCTTTCCGCTAAGAGACCCAGTTAATTTCTTCATTGGAGCAATGGGGACATTGGGTTTACAGTGGCCAGCGTTTCAAGAATTCCCAGTCTCAGGAAATGTTTTCACTAATTGCTGCAGACTACTCAGAGAATTCAGTGGGTTTTGTTTGTTTGTTCTGGGAGTTCACCCTTCTTGGGAACTAAGTGATGGCTCGTGAGCACAATGCTAATGGCCCAGCCAGCAATGTGCTCCCATAAAGTGCTGGTGTCAAGCTGCCATTTGCTTTCCCCTCACCACCAGTTACTTAAAATACAAATCTGCTGAAAACCAGAGGAAAATAATGAGGCGGGAAAGAGAGAGGAAGAGGAAGTAAAATTTTATATGGTATATTGGAATGCAAATCCAGAGGAGAATAATACTATGTCTGAGTTCATTAAGCAACTAGATTAGAAATAAGAGTTTATTTAAAATAATTGATACCAAATTACAACATGACATGATGATAAAGAGAAAAATTCTGTGTCAGATGGGTCTCTCGTGGATCTGTGAAGAAGGAATTTAGCTAGTAAAATGCCAGAATTGCATGGGCTTTAGTATGGACCCCTAAGGACAACTTTATTATGAACTTGTGGCACCTATACTCATATATATATGATTAAAAAAAGTTTTAAAGCAATCAGTTTAAATTTCTATGGGATTACATAGGAAAACACAGTAGGCACCAAATTTCAGACTTGCCTTTACCTCATCTCTACAATCTATGTCTTTACTATCATTTCCTTGCAGTCCTGAAGAAATGAAGGAACACATCTTGCCTACAATTTCACCCTGTAACAGAGTCATGCTAAAACTTGCGTGGGGTGGGCTGGGCACGGTGGCTTATGCCTGTAATCCCAGCACTTTGGGAGGCCAAGGCAGGGGGATCACCTGAGGTCAGGAGTTCGAGACCAGCCTGGCCAACATAGTGAAACCCCGTCTCTACTAAAATTGCAAAACATTAGCTGGGTGTGGTGGCAGGCACCTGTAATACCACCTACTAGGGAAGCTGAGGCAGGAGAATCACTTGAACCTGGGAGGTGGAGGTTGCAGTAAGCCAAGATTGTACCATTGCACTCCAGCCTGGGCAACAAGAGCGAAACTCCGTCTCAAAAAACAAAACAAAACAAAAAAATTGTGTGGGGTGAATTAGCCTACAGCAAGGGTATCCAATCTTTTGGCTTTCCTGGGCCACATTGGAAGAATTGTTTTGAGCCACACATTAAACACACTAACGCTAACAATAGCTGATGAGCTTAAAAAAAATTGCAAAAAATCTCATTCTGTTTTAAGAAAGCTTATGAATTTGCATTGGGCTGCATTTAAAACTGTCCTGGGCTGCACTGTGGCCCACGGGCCATGGGTTGGACAAGCTTGGCCTATGGTATATCTGGTGTGAAGTAAGGTGAGAGGCACACACTGAGCCACTAGGAGATTCTAGAAGTGACTGAGATGATTCCTTTATACATTGCTGTATCTTTTTGAAAAGGTACAGTTCTTTTTTTACTTACCCTTTCTAATGTACTCTAAAAATTAGGCTTTCTGTGGAGATTTAAGATGACTTCAGTGAAGAGGCAGGAATGTTCTTGGGGGGTGATTTCAGTTCATCTGTTTTTCCCCTGTTGTAAAATACATTTTGTTTACCAGTCATGGTGAGGTGACTGGGCAAAGCTTGGAATTCAAGGATGGGTTTGTAAACAGACCCACTGAGGAGAAAAGGCTCCTGTGTAAGCCACTTCTGCTTACGTTGGCAGCAGCGTTTGTAAAACCTAATCAGCTTAGTTATCAAAGCTTCTAGGTTTTTGCTTTTGTTTTGTTTTTCCTCATGAGCTTCTAGAGTACTCAGTTTATATTTTAAACAAAGTGGTTTTATGTGGTTTGACATCTACCACTGTCTCCTTTTCTCTTGACCTTAATTATTTTGTCTAGGCCATCTCCGTTTGCCCCCTAATCTGTGTTAGTTTCCTAGGGCTGTTATAACAAAGTACTTAAGATTGGATGGCCTAAGACAGAATTTATTGTTTTTACAGTTTGTCATGCTAAAGGGCCAAAACCAAGGTTGATTGGTTCTAACTGGAGGCTCTGAGAGAATCTGTTGTCGGCTTCTTCCCCAGCTTCTGGTGGTGGCTGGAAATCCTTGCCGTCCGTTGGCTTGTAGATGCTTGCCTCCAGCCTCTGCCTCTGCCTTCGCCTGGCTTCTTCCCTGTGTCTGCGTGTCCACAGCACTGTCCTCTCTGGTTCTGTGTCCAAATTTCCCTTTTCTTACAAGGACACCAGTCGCTGGATTAGGGTCGACCCTAATCCGGTATGACCTTATCTTGCTTGCATCTACAGAGACTCTCTTTCCAAATAAGGTTTCACTCTGAAGTTTTGGGTCAGCATGAGCTTTGGGGGAACACAATTCAACCCCTCTGGCTCCCCAAGATTCATGTCCATCCCATGTACAACATACATCTACTCCATCCCGACATCCCTAAAAGTCAACCCATTCCAGCATCAACTCTAAGACCCAATTCTAATCCAAATATCAACTCAAAAAGTCCCAAATCAGGCCAGGCACAGTGGGTTGTGCCTGTAACCCAGTACTTTGGGAGGCCGAGGCAGGCAGCCATCTCTTGAGCCCAGGGTTTTGAGATCAGCCTGGGTAACATGGTGAAACCCCATCTCCAAAAAAAAAAAAAAAAATACAAAAATTAGCCGGGTGTGATGGTGCACACTTGTAATCCCAGCTACTTGGGAGGCTGAGGTGGGAGGATCCATTGAGTCTGTGAGGTGGAGGTTGCAGTGAGCTCAGATGGTGCCTCTGCACTCCAGCCAGGGGACAAAGTGAAACTCCGTTTTTTTTTTTTTTTAAAAAAAGTCCCAAATCTCATTGTCTAAATTAGGTATGGGTGAGATTCTGGGTACAAACCATCCTGGGGCACGGCCGGGTGCGGTGGCTCACGCCTGTAATCCCAGTACTTTGGGAGGCCGAGGCAGGCATATTACAAGGTCAGGAGATCGAGATCATCCTGGCTAACGCGGTGAAACCCCGTCTCTACTAAAAATAAAAAAAATTAGCCGGGCGTGTTGGCGGGTACCTGTAGTCCCAGCTACTCGGGAGGCTGAGGTAGGAGAATGGCGTGAACCTGGGAGGCAGAGCTTGCAGTGAGCGGAGATCATGCCACTGCACTCCAGCCTGGGCAACAGAGCGAGACTCCATCTCAAAAAAAAAAAAAAAAGAACAAACCATCCCTGGGCAGGATTCTTCTCCATCCATGACTGTGAAACTAGGATACAAGTCCATTGTACCTCCCGTCTCCTCCTCTCTTGCCATGTCTGGCTCAAGTATCTCAATTCCTGTTGCATAAACTTTCTCAAACTGACACCTGGGATGAACTGAATGCTAAAATGGCTTAAGGAGAGGCAGAAGGTCGAATGGAAAGAACCCTGGATTGGCTCTAAAAAATCTGGGCTTTGCTCATGGTTCTACTGTGGGTCTAGGGCTGGAGTCTGCAAACTTTTCTGTAAAGGGCCAGGGAGTCAATATTTGTGGGCTATATGGTCTCTGTTGGAACTACCCAGTTCTGCTGTTGTAGTGCAGAAAGCAGACATAGGCAATATCTAATAAGTAAACGAATAAGTGTGGCTCAATTATAAACTCTACGTACAGAATGTATAATAAGAATAGTAAGTTAAGAATACAGTTGAGAATAGTAAGAACTATTTTTGACTCATGGGCCATGTAAAAAATCCACAGTCCATGAGTGGATTTAATCAGTTGGTGTACTTTGCTGACCCTGGTCCTGGGGAAGCCGTACCATCTCTGTTTTTCCATTTTCTTACCTGTTAAATGAGACATGCTCTGTCTACTTCATAAGCCACTATGAGCAAAAGGAAGTGATTTACAAATTAAATGACCCTCGAGAAACACAAGGTTATTATTGGGGCAGGTTCAAAAATCAGAAATAAGCTCATTTTTTTTATTACTTGTTTAGGTCATTTTCATCAATTTCTTCTCTATCATTTTCCTGTGGCTGTTATTTCTAATAATTTTTTCTCAGAGCTAGTCTTGATTCCAAACATGAAACTGTGACAAAGTACCATGCTTAGGTCATAAAATGATAAACTGATTAGTGATTCAGTCGTATTCAGTGATGGTTTAGGAGGCATGCTATATGTTATCTTCTTTACAAAGTATCGTATGACTTGAAACAATTGGTTAGTTATGTCAGGGAAGAATAAAACTTCAGCTTTTATTTTCACAGTGGTGCAGTCTTCTCATTACTTATTGCTGAGTATTTATTTCTCTATTATCTGCTGTTTTTTCTGTTTGTTTCTGTTTCTTTCAGAGCTGGGAACATTTTCTTATGTATGTAGAAGAGAATTTAAAGTGGTTTTAGAGGGTTTTATTTTAAATGTTAGTGAGATTATTGCTCAGCTAGGCTGTTGAAAGTCTTTGCCTATTACTTGACAGGCCACTTATTAAAGGAAATTTATCGGAAATTTAGTTCCGCATTTGTTTTTTAACTAACATGTTTTTTCAATTAAGATACAGCCTTGAAGATTTTTTCTTATACCTTGCCTGCTTATTTTATTAAAAAGAAATGATTCATATGTATTTGCTCACTCTGTTGATAAACCTTAATTTTTATGAATGTCTCTCAAGAGTGTTTTATGGGAGCAATTTGAATTTATGACTTCTTGAATAAATATTACAAAGGCATTTGCTCAGTGGCAGGGTTCCTAAGTCTGAGTTAGCTTATAACTCATGTTTACTTGTGATGATTTCACAGAAGCCAGAAAAGCATCATAATTTTTGCTGTTTGCAGTCTCTTGAACTTGGGAAGTTCTCATTCTAGGCCTGTCCTACAGTGAAGGAAAAAAATATGAACCCCTTAAAGGTTCTGCAGAATCTGCTTGCATGATGTAGATACAGAATTTCCCAAGGGCAAAGGTCAGCCCTACCTGACATCTCAAAAACACGTTAGTTCCATGTTCAGTCATCTTGAGAAAAAAAGAAGGCCTACAGGCTCTTCACAGCTGACCCTAGCTCCTTCGCTGCCCCTCTGCTCTGCTTAGAGGAGCGCCAAACTACACTGGGGTCATGTTGTATTTGCACGGGACTTAAATTTAATTGTAAGGGCAATCATGACAAGAACCAAAACAGATTTTTTAAAGAAGATTTAATAGTTGATATGGTTTGGATGTGTGCCTGTGCCCAAATCTCATGTTGAATTGTAATCCCCAGTGTTGGAGGTGGGGCCTGTTGGGAGGTGATTGGATCCTGAGGGTGGTTTCTCATGAATGGTTTAGCACCATCCGGTTGGTGCTGTCCTCATGACAGTGAGTGAGTTCTCGTGAATTCTGGTTGTTTGAAAGCGTGTGGCACCTCCTCCCTCCCCAGCCTTGTTCCTGCTCTGGCCATGTGATGTGCCTGCTCCCCCTTCACCTTCGGCCATGATTGTAAGTTTCCTGAGGCCTCCCCAGAAGCCGAGCAGATGCCAGCACCCTGCTTCCTGTACAGCCTCCAGAACCATGAGCCAATTAAACGTATTTTCTTTATAAATTGCCCAGTGTCAGGTATTTCTGTTTAGCAATGCAAGAATGGACAAATACAATAATTAAACGGTAAGGGGATTATTTTGCCTGCCATTCCACTCCAAGTATCTAATTTAGAAGGCAATGTTTCTAGAAGTGTGAGGACTGGATTTGTCTTCAGAAAGCATTTTACTCTTCCATTAGAAGCTTTTGCTGCATTCAAAATCCAGTTGAGTCTATGCACTTGAGCTGTCCAGTCAACCACCACTCTTAAAAGGTTGAATGTTTTTATTTGAATCGACTCACAAGGCCTCTGCGAATTTTGTTTGAAGTTTTTGCAGGTCCTACACTTGGGTAAGTGGATGCCTTTATCACTCAGTCCCTTGGAGTTCCTCCTCTTCCTACTGCTGGGTTTATCAGGCACTAGAACATCCCAAACAATGATTCTCAGTCTTGGTTGCACATTGGAATCACCTGTGGGGCTGCTACGCCAATGCCAAGAGTATCACCCCCACAGGCTCAGAGTTAATGCTCTGGAAGGCAGCCAGAGCATGTGGATTGAGTTTTAGGTCCCTCCCAGGTGATTCTGATTGGGCAGCCAGGGTCGAGAACCACTGATAAATATGTGTCTTAACATAATTTGAAGGGGTTCAATTTGGATTCTGCTTTTCTGTCAACCTTTCCATAGCAGGAAGGGAGATTTCTGGTAATCTTTTCCATGGAGTGACCTAATTAATCTCCACCCAAAGGTAAATGGTGCGGGCAGCATTGACAGTGTCTGTTGTGTTCAGCCGAACTGGGCTGCCTTGGTTAGATTAGCCTTGACAGAATCTCCAGGTGACAAACACAGCAAATGCTGTTTGTTTCCTTTGAGTCTTTCAGGAACAGAGCACAGCCTCATGCCCAGAGTTCCAGCTCTGAGATGCGGATGGGGGCAGAGGAAGAAGCTGCAGCGCATTCTCTCAAGGTCTCATCAATGGCGCCTTCTTGCCTGCCTTCTCCTACTGTTGCTACATAGAAAGCGTAATTTCCTTCTGATGGATAAGACAATCAGAGATGCAGATTGTATTAATAACAGGTTGAAAGCGTAGGCTTTGTTTATAATAAAAATAGCATATGGGCCATGCCTGTAATCCCAGCACTTTGGGGGGCCGAGGCAGGAAGATCGCCTGAGGTCAGGAATTCGAGACCAGCCTGGCCAACATGGTGAAGCCCTGTCTCTATTAAAAATATATATAAAAATTAGCCGGGCGTGGTGGCGCATGCCTGTAGTCCCAGCTACTCTGGAGGCTGAGGCAGGAGAATCGCTTGAATCTGGGAGACAGAGGTTGCAGTGAGCCAAGATCGCGCCATTGCACCCCAGCCTGGGTGACAGAGTGAGACTCCATCTCAAAAAAAATATGTACCATATGATTTTGCTTGTGAGTAAATAAAGACATTATATTAGGAAATTAGTTTGTATTTTTACTAATCATTAATACATATTTTGATTTACTGAGATAATTCATCAAGTATAAAACATAAGCATCAAACATCTAACTTCATATTTAAGCAATCAAGTGTAGTATTTTGGGGGCGGGATCATAGGAGAGTATATTTCTAACACCAGAAAGCCCTTCGATAAGGTCTCACATTTATGCATAAATAACTCCTCCAGCTCCACTTTCCATTCTCAGAAAGTGGAAGGCTGAATTTCCAGGAGAATTTCTTAAGGATGCCTGTGAAGAAATCAGTCAGAGTTCAGTGAAAATGGTTAATTTCTGTCACTTTTTTATTGGAGAGTTTTTCGGGGCTGGGAGTATTTTAAGAGCCTCTTATGTTCTACTTTTTAAAACATCTGTTTAAATAAATTTTTCTGTCCCACTTCCTCATCCAATTTGAAAAATTCAGATTCTGCACGAACCTTTGGGAACACAGAGGCCAATGTTCCAACTTTGGCCGTAGCCCAAGGTTGCTGGTTCTCTGGTGAATGTTAAACTCAGGCCCTGCTTCCCATGTCCTGGTGGGTGTTAAAAATCACATGGTCCATTTTTCTCCTTACCAAGTACTCTGTTGAGCTCTACCTGTTGTCACAACAACAACAACAAACAACAAATTCTCCACCAAAATTCTAGGCAGGAGCTTTTCCATTTATCCCAACAGTTTTCTGATTAATCAGTGTTTACTTTAGTGTGAAAACTGCTGTAATCAGAGCTTGAAATATAAGAGTTTGGAAAATGGGAAAGAATAAGATGGGAAAGAAACTGAACTTTCTTCTTGATTGCCGTCACAATTAAAACACCCACTACCCTTTAAGCCTGAACTGGGATATGAGGAAGTTTGGGAGCCAATGATGAGTAATAACATTGATTTGACCATTCCTTCCCCTACCTCAGAACTGAGTATGCACCTACAAAATCCAAAGAAATGCTTTTAAAACCTAATGAAAAAGGGAGATCCTGTAAAGTTACAAACAATCCAGAAACTAGTGAGGCCATCATTCTATTTGAACACTTATGCATCCGTCCAACACATGTGAAATATTTTTCTGAGTCTTTTAAATTGCAAGCACAGGAGTCTGAGGCAGGAGAATCTCTTGAACCCCGGAGGCGGAGGTTGCAGTAAGCCAAGATGTTGCCATTGCACTCCAGCCTGGGCAACAGAGCAAGACTCCATCTCAAATAAATAAATAAATAAATAAGTATTCAACTTTATATTGCTATCCTAAAATATAAAGGGGAACATTTGAAACACTCTCATAATTCACGTCTTTTGTGAATGTTAGAATCATTATCAGTGATGCTAGGAACATGCTCGTTAGATCCGAAGTCCTTCAGAATTTGCTTTCCCATAGCAGAGCTGTGCCCCAGTTCTCTGGCGATAAAAAGGCGACAGAGGTGTGTCTGTGCTGTTCTTCTTTCAGAATTGCATTTTCTGAACATCCAGTTACTTCACTGATCAATGAATGCCTCAAACATGTACCAAGAGATAAATTCCCCTTTTGGGGTTGTTTTGGAGTCCTGCCAAGGGATTCAGGTGTTCATCTGGTATTAGTGAATTCAGGGGCCGATTTGCTTATTAACTGATTAATAAGCTCTGCAATAGTATCCTAGGCAAACTATTCTAGAAAGCATCCCCTCTGTATTAAAAGTTTTAAAAAAAATAAATTTAAGGGGTGAAAATGCAGTTTTATTGCATGGCTATGTTGCATAGTGGTGAAGTCTGGGCTTTTCTTTTTTTATTTTTACTTTCTTGAGATGGAGTCTCACTCTGTTGCCCAGGCTGGAGCATAGTGGCGCCATCTCAGCTCACTAGAACCTCCGCCTCCAGGTTCAAGTGATTCTCCTGCCTCAGTCCCCCGAGTAGCTGGGATTACAGGCATATACCACCATGCCTGGCTAATTTTTGTATTTTTAGTAGAGATACGGTTTCGCCATGTTGGCCAGGCTGGTCTCGAACTCCTGATCTCAGGTGTGCACCCACCTCAGCCTCCCAAAGTGCTGGGACTACAGGTGTGAGTTACCATGTCTGGTCTGGGCTTTCAGTGTAACCATCACCAAGTAGTGTACATTGTACCCATTAAGTAATCTCTCCTCCCTCACCACCTCCCACCCTACGTAGTCTCCAGTGTCTCTTATTTCATACTCTGTGTCCATGTGTATACATTGTTTAGCTCCCACTTATAAGTGAGAACATGAATTATTTAACTTTGTTTAAAAGCTTTTTTTAAAAAAAATTGGTGGTAGGGAAGGGGACATGTGTTTTAAACGGAATACATTAACTAATCCGATATAAACAAATTGTTAAAAGGTTTTTGGCTTTGGTTTTGTTTTAATTTTTTTTTCTTCTTTTGAGGCAGAGTCTCGCCGTGTCACCCAGGCTGGAGTGTAGTGGCGCAATCTCGGCTCACTGCAACCTCCACCTCCCAGGTTCAAGTGATTCTACTGCCTCAGCCTCCCGAATAGCTGGGAATACAGGCACCCGCCACCACGCCCAGCTAATTTTTGTATTTTTAGTAGAGATGAGGTTTCACCATGTTGGCCAGGCTGCTCTTGAACTTCTGACCTCAGGTGACCCACCCGCCTCGGCCTCCCATAATGTTGAGATTACAGGTATGAGCCACCTTGTCCGGCCTCTGTTTTTGTTTTATCAGTAAACCTGCCTTTAGAGTGAAAAGCATATTCATTAGAAGCTAAGACAGTTTGCTTTTATAACTGATGCTTCTTTTTGACAGCCACAATGTTTTCAGGGAGCTTTGTGACATTGTATCTTGTGTACTTGACCTTGATTTCTGACACCAAAACCCTGTCAGGTTTAATTTAAGATGATCTAAAACTGATGTAAAATATCTTTTATGTTTAACTGCGTATTTTATCTAAATCAAATTTTAAAATAATGGCACTTTCTCTTTTTAAAAAAATGGCATCTGTAATTAGAAGTAAAGATATGGGCTGGTTTGTGTAACTTGGCCCTTTATATGACCTGGTTAGGAAGTTATTTGCTTCTGTGTGTGGGTACACAATTCATTAAAGATAAGAAGATGACTGATTTTTCTAAATTTTCTTTTAAGAAAACACCACTAGTGTTCTAATCATTTGCATAGTTAAGTTGTGGTTGATTGTAAAAAGGTTGATGATAACAGGAATAACTCTGCATGTATTTTGAGTGCCTCTAAGTTAGCTGCCTTCCTTTTATCCTGAAGGCAGTAGAAGTGGTTGAAAGATGGCATGTGGGAGACCATTATGACAGACCAGTGGCAGCCCCTAGTTCTCCCCAAGGCTCTGAACTCCCGATCCCACCCACTGTATCTCTGCTTTGTGTTGATCTAGAATGTCTTCCCAGGTAAGTTGTGTAGAGACTTGCCTTTGCTTTGGGGTTTTATCATCATGATGGTCATTATTTGGATTCACTGATGTGTGGAGCCCTCCACAATGTTAGTAATTACTCCAAATGAGAAAGTTTTTCTTCCAAAGGTCAAGTTAGCTCTTGGTATACTAGAAAGGGACAACAGCTGGCTTGAAGTGAAATTCCTGCCCTGTCATTTTTATCCTCAACAGTTTTGGGTGGCTCCCCAAAACTCTCAGTGTTTTTATTCCCTTCCTCCATTGAGGGCTATGTTGGCTCCTGGTGATATTACAAAATTTAAACGTGTGAGTAACCTACCTTCAGAAGTGAAAAATCACATTCTGCTGTGTCCTGAACAGGCTACCTTTTTCACCAAAGCTTCTTTTATTGGGCTTCCTAGTTAATAAGACACTGCATTAAGTACAATGTTATACATAATATGTCAATATAAGCTGTTTTACTTCATATAATACAAGAGTTCTTTTCAGACATATTAAAAAAGTATGAGGATATGGCCAGGCATGGTGGCTCACACTTGTAATCCTAATGCTTTGGGAGGCTGAGGCAGGTGGATTGCTTCAGCCCAGGAGTTCAAGACCAGCCTGGGCAGCATGGCAATATCCTGTTTCTACAAAAAATATAAAAATTATCTGAGTGTGGTGTGCATCTGTAGTCCCAGCTACTCAAGTGGCTGAGATGGGAGAATCACCTGAGCCTGGGGATGTCGAGGCTGCAGTGAGCCATGATTACACCACTGCACTCCAGCCTGGGTGACAGAGTGATACTCTGTCTCAAAAAAAAAAAAAAAAAAAAAAAAAAAAAAAAAAGAAAAGTACCAGGATAAGCACCAGAAATACACATACATACACATACACAGACTTGCAGTGAAGAACCTGTGTCCTCCAATGTGTGTGGCTTCCAGGTGCGTCCTCACCCTCTTCCTGCTGATGATACCTCTTTTTTGGCACTTTATACCTATTTTTGAAACAATGAATTAATGGGTGGCCCCTCGCTCCCTATTTTTGAAACAATGAATTAATGGGTGGCCCCTCGCTCCCTATTTTTGAAACAATGAATTAATGGGTGGCCCCTTGCTCCCTATTTTTGAATGAATGAATGAATGAATGAGCGGCCCCTCCCTGAAACGTGGGCATCCGCATCTCCTGCACTCCTACACATCTCCACACCATAAGAACAAGCATCTATGGGCAGGAAAGTCCTCACAGAGAGCTCAGGTCGGAAGGGCAGGAAGATGAGGAAGAATTCCCATGATATTTTTCAGGTTGCTTGATTTCTGTTAAATTTGGCGATGAGAGGGTTAAATGATTGGAGGACGATTTTCCCTAACCAACGTGCCATTTCTGTGATTCCTCCACTCTCTCACTAGCAGAGAAAGGTCCAAACTGCACCAGGCACTTGGCTGGCTCTGGCTGTTCACACGTCTGAGTCCAGCCAACAGTGGGCTCTGTGTTAAGGGAAATCAAGAGCCTGTTCTTTTCAACCACGATCCTCACTTTCCCATCTTTAAGAGACAGGTTGTCATTATTGTTGTAAGAGATGTTTTGATTTTATATATTTGGCCAGAGATTACTCTTGTCACTGTCCACAAAGGTGTAACTTGATGTCCTTCCTAACCCCCATGCCAGGTCAAGACCTGTGTTACATTCCCCTGCCCCCTACCGCCCCCCACCCCCAATGGGGTCTCACTCTTTTGCCCAGGCTGGAGTGCAGTGGTGCCATCTCAGCTTACTGCAACCTCCGCCTCCTAGATTCAAGTGATTCTCCCACCTTAGCTTCCCGAGTAGCCAGGACTACAGGTGCACACCACCACACCCATCTAATTTTTGTATTTTTAGTGGAGATGTGGTTTCACCATGTTGGCCAGGCTGGTCTCGAACTCCTGGCCTCAAGTGATCAGCTGCCTTGGCCTCCCAAAGTGCTGGGATTACAGGTGTGAGCCACCATGCCCGGCTGACCTGTGTTACTTTGATTATGAACACCCATCTATGACAGTTTTGCTTCCCTGCCTCCAAGTGAGTGGTATCTCTGCCACTAGAGGTTGATATGAATGACTGATAATGCCAAATAATAATTTTCACCTAGGAAACTTAGACAAGGAGACCTAACCCATAGCAATAGTAGACATTTGATAAATATTTGTTATACGAATGAAATGAATAGCACAAGCTAAGAGTGCTTTCTAAAGATTGGGCCCAAGAGAAGACAAAATGGGCAACTAGTCTGATATTACAAAGCTTCGAGGATTTAATGGTCCATTGCCTTGTGAAGGAGATCCTTGAGTAAAGGTTTCCTGGAGACCTCTAAGTCTTCAGTGACTCTCTGCTTGCGGGTCATGTACCACCTGCCCCTGTTAGTTCCCATCTCTCCCCATAGTGTGAAACTCTGTTACATGGCTGTCTCTTCCTGCTCTGGGTTTTTTTTTTTTTTTTTTTTTTTGTGAGACAGGGTCTTGCTGCGTTGCCTGGGTTGAGTGCAGTGGCATGATCATGGCTCACTGCAACCTCGACCTCCCAGGCTTAAGCAATCCTCCCACTTCAGCCTCCTAACTGGGACTACAGGTGCACACCCCCAGGCCTGGCTAATTTTTTATTTTTTTGTAAAGATGGGGTCTCCCTATGTTGCCCAGGCTGGTCTTGAACTCCTAGACACAAGTGATCCTCCTACCTTGGCCTTCCAAAGTGTTGGGATTACTGACGTGAGCCACAGAAACTGGCACCAGCTCACTCTTGAATTCCTCAAGAGCAATGCTGTATTCCTGTCTGTTTCCTCCAGCTCTCAGACAAAGGCAATGCATAAACAAACAAACAAATACCTTTTGAATTCCAGATGAACACCATTAGAAATCTCAAGTTATTATAACATAGTTTTGGCATTTTAAGGGCGGGGAACCCAATAGCAGATCAACAGCCTCTCTTTTACTATTTTTGCAAGCCTTGTGGTTTTTGGCAGCAGTGGCTGCCCGGCTCTGCCGCATGCTCATTCAGCTTCAACCACAGTGACCTCCTTTCTTTTGGTCCCTGTATTCACAATGCTCCTTCAAGCCCAGGACTTTTCCACATGCTCCTCTCTCTGCTTCCCTTTCCTCTTTGCCTGCCCACGTCTTTCTTGTCCTCCACTAGAATGGAAGATCTATGAAGGCCAAGGTCTATGCCTACTTTTCCCCACCTTTGTAGCTGCAGTGCCTGACATAGATGCAGGCCAGTTTGCCAAAAGCCTATCCACTGAAGAACTCATTCCTGGGGCAAAGGAATGTGATTTTTTTATGAGCCCATGCAGTTGACCTTAAGGCCACATTCTGGCCTTTCTTGAACGTGTCTCTCGCAGTGTCCAGCCTCATTTCCTCTCCCTATTGGATTGTGGTTTCCTGCTTCTCCCAGGCCTCACTGTCATCTCACATCCTCCATCTGCCTGAACGTCCTGAAACTGATTTCCTTTGTACTCATAAATAGCTAACTTCATTTATTTGTCTTAAATAAGAAATCTGGGCTGGGCGCAGTGGCTCATGCCTGTAATCCCAGCACTTTGGGAGGCCGAGGTGGGCGGATCACAAGGACAGGAGATCGAGACTATCCTGGCTAACACGGTGAAACCCCGTCTCCACTAAAAATACAAAAAATTAGCCGGGCGTGGTGGCAGACGCCTGTAGTCCCAGCTACTTGGGAGGCTGAGGCAGGAGAATGGCGTGAACCCGGGAGGCGGAGCTTGCAGTGAGCCGAGATCGCACCACTGCACTCTAGCCTGGGGGACAGAGTGAGACTCTGTCTCAAAAAAAAAAAAAAAAAAAAAAATCTGATATTATAGAAGACTTTCTTTGACACCTTCTTTTTCCACCCACCCACCCTTGGGTTAGATACTCTTTCCAGTGTACCTGTAATGCCCAGTATCCTTCGTATTACATTATAATTCTTAATTTATGCATCTCTCCCACTTCAGACCAAGAGTTCTTTGATGGGGAATCATGTCGGGTTTACCTCTGCATCCCTTCGGGCTCAATAAACGTGAAGTCAATGATATTAAGACGCTGTGTGAAGACAATATTATGAACCCAAAGGTATCTGAGAGATTCATCTAGGTGGTAGTATCCACAACCTCAGAGGACGTGCTCAGCTGTTCTCCCATGGGATAGAATTTTGCCTCCTTGACTATGGGACTGTGATATCGGGCAAAAAGCAACAGGGGTCCACATGGCCATGTTTGTCTTTTTCCAAAGAAATATTTGGCCATTGGAAATATTGCTTCTGAGTTGCAAGATAACCAAAAAGCCTGGCATGGGGCCCTAAACTTAGTTTGGGAAGCTTGGGATTGGCCATGCTTAGCTCTTGGGATGTGTTTGTTGAGCTGCAAATGTACCCTTCCAGGAAAAGTTAAGTCTGTGACAATGACTTCTCAAGCAGAGACACCAGACAGCTGTTTTAGAATCCCTGAGGGCCAAAAAAAAAAAGTGCTGAAGGGAACAATGGCTTGCTTATGAACTAGGAGAGATATTCAATAGATAATACCCTTTTCATCAACCAAGTTTTAAAGAAATTGAGGATAAGACCAAACAGCAAACAATAAGGTGACCAAAATGTATTGTGGTTAATGCTGAAGTATAGAGAGCATGGCTCATAACTGGAGTGAGGACTTGTCCTAAACCCAGAATGTGGTGGACTTAGCTATAAGGTCATCATGTGTTCGGGAAGACTCAGGCCTCACCCAGCAGGGCAGTCCTGTAATGACCTGGAAGAGTGGTGCGAAAGAGAGGAAGGGGCAGAGGCCAGGAGTGTCATGCAATTGCTGTGCCTCCTCACGGAATTATTGAGTGTGTCCCCTGTGTCATAGACCCATCACAGTTGTCTCTTCCAGTACTTCGTGAGCTCCCTAAGGGCAGGGACTGTGTATACTTCTGGGCGCTAAAATGAGTGTGAATCCATGTCAGGCACTCTGTGCCAGTCTTTATTGGAAATATATGATTTTATCTTAAATAGTTCTTCAATGTAGGTACTATCACTTGCCCTGACTTTAGAGATACAGGCACTAAGGTTTGTGGAGGTAAATAACTTTCCCAAGATCACACAAGTAGCAGATGTCAGAGTGGGAAACTGAGCCCAGGAGGCCTGACGTCCCAGGCAGAGCTGCTAACTATTGTTCTGTATGCTTCTTGATGGGTGATTCAAGGCCTTGTGTAGTGTTAGGGTATCATTTAATGATCTGATTATGAAAGTGCTAAATGAGGTGATTGGGGGATTCTCTGTCTTGGATTCTCTATTCCTGGCCTTTTATAAATTCCTTTGTCCCTGGCTGGGATCCAGCTGGCTTACACAACTGTCAGTGTAATCTCTATCAATATTTACACAAGGGGTCATGCCATCAAAGAAACTAGAGAAATATCAGGATTAGTGCTTTCACTGGATAAAGTTTGAGGATTGAAGAACCTTCTGTTGAGTGGATTTGAAATAGTTGCATGGAAAATATTTTTTTATTTTCCTTGAAGAGAAGTAAACAAGCCAGAGATTATTTCAAATTTATTTTGCTAATTGAAACAAAGCATGACAGTGACCTTCGAACCAGTGCCAGTAAAAATCAAATAAAATCTGGATAGTATATTCTGAGAGTGGTCTAAATGGGATGCCTTTTAGCGGGGGTTTGTTCAAATGCTTAAATTTTTAAAAAGAACGAGGTAAAGCTATGTTTATTGATATAAAAAGATTATCAATCTATAACAGGCATGAGAGAAGTGAGGTATAGAAAGAAGTTGATGTGTTTATGAATATCCCTTTGTGTGTGTATGAGATACCTTTGATAAAGAATACATAAATAGTTACAGATATGTTATTTTCTCAAGAAATAAGAAACTGTAAAAATGATTACCTTTGAATGGAGTGGGAAAAGATAATTTCCCTGTTAATTTTTCTGTTCAATTTACTTTTTAAAATGTGGATAGAGATTATTTCTGCAGAATAAGATTATCTCTGCAGAGGTAAGTCATCTTAATTTTCTTCTTTTTACTTCTGTTTATTAAAACATTAAACATAAAAAACCCAAATGCTACATTTTAATTAAAAATAAATATTAGCAGTTTAAAATTAAGATATGAGTAGTAACTTTGAGAAGAGTGACTAAAACTCCTCTAGTCCCTTTAACACTGACTTCAAATCCACATGAAGTTATCCTGGGGGTGTGGAGTGTATAATTTATGTTATTACAGATTTTTGTTAAATAAATCGTATGTTTGTGTTCTGGAAATATTTTTGTGTACATGCCTGTGCTTCTGGGTCTGGATTTGTATGGTTGGAAGGAAACACTGGGCAAAGTGAGGGGGACAGTGGGGGACAGTGGGGGCCAAGCAGGCAGTGGGGGCTCTGTCACCTCGAGCCATTTCCTTCTTAGAAAGCTTGAGGGAGGCTCCAAGGTAGGGCCGGGAGGCAGCCAATACGGAGCCCATGGCGGCACAGGCATGAGGTTATTCATTCATCAAACAGTTATCGAGGGTCTACCTTCTGCCTTTGGGGAGTATCTGTAACATTTTGTGCCAAATTAGAGGCCTTCTGGTTGACTGGACCCTTAAAACACAAGTTCCAAGTTCATTTTGATTGCTTCTCCAGGCCTCCATGTAAATTACATTAGTCACATCAGCAGCTCACTGAGGCTGCAGGAATAGGCCATTTTGTTGACAGAGGCAGACATGGAGGTGGGGATAGATGTGGAGGAGGAGAGAGTGGGGCCAGAAGACAGGCCTCTGGTGAGTGAGGGCTGTGAGGGCGTGTGGTCTGTGCCCACTTGGGATTCTGCCTGGATTATGTTACAGATTTCAACTCCTTTCGCCTGCAAGCTGTTCAGACTCCCAGATTTGCTCATGAGTTTGGTTTCATTCAGATGCGAAAAACACAAGAGGAAAAAGGGGGATGCGTACATTGTCTCTCCTATCTTTGCAGGACACACACATGTGTTACGCTTCCCATTCTCCAACTCAGTGAGGAATAGGCCTCATCCCTAGAGCCTTTAATTGCAGGAAGCTGAAGAATGGGACCCATAGGGAGCAGAGCTGTCCTCTGTTTTCTATGCAGGTTTAGGAACCCTTTGACTGACACTCTTGGAGTCTAAGAGCAAGGTGTATCCCAGGGAGCAAAGTGGGAATTGAAATTGTACCTTTATGGCTAATTAGCTGTGTAACCCAGAAGAACTTGACCAGATGATCTTTAGCTTCTGAACTATAGGGGGAATGGAGGAGCTGTCTTAGAATTGGAGAATAATAAAATGAGGACATTCTGGGATTTCATAAGATGATGGTCACTTTGGGAAGGTTCTCTTAACCTCTACTCCCCTCTGTATTAAAAAAAAATAAAAACTTTTTTTTTTTTTTGGAATGGGAAAATGCATGGTGCCCTATAATCCAGGGGCTTGAGATCCAACTCTAACTGGGCAACTCTAATATGGAGAGAAACTGGTGCCTCCCTCACTTAGCTAGTTCTGAGAGCATCTCTCCTCCCCCACCAAGGGCTGGGCTGCTTCATCACTTATCAAATCATCTTAGACTCATAAATGTCTCCAGGCAACCAGCGTCTTCCCTCTTTTCCCCTTTCTCTGCATGGAAACTTTCCAACCTAACTCCCTACACATCTGTTCTGGGAGCTGCCTCCTAATTATATCCTAGGGGCCTGATACGAAAAGGGCCAAAGGGAACATTCCATCACTTCTCCCAGGGGCATCTTGGGTCGGGGGTGGAGGCTTGCTCCTTGGTGAGATGGCCAGAGGCCATTAACTGGGAACCAAACCTAACTGCCACAGTACCCATCTGAGGGCAGGAAGGACTGTGGGGTACTCCCATCATGTTCAGGCTCATCTGTTTAATGCTTCTTCCTTAATATTGAAATAGAGTCCTCACTGCAACTCATCTCTACTAAAAAATACAAAAATTAGCCGGGCATGGTGGCGGGTGCCTTTAATTCCAGCTACTCAGGAGCTGAGGTGGGAGAATCGCTTGAACCCAGGAGGTGGAGGTTGCAGTGAGCCGAGATTGCACCACTGCAGTCCAGCCTGGGTGACAGAGCAAGACTGTCTCAAAAATAATAAAATAAAGTGTGCAACGTCCATATACTGGAATATTATTCAATAATAAGCGCTGACACAAGCTACAACATGCATGAACCTTGGAAACCTGTGTTAAATGAAAGAAGCCAGTCACATAAGACCAGATATTGTATAGTCCCATTGATCTGAAATTTCCAGAACAGGCAAATCAATAGAGAGAAAAAGAAGACTGGTGAGTGTCTAGAGCTGGGGGAGTTGGAAGGCAATGAGGGTTGACTGCTAATGGATATATGGTTTCTTCTGAGGATGATTGAAAATGCTCTAAAAATTATTTTGATGGTTGCACAGCCCTGTGAATATACTAAAAATAATTGAATTGTAGACTTTAAATTGTAAATACGAAAAGTGAATTCTATCACAAGAAAACTGTTATTAAAAAACAAAGACTACTACGTAGTGATGTGTCGTTCCCACTAGACACTTTAAGAGGCATTTTATGCCAGTTTGCCCCACTGTTGTTGACGCTAAGTTTTGATCACTGGGATAATTTGGTTTCCACTGGATCTTGTCATTGCATTAGGTTGGTGCAAAAGTAATTGCCGTTTTTGTCATTACTTTCAATGACAAAAACCGCGATTACTTTCTCACCAACCTATACAAGAATCTTTGTCTTGTGATTAATAAGTAATATGAAGGGTGACATTCACCACTCTCTGCACATCCTGTTCTCCACCCATTAGCATCCACTGGTGATCCTTGCCAGTAAGATCTATTACATAAATGGGTACAATATAGTAATTTTAAAAATGATCAGATTTTTTACATTTATCTAGTAATTTTCTGGAGGGAACGTATTCCTTCTCCCTCTTTTTAGAAAACTCACTGGGTCTCAAAAAATTAAACATAGCATTATCACTTTTGGGTGTAAACCCAAAATAATTTGGAAACAGGGTCTCAAAGAGCTTTTTACATACCCATGTTCATAGCAACATTATTCACAATAGCCAAATGGTGTAAACAACCCACATGCCCGTCAGTGGATGAATGGGTAAACAAAATGTGGTATATACATGCAATGGAATATGATTCGGCCTCAAAAAGAAATGAAATTCTGACACATACCACAGCATGGATGAACTTTGAAAGTATGCTCAGTGATGTAAGCCAGACAGAAAAAGGCAAATATTATATGATTCCCCTTATATGAGGTACCTAGTGTAGTTAAATTCATAGAGACAGAAAGTAGAATGGTGGATGGCAGGGACTGAGCGTGGGGAGGGGCCAATGGGGAGTTCTTACCAAATGAGTACAGAGTTTCAGTTTGCAGTGATGAAAAAGTTCTGGAGAGGGATGGTGGTGATGGTTGCATGACAACGTGAATGTATTAATGCCCTAAACTGTACACTTAAAAATAGTTAAACTTTATGTTAGGTATTTTTTACTGCAAAAAAAATACCCTCACTAAGTTCTTATTTCTTCCTTTTCATTTTAGTATGTTACCAGAAATTATACTCCTTGATGCTGGAAATTGGCCAATAGGAGCCCCTTCAAGCTACTTCTGCATCCCTCCTTATCCTCCCAGTATATTCTTGTTTTCTGGCACAAGATGTTTAAGGTCAACTTTTATTTTCCCTGACCCAGTCTTGGACACAGCCATTTCTCCAAGGAGGCCTGGTTCTTCTACAGGGGAACTGTAGTCAGAAACAAGATCTGGTTGCTTGGGGAGCTTGTTGCCATGTATTTGGTTGTTACATGCTTCTCACCCTATCAATGAACAGAGCTGGGGAAACATAAACATACACTCACGCACACATATATACACGTACTGTGGTAGTGACTAGCCCCATGTGGCTGTTCAGAAATAAGATTTCCAGCAAGACATATACACAAACATGCATGCATACAAATGCATGCAGACATTTTAATCAGTCGTCTCCAATTTTAATCCAACACCACCTTTGTCCACCCCACCTCATCACAGTCCATATTTCTCTTCTTCCATCGTGACAGCTCTGGTTCTCAAGCATCTCAACATATTTGCTCATTTGTTCTGTCCTTCACTAAATAAAACAACTCGTGTGATATATCATACCAATGCCACAAATCATTTTTTTAAATGAAAGGAACAAAATTTACTTTTTCCGACACTTAGCAGGTCTAAATGCATTTTCTAGATGTATTTTCTTTCTTAGTGGGTAGAAAGGGTGGGATTGAGGCAATGGTGGAAGTAGTGACTGCAGTAGAGAATTAAGAAATACAGAGGGGATGATAGAGAATGAGAGAGAGCAGGGAAGCGGACAGAGTAGTGGAGAGTTTCTTCAACATTGAAAACTTTCACATGACTAAACCCACTAATAAGAGTGAGCTGAGGCCAGGCACAGTGGCTCACGCCTGTAATCCCAGCACTTTGGGAGGCCGAGGCGGGTGGATCACCTGAGGTCAGGAGTTTGAGACCAGCCTGGCCAATATGATAACACTTTCTCTACTGAAAATATAAAAAGTTAGCTGGGCATGGTGGTGGGCGCAGTGATGAGTGCCTGTAATCCCAGCTACTCGGGAGGCTGAGGTAAGAGAATTGCTTAGGAGGTGGAGATTGCAGTGAGCCAAGATTGCACCACTGGACTCCAGTGGACTCTGTCAGTTGGGTGACAGAGCAAGACTACATCTTGAAAAAAAGAGTGAGCTGGACAAGAGGTAGAAATTAGGAAAAGAGGAGCCGTTAAAAACAAACGGCTGTTTTTCTGATTATTGGAGTAATGCTTTGTGTGTTTATTTAAGAAATAGCATACAAGGTTAGACTCAATGAAAACAGAGGGAAATACAGCTGTTTTTTTATGAATTCCAATAAGATTTGTGATGCTCGGGGGTTCAGTTGCTGTTCTTGGCTTTGACGGTGACATTTTCTCAGCCATGGCATTGGATCCAGCATCCATGCTCTACATGTTTGTTCTTAAAAATGAGGATTGATTGATTTATTTTTAAAAGGTTTTCCTGCCTTTGGAAGGGAACCAAGTATCTTTCAAGTTGGGGAAATAACTTCCTTTTGAGACCTGACCTCTTCCTCACCCCAACGAGCCATTTGGACTTTTATGTAGGAATTGGGTAAGCATATTGAAGCAAGAGATTCTTTCTCTTCATTATTTAACTCCCAAACAAGCTGAGTATTTTCCTGCTCTGAAGTGTTCTGACTTTTAAAAGAGATGGTGAGATGGAGGCAAAGGCATGTTGAAATTAGTGTCCTAAAACCTAGGCTGTAGTTGTGGCCTGAAGACTTACTAGCTGTGTGACTAGAGATATCTTGTGGCTCTGAACTTACTTTCAACTGGGAAATGTGGATAAAATCTGCTATGTTCTTTATCCCTTTAGAATTTTTATCCTGTACACTTCCAAATAAGATTTCCAGTGACTTATAAGAGGCAAGATATCTCAAACCATTCTGATAATGTGAGGATAAGTGATTAAGAGTCCTGGGATAGGTGGAGGAAATTAATGGTATCAGAAACCCAAATGAAAGGTAGTTGCTGCAAATGAGCACTAATTTGTTTTCTAACTCTTTGCTGTCCAATATGGTAGTGACTAGCCCCATGTGGCTGTTCAGTCTTTGAAATGTGGATGGTTTGAATCAAGATGTGCTGTGAGTGTGAAATACACACTGGATTTCAAAGACTTAGTATAAATAACATAAAATATCTCATGAAATTTTTTTTTTTCGAGATGGAGTCTCGCTCTGTTGACAGGGTGGAGTGTAGTGGCCTGATCTCGGCTCACTGCAACCTCCGCCTCCTGGGTTCAAGCAGTTCTCCTGCTTCAGCCTCCCAAGTAGCTGGGACTACAGACATGTGCCACCAAGCCCAGCTAATTTTTGTATTTTTAGTAGAGATGTGGTTTCACCACACTGGCCAGAATGACCTCGATCTCTTGACCTCATGATCTGCCCACCTCGGTCTCCCAAAGTGCTGGGATTACAGGCATGAGCCACTGCGCCCGGCCTCTCATGAATAATTTTTTACATTGATTGCATGTTGAAATGATGATGTTTTGGATCTATTGACTTAAAATATTTTATTAAAATTAGTTTCTCATTTCTTTTTTTTTTTTTTTTTAAGAGACAGGGTCTCACTCTGTTGGTTAAGCTGGAGTGCGGTGGTGTGATCATAACCCACTGCAACCTCAACCTCCTGAGCTCAAGCAATCCTCCCACCTCAGCCTCCCAAGTAGGTAGTACTACAGGCATGCACCACCATGCCTGGCTAATTTTATTTGTTGATTTAATTATTTTTTTTTTGTAGAGGATGGGGTCTCTCTGTGTGGTCCAGACTAATCTTGAACTCCTGGCCTCAAGTGATCCTCCCACCTCGGCCTTCCAAAGTGCTGAGCTTACTTACAGGCATGAGCCACCATACCCAGCCTCTTTTTACATTTTTAATGGCTACTAAAAAGTTTTAAATTTCATAAGTGGCTCTCATATTTCTATCAGATAGTGCTGGTCTAACCTATTTTCACCCAAGGCCCCCTGCCAACCAAAAAAAGGAAAATATATTTATCATGCACCTGTTACCTGATTAAAAGAAGGGTGCTGTCCCATGCATTTATATAGAGTCACATACTTCAAAGCTTTATATAAAAATAAGGCAGAAATGATGGTGCCTTGCTACAGCTGTAGTCCTTCCTCTCTGCTGGAAAACCACATCTTGGTTTATGTCCTTCTTTGTCACATCGGAAAATTTCTGAAATTTCTGACTAGCAAACAGCATGCGACTCAAAATCTGCTAATTAATTCCTCCTTAGTTCGTTCATTCATTCACCCATGCATTTATTCATTTCCTGAGTTTTGTTCAGACACTGCTGTGTCCTCAAGAACAAAAATGAATTACGACTCATCCTGCCATGAAGGACTTCCAGTCTGCAGGGAAATGGAGGAGAGAGTCAGCCACATAGACTGGTAATTTACAATACAGCACCATGAATACCAGTCTGGAGCACTGTGCAAAGTGTAACCGGGAAGGGAGAAAGGCAACTAATTCTGGCTTGACTTTGTGGTAATTCATAATTTGATTATTCATGCCGTTATTCAAAGAGCCTTTGCCAAGTTTATTTAAAGAGATTGAAAGATAACAAATGCAGACATTAAAAATAGTTTCTTATTCAGCCTATGCTTTCAAAAGTGCTGTATTATAAATATATATTATTTATTCACCAGGCTGTTTCTACTTAGGCTCTCAAATTTAGTCTGTCCACTAAACTGTATCCTTGGCCAGACTTACTCTCTGTAAAAGCAGATATGGGTTATTTATTCATCAGTTCTCCAGTTGAAATTCATATCTCTAATTCTACATTCTCCCAGGCAAGGGGGAGTACAAATGATTAGGGACTTTCAACTTTGGAAGATGCAGTGAATTACAATTTAAAGTCAACTAGAGGCCGGGCACGGTGGCTCATATGCCTGTAATCCCAGCACTTTGGGAGGCCGAGGCGGGTGGATCATGAGGTCAGGAGATTGAGACCATCCTGCCCAACGTGATGAAACCCCGTCTCTACTAAAAATACAAAAATTATCCAGGTGTGGTGGTGCACACCTGTAGTCCCAGCTACTCAGGAGGCTGAGGCAGGAGAATCGCTTGAACCCAGGAGGCAGAGGTTGCAGTGAACTGAGATCATGCCACTGCACTCCAGCCTGGGCAACAGAGCAAGACTCTGTCTCCAAAAAAAAAAAAAAAAAAAAAAAAGTCGGCCAGACTTCTAGAACCATGGCTCAACAGAGTCCATGGCTTCCCCAACGGAGGATGCAGCCAGTTGGAATGAATGTGGACTTGTTTCTCTCTCTCTCTCTCTCTCTCTTTTTTTTTTTTTAAAGAAAGGGAGATCATATTTTTTCAGGCCATTTCTTTTGGTGAGGAACAGGCTGATAACTGGGTTATGGTAATGAGTCTTCTAGGAGCTTTTCCTTCTTCAAACATTTCTGGCTTTTGGCCTTCAGAAGAGTGTCCTGGGTGGTGTTATGAGCTTGCCCTGCAGGCTAAATCCCTGTAGACAGCAGATTCCCTATGAGAGCAGGTCTTGTGAAATGAAGATCTGGTTTGTATAGTCTCAAGCAAGAGATCAAATATTTAAGGCTTAGAAAAAAAGATCGCGTTTATAAGGGCCCTTGAAAAGAATTTCTGATGGAAGTTGGTGAAAAAGATTTGTTTCCATTACTCATAGCTTAAGTTGGCTATGATGGCAGTTATTTAAATTCTCACTGCTGAGATGGAAACTTAACAAAAGTAGGCGATAAAGCCTGTTGGAATAGGTAATTTGGGGACAGTATAAGTAGAGAGGTGATAGGGTCTCACTGGAGGCCACTTTGCTTCCCTGTTTTTAAACACATTCCATCTGTTGCATTCTTCCTTAGAATCCTGAAATTTGGGGTCAGGCACCGTGGCTCACACCTGCAATCCTAGCACTTTGGAGGCTGAGGCAGGTGGATCACTTGAGGTCAGGAGTTCAAAACCAGCCTGGCCAACATGGTGAAACCCCATCTCTACTACAAATATATTACGGTGAAACCCCGTTTCTAGTGAAAATACAAAAAAATTAGCTGGGTGTGGTGGCAGGCACCTGTAATCCTAGCTATTCAGGAGGGTGAGGCTTGAACTCGGTGGGTGGAGGCTGCAGTGAGCCGAGATCACACCACTGCACTCCAGCCTGGGCCACAGAGCAAGAGCAAGACTCTGTCTCAAAAAAAAAAAAAAAATCCTGAAATTTGATGTAAATTTCTTTGTGTACTTAGGTATTAGTTGTATTTCCATAGAGCATTTGAGCATTTTTAGAAATCAGTGCAAGCACAGGGCTCACATTCATGCAAAGGAATGGGAAGTTTGGGGAGGGAGAGAAATGAACATCACGTAGTTTCTGAAGTCATTTTTCATTTAGCAAGTTCCTCCATACTTCTATGGGAAGCTCAGTTGAAGTTTTTGAAATCACTGGCATTTGTACATCATTGGTTCATTATGAAAGCATTTATTGGGTGCCTCTCTCATCTAGGATCTTTACCTTTTACATCTTTATCTCTTCCTCAAATACCTTGAGGATCAGCCCATAAAGACTGATGTGCATTACAACTGCCCTGCAGTGGGCACCGTTGATCACCCATGAGGACTGGTGTTCAGAACAGGTCATGTCCTATTTGAGAATTAAAAAGATATGGGAACCCCCATTTCTGGAAACATAGAGTAGGCATACTTTTCCAGATTCCTTCTGCTAAGTACAACTAAAAATCCTTGACATTATATTTAAAACACACATAAGAAGACTCTGAAGGGTGGAAAGAATAAGGAAGATGAGCAGGGACCTCAGGGCCCAAGGAAGGACACGGTGTTGAGTTGCCTGGGTTTCCTTATTGCCTCATATATTCCAGACTCTGAGCTAAAGATGCCAGTGACTGGAAACAGCAAGGGGCACAGACAAAAAAGCTCCAACAAAGGCCTGCTCCCTGAGACCGAAGCACCAAGAAAGGACAAGCTAGAAGACAGACAAAGTTTAAGCAATAGCCACCCTGCTTTAGCCAAACACCAAGAAAAACACTGTGGCCCCACCCACACCCATGCCAGCAAAGACTCAGCAAAGACTCAGAGGGAAGTCTAGCCTCCCACTCTCACCCAACCCCCCTTCTTGGGCAGTGTCAGAGAAAGCTGAGACTCACATTCCCACGAAGAGGTACCAAGAGATCTCTCCCTCTCCTGCTGGGTTGCTGTCACAGGAGGCCTAGTGGAGAGGCAGGACTTTCAGCACTGGACAACATTAACAAGGCCACCCCAACCGTGGCACAGGGAAAGATCACATGGGGAGCAGCAATGAGGCTCTCCTACCTCTCCCAGCAGGGAGGTCTCAGTGGAGGCCAGGGGGAACCAGATCTCCCAACCGTCACCCAGCAGGATCGAGGAGCCCCTGTAGTATAGCAAGGTGGCTCCCCTCCCCGACTTCCCCTGCCAGAGCAGGGTCAGAGTAAGACCACTAAAACAGAATAAGATTCAGTCTCATAATATTCAAAATGTCTGAGTCAATGGAAAGTGACTATACCAAGTATCAGGAAGATCTCAAACTGAATGACAAGGACAATCGAGATATGCCAGTCACAAGGTGGCAGGGATGTTAGTATTGTCTGACAAAGATTTTAAAGCTGCCATGATAATGTTTCAATGAGCAATTATAAACAGGTTAGAAACAGGAAAAAATAGTCTCAACAAAGAAATAAGACATATAGAGAGGAACAAAATGGAAATTTTAGAATTAAAAAATATAACCAAAACAATATACTCAATGGATTGGCTGAGCAACAGAACATAGAGAGACAGAGAAAGAATCAGTGAGCTGGAAGACAGATTAGAAATTATCCAATCTGGGCTGGGCACGGTGGCTCACGCCTGTAATCCCAGCACTTTGGGAGGCTGAGGCAGGTGGATCACGAAGTCAAGAGATCGACCATCCTGGCCAACATGGTGAAACCCCATCTCTACTAAAAATACATAAACTAGCTGGGTGTGGTGGTGTGTGCTTGTAGTCCCAAATACTCGGGAGGCTGAGGCAGGAGAATGGGGTGAACCCGGGAGGCGGAGCTTGCAGTGAGCCGAGATCATGCCACTGCACTCCAACCCGGGTGACAGAGCAAGACTCCATCTCAAAAAAAAAAAAAAAGAAATTATCCAATCTGAACAACAAAGAAAAAGTCAACTTTAAGATTATATCAAAAGGACGGAAAGACAAGCTACAAACTTGGAGAAAATATTTCCAAGCCATATATCCAACAAAGAGCTAGATCTATATTTTTAAAATTTCAAAAAAATCAGTTATAAAAAACTGATCCAATTAGAAAATGGCCAAAAGACATGAAGAGGCATTTCGGTGAAGAAGATATACAGATGGCAAATCCATGAAATGATCCTCAATATCATTCATTAGCTATTAGGAAAATGAAAATTAAAATCACAATGAGGTATTACTCTATACCTATCAGAATGATTAAAAGAAAAAACAATGACAACACCAAATGCTGGGGGTAATGTGGAGGAACTAAACCATTCATGTTGCTGGCAGGAATGTAAAATGGTACAGCCACTCTGGGAGACAGTTGGCAGTTTCTTATATTAAGAGTGCAGCTGGGCGTGGTGGCTCACACCTGTAATCCCAGCACTTTGGGAGGCTGAGGCAGGTGGATCACTTGAGATCAGGAGTTTGAAACCAGCCTGGCCAACATGGTGAAACCCCATCTCTACTAAAAATATAAAAATTAGCTGAGTGTGGTGGCGCATGCCTGTAGTCCCAGTTATTTGGGAGGCTGAGGCAGGAGAATTACTTCAACCCGGGAGGCGGAGGTTGCAGTGAGCCAAGATTGTGCCACTGCACTCCAGCCTGGTGACAGAGCGAGATTCTGTCTCAAAAAAAAAAAAAGAGTTCAACTACCATACAACCCAGCTACTCCTGGCCATTTGTCCCAGAGAAGTAAAAACTATATTCACACAAAAACCTGTACACAAATGTTTATAGCCACTTTATTTGTAATAGCCAAAAACTGGGAACACCTTGAGTATCTTATGCCTTTGTTACCACTCAGCAATAAATGAGAATAAACTATTTACACATGCAACAACCTGGATGAATCTTCAGAGACTTATGCTAAGTGAATAAAGCCAATCCCACAAGGTTACATACTATATGATTTCATTTGTATATATTTGGAACAGCAAAATTACAGAAAGGGAGAATAGATTAGTGGTTGCCAGGAGTTAAGGACTCAGTGGGGATGGGGATGGGAGGGAAGTGGTTATGGCTGTAGAGCAACATGAAGGATTCTGTGGTGGCAGAAATGTTCTATATCTTGACTGTACTCATGTCAATGTCCTGGTTTTGATGTTGTAATGTAGCTTGGTAGTATGTTACCATTGGAGGAAATTGGGTAAATGTTATACAAGATCTCTCTGTACTATTTTTTTACAACCTCATGTGAATCTTCAATTATATCAAAGAGTTAAAATTTAAAAATAGTTATATATTCTTTGCCTAGGTAAGTTCATTCCCAAAATTTCACCTTATTGGCCGGGCACAGTGGCTCACGCCTGTAATCCCAGCACTCTGGGAGGCTGAGGCAGGTGGATCCCCTGAGGTCAGAAGTTCAAGACCAGCCTGATCACTATGGTCAAACCCCGTCTCTACTGAAAAAAAGTAGCCAGGAGTGGTGGTGCATGCCTGTAATCCCAGCTACTTGGGAGGCTGAGGCACGAGAATTGCTTGAACCCAGGAGGTGGAGGTTGCAGTGAGCTGAGATCGTGCCATTGCACTCCAGCCTGAGCAACAAGAGTGAAACTCCGTTTCAAAAAAAAAAAAAGAAAAGAAATTATCAGAAATTTGCACCAAGATCCCAAATCCTAAATATTTAACAGGGGAAGGTTAAATTATGAAACTCCCATGTGTTTAAATGCTATATAGTCCTCAGAAAGAATCATATTTCAGGGTATTCATTTTACTGTTTTTATCCTTATTTATTTATTTATTTATTTATTTTTTGAGACAGTCTTGCCCTGTCACCTAGGCTGGAGTGCAGTGGCATGATCTCGGCCCACTGCAACCTCTGCCTTCCAGGTTCTAGCGATTCTCCTGCCTCAGCCTCCTGAGTAGCTGGGACTACAGGAGCGCGCCACCATGCCCGGCTAATTTTTGTATTTTTAGTAGAGACGGGGTTTCCCATGTTGGCCAGGCTAGTCTTGAACTCCTGGCCTCAGCTGATCCACCCCCCTCAGCCTCCCAAAATGCTGGGATTACAGGCATGAGCCACTGTGCCCGGCCATTCTTTTAAATGTTTATATATGCTATGTGGCCTTTTTGTATGTATACCTAACTTTACAGTAGATAAAGAAGCCAAAATTTTGAAGTCTTTTTATAATATGCTAAGATGTACACAATGTAGATGGAAAAGGTACCATATTCAATTCTTTGCAATATGGTCATCAGTTTTTTTTTTTTTTGAAGCAATTTGTAAACTATGAAGTACTAAAGATTTACCAACAGTGATGAATCTGGTGGCAGTAAAGTTCCCATATTTCTTAATCATTCTGCTGTTATTTTCCAGAATTCTACAGTGAACTTTCATAATCAGGAAAAATGAAATGAGCTTTTGAGATCAAGAAGAATTACAAATGTTAGTTAAATAAACAGTGGTTTGAAGGGGGTGCTTAAAGGTGGCAAGGCTAAAGGGTTATGAGGAACCACATGGCTAAATTACTTAGCCTTTCCTTAATACCATCTTACGTTTCTAATGTTTGTGGAATTCTCCACATAGTAGCATTTTTCCCATTGTTCTCCCAAATCTGGAACATGCTTGACATTGGCTCCCCACCCCACATATCAGGCCAAGTGTCAGAAAATTCCACTCATGTAATTCCTCACAGCTGTTAGCATTTCTTAACCAGTGTGTGGATTTAGCTGGATACTTTTATGCCCAGGAACCTTTATAGAATGGAAAGGTGAAGGAGTACAGAGGCAGACACCCACTGCCTGGGGTGTAGGTTTTTTCATCACATTACCCAAACACCCACACCCCGCAAAGCCAGGAGGGCTGGAGAAGCCCATCGGTGGCTCCGAAAATGGTCATCACACAGTGGGTAAAGCCAAACTCATGGCATCCTCAGCGGGGGGAGATCTGGGGGCTAGAAGATCAAAATCAAGACCGACTGATTGGATGGCGTTCTCTCAAGAGCCATGAACTACTAATGAAAATCTTGTCTAAGTGCGTCCTGTGCCCACTGTGTGCCAGGCATCATGTTGAGCACTAGAATGCACATTAAATCACACAATCCCTACTATAACCCTAGGAGATGGCTCTTAGGAGCCATCCATCCATTCACTATGTAGTATATTGAGTAGCTCCTACGGGCTTGGCCCTATTCAAAGCATGTTATTAAATTAGTGAATAAAACAGACCCAAATTCTTGCCCTGGTGCAGCTTGTTTTCTTTTTCTTTTTTTTCTTTTTTTTTTTTTTTGAGACAGACTTTTGCTCTTGTTGCCCAGACTGGAGTGCAATGGTGCGATCTCGGCTCACTGCAACTTCTGCCTCCTGGGTTCAAGTGATTCTCCCACCTCAGCCTCCCAAGTAGCTGGGATTACAGGCCTGCACCATCACCCCCGACTAATTTTGTATTTTTAGCAGAGGCGGAGTTTCTCCATTTTGGTCAGGCTAGTCTTGAACTCCTGACCTCAGGTGATCCACCCACCTTGGCTTCCCAAAGTGCTGGGATTACAGGCGTGAGCCACTGAGCCCGACACAGCTTGTTTTCATTTGGGTTAATTTACAGATGAGAAACTAAGAAACAAAGAGGTCAGTTAATTTGCAGTGACAAGCAAATGGCAGTGCCTGGATTTGACCCTAGATAGCTCAATTTTAGAGGCTGAGGACTCAGTCACTATCATAGGAGTATTTCCAGATGCAGCAATATAAGCATTAATGCTAAGATGGGGTAGTACTGGCTACTAATGTCATTTATGCTAATTCGTGTTGCCAAATGAGAATTACACCTGGTAGCTGTTTGTATGTCATAAAGTCATAAAGTTTTTAGGTCATAAAGTCATATGGTCATAAAGTACATATGTATATAAATATGTATATGCATATGTATATAAATATGTATATGCATATGTATATAAATATGTTAGCTCATAAATATATTTATGTTTGGTCAGCTTAATTCATTCAGTATTTATTGAACACCTGTTACATGTCAGGAACGTGGTCTCCACGCTCAGGAAGTTCACAGATAAGTGGAAAAGGCATCAGTCAGTAATTATTACATAGTTGTAAAATGCGCCAATAGTGGTCAGCTCAAGGTGCCAAGGAGGAACAGGGAAGGCACACAGACTCAGCCCTGCTAGGTCTGAAGCTCAGGGATGTGGTGTCTTCATTTTATAGGTAAATCAAAGGTGTCCATGAGACTCAGTGTCCTGAGTGGTCACATTGCTAGGATCTAGAGGAATTATGGCTGGAAACAGGATATCTGACTGTTGGTCTAGTGTGGTCACCATCTCCCCAGAGATGCAATGTCTGGAGTGTCCATTTCCGGCCCAGATCAGCTTCTACACAAATGGAAGAGCCAGAAGGCAGATCACATCTAGCTCTTTGTTTTCTTCACCTTTTGGGTTCTAGCTGGAGTTGGGGACAAGGCCAGTAGGCTTTGTGACTCATACCACCTGCACTCCAGTGGAGTCCTGGGTGGAGAATTCTTCTAAGGTATGGAAAGGACAAATGGTCTCCGAGCACCTCTGCCGTGGAGGGGAGTGAGAAGTAGAGGATACAGATTCCAAATCAGAAAAACAAGTGCCCTTCTCAAGACAGTGATTACATTACCTCTGGAGGGAAAGAGGAATACGAGATGGAGGGTGGTGGAGGAAACTTCTATGTGATCTACAGACCTAAAGCAAATACTGTTCAATGTTGTTATCTGACAAAGCAGGATAATGGGTACAAAAGCATTTGTTATATTCTTCTGTATACCTTTGTGTTTGTTCGAAATATTCCATTAAAAACACAAAGCATACCATGAGTGAAGCATAAAATTTGATTGATCCCAACCTCCAGTAAGCACTTTACTGATTTTCAATAACCTTGACCTTTCCTGAAGAGGTACATTGTTAATCTAAGGTCGAGTTCAAATGTCACTTCCTCCATGCAGACATCTCTGATTCTCCCTCTTGGCTGAAAGAATGTACCTAGGAATTCCTGCCATACAGATTAGTGCTTCTTTCTTGGCAGATCCAGATCACAGCTCTCCTGTTTCATTGTCTTGTTTAACTGTGCGCACCTGGCAACCCACAGCCCTGGACCTTGCAGTTAGATGGGAGAGCCCTCTCCCTTCCCTCAGCCACTCCTATATCTGGGCTACAGAAGGTGCTTGTGCCATCTGAGGAGTTTATGCTGTCCTTAAAACTTTGTGGATCTTGAGTCTGAATAAACAGGGCATTGTAGGGCAAAGCTCTTCTTGAAGGTACTTAGTAACAAGGAGTTAAAGAATTCCTATTTTATGTCCTGTGAAAACTTGGCTCTTGTACTTGAGGCTTGAGATGAATCAGTCAAGGTGGAAGTAACCTGGGTAGTGTTAATACTTCCCCCACATGGGCAGATTACATTAAAATTTCCTAAAAGACAATTGTTTCAGAAACAGTACTTTTCCACTATCATTATCTGAAATGTCATTATTTGCCAAAGGAAGGAAAAACAGTAAATTCCTTCCCTATTTACTCATCTTCAGAGAATACAGTAAAAGTTTCCAAGGACAATGTAGACAGACTACCTCCCCCGGTGCATCTCCCAGTGTGGAACTTGTCACGGACATCACTCCTGCTTCTCTTGGGATCCATTCCTTACAAGCAAGTCTAGGGCCTCCCTGGGATCATACACACTCTCCATTCCTCTCATGAAACATTATCCTCTCTGGGAAGAAAGCCGACCAATTAAGGAACATGATTTTACTTGTTTAATAGAGCAAGTAGCCTTTCTTTAGTGTTTGGCTAGGTTAGCTCAGAACAACTTGTTTTTAAAGAAACAGAGCATTAAAAAACAATGGAAGCCCTTAGTATACACTTTTTCCTTCTCATTTGCTTCCTTCTGTAAACTATGTGTGTAGTGAATTTCTCAGGGTTCCTGAAGGCGTGGAGCATTCTGGTTTCTTACTTATTATAAAATGTTTTAAGCATACAGTAAACTTTAGAGAATGTAATCAATAACCTTTGTACCTATCACTCAATTTTGTCAAAACCATTTATCCATATTTGCTATATAGTCAAGGTAATATTAATTGCTGTCACAAAAGTCCATACATCTCAGCGCTGCAACACAAGAGAAGTTCATTTCTTATTCGTAGAATGTCCATGTACCTGGTCTGGCAGCTTTCCACCAAATGGTCACTCAGGGATCCAGGCGACATTCTTTTTTGTGCGTCTGCCCATATTCAACATGTTATCTCCAACTTACCATGGCTAAGAGGGCTAATTAGCCAAGAAGAAACTCCCAGCACCAACTCTATACTAAGGTAGATGAGAAAAATTCATCATTAGCTAGTTAGCTACTAACTAGCTACATTTCAGGGCTTTTTTTTTTGGAAAAAGAGGTTTTTTCCCCCACAACTCCTCTAAGGCAGCCCATTCGCTGTGTAGCAGCCTGGCATCTTACAGAGTTCTTCCTTTGGTCTAATCTAAGTTAGAGATCTATTTCTTCGTGTTTGCTCTTGAAATGATGCAAGAGTTTCCAATATTCATAAAACTCTTGGCCAGGCATGGTGGCTCATGCCTGTAATCTCAGCACTTTGGGAGGCTGAGGTGGGTGGATCACCTGAGGTCAGGAGTTCAAGACCAGTCTGGCCAACATGGCAAAACCCTGTCTTCACTAAAAATACAAAAATTAGCTGAGTGTGGTGGTGCACACCAGTAATCTCAGTTACTCGGGAGGCTGAGGCAGGAGAATCACTTGAACCCTGGAGACAGAGGTTGCAGTGAGCCAGGATCACACTACTGCACTCCAGCCTGGGCAGCAAAGCGAGACTCCATCTCAAAAAACAAAACAAAACAAAACAAAACAAAACAAAACAAAACAAAAACCCCACAACTCTTTGCATATTTGAAGGCCCTTTCTTCTCTCATTGGTTTTCACCTTTAAAATTAAATACTTACAGCTCAATATTTCCTTGTAGATATGAATTTCCAACTCTTTTAAAACAATTTCCCAAGATGTATTCCTCATGTGGGATTTAACTAAATGTTAAATATAAAATGGCCAAATATGTATAAGAAATACAGTGTTAAACAAAGTCAAACTGGTCTTTTTTCTCAGGACACTTCAGTACCCTTAATACACTAACATGCTTTGTGAGTTTCTGGAAGTCATTTCTGCAGTGTTTCCCAATTTTTTTTTTCAATCACAATACATTTTCTTTACTTACTTTAAAAGACAGCAATGTTCCACATTTCAATAATATTTGAGAAAGTTTCAAAACCCTCTAATAACCATTAAGTGAAAATAAATTTATTGAAGATTAATAATGACCACAAAATACTATGAAATCATTACTGATGCCTTTTGCATTAATAATATTTGGAGCATAGATGGAGAAAATATGGAACAGAATATGGACATTTGAAACTATATTTTGGCCGGGCACGGTGGCTCACACCTGTAATAGCACTTTGGGAGGCTGGGGTGGGCAGATTGCCTGAGCTTAGGAGTTCGAGACCAGCATGGGCAACGTGGTGAAACCCCGTCTCTACTAAAGATTAAAAAAAATTAGCCGGGCATGGTGGTGTGTGCCTGTAATCCAAGCTACTTGGGAGGCTGAGTCACGAGAATCACTTCAACCCGGGAGGCGGAGGTTGCTGTGAGCCAAGATTGTGCCACTGCACTTCAGCCTGGGTGACAGAGTGAGACTCTGTCAAAAACAAAAAACAAAAACAATGATATTTTATCCAGACTTTATCTTTTTGTTAAATCTTGTGCACTCTAGAAGATATATTCAAGATGGTTGTAAAGATAATTCAGCTAAAGTCATACTTCAAAGATGTTAAAAAGCCCTCCACCAATGATAGGGCATTGCAAATCCTTCCATCCCATCCGTTTACAAAATTAAAACAAATAATAACCCAAAGAGCTTTTCTCAGAAAAAGATTCAGTTAAAAAAAGAGAACATTGTCACAGAATTAATAGTAACCAGAATAAGAAATCAGTATAATCAAGAAAGATACATAATTATTCAACATAATTTGATATGGATAGATCAATATAACTCACTCAATAAGTGGACACTATTGTGAGGGGAGTGGGTAACATGATCCACAGTCCTGTTCATAAACTCATATATAATTTATTTCAATCAAACTGTAAAGTAAAAGCACTATTAACGTTATAACATTTTACAGTAATGTAAAAAGCAAATCACTGTTGGTACTTTATGATCAGAGTACACAGTACAGACAAAATAGGCACCTTCATTGTAATTTTTTAAAATACATAAAAGCACATTAACAAAAAAGGAAGATAAGCAGCACCTAAAGCCTTTGACATTTGTAACTAAATGCCCGTATCCAAATGGTCTAGCTGGAGAAGTTTCACTAAGGAGGCACAAAAAAGGAGCCGTTTTTGACCTAACATTTTCATTCTAGTAGAGATAAGACTTTGTGTGGGCTTACAGTCCTTCACCTGATGGTGAGTAGCATACCAATCCTTCAAATGTCCTATGCCCCACGGTGCCCCCATACCCACACCACCACTGTTAGTGAGTGCCAGGACTGCTGGCTCCACTGCTGCCATGTTCCTCTGAGCATCTCCCAAATATATATATATATATATATTTTTTTTTTTTTTTTTTTTTTTTCCTGAGACGGAGTCTTGCTCTGTCACCCAGGCTGGAGTGCAGTGGCATGATCTCAGCTCACTGCAACCTCCGCCTCCCAGGTTCAAGCAATTCTCCTGCCTCAGCCTCCCGAGTAGCTGGGATTACAGGTGTCTGCCACCATGCCCGGCTAATTTTTGTATTTTTAGCTGAGATGGGGTTCATTATGTTGGCCAGGCTGGTTTCCAACTCCTGACCTCAAGTGATCTGCCTGCCTTGGCCTCCCAAAGTGCTGGGATTACAGGCGTGAGCCACAGTGCCTGGCCCCAAGTATTTTTGGTAATAGATTTTTCCTGTAAAGAAGGATTGGTAGAGGGTTCTGGGAAATGCATGTTAAGATGCTATACATTGCGTTAGGGTTTTCTATTTCTTCGTATTTCATTCTTGGTAGGTTGGATGTGTCCAGGAATGTATCCTTTTTTTCTAGGTTTTCCAATTTGTTGGAGTGTAGCTGTTTGTAATAGTCTCTAATGATTCTTTGCATTTCCGGGATGTCAGTTGTTACGTCTCCTTTTTTGTTTCAGATTTTATTTATTTGCATCTTCTCTCTCTCTTTTTTTCTTAATCTTGCTAAAGGTTTGCCAATTTTATCTTTCAAACAAATCAACTTTTCATTATGCTGACCTGTATTTTTTATAAATAAATTGTATTTATTTTTATAAATAAAATTTATTTATTTATATTCTGATCTCCATTATTTCTTTCTTTCTACTAATTTTGGGTTTGGCTTTTCTGTTGCTTTGAGGTGCATCACTAGGTTGTTTATGCGAAGTCTTTCTAGTTTTTTAATATAGTCATTTATTGCTATAGATGTGCTTCTTAGTACTGCTTTTGCTGTATCACATAGATTTTGGTATGTTGTATTTCCATTTTCATTTGTTTTAAGAAATTTTTAAATTTCCTTCTTAATTTCTTCATTGACCCATTGGTCATTCAGGAGCGTATTGTTTAATATCCAAATATTTGTGGATTTTGTGAGGTTCTTCCTGTTATCAGTTCCTAGTTTTATTCCATCATGGTCAGAAAAGATGCTTTATATGATTTTTACTCTTTTGTTGAGAGTTGTTTTATAGCCTAAGACATGGTTTATTCTGGAAAATGTTCCATTTGCTGATGAAAAGAATGTGTATTCTACAGCAGTTGGGTGAAATGTTCTGTAAATGTCAGTTAGGCCTATTTGGTCTAATGTGTAGTTTAACTCCCATGTTTCTTTGTTGATTTTCTGTCTGCATGATCTGTCCATTACTGAGAGTGGGATGTTGAAGTACGCTACCAGTATTGTATTGCAATCTGTCTCTCCCTTTAGATTGATTAATGTTTGCTTTAAATGCTTGGGAGTTCCAATGTTGGATGGATAGATATTTATATAATTGTTATATCCTCTTGCCAAATTGACCCCTTTATCATTATGTAATTAATTATTTGTCTCTTTTTACAGTCTTTGATTTGTAGTCTATTTTATCTGATACAAGTATAGCTACTCCTGCTCTTTTTCAGTTTTCATTTGCATAGAATTTCTTTACCCATTCCTTTACTTTCCATCTCTGTGTGTCTTTATAAGTAAAGCAGGTTTTTGTAGGCAGCATATAGTTGGGTTTTGTTTCTTTATCCATTAAGCCACTCTGTGCCTTTTAATTGGAGAACTTAGTCAATTTACACCACAACTACAGTATTATTCTGCATTTGTCCATGTACTTAATTTTATCAGTGGATTTTATACCTTCAAATGTTTCCTTTTTGCATGTTAGCATTTTAAAATTTCTGACTGAAGAACTTCTTTTAGCATTTCTTATGAGTCTGGTGAATTCTCTCAGCTTTTGTTTGAAAGACTTTATCTTTCTTTCATATTTAAAAGATAGCTTTGATAGATACAGTATTCTTGGATGGCAGAGTTTTATTTTTCCAACAATTTGAAAATGTCATTCGACTTCCTCCTGGACTGTATGGTTTCCATTGAGAAGTCTGTTGCCAGAAAAAATGTGGCTCCTTTATATTTTATTTGCTTCTTTTCTCTTGCTGCTTTTAGGATTCTCTCCTTGTGAGACGTGACAGCGTGCTGGCAGTCCTCACAGCCCTTGCTCGCTCTCGGCGCCTCCTCTGCCTGGGCTACCACTTCAGCGGCACTTGAGGAGCCCTTCAGCCCACCACTGCACTGTGGGAGCCCCTTTCTGGGCTGGCCAAGGCCAGAGCTGGCTCCCTCAGCTTGCAGGGAGGTGTGGAGGGAGAGGCGTGAGCAGGAACCGGGGCTGTGTGAGGCGCTTGCAGGCCAGCTGGGGTTCCGGGTGGGCGTGGGCTTGGCAGGCCCCGCACTCGGAGCGGCCGGCCGGCCCTGCTGGCCTGGGCAGTGAGGGGCTTAGCACCCAGGCCAGTGGCTGCGGAGGGTGTACTGGGTCCCCCAGCAGTGCCAGCCCACCCGCGCTGTGTTCAATTTCTCACCAGGCCTTAGCTGCCTTCCCGCGAGGCAGGCCTCGGGACTGCAGCCCGCCATGCCTGAGCCTTCCCTTGCCTCCATGGGTTCCTGTGCAGCCTGAGCCTCCCCGACGAATGCTGCCCCCTGCTCCATGGTGCCCAGTCCCATCCACCGCCCAAGGGCTGAGGAGTGCGAGCGCATGGCACGGGACAGGCAGGCAGCTCCACCTGCAACCCCAGTGTGGGATCCACTAGGTGAAGCCAGCTGGGCTCCTGAGTCTGGTAGGGACGTGGAGAGTCTTTATATCTAGCTCAGGGATTGTAAACACAGCAATCAGCACCCTGTGTTTAGCTCAAGGTTTATGAATGCACCATTTGACACTCTGTATCTAGCTGCTCTGGTGGGGACGTGGAGAACCTTTATGTCTAGCTCAGGGATTGTAAATACACCAATCAGCACCCTGTGTTTAGCTCAAGGTTTGTGAGTGCACCAATCGACACTCTGTATCTAGCTGCTCTGGTGGGGACGTGGAGAACCTTTGTATCTAGCTCAGGGATTGTAAACGCACCAATCAGCGCCCTGAGAAAACAGGCTGCTCGGCTCTACCAATCAGCAGGATGTGGGCGGGGCCAGATAAGAATAAAAACAGGCTGCCAGTGGCAACCTGCTCCGGTCCCCTTCCACATTGTGGAAGCTTTGTTCTTTCAGTCTTTGCAATAAATCTTGCTACTGCTCACTCTTTGGGTCCACGCTGCTTTTATGAGCTGTAACACTCACCACGAAGATCTGCAGCTTCAGTCCTGAGCCCAGCGAGACCACGAGCCCACCGGGAGAAATGAACAACTCCAGACGCGCTGCCTTAAGAGCTGTAACACTCACCGCGAAGGTCTGCAGCTTCACTCCTGAGCCAGCGAGACCACAAACCCACCAGAAGGAAGAAACTCCGAACACATCTGAACATCAGAAGGGACAGACTCCAGGTGCACCACCTTAAGAGCTGTAACACTCACCACGAGGGTCCGCGGCTTCATTCTTGAAGTCAGTGGAACCAAGAACCCACCAATTCCGGACACACTTGTCCTTTGCTTTTGAAAGTTTGATTATTTTATGCCTTGGGGTCGTCTTACTTGGGTTGAATCTGTTTGGTGTTCACTGATCTTCCTGTTCTGATATTTATCTCTTTCTCAAGTTTTGGAGTTTTCTGTTATTTTTTTAAATAAGCTTTGTACCCCTTCCTCTTGCACAACTTCCTCTTGAACACCAATAATTCTTAGATTCTGTCTTTTGTGGTAATTTTGTATCTTGTAGGTGACCTTTATTTCTTTTCATTATTTTCTTTTTTTTCCCTCTAACTGTGTATTTTCACACCGCCTGTCTTTGGGCTCATTCATTCTTTCCTCTGCTTGATTCATTCTGTTGTTGAGAGCTTTTAATGAGTCTTTCAGTTCTGCAGATGTATTGCTCAGTTCCATGATTTGATTGATTCTTTATTATTTTAATCTCTGTGTTCAATTTATCTGATAAACTTCTGAATTGCTTCTCTATTATCTTAGAGATCACTGAGTGTCTTTAAAACTGCCATTTTGAATTCTTGGTCAGACGGTTTGTATATTGCCATCTCATTAGGGTCAGTTGCAGACTCCTTGCTTTGTCAATTTCAGGAGGCCATGGTTTCCTGTTTGCTGTTGTTTCATGTGATGTATGTCTGTTTCTTTGCACTGAAGGATTAGTTATTAATTCCAGTCTTCTCTGTCTGGCTTGTTCTGTTTTTTTTTTTTTTTTTTTTTTTTTAATTAGGTGTGTTTGCTTAAAGAGTCTTTGTAACTTACTATTTATTTTATTTTTCCTCACACTAAAACACTGCCTCCTTTTTGGCACTAGAGGGTGCCTTGAGCCCAAGCTTTTCTCAATTCTAGTAAAAACCAGAGTGCTGCCCATCTGAATGGGTGAGGTCCCAAATGGGATTCTTAGTAGTATGGGAAGGCTCACTAGGTGTTTGTGCCCAGAGGACCTGTGGAATGTACCTCCTACAGAGTGATGCTGCTGAACACTCTGATTTAACATCAGCTTTGGCTGAGTTACAGAGCAGAGTTTCCATGGTGGTGGATGGAAGTCTTGCCTCCCTGCTTTGTTTCTGGCTGTCCTCAGTGATATTTATCTTTTCAGGCGCTCATGATGCTTCCCATGGATTGAGGGAAGGACAGGTCTCCTGCCAGGGAACCCAAGAAGGTGGGGAGGCTAGTTATCCACCTTGATTTTACTCTTTCCAGTGTAGAAACCCTGAGTCAGGCAGAAATTTTCCATGCACTTGGTGCCGGGTAGATTGGAGACAGCAGAATCAAGGATATGGAAGTTCAGTTATCTTACCACCTCCTCACAGTTTTTTAAATTTCTCTGTGCCCCTAGGAAATATATCCTCCTCATATGTGAGTTCTAAGATATTGCTGGCTTTGTATTTTTTGTTCTCTCAGGTGGAGTGAAGGCAGCTTGCTTCTACACTGCTATTTTGGCCTGTACATTGCTTTAAGTGTTTTTTTTTCTCCCTGAATCTTCCACATTATCAATGACCTTTTTAGATGATGGTCCTGGTATCAAATGTGATGTCAACTGGGTTTTTCAGCTGTGTATAAACTGGCTCCAGTGCCCAACGTGGTATGTTTGGCACATTGTTGTTCCTAATAACAACTCTGTGAGACAGTGAGATCTGAGCGAGATGGTGAGACCTGGATGTGTCTACTGAAACTCTAAAAAGAGACTAGATCATGCTCAGGATGGCTTCAGTGGTAGGTACTTCTAATTCCTTCAAAATCTGTAATTCATAAATGGTTAATATTCTTACTGCTATTTACCCACAATTCTTAATGAACCAAAACATCCTAGTTTTCAGCTGTGAATGTGGTGTGTGTATGTGTGTGTTACATATGACTTGTGTTGGGTTAGGACTCAGTAGTGCCTATCTGTGTTTTCAGTATAACTAAAACAGCAACATGGTTCTCCTGTTTACATTTTTATGTCTCTTGGATTTAGCTTTATCATTTATAAAGTGCTTTTACATACTGGCTTATTTGGCAATTACAAAAATACCATAAGATAGCATTCCTATTTTATAGATAAGGAAGAGGAGATGGCAAAATGTCAATTGACTAGTTAAAGCTCCCTCAACTGCTTACTTTTTTATTTTTAATCAAAGTAACACTGGTACATAATATTTTTAAAAATTCTGTACAGCAATTCCCCTTCTCCATGGTCTCACTTTCTTGGTTTCAGTTACCCATAGTCAACTGCAGTCCAAAAATAATGGAAAATTCCAGAAAGAAACGACTTTAAATTGCACACCATTCTGAGTAGCATGATGTAATCTCATACTGTCCAGCTCCATCCTACCTGGGCCATGAATCATCCCTTCATCCAGTGTATTCATGCTGTATATGCTCTCTGCCTACTAGTCACTTAGTAGCTGTTTCAGTCATCAGATGAAAAAACATAATACAAGCATACCTCATTCTATGCTGCTTCACTTTATTGCAATTTATATATATTGCCTTTTTTTTTTTTTTAACAAATTGAAGGTTTGTGGTAACACTACATTGAGCAAGTCTATTGGGTTCATTTTTCCAACAGCATATGCTCACTTCATGTCTCTGGAAAGTTTTGATAATTCTCCCAATATTTCAAACCTTTTCACTATTATTATATCCATTATGATGATCTGTGGTCAGAGATCTATTATCTTCCTAATGTAATTATTTGGGGGCACCACAAACATGCCCATGTAAGAAGACAGTCAATAAACATTGTGTATATATGTTCTGACTGCTCCATCCACTGGCCAATCCTCATCTATCTCCCTCTCCTTAAAGCCTCCCTATTACCTGAAACACAGTAGTATTGAAATTAGGCCAATTAATAATCCTACAATGGTCTCAAAATGTTCAAGTGAAAAGAGGAGTCACACATCTCTCACTTTAAATCAAAAGCTAGAAATGATTAAGCTTAGTGAGGAAGGCATGTAAAAAGCTGAGACAGCCAAAAGCTAGGCCTCTTGCACCAAATAGCCAAGTTGTAAATGCAAAAGAAAAGTTCTTCAAAGAAATTGGAAGTGCTACTCTAGTGAATACACAAATGATAAGAAAGTGAAATAGACTTATTGCTGATATGGAGAAAGTTTTAGTGGTCTGGATAGAAGATCAAACAGCTGTAACATTGCCTTGGCCAAAATTGAATCCAGAGCCAGGCCCTAACTCTCTTCGATTCTATGAAAGCTGAGAGGTAAGGAAGCTGCACAATAAAAGCTGGAAGTGAGAAGAGGTTGGTTCATGAGGATTATGGAAAGAAGCCATCTCTGTAACATAACAGTGCAAGGTGAAACAGCAGGTGCTGATGGAGAAGCTGCAGCAAGTTATCCAAAATATCTAGCTAAGATGATTGATGAAAGTGGCTACACCAAACCACAGATTTTCAATATAGATGAAACAGCCTTCTATTGGAAGAAGACAACATCCAGGACTTTCATAGCAAGAGAGAAGTCAATGCCTGGGTTCAGTGCTTCAAAGGACAGGCTGACTCTCTTGTTAGGGGTTAATGCAGCTGGAGACATTAAGTTGGAACTAATGCCAATTTACCATTCTAAAACCCTAGGGCCCTTAAGAATTGCACAAAATCTACTCTACCTGTGCTCTATAAATGGAACAACAAAGCCTGGATGACAGCCCATCTGTAGACAGAATGATTTACTGAATATTTTAAGCCTACTGTGGAGACCTACTGCTTAGCAAAAAAGATTCCTTTCAAAATATTACTACTCATTGACAATGCACCTGGTCACCTAAGCGCTCTGATGGAGATGTACAAGGAGATTAATGTGTTTTTTTTTAAATGGTTGCTAACAAAACATTGTTCTGAAGCCCATGGATCAAGGAGTAATTTTGACTTCCAAGTCTTATTATTTACAAAATGCATTTTTTAAGGCTATAGCTGTCATAGATAGTGACTTCTCTGATTGATCTGGGCAAAGTAAATTGAAAGCCTTCTGGGAAGGATTCACCATTCTAGATACCATGAAGAACATTTGTAATTCCTGAGAGGAAGTCAAATTATTAACAGGTGTTAGGCATAAGTTGATTCCAACTCTCATGGATGACTTTGAAGGTTCAGGACTTTGGTGGAGGAAGTAATTACAGATGTGGTAGGAGTATAAGAGAACTGGAATTAGAAGTGGAGCCTGAAGATGTAACTGAATTGCTGCAATCTCATTATAAAACTTGAAAAAATGAGGAGTTCCTTCTTATGGATGAGCAAAGAAAGTGATTTCTTGAGATGGAAACTACTCCTGTGGAGATGCTGTGAACATTTTTGAAATGACAACAAAAGATTTAGAGTATTATATAAGTTTAGTTGATAAAATAGTGGCAGGATTTGAGAGGATTAACTCAAATTCTACTGTAGGTAAAATGCTATCAAACAGCATCACATGACACGAAGTCTTTTATGAAAGGAAGAGTCAATCAATGCGGCAAACTTCATTGCTGCCTTAAGAAATTGCTCACAATCACCTCAACCTTTAGCAACCACCATCCTGAGCAGCCATCAACATAAGGAAAGATCCTCTGTGAGCAAAAAGATTATAACTTGCTGTATGCTCAGATGATCATTAGCATTTTTAAAAAATAAAATATTTTTCAAGTAAGGTACGTACAGTGTTTTTTTAGATATAATGCTATTGCACACTTAATAGACTACAATAGAGTATAAACCTAACTTTTGTATGTACTAGGAAACCAAAATTTGTGTGACTCATTTTATTGAAATTTTTACTTCATTACAGTGGCCTGGAACCAAATTCATAATGTCTCTGAGGTATGCCAGTATATATAGGGCTTGGTACTATCCATGGTTTTGGGTGTCCACTGAAGGTCTTGGAATATACCCTCCATGGATAAAGGGGACAACTGTACTACAAGATATAAAATGAAAAAGAGCAGTCCCCTGCCTCATCCCTGATTCATACTACCACAAAGTGTAGTACTCTTACTTTCTAATGGAAACAATTTTATATCCCTGCCTACAGCACCCACACCCACCCACCCACACTTGTATTCCTTACATTGTTATATAACAATTTGTGATGAAATCGTTTATCACTTATGATTATATAAATATTGTTCACAGTTGAGCCATTTCTAACCATGATCACAATTCTCTTTTTGAACACGTTTTAATTTTTTCCAAGAAGGTTGTTTTATGTGCCCATTAGTAGTTTATTCCTAAACTTTGAGGCAGAATTATAAAACTCCTCTTAAGACAAACTGTATTTATAAATTCCATTTTTTCTCTTGGATATGTTTCACTTTAAGCTCTTCATCCTCCTACTCTGAGCTAGATTGATTGTTCTTTTAATTGACTGCAAGTTCTGATTATGACACTTCCCTTTACCTCTTTACTGTGTTCCAGTTGTTATTTCTTCTTCTTTCTGATTCTGTGTTTACCTGGAGCACATCCTTTCATGTTCTCCAAAGAAAAGGGGCATGGGAGAGAAATTGTTTTGTATTCTTGAATGTCTTAAATGTCTTATTCTGCCCTTAGACTTGATCAATATTTGTCTGGGTATTGAATTCTAGTTTGAAAGTCATTCTCACTCTGATTTTGAAAGCATTACTATCTTTTATTTTGTGTTTGTTTTTTGAAAAATCTAATGTCATTCTAATTCTACATTCCTTATATATTCTCTTTTTCTCAAAGAATGTCATACCTTCATTTTATCCCTACGGTTATTGAGGTGGGTTATTTCCCATTCATTATGCTGGGTCCTCCAGAGCTCTTTCAGTCCAAAGATTTATGTGCTTTAGTTCTGGGAATTTTCATATAAGACTCCTTTAAAGGAGGCCAGCCTGCCTCTGTAGGCTCCACCTCTGGGGGCAGGGCACAGACAAACAAAAAGACAGCAGTAACCTCTGCAGACTTAAATGTCCCTGTGTGACAGCTTTGAAGAGAGTAGTGGTTCTCCCAGCATGCAGCTGGAGATCTGAGAACGGGCAGACTGCCTCCTCAAGTGGATCCCTGACCCCTGAGCAGCCTAACTGGGAGGCACCCCCTATTACGGGCAGACTGACACCTCACACGGCCGGGTACTCCTCTGACACAAAACTTCCAGAGGAACGATCAGGCAGCAGCATTTGCAGGTCACCCATATCCGCTGTTCTACAGCCACCGCTGTTCGGCAGCCACTGCTCCTGATGCCCAGGCAAACAGGGTCTGGAGTGGACCTCTAACAAACTCCAACAGACCTGCAGCTGAGCGTCCTGTCTGTTAGAAGGAAAACTAACAAACAGAAAGGACATCCACACCAAAAACCCATCTGTACGTCACCATCATCAAAGACCAAAAGTAGATAAAACCACAAAGATGGGGAAAAAACAGAGCAGAAAAACTGGAAACTCTAAAAAGCAGAGCACCTCTCCTCCTCCAAAGGAACGCAGCTCCTCCCAGCAATGGAACAAAGCTGCACGGAGAATGACTTTGATGAGTTGAGAGAAGAAGGCTTCAGACGATCAAACTACTCTGAGCTACAGAAGGAAATTCAAACCAATGGCAAAGAAGTTAAAAACTTTGAAAAAAAATTAGACGAATGGATAACTAGAATAACCAATGCAGAGAAGTCCTTAAAGGACCTGATGGAGCTGAAAGCCAAGGCTCAAGAACGACGTGAAGGATGCAGAAGCCTCAGGAGCTGATGCAATCAATTGGAAAAAAGGGTATCAGTGATGGAAGACGAAATGAATGAAATGAAGCAAGAAGAGAAGTTTAGAGAAAAAAGAATAAAAAGAAATGAACAAAGCCTCCAAGAAATATGGGACTATGTGAAAAGACCAAATCTAGGTCTGATTGGTGTACCTGAAAGTGACAGGGAGAATGGAACCAAGTTGGAAAACACTCTGCAGGATATTATCCAGGAGAACTTCCCCAATCTAGCAAGGCAGGCCAACATTCAGATTCAGGAAATACAGAGAACTCCACAAAGATACTCTTCAAGACGAGCAACTCCAAGACACTTAATTGTCAGATTCACCAAAGTTGAAAGGAAGGAAAAAATGTTAAGGGCAGCCAGAGAGAAAGGTCGGGTTACCCACAAAGGGAAGCCCATCAGACTAAGAGAGATCTCTCGACAGAAACTCTACAAGCCAGAAGAGAGTGGGGACCAATATTCAACATTCTTAAAGAAAAGAATTTTCAACCCAGAATTCTTTTCTTTTATCCAGCCAAACTAAGCTTCATAAGTGAAGGAGAAATAAAATCCTTTACAGACAAGCAAATGCTGAGAGATTTTGTCACCACCAGGCCTGCCCTAAAAGAGCTCCTGAAGGAAGCACTAAACATGGAAAGGAACAACTGGTACCAGCCACTGCAAAAACATGCCAAAATGTAAAGACGATCAAGGCTAGGAAGAAACTGCATCAACTAATGAGCAAAATAACCAACTAACATCATAATGACAGGACCAAATTCACACATAACAGTATTAACTTTAAATGTAAATGGGCTAAATGCTCCAATTAAAAGACACAGACTGGCAAATTGGATAAAGAGTCAAGACCCATCAGTGTGCTGTATTCAGGAAACCCATCTCACATGCAGGGACATACATAGGCTCAAAAAAAAAGGATGGAGGAAGATCTACCAAGCAAATGGAAAACAGAAAAAGGCAGGAGTTGCAATCCTAGTCTCTGATAAAACAGACTTTAAACCAACAAAGATGAAAAGAGACAAAGAAGGCCATTACATAATGGTAAAGGGATCAATTCAACAAGAAGAGCTAACTATCCTAAATATATATGCACCCAATACAGGAGCACCCAGATTCATAAAGCAAGTCCTGAGTGACCTACAAAGAGACTTAGACTTCCACACAATAATAATGGGAGACTTTAACACCCCACTGTCAACATTAGACAGATCAATGAGACAGAAAGTTAACAAGGATACCCAGGAATTGAACTCACCTCTGCACCAAGCAGACCTAATAGACATCTACAGAACTCTCCACCCCAAATCAACAGAATATACATTTTTTTCAGCACCACACCACAATTATTCCAAAATTGACCACAGAGTTGGAAGTAAAGCACTCCTCAGCAAATGTAAAAGAACAGAAATTATAACAAACTGTCTCTCAGACCATAGTGCAATCAAACTAGAACTCAGGATTAAGAAACTCACTTAAAACCGCTCAACTACAAGGAAACTGAACAACCTGCTCCTGAGTGACTACTGGATACATAACAAAATGAAGGCAGAAATAAAGATGTTCTTTGAAACCAATGAGAACAAAGACACAACACACCAGAATCTCTGGGACACATTCAAAGCAGTGAGTAGAGGGAAATTTATAGCACTAAATGCCCACAAGAGAAAGCAGGAAAGATCCAAAATTGACACCCTAACATCACAATTAAAAGAACTAGAAAAGCAAGAACAAACACATTCAAAAGCTAGCAGAAGGCAAGAAATAACTAAAATCAGAGCAGAACTGAAGGAAATAGAGACACAAAAAACCCTTCAAAAAATTAATGAATCCAGGAGCTGATTTTTTGAAAAGATCAACAAAATTGATAGACCACTAGCAAGACTAATAAAGAAGAAAAGAGAGAAGAATCAAATAGACGCAATAAAAAAATGATAAAGGGAATATCACCACTGATCCCACAGAAATACAAACTACCATCAGAGAATACTACAAACACCTCTATGCAAATAAACTAGAAAATCTAGAAGAAATGGATAAATTCCTCAACACATACACCCTCCCAAGACTAAACCAGGAGGAAGTTGAATCTCTGAATAGACCAATAACAGACTCTGAAATTGTGGCAATAATCAATAGCTTACCAACCAAAAAAAGCCAGGACCAGATGGATTCACAGCCGAATTCTACCAGATGTACAAGGAGGAGCTGGTACCATTCCTTCTGAAACTATTCCCATCAATAGAAAAAGAGGGAACCCTCCCTAACTCATTTTATGAGGCCAGCATCATCCTGATACCAAAGCCTGGCAGAGACACAACCAAAAAGAATTTTAGATGAATATCCTTGATGAACATTGATGCAAAAATCCTCAATAAAATACTGGCAAACCGAATCCAGCAGCACATCAAAAAGCTTATCCACCATGATCAAGTGGGCTTCATCCCTGGGATGCAAGGCTGGTTCAGCATATGCAAATCAATAAACATAATCCAGCATATAAACAGAACCAAAGACAAAAACCACATGATTATCTCAATAGATGCAGAAAAGGCCTTAGACAAAATTCAACAACCCTTCATGCTAAAAACTCTCAATAAACTAGGTTGTGATCGGACATATCTCAAAATAATAAGAGCTATCTATGACAAACCCACAGCCAATATCATACTGAATGGGCAAAAACTGGAAGCATTCCCTTTGAAAACTGGCACAAGACAGGGATGCCCTCTCTCACCACTCCTATTCAATATAGTGTTGGAAGTTCTGGCCAGGGCAATCAGGCAGGAGAAGGAAATAAAGGGTATGCAATTTGGAAAAGAGGAAGTCAAATTGTCCCTGTTTGCAGATGACATGATTGTATACCTAGAAAACCCCATCATTTCAGCCCAAAATCTCCTTAAGCTGATAAGCAACTTCAGCAAAGTCTCAGGATACAAAATCAATGTACAAAAATCACAAGCATTCTTATACACCAATAACAGACAAACAGAGAGCCAAATCATGAGTGAACTCCCATTCACAATTGCTTCAAAGAGAATAAAATACCTAGGAATCCAACTTACAAGGGATGTGAAGGACATCTTCAAGGAGAACCACAAACCACTGCTCAATGAAATAAAAGAGAATACAAACAAATGGAAGAACATTCCATGTTCATGAGTAGGAAGAATCAGTGTCGTGAAAATGGCCATACTGCCCAAGGTCGTGAAAATGGCCATACTGCCCAAGGTAATTTATAGATTCAATGCCATCCCCATCAAGCTACCAATGACTTTCTTCAAAGAATTGGATAAAACTACTTTAAAGTTCATATGGAACCAAAAAAGAGCCCGCATCACCAAGTCAATCCTAAGCCAAAAGAACAAAGCTGGAGGCATCATGCTACCTGACTTCAAACTATACTACAAGGCTACAGTAACCAAAACAGCATGGTACTGGTACCAAAACAGAGATATAGATCAATGGAACAGAACAGAGCCCTCAGAAATAATGCCGCATATCTACAACCATCTGATCTTTGACAAACCTGACAAAAACAAGCAATGGGGAAAGGATTTCCTGTTTAACAAATGGTGCTGGGAAAACTGGCTCGCCATATGTAGAAAGCTGAAACTGGATCCCTTCCTTACACCTTATACAAAAATTAATTCAACATGGATTAAAGACTTAAATGTTAGACCTAAAACCATAAAAACCCTAGAAGAAAACCTAGGCAGTACCATTCAGGACATAGGCATGGGCAAGGACTTCATGTCTAAAACACCAAAAGCAATGGCAACAAAAGCCAAAATTGACAAATGGGATCTAATTAAAGAGCTTCTGCACAGCAAAAGAAACTACCATCAGAGTGAACAGGCAACCTACAGAATGGGAGAAAATTTTCTCAACCTACTCATCTGACAAAGGGCTAATATCCAGAATCTACAATGAACTCCAACAAATTTACAAGAAAAAAACAAACAACCCCATCAAAAATGGGCAAAGGATATGAACAGACACTTCTCAAAAAAAGACATTAATGCAGCCAAAAGACACATAAAAAAATGCTCATCATCACTGGCCATCAGAGAAATGCAAATCAAAACCACAATGAGATACCATCTCACACCAGTTAGAATGGCAATCATTAAAAAGTCAGGAAACAACAGGTGCTGGAGAGGATGTGGAGAAATAGGAACACTTTTATACTGTTGGTGGGACTCTAAACTAGTTCAACCATTGTGGAAGTCAGTGTGGCGATTCCTCAGGGATCTAGAACTAGAAATACCATTTGACCCAGCCATCCCATTACTGGGTATATACCCAAAGGATTATAAATCATGCTGCTATAAAGACACATGCACATGTATGTTTATTGCGGCACTATTCACAATAGCAAAGACTTGGAACCAACCCAAATGTCCAACAACGATAGACTGGATTAAGAAAATGTGGCACATATACTCCATGGAATACTATGCAGCCATAAAAAATGTTGAGTTCATGTCCTTTGTAGGGACATGGATGAAATTGGAAATCATCATTCTCAGTAAACTATCACAAGGACAAAAAACCAAACACCGCATGTTCTCACTCATAGGTGGGAATTGAACAATGCGAACACATGGACACAGGAAGGGGAACATCACACTCCGGGGACTGTTGTGGGGTGGGGGGAGGAGGGAGGGATAGCATTAGGAGATATACCTAATGCTAAATGACGAGTTAATGGGTGCAGCACACCAACATGGCACATATATAAATATGTAAAAACCCTGCACATTATGCATATGTACCCTAAAACTTAAAGTTTAAAAAAAAAAAAGACACCTTTAAAAAGGTCTCTCATTCTGTTTTCTGTGTTCTTGCTTTCTAAACTCCCATCAGATCGCTATTACACTGCCTGGATAGTTCTTTAATTTTCTTATTATTTTATTTCAATTTCTGCATTTTTCTCTTTTTATTCTGTTGAAGGAATTTCTTCAATTTTCCTCACCTGTCTTTTGAACTTTTAAAATGTTCTCTTTGTTCTCCAATTCTTCCTTTTTTATGGGACTCTGTTCTTGTTTCCAAGATTTTTCTCTGATTCTTGGAGATAATAATTATAAGTTTTATAACATTCTTCTTCTGTTTTCTACAGTGTCACTGCTTCCCTCAAATAGCTTCATTTTCTTCGTATCTTCCTTTCTGTTTTATTTTGGAGAATGTCTTTAACTGCCTGCTAACTTTGACTGTTCCTTCTTTCTTAGAAGCAAGGCACTATAAAAGAGGATAGGAAGTTCTGTGCTATGGGTGGGTGATTAGATGGTGGCCTATTATGAGACTTCAAATGCCTGTAATTATTAGTTAGGCTTTTTCTCCTGAGCAGGTCTGTTTTTGAGGAATGTTCTGATTTCAACTCTGGCTGCCATATTCTCAGCAGGGGAATGGGGCTGGAGGGCTCAGGATTCAGTACATGGACTTTTACTTAACATATCTGTTTTCTTTCTTTTTTTCCTTTTCTTTTTCTGAGACATGATCTTGCTGTGTCACCCAGGCTGGAATGCAGTTGCAGGATCTCAGTTCACTGCAACCTCTGCCTTCTGGGCTCAAGCAATCCTCCCACCACAGCCTCCTGAGTACTGGTGCACGCCAGCACACCCGGCTAATTTTTGTATTTTTAGTAGAGACAGGGTTTCGCCATGTTGCCTCGGCTCGTCTCGAGCTCCTGGCCTCAAGCAATCCACCTGCCTCAGCCTCCGAAAGTGCTGGGATTACACGTGAGAGCTACCGTGCCTGGCCCATACCTGGTTTCAAAATGCACCTTCCTCCTTAAACTATACTTGGTGCCTGTATGTCTTCTGGCTGAGGGAGCAAATTACAGAATCCTGACAAGGTGGAATGATTGTGAAGGGTGGAAACTCAGCTGTTACTCATGCAGTCTTTCCCTGAGCCAACCCCACTGCCTTGAGGAACACCACCACCTTTCTAAATGGTGGGCCTTTAACCCAGAAGGAGCCTTGAAATGTTCCCAGGTATGAACCCACTGACTTCTTTTGGGTTTCTCCCCAAGAGATACAAGGTTTCAGCTTTCTCTCCTGTTAAGTGCTATGTACTCACTCATCTGCATCTCTTTTCCATTTTCTCAAATTTTCTTGTTACTCCTCCACAATAGTTCCAATTCATTTTATCCTTTTCAGTTTATAGGACTTGCCTTTAAACAAACAAACTACTATCCTATCATTTTATTAAGCCTTCAGGAGAGAGCATATGTGTTGAAGTCACCAGTTGTAAGAGGCAGTATGGCCCTTATTCTTTTCACACTGCCTCCCTGACACAGATAATCTTCAATTATACAGCAAATGTTTCTATATGTGGACCCTCTACACTCCTGTGTGGGAGCTTTACGATTCTGTGTGTGAACTGGTATTCTGATTTTGTTCATTCAGAAGACAACAATGAGCCAGCTGCTCTGCTGTGCTCTGTGGCCTCCCCAGAGATGAAGATGTCATTTCCTGCTCTCAGGGCGCCTCCCCCTCATTACCTAGAGATGGCGATGCTGGGTTTTCAGTACTCTGATATTCTGTGCTATTTTAACGTACCAAGAGAGGCAATCTTGTTGGTGTGATTTTGTCATTTCAGTATTTTAGAAAATCTAAAATCTGAATCATTTCCCCAGGAAGTTGGGTGCTACTTTAAGGACTAGATTCTTTCATTTCTAAAGCATTCTGACCACATCCCTCCCCTGTTTAAACCCATCTAAGCTAAGTTATTGTTGTTGTTTGAATTCCAATTTCCCAAATTACTTATAATGCAGAGCATCTCTTTTTGCATTTCTTAGTCACATGTATTTCTGCCAAGCCAATTTAGTCATCAGAAGTCTAAGCTCAAGGGCACACTTAGGCCTGCTCCTGCTGTGTCCTACCTACTGAGGTGACAATTTTAGGGGGCTAAGGGGATATGCCCACCATGCCTGCATCCCTCTATCTTTGGGTACCCCAGAACCCCAACACCCCAACCCACAGCATCGAGCAGCTTCTAGAGCCCACGTAGGTCTCCTTTCCAGATATGTCTGTTGAACAAGGGCAGCATATGCTCTCCTAGGTGCACGGGGTTTGTGCAGAGACCCAAGAATGCATGTCCGGTCCCCTTAAATTTTGTGCCCTAGATGATTGCTTATCTCAACCTGATCTTTCCCTGGGAGGATGCTCTAGAAAGAACGAAGAGGAGTGGTGAGATTTAGAGGAGAGGGGAGCAAGGAGGGAAGGAAGGGTCCATGCTCAGTTCTCAGACCCTCCTCTGGAGCCAGACCACTTACTGCCTTCACAGCCAGATTCCCCCAGCTCTCTCTACTGTTTTACCGAAGGACCAGAGCCATTCTCCTAGGGCCTAAGCCCCACATTCATCCCCAGGATACATTTTAGGTAATGTACAATAACTACTCAAGGACAGGTGTTGTCATTTTGCTTTAATGTCACAAGCCCTGTCATCCAACTAAGCCTTTTCAAGTTCTGATCCTAGTGACCATGTTTTCTTAACCATAGCAACTATTTCTGCTTGTCATTATATACCCACAGCCTGACTGTGGGCGTAGGTGATTACCAGTTGAACAAATTCCCTTGTATAGCCACACTGGAGAAGAGGGTTTATATCAATAGTTTGTCTTCCATGTCAGACCTGTTCTCATTGTGGCATTCCATTATTATGTGAATTTCCATCACTGAGTGACGGAAGCAATATAGATGAGTTGTCTCTTCATTGCCTCTGGGCTTGTTTCAACACAAACAGCTGCCAGCCAACTTGGGTGTGGATCACAAAATTTTATGTCCCCCATAAAAGAAACACTGGACCCATTAAGCCATCATGCTCCTATTTCCATGACCTCCCAGTCCTAGGTGACAACTAATCCGGTTTATGTCTCTATGAATTTGACCATTCTGGACATTTCATATAAATGGAATCATGTAATATGTGGCCATTCGTGACTGGATTTTTTCACTTAGCATAATGTTCTTAAGGCTTATCTACTTTGTAACCTGTATCAGTAATTCATTTACTTTTAATTGCCAAATCATATTTCAATGTGATCCAACAGTCATGTTTTGTTTATCCATACATCAGTATGGGTATTGTGTTGTTTCCACTTTTTGGCTATTATGAATAATGCTGCAGTGAAAATTCATGAACAGGTTTTTGTGTAGACATTTGTCTTCAGTTCTCTTGGGTATATGCCTAGGAGTGGAACTGCTGGGCCATTTAGTAATTATGCTTAACTAGGTGAGGAAATGTCAAACTATTTTTCAAAGTGGCCACATGATTTTATAGTCTCACCCATGTATGAGGGTTACAGTTTCTCCACATCCTCACCAGTGCTTGTTATTGTCTATCTTTTTGGTGACAGTAATCCCATTGTGTGTTGCTGGTATCGCTTTGTGGTTTTGATTTGTGTTTCCTGGATGGATAATGAGGCTTGTCATGGATAACAAGTGCTTGTCAGCCATTTGTGTATCTTCTTTGTAGAAATGCCTAATCAAATTTTTTTCATTTTAAAATTGCATTCTTATTCTTTTCTTACTGAGTTGTAAGCGTTCTTCATTCTGAATAGAAGTCCCTTATTAAATACATGATTTACAAACATTTTCTCCCATTCTATGTGTTGTCTTTTTACTTTTTTGACAAGTGTTCCTTAAAGTATAAAAGTTTTTAATTTTGATGTAGTCCAACTTATCGGTTTTTTCTTTTGTTGCTTCCCTTTTGGTGTCATATCTCATAATCCACTGCCTAACCAAAGGTCAAAAAGATTTATGCCTATGTTACTTCTAAGAGTTTTATAGTTTTAGCTCTTCAGTTTAGATAAATGATCTATTTTGAGTTAATTTTTGTATATTTTATGAGGTAGGGATCCAGTTTCATTCTTTTGCATGTGAATATCCAGTTGCCCCAGTACAATTCAATGGAACAATCTTTTCCCATTGAATTAGCTTGGCACCTTTGTAATAAAATCAGTTGACTATAAATTTGAGGGCTTATTTCTGGACTCTCAATTCCATTATCCTAAATGTCTATCCTTATGCCAGTACCACACTGTTTTGATTACAATAGCTTTGTAGTAAGTTTTAAAATCAGGGAGCGTGAGTCTCCCAACTTTGTCCTTCTTTTTCAAGGTTTTGAAAAAACCTTGTTTTGGCTATTCTGGTTTTCTTACATTCCCATATGGATTTTAACATTAGCTTGTCAATTTCTGCCAAAAAAAAAAAAAAAAAAATCCAGGTGAAATTTTAATAGAGATTGTATTGAATATGTAGATCAGGTTGGGGAGTGTTACCATCTTAACAATATTAAGTCTCCAGATTCATGAATGTGGGATGTTTTTCCATTCATTTATATCTTCTTTAATTTCCTTTGTTTTTGTATTTGTTTTGAGACAGGGTCAGGCTCTGTCACTCAGGCTTGAGTGCAGTGGCATGATCTTGATTCACTGCAACCTTCACCTCCTGGATTAAACCATCCTCCCACTTTAGCCTCCCAAGTAGCTGGGACTACAGGGGCACACCACCACACCCAGCTAATTTTTGTATTTTTTGTAGAGATGGGTTTTTTCCATGTTGCCCAGGCTGGTCTTGAAGTTCTGAGCTCAAGCCATCTGCCTGCCTTAGCCTCCCAAAGTATTGGGATTACAGGCATGAGCAATTGTGCTCATGCACAGTCTTCTTTAATTTCTTCCAACAATTGTTTGTAGTTTTCATTGTACAAGTTTTGTACTTCTTTTGTGTTAAGTTTATTCCCAAGTATTTTATTCCTCTTTGATGCTGTTCTAAATGGAATTGTTTTCTTAATTTCATTTTTGGAATGTTGATTACTAGTTGTTTTAGTCAGTTCAGGCTGCTATAGCAAAATGCCATTAACTGGGTGACTTATACAACAGACATTTATTTTTCACAGTTCTGGAGGCTGGGAAGTCCAAGATCAAGTTACCAGAAGATTCTGTTCTTAGTGAGGGCCCTCTTCCTGGCTTGCAGATGGTTCACATGACCTCTTCTTTGTGTGTGGGCTTGGAGGAGAGAGAGAGAGAGAGAGAGAGAGAGAGATCATGTCATGTCTCTTCCTCTTATAAGGAAACTAATCCCATCGTGACGGCACCACTCTCATGACTTCATCTAAACCTAACTGCCTCTCGAAGGCTTACCTCCAAAAGCATCACATTAGGGCTTAGGGCTTCAACATTTTAATTTTAGGGTGACACAATAACAGTAGTGTATAAAACTACAATTGATTCTTACATTGATCTTGTATCCTGTGTCTTTGCTGAGCTTATTTATTAGCTCTAATATTTCAAAAATGTATTTCTTAGGATTTTCTATATGCTGGACCACAAATTCTGCAGATAGAGATCATTTTAATTCTTCCCTTTTTCTCTGGATGCCTTTTATTTCTTTTTATTGCCTAATTGTCCTGGCTAGAACCTCCAGGACATTTCTTTTTGGAAGATGAGGGCTCAGAAATGCAGTTTTCCATCATATCATTGAGTCCATGCCATGAAAGATTCAGGGAACAGAGAGGAGTTTTTTGAAAGTGATAGCATCATGGTTCCGCTTAATACACCTTCCCCTGATGACATGTTAAAACATCTTAGCAAAGAAAGTGCTGATATGCTGTCGTCCATTTTCCAAAGTATGACACTTTATCAGAAGTCGTAGTGCACAGATTTCCAAGGGTATTTTATCTCTAAATCATTTTGGGGGCTTAGTGACAGAGCTGGTGCAAAGCTGTATGGAGTTGGTTTTACTTGGACAAGCACTGCCAGATTCAGCACTTTGTCAAATTTCAGAAAAAGACAAATATAACTCCAAGAGAATTAGCCTGTAGTAATATTGTTATTAATGTGGTGATTCCATGGGGAAACAGACTCCAAACAACCCCAATAGGCTGCTTCTTACTTACTGATGCAGTTAATACATATTTTATCTTTTGTATATTTGTTTATACCTGCTCATAATAATGTTCTGGGTGTGTACCTTCTGCTCCCCTTATATTTGAGGACAAACAAACAGCTTTTTATGACCTTTATAAGTCCTTAAACACCAGGTGTGGTATTATGCATAGACTGTGTGGATAGTTCATCCTGACTCCTGCATGACTGTAGTGAGTGACTTTGATGATTGCTTTCCAGTCTCAGGCCTAGCACTAACTTTTCTCCTGCGTTCTCAACTACCCTTCTGAATATCTCCCGTAAAACGTATCACAGGCACCCCAAACACATGTAGCAAGCTCCTCACCCACTGTCCCTGCTCAGATTGCTCTTCCTCTGTGATTTTCACCTTCTCATAATGATGCTGTTATCTTTCTTATCAGTCTTTCAAGTTTATTTAATGTTGGTACCTTCCTCTCCCATGCTTCCTTTATCCAGTCTTTAATGGGTCATGTTGCCCCTCTCAAATTTGCTCACACTTCCCAGCCCCTGCATTCTTGGGCTGTCCACCCACATAAAGTGCCCAGATTTTAGGGAGGCCCCTATTCATCAGTTTCTTCAATGTTAATTTGTTGCAAGACCAACCTTCAAGCACTGTCCTGATCTCATCACTCCCCTGCCCATACAACCTCAGTAGCTCCACATTACTTTTAAAATTGAGCCCAGATTCCATAGCATGCAAAGTTCTCCTTAATTGGCCCCAGCGTTTCTTTTCCATGTAATTTCCTGGTAGGGCTGAACCTAATACCTTCCAGTATTGTCCCTTCACATTCTTACTCCCAGATCTTTGCTTATCCATCCCTCCAGTTTTGAACGCCCAACCCATCTCAGCATTCATCCTATTGCTCTCTTAACTCATCTCAAAGGTGATTGATATGGTTTGACTCTGTGTCCCCACCCAAATCTCATATTGAATTGTAACTCCCAATGTTGGGGAGGGACCTGGTGGGAGGTGACTGGATCATGGGGGCAGATTTCCCCCTTGCTGTTCTTGTGAAAGTGAGTGAATTCTCCTGAGATCTGATGGTTTAAAAGTGTGTGGCACTTCTCCCTTGGCTCTCTCTTTCTCTCCTGCTGCCATGGTAAAACGTGCTTGCTTCCCCTTCTCTTTCTGCCATGATTGTAAGTCTCCTGAAGCCTCCCAGCCATGCTTCTTGTACAGCCTGTGGAATTATGAGTCAATTCAACCTCTTTTCTTTACAAATTACCCAGTCTCATGTAGTTCTTCATAGTTATGTGAGAACAGTGACCTTCTCTTTGAAACCTTTCCTGATCTCTCCAATTATAGTATTCTAATGTACTTTCTAATCCTCTGTAGCACTTTAGCTATAGCTTTCATAGGCATTCACCACTTTCTGTGTTATAAATTAGTTGTGTTTGTGGATATGTTAATACCCCAATCTGCTATAAGCTCTTTGAAAGGAAACAGATGTTGACTGAATCCATGACAGAGTATTCTACCGTCACCATGGTTCACATTGCTACTGGATTGGATCAGAGCCTGATCATTTCTCACCTGTGCTGTTATAGTCACCTTTATTTATCTTCCAGCCTCCTATTCTTCTCTTCCTATTGTTTTCTAATTGGAGATACTCTCCAAAGCACCTGATGGGTGCTGCTTTTCCTGGTATGACCTGGTGTCAGCCCATGTCCTGAGGACTCCATCCAGATTTCTTAGCCCCACAGGCCACTGTCTCTCCACCCCAGTCCTCCCCACCCAGAGGTTCAGTGAACATCCTGAACATGCCATGACTATTCTGTACCCGTGAGCATTCTCCGCCTCCAGAGGATGGGGAGGTTACTGGATGCCCTGATAACTCCTTGCTGTCCAAAACAGAAGTATTTCATCTTTAAGCATATTCTGTACTCCTCCTTTTCCCTGATGTCACTATGAGTCCAAGCAGATCTGCTTCCTCAGCATCACTCATACGGCCTTCCAAACATACCAAGGTACAGTTTTGCTTTTTTACAAAATTATGTATGCACGTGTCCATCATTCCCAAAGGAGCAGAGGCTTTCTTTTTATCTTTACAACATCAGCATCTAGTCACCTGATAGGTATTCAATACAGGTTTGAATGAGTGAAAACAAAACCCAGGAATGCTGAAAACTGATGAGTGAACCAGAACCAACCATGCCAAGACTGTCTCTTTATAGCCTTCTGTGAAAGAAAAATTGTCCAAACCTGGTCTGCAGCAGAGCTTTCTGTATGATGTAATGCACAGTCTCTTTCTGGGAAGTAATTCACATTCCTGATTAAATGCTTGGGCGATTTTTTGATACTCCTATATGATTAAGAACTTCTGGGAAGTTAGGGTTGTCCACCCAACTGACTGATTAATCATAATCTTTAACCAGACTTTTTTTTTTTTTGGTTGTCAGTCTTTTCTTGCAGAGAGTATAAAACTTTGATATGTGCTTGTAAGCAATTTGTCTTAATTAATTTTAGGGTGACACAAACAATAACAGTAGTGTATAAAACTACAATTGATTCTTACATTAATTTGTCTGGAAAGTTCTTTTTTTTTTTTTTTTTTTTTTTAACACAGTTTATCCTAGGACTAATTCTGGGCCCTCCCTCTTGCAAAACAATTTATATATGAATGCAATACTTCATTTATTCTCTCTCTTCACCCCACCCTCCTCTCCCAGCTTTCCTTGTCCCTAAGATAGGGCACATGCTAAGTCTGGATGGATGAATGATAGGTCTCATAAGAAGGAAGAGAGGGAACTGATAGTACTTATGGGGGTGAGAGCCTCATGCAGCTCTATATTATAAAAGAGGAAATGAGGAGGTAAAGCATCCTACAGGGACCTGAGACTAACAGGTTGGCAGGGTACAAATCATGCAGCACCTTGTGGACGTGCTAAGGAATGTAGATCTTATACACACATCAAAAGATGAAACTGACTTTAGCTAAGGGCTGCTGAAATTCACAAAAATGTGCTGCATGTGTTGAGAGTTTTAAGAACAGCATTCTTAATGGTTGAGATGGGCTAGGATATGCTGGAGAAGCAAGCAATACTCAAGTCTCAGTGACCTAGAACAACTAAGATTTATTTCTTGCTCACGCAACATGTCCAGCCAGAGGGGTGAGGGCTGTGCTTCACACAGTTACCGTGCAGGACCTGGGATAACAAAGATGTTCCCATTTTATGATCGTCACAAGGCTCCAGGATTTGTTGCAACAGAGAAGAGAAGATAGAGAAGCACGCAGCAGCAATTAAATGATGCTGCTTGGAAGTGACAGACTTCTCACATTATGTCGACCAAATCAGATCACAGTCACACCAACTTCAAGAAGCACAGGGGAAGATAATAGTCCCACATTCCTGGAAAGAGAGAAAGTCTTGAAATATTAATAAATATTAGAAATGTCTACTCTATATAGCAAACACAACACAAGGGACAGGATGGCCACTTCAGATCTTGAAGGATGTTTTAGACAGTGACCAAAAAGAGAATTAAATCGACCTGTGTATGTCTGATTAAAAGGAAAGATTTCAGACCTTCAGAATGGCAGTGTGAGGGTTTTGGTAGACCCTCTCTCCAGTGAAACAGCCATTTAACTGGTAAAAATTATAAACAACTATTCGAAGCCTCTAGAAATTGTCCTAAAAGCATACAGCAAATGGAAAAACATTTATTCAAGAAAATCTACTATATGCCAGTAAGAGCATTAAGAGTTGGTAGCATTTGAGCCATGACTCATTCTCATGCCCCTGCCCCCATGTCCATGTGATAGAAGCTCTATCCAGGAAGATGTGGCCAAGAAGATGGGGGCTGCTTCTCTCCACTCCCCAGCTCCTAGTCTAGGACCCCTCTGAGAGGGGCACGCTGCCAGTGTATCTCATACCCTCTAGCCCTGAGTTGTGGAAGTGCTATTTTAGGCAAGTGTGGCTGAGAAGATCTTTTCCCCACTTAGAGCTTACTTGTGGGTCAAGGGCTTTGATTCAGACATAGATAGGTCAAGACAAATCTGGGGCCCCTGAGTGTGCTTTAATGGATGAAAATTTTATGCCAAGAGGGGGCAAGAAAAGAAAACCAAGTACTATTAACTTTTTCCCTCCCCCACCCTAACACACAGTACCCACTTGTAGAGCATAAGTTTCACTGCAGAAGTGGGCCACTGTCCCTGCTCCCAGCTCTGGTGTAGTGGCATGGGTGTTCTATCTAAAGGGAGATGCAGGTTGTCAGAAGAATGGGAATGGAGAGCTCCATTGCACTTGACTAGTCTTAAAAAAAAAAAAAAAAAAGGAGAGCTCCGCAGTTCTGCCAGAGGAGTAACTTTATTGGAAAGCAGCATGAAGCATTTCTTGCCTAAGTTCATTCACAGTAGACATGTTGGTGGTGAGCAATTAAGGGGTGGGGGCTGGTAGCTCCATGAATCTAGTAGCCACATGCAACATGGCAGATTGGAAAGAGACAGCCCAGAATACCCTTCCTGAGATGATGTTCACCCCAAGGGCTCCAGAAGCGTGGTGTACACAAGGCTGTATTCACTCAGGAACAATCAGAGAGGGTCATGGGTTAGACTGGAAAGCATTCTCCAAGCCACATAGATCTATCAGTAACATGTAGATTTATTGGAAGACTTTGGGAGAAGACTCAAAGGGCATAAGCATGACCTCAGAGCAAAACCCCAGCTCAGCAAGCTACTCTGACCCAGAGGTGACTCCTAGGAATCCGGACTTTAAAAAATTACACTCATCCTGGTGATCTGAACAGCTGGGCACCTGCCCCACTCTGCACCCCCTCAGGAGTGCCCAGAAAGAGACGCTCTTTAACTAGTAACTCTGAGCTACTAGTCCCTGGCTGAACATGGAGCAAAACTGTAAACTCCCTGAAATGTGAAAGCAGTCTCCAAGACACACACACACACACACACACACACACACACACACACCGAGTGGTAAAAGGCAAAAAAACCCTAACTGGCTGAGAGGGCTTAAGCACAACCTTTGACCAAAAAGTGGTTTATGCTGACTCAGGGGCCAGCCTCTAGGAAGTGAAGGGGAGAAACACCCAAGCAGAGACTTCAGAGGCTCCATGTGGTCGGGAAAATAGACATCACAGAGTTAGTCACACAGAGTCCCTAAACGAACAAACAAATGACCAAACAACAAACTCAGACGGGAGGGAGAAGAGGGAGGGAAGGATCAGTACACAGAGTTGCTACCATGTATTATCTAAAGTGTCCAGCTCTCAAAAGAAAGCTCTAAGTCATGCAAACAAATAACAAAGTGTGACCTATGCACAGGAAAGGGAAACAAACAAACAAACAAACAAAAAACAGGCTTGGAAGGCCCCAGAGGTTGAACTTTGCAAACAAAAACTTCAAAGCAGCTATTATGAATATATTCAAAGAACTAAAGAAAACCATGTTTAAAGAATTAAGCAACAGAATGACAACAATGACTGAATACATAGAAATAGAAATTATAAAAATGAACCAAATGGAAATTTTGAAGTTGAAGTGTACAACCCTGAACTTAAAAACTTGCTAGAAAGGCTCCGTAGTAGATTTGAGCTAACAGAGGAAAAAATCGGTGTGAACTTAAAGAGAGATAACGAGAGATTATGCATTCTAAAGAACAGAAAGAAGAAAGAAAAGGAAGCATGGTCTCAGATCAACATGGGGCACCATTTAGCACCCCAATATTTGCATATGGAATGCAGGACAAGACCAGAGAAAGGAATAGAAAAAAATATTCTGTCATAATGGCTGAAAACCTGCCAGATTTGATGAAAAACACTAATCGAAGCATCCAAGGACCTCCATGAAATCTAAGTGGGATCAATGCAAAGAAAGCCATATGCATTCACCCAGACACATTATAGTCGAACTGTTGAAAGTCAAAGTGAAAGAGAAATCTTGAAAGAGGCAAGAGATAAACTACTCATTATGCACAAGGGAACCCTGATCAAATTAATAGCAGAATTCCCACTGGAAAAATAGAAGCCAGAGGCAATGAAAAAAGTCAATCAACAATCTTATATTACCCAGCCTGGTGGCACATGCCTGTAATCTCAGCATTTTGGGAGGCCAAGGTGGGAGGACTGCTTGAGCCCAGGAGGTCAAGACCAGCCTGGGCAACACGGCAAGACCCCGTCTGTATAAAACATTTTAACAATTGGCCTGGTGTGGTGGCATGCACCCGTGTTCCCACCTACTTGGGAGGCTGAGGTGGGAGGATTGCTTGAGCTTAGAAGGCTGAGGCCTCAAAAAAAAAAATCCTATATCAAGCAAAGGTAGAAAGCTATGTTTTGAAAATGAAGGCAACTCTCATACATTGGTGATGGTGGGAATAAAAAATGGGGCAACTGCTTTAGAATAGTTTGTCAGTCCTTTCAAAAACTTCAACATAGAATTACGCAGCAATTCTACTCCTAGGCGTATACCCAAAAGAAATGAAAACACACAGCCGCACAAAAACTTGTATATGAATGCTCATAGCCAAAAAGTGTAAAAAAGTCCAAATGGCCTCAACGAAGGAGGAGATAAATAAATGTGGTATTTTCCTACAATGGAATATTATTTGGCAATAAAAAGAGATGAAGTACATGCCCTACAGCAGGGAGGAACCTGGAAAACATTAAGCTAAGGGAAAGAAGCCAATCCCAATGGATTCCATATTGTGTGGTGTCCGACATAGAAAACATCCAGAATAGGCAAATTCATAGAGACAGAGGTTGTCTTATTGGCTGCCCAGGGCTAGGAAAAGGGGGAGTAAATGGGGAGTATCTGGCTGCTATCACACAGTACCACAAATTAGGTGGCTTAAAACAACAGAAATGTATTCTTTCATAGTTCTGGAAGCTAGAAGTCCAAAATCAAGGTGTTGGCAGAGCCATCCTCCCTCCAAAGCCTATAGGAGAGGCTTCTTCCCTCCCTCTTTCAACTTCTGGCATCCCAGGAGTTTCCTGGCTTGTGGCCATGTAACCCCCAATCTCTGCCTCCATCTTCCCTCTGTGTCTGTGTCTGGCTTCACACGGCATTCTCCTCTCTGTGTGTCCATGTCCAAGTTTCCCTCTTCTTAAAAAAACACTGCTTGTATTAGAATAAGGCCTACCCAAGTGACCTCATCTTAACTTGATTACATCTGAAAAGATCCTATTTCCAAATAAGGTCACATTCACCAGTACTGGGGATTCAGATTTCAACATATCTTTTAGCAGGGATGTAATTCAACCCATAGAATCCTAATAGGTACGGCGGTTTTCTGGAGGGGTGATTAAAATGTTCTAACATTGATCATAATGATGGTGGCATGACTCGTTGGATATTCTAAAAACCATTGACTTGTGTGTTTTGAATGGATGAATTGTGTGGTATGGGAATTGTATCTCAAAAAAAATGTTTTTAAAAATGAAATAGAAATAAGAATATCCCTAGATTAAGAAAGAAAAAAATGGACTTTGTGGCTAGAAGCCCATCTTAAAAAGAAATACTTAAAGATGGTCTTCACGTTAAAAGTTAGTGACGCTAAAAGGTAATTCAAATCCACATTTAAACACACACACACACACACACACACACACACACACACACACATATACACACACACACACACATATATATACACACACTCTCACATACACACATGGCCGGGCATGGTGGCTCATGCCTGTAATCCCAGGACTTTGGGAGCCTGAGGTGGGTGGATTGCCTGAGGCCAGGAGTTCAAGACCAGCTTGGACAACATGGCAAGACCCCATCTCTACAAAACATATAAAAATTAGCCGGACTTGGTGGCAAGGACCTATAGTCCCAGCTGTTCTGGAGGCTGAGGTAGGGCAATGACTTGAGCCCAGGAGGCTGAGGTTGCAGTGACCTGAGATTACACCACTCCACTCCAACCTGGGCAACAAAGCGAGACCCTGTCTCAAAAAAACAAAAACAACAACAACAAACCAGTTCCAGCTAAGGTAATTATGTAAGTAATGATAAAAGGCAGTATAACTATATATTTCTCTTTCTTTTCTTTGCTGATATAAAAAGCAATTACATAAGAGAGAGGAATCCATACATGCACTTTTACCCACATAAAGCCAGACAGCCCCAGGATTCTTTCTAAATTTCAGCCATCAGCCTGGTTCTGTCCAACTTCCAAGCTGCTCTCCTATCCCAATATTTCCTGTCCTTGGTGGGGGTTCCTGGGGTATTGACCTATTGAACCTGGCATGATTCTGCCACCAGCCACTCCTGAAATGGAAGCCAAATAATTATTTTTGAGGCATTTCTCATTGCTGCTGATACTGGTTGAGAAACTACATGTGTTCTTTGCTGAAGAAACAAAAACACTTATCTGAAAGTTAATCACACTTTCTAAATGACAGAAATGTTTGGCTGAAGTTAAAAACTAAAGGTTAAGGATAAAGGTCCATTTTCTTAGATTTAATCCCCTTGGCCTTGGTCCTACCCCGGGCTGGGAGATTTTTAAAAGCAAAGGTTAGCATCTGTCTGAGAACTGACTGGTCCACATATAATACAACATTGGTTTTTTTCTTTTTTTAAGTGACATCCACTGATTCCAAGCTTTTTATGAGCAGCTCTGGTTCTTGGCTGTCTTGAGTAGAGAATTATTATTGGCATTGCCTGAAGTGTGTCAGCTGTTTGAGATGCACTGTTGCCGCATCTGATTGTGATGGCGACTCCTAGTATCTTTCCTCATCCAGAGAGCAAAGGAGGTCTACTTACTGGTGTGGGAGTTTTTACAGTCCCACATTCCACTGTCACTTTTGCTCTGAAATCCAATGGGGATGCAGTAGGACTCTGTATTTGGAAATGGTGCCCTTCGCATTCGCAGCAGAGGATCAAGATCAGAGCTTAGTGATCTGACACCCCCTCTCCTAATCTGTGCTGCCAACCCAAGTTGTTTATTACCCTCGAGTTGTTTATTACCCTTGGGTTGGAGACATCTTAGAAGAGAGAACTCCAGTGGGTTACTCCTCTGCTGGAGAGGCACGGAGCCCCACAGGGAAGACTAAGTGCAGCAGATCTAGTGGAGGAACTTGGTGACTGGGCATCTGGGGACCCTGGGGAGAAGTTTAAAGCTGCCAGTTCTCCCTGAACCCGAAAAGGTGAGGCAGGGATGGTGGTGAGGGAGATGACAGAGTCAGGGATCGAGGGGCAGAAAGGATAAGCTGAGTCATTCCTTTTCCCACCCCCCCACCCCCCGCCCCGAGATGGAGTCTTGCTCTGTCACCCAGGCTGGAGTGCAGTGGCTCTGTCTCAGCTCACTGCAACCTCCACCTCCCAGGTTGAAGTGATTCTCCTGCCTCAGCCTCCCGAGTAGCCGGGATTACAGGCACCCACCACCATGCCCAGCATCTAATTTTTGTATTTTTAGTAGAGATAGGGTTTCACCAGTTTGGCCAGGCTGGTCTTGAACTCCTGACCTCGTGTCCACCCGCCTCAGCCTCCCAAAGTGCTGGGATTACAGGCATGAGCCACTGCGCCCAGCCTGAGCTAAGTTATTTCTAACCAAAGTTGGGAGAATGCAGAAAGGACCAGGAAAGGGGGAGCATACCGTCAGCCTCCCAGGCAAGAGCCACTGGGCCTGTGACCACAGCAGGATTCCCCCCTCACTGGTATTCCAGCAACCTGCCCTGAGCCCCGGGGAGCTCCCAGAGGAAAAGAACTGCCTGTCTGAGAGTCACAGCTGCCCGAGTCTGGCTGAACACATGCCCAGGGACAAAGAGCTGCGGGGCAAAGACTGGTGAACATCTGATGAAAATGTCGTGTTTCCGGATAAAATTTACTTCTCGGTAGTCAAGAGAAGCCTTAATCATGCTGCTGAGCTCACGTTCGTACCTAGAAGATCTTGTCTATGCAGGCTGGACAAGTGGTCTCAGCCTAAAAGCCCTCAGTAGCAACCATGTGATTTAACACACCTACCTCTTGCCTTGACCCCTAATAGCGGTTTCTCAACAACAACAAAAAAGCGTGTAGAAAGCAATTATATAAAAGAGAGGAATCCATACATTCTTAAAGTGCACAATAAGGCATGTGCTTATTATATATTGTGTGCCAAGAATTAAAAAGCACACAATATATATGTTCTTTGGCTTTTACTCTTGCTCAGGAGAATATCAGAAAGCACTGGGCCTTTTTTAGGGAAAGACGGTTTGCTGGGATACTATTATTCAAGAAATTCTAACAGTAAACGCATGCTGATTTAAGAGAAGCATGTTTGGGGGGTATATATTGCCAATACCTTAAAATAAAAGTGAGTATAAAGCTATAAGGACTGTATCCATGATGATTTACTTCCTAATTGATCCTTATGATATAGGATCATGGTATAGGATCCCCGTGTTGTCATTTACCCCTTCTGATAAAGATGGTGAGCGAGGCTAAGAAAATGAGTTTGGAATAAAAAATGGAATCCCACCCAATTGCTTACAAGCTGTGTGACATCAGGCAAGTTGCCCAAGCTTTCTGAGCCCCGTTTTTTACTTTTTAGAATATAATAATTTTGTTCTAGAGGGATGTTTTAAGAATCACCGTTGAGGCCCAAGCCCATGTTTTATTCCAGAGCTTCTCAATGTTAATAATGCAAATGAACTACCCGGGATCTTGCTAAGGCGCAGCTTCAGAGTCATTATCTGGGGTGGGAGCCGAGATTCTGCATTGTTAGCAAACTCTCTTGCTCCCATGCTGGTGTGCTGTGGCTGGTCTGAGGAGCTCACTTTGGACAGCCAAGTTTTGCAGCACTCACAGCGCGGATGCCACCCCCTGCAGCCCTCCGCGGGGGCCTGGTGAGAGCCTGCTGGGGACCCACCTGGGACTCATGAAGGCCCATCATTCAGTGACTGATCAGCATGAGTGAAGGCTGGATATCTGCCACTTATCACAGCTAATGGAACTGTCTCCCTTAGATAAATTGAGTTAGAGAACAGCTTTAGGGTTAACAAACTAACTTTATACTTTATTTTCTGAGCCCTTGACGTCTGTGATCCCACTGGGTTGATTTGGTTTGGTTTTTCGGTGAGACCTGTAAGGGAGAGGTGCTATAAATAAATCCAATTTACAAAAAAACAAAGTCAACGACACTGGACCTGGCCCCTGCTCTTCCATCCACGCCCCACAGCCTGTGATGGTGATAATGCACTTCGTTCTTTTCATTCTTGGGCACACCCTTTCCATCCCCCATAGCCGAGGCGTAGTCAGGGGGCAGGTCTGGCTAAAGATGCTTTTTTGGCCCCTTCATTTCTTTCTCTTTGCTTCCTGCGTACTCGTCCCCACAGCCCTTTCTTTCCTAGGAGCTCCCGTGAGGACCTGCAGGGATTCTAGTCCATCACAGTTGCTTGCAGACGCCCTCCCAGCCAAGGCTCAGTCATTGGTCCCCGTCTGTCCAGAGTTTTGCCAGTTGGTTTATGAATTAATTTCCTGGGGCTGTCTTAACAAACTGAGTGGCTTAGAACAACAGAACTTTATTCTCTCAGAGGTCAGGAGGCCAGCAGTCAGAAATCAAGGTGTCGGCAGGGCTGGTTCCCCCTGGAGCCTCCAAGGGAGAATCTTTTCCATGCCTCTCTCCCAGCTGCTGCTGGTGGCCGGCAACCCTTGGTGTTCCTCGGCTTGCGGACACAACACTGCAATCTCAGCTTCCATCCTCACGTCGGCCTCTGCCCTGTGTCTCCCTCTGTCCTCTTCTGTCTCTTACAGGCACTCTCATTGGATTTGGGGTCCATCCTAATCCAACGTGACCTCATCTCAATCCGTACTTCAATGACATCAGTGAAGACCCTCTTTCCAAGTAAGGTTAAATTCCGAGGTTCCAGGAGGAGATAATTTGATGGAGACACGATTCAGCTCACTAGAGTTTGGAAGAATTTTTCTGATGGGAGGTTTGGAGGATGGGAGAAAAAGAACAGGGAGACCAAAGCAGAGAGGGAAATGAACTTGTCCGTGAGAAATGCAGGGAGCTATAGGGGATCCACGAGACCCATTGGTGCCCGCACAAGGACACAAACCAGTCTCCTCTGCCCGGCCACAGTGGGGTAGCGGGATGGGCAGGGCACAGAATGCCTGGCAGAGGGTGGGCGAGAGATGCCAGGAGGATATAAGGCACTTTCTAGGCCCCGTGGGCTGTGAGAAAGCCTTGTACCTGGAAGTCAGGGGAGTCTGGGGTCAAATAAGGACACATTATTAGGCTTGGCTGCTGAGAAGCTCATTTGACATTTGGAAAATAAAAAATGAAATTGTTGAGGGATCAGGCATTGCTAATAGCTTATAAGTAGCAGAAATTATAGGCCCAGCCTCCCCTGCAAGTGGGACTGACAGTGGAGAGCTCAGGAAAGAGCTTGCGGGTGGGACCTTGGAGATGAGGACCTGAGAGCAGTGGGGTCTCCTGAGGCAAGAGGCGGTGCCTGGGGCCGTATGTTGGGGAGGAAGTTGCAAAGAGACATCCTGGGTCTGCACACTGCCCAGGAAAGAGCACATGGAAGCAGACAGGAGGCGAGGCCAGGCGTCATTTTGCTTGGATTACCCAGGCAGGAGGGCACTGGAGAAGACTTTGAGGTGAGGGCAGGCTGGGCTTGGGCTGAGCTGCAGGCAATCTTACAGTAAGACAATCCCCCTGCTCCTTATGTTTAATTGTGGTAAAATATACCTAACATAACATTTGCTATTTTAGCCTTTTTTCTTTTTTTTCTTTTTTTTCCCTGAGACTGGGTCTCACTCTGTCGCCCAGGCTGGAGGGCAGTGATGTGATCTCAGCTCACTGCAACCTCCACCTCCCGGGTTCAAGTGACTCTTGTGCCTCAGCCTCCTGAGTAGCTGGGATTACAGGCGCGTGCCACCACACCCAGCCACTTTAGCCATTTTTAAGTGTACAATTCAGTGGCATTAAGTACATTCTCATTGTTGCGCATGTCCCTTACTTTTTTATCATGAGCAAGGGATGGAGGGCGATGACTTATTGTTGGTGACAGAGTGCCATGAGGAGGTGGGGCTAGAGTCTTGGGCAAGGGGGAGAAGAGGACAACCCCCCCCCCTCCAGCTTGTGATAAAAGGAGCTTAGGTTCTGCAGAGAGGTGGACTTTGTGGAACTCTGGAAAGCACAGTAGAGATACTGTTCAGGAATAAATGGGCCCTGATTTCTGCTGTGTCCCCTCGGGATGTAGCCCTGCTAATGCCAAATTTGCTTTGAAAGCCAGAGAAAAGCCCTCGATGTTGATAAACAATCTGTGATACAAAAGTGCACAGATTTCTTTAGTATCTTTACTCTAGGAAAACAGTACAGTAAATTGAGAAGAGACTTCAGTGCAAGTTCTCTTCAAATACGTGGGGCATCCTTATACTAAAAAAGCGTTTGTTGTTTATCCGAAATCCAAATTTAACTGATGTCCTGTATTTTTATTTGGCAACCATATTCTGATGAGACTTTGATATCTGGGCTAACTAAATCCGGAACTTTCGCTAACTGTGCCCTACTGTGATGGGGTCTTCTCACCAGTCACTAATCCATCAGAAACCCACTGCAGGTTCAGGCGCGCGTGGCCAGCGCATTCCTAGTCCGCCACACTGCTACCCAGACAGAACATCCACTGCTTCCACATTCTCCCCAGGCTGCAAAGAGTTCCCAGGAGACTTTCTTTTCCCCCCTCAAAGCTGTGCACTTGGGCCTGGTTTCACCTGCAGAGAAGTGGGTAATGGCTGATAGAGGAAGAAGCGGGTCCCTAAGACAGTCGCCTCTGCTCCACAGTGCCATCTAGAGGAAAGACAGGACATACGCTCTGAGAAGCGCAAGGCTGGGGTGTTAATAAGCAGGCCCTTGGGAAATCTGGAGTGCCCTGTTCCCCTCATTATGATCCCGATCCCAGGCAGAAATGCCTGTGGGCTATCACTACAAAAGGAAAACAACCAAAAATGCATCCAGGATTAAAACCACCGTTTCAAAAGCACATCATTAAAGCAAGCTGTGACCCAGATGTTTGTTTTGGTGTGCTTAAGAGTTTTTCAAGCAATTGAAAAGAGTGGAAAAAGTGAAACACCAAGAAAAAAGAAAAAGAAAAAAAAAAGCAGAGCAAGGAATGTTGTTGGATGATTCTCTGTGAGCCAAGGAGGACCTTTTTATTTAAAAATCTGTAAGCTTTGGTGTTGAGGGAGAACTACTACAAAACTAGACTTGAATTATCATTGGAGCAGGATTTTGAAAATTTATTAAGAGTAGCAGGCTGGGCGGCGTGAGGGTGTCTATAGCCCGGATGAAGGTGCTTATGAAGTAAAAGGCATGTCAATGGGAAATGTGGTCGCTGGAAACATGTAGTTAAATTCAGTGCAAAGAGTAGGACAACCTCACATGTGTCCTTGTGTGCAAGGGAAATCAGCTGCCCTCTTGGCTGCTTTCTCACACTCCGGTAGGGCATTGCCGGTCCATCACACAGAGCTGTCTATAAGACACTGATGGAGTACTATGGAAAGCTTACGGGCATACACAATTGGGCTTAGTCCCTTTACCACTCATTCACTTTATAATTGCAGGAAGCAACTTAAGTTCTCTTGTCAATTTTTATGTACTTCAAAGAACTACTAATAAAATTCGAATTTATAGAACATAGACCCCCAAGGGGCATTTTGTGTTGGTGATAATATTCTACTAACTTGAAAAGTTGCAGCAAAGATGCGCCTTCCACTAAACTCTAACTCAGTCTCTTTCTTTTTCTCTCTCCTTGTCTCTCTCTTTCTCTCTCGCTCCCACTTTCTCAAAGGGTCAGAATGCCTGGGTTCTTACCTTCATATTAGCTCTGAAACAGACTTCAAGATAAAACCTAGCTACGTCGTTCTGGCTGAAACTTTGTAAGTGTTAGGTATAAAGTAAGCACCCTGGGTCTTGCTTCTGTTAATGGGCTTGCAATTGTGGAAGCTGCCACTACGTGGCGTCGTGAGTCACAGTGAATCCTAGTGAGTCACAGGCATGAAACCTAAGTCCTGGCTGTCCCTAGTCAAGGCTATTTATGGTCCTAGGTAAGTACGTAAACTCGTCAGCTGTGTTTATTTTTTTTCATAAACATCACATTGATATTGATATGGATGTAAACCTCTGACAATAATTATTAGCTGATTTATTTTTTAAATATTGTATTTATTTTTACTATAATATTTTCCAATAACTATATTATATTTATTGTATAAATAATATCCTTTGGAGTAGGGTTAAAGAATGTGGGCTGGCATCAGCGATGTACCTTCAGAATGTGTCTTATCAACTCTAGTTTTTCATACTCTGTTTTAGAAAGAACATACGTTACTCCTCAGTTCCACGGTGAATATTAGCAAGTCTTCCATATGGAAACAGTCACATCGTGCTTTTGGGTCTTGGTGTCAGATATTCTCTTACACCTGTTTATAACTTACCAAGGAAAATGCTTACTTACTTGTTTCCAAGCCCTTCTTCTATTTCTGGAACTTCGTTTTCTACTTTCAAGCGGGGTTTAGCTATTACCAAGTTCTGTACTTCAGAGAAGTTTGTTTTACATTGTAGAAGAGCACTTGCCAGGCAAGATGTGCAGAAAACTATTCCTCTGGGCTTTACAACATGTGTAATGGTCTCTTTCTAGTCTGGAGAGTTGCACAGGCAGCCAACTGTCCCCACTCTTTCCTTCCTTTAAAATGTAAATGTATTTAAATCAATAGGGTGTGATGGTTAACAGCCTAGGCTCTGTTGGTCAGGCACGCTTGGAATTGAATGGTTGTTCTGGTACTACTTCTTATCTTCTCTAGGCCTCATCTGTTTCCTTATCTATTAAATAAGGGTATTAAAGTATCTTATTTCCTGGAGTGGTTGTAAAGATCATATATGATCATGCTTATACTAGGTGGTCACAATAATGGCTCAGTTTAGATTAGCTATTATTATTATTTTATTTCATTTTTATGTATACCCTATTTCCTTATACAACACATTAGAGGCTACTTATAAGACTGTCTACCTTAAAATAGTAATCAGTGCCAGAAAAGTTTTTGAATTAAAATGAAAGAGTGAGGCTGGGCAGGGGCCTGTGGGGGAATGAAACACAGGTATTGTAAGATACAAGTACTCATAAACTTCTACTCAGTTACTTAGACTTAGCCACATATTTGTTTCTGAGCTTCCCACTAGCTAAAGTGAAAAGAGAATCAGGTTCACTCATGCGATTCCTATGGACCACAAGGCAAAACCTACCAGTCTCTCAGCGAAGCATAAGGGGTCTTGGTTCTTAACTCCAAGAATATATATTCCTTATGTGGGGCATCATGTGAACAGAGACAGTAACCCTAACAATAACCCTATATGAGGTATCGTAGACACTTTAAAAATATAAGCCGAGGGAAAAGTAAGAGGTAGTTTTGCTCCCCAGAGAACTGGGAACAAGACCATGTGCTGGGCAGAATTCTGAGATTCACGCCCCCTGGTGTACACGTCCTGCATAATCTCTTCCCCTTTGGGTGTGGGCAGGACAGTGTTGGCTGTCACTCCCACGATTAGATTATGGGATATACAAAGTGAAGTCCCGATGTAATGAAGTCCCTAATCAGTGGCTTTAAGTAATCAAAAGGAGATAATCCTGGGTGTTCTGACCTAATCAGCCCATTAAAGAAGATCTAGAGTTCAAGGAGAGTCTCTGCTAGCCTTGAAGAAGGATACTGCCATGCTGTGAGAGAGCCACATGGCCAGGAACTGAGGGCAGCCTCTAGGAGCTGAGAGAGACCTTCAGGTGACAGCTGATGAGACAACAGGGACCTCAGTCCTACAGTCCTGAGGACCTGGATCCTGCCATCAGCCTGAATGAGCTTGGATGAGAGCACAGCCAGCAAACATCTTGATTTCAGCCTTGTGAGACCTTGCACAGAGAACCCAGTTATACCATTGCCTGGACTTCCGACCTACAGAAACTTTGAGATCATCAAAAGGTATTGTTTCAAGCTGCTGAGTTTGTGGCAATTTGTTACACAGCAATAGAAAACTAATGCAAACCATATGGCTGGAATCCACAGCCTTTGAATAGATTCAGAAATAAAATCCAGAACATCTAGGGCATTTCCCAAACTAAACATTCATGGGAGATGCTAATATATGTGTCACATTAAAAGCAAAACAACTTTTTTCGTTGACCCTGACTGTTCGCATTAGAAAGGCCTTTGCTCTACTGGTGGGGCAGAGAGTCAGGTTTCTGGGTTGTAAGCAACAGAAATAAACTGACTCACATTTGCAGAAGAGAGTTTATGGAAAGGCTATAGTGAGGTCATGGAATCAAGGAGCAGGCTAAAGAAACAGTCTCAGAATGGACAGGAACCTGAAAACTCCAGGGGTCTCACTTCCAAAAAAAAAAAAAAAAAAAATCCTGATGGCCAGTTGCCACCAAAATAAAAGAATTTCATCTGTTCCTTTTCCCCGTCCCCACTATTATCAGATAACTCCCCTCAAGGTTCAACAGCTCAGCAAAGTCTGAGTGGCCTGGCACTTAGCCACAGGAGAGCAGGAGACCTGAATTAACAGGTGTGCCAAGATGCACACAGCGAGCGAAAGGTTATCCTCCCAAGCTCAGTTGTAACCCGAAGGAGAGAGAATGGATAATGGGCCACCCAAAAACAAAGGGGGTTCACAGAAGTAGATCAGACTGACAAGTTTAGGGGTAGAATCTGAGACTTCCTCCTTTATGTCTTAGTGTTAGAGGAAAGGGGAAGTCACTTTTGTAAGAAACGGTGAAGACTTTGGAACCACCAAATCCAAAGCTTCAGGAGAAGTAGAAAGAGGGGAGCCGGGGGTGTGGGGTGGAACTACGCAGGTAGTGGAAGGCTGGGCAATGCGGTTCTTCCTTGTGAAATCCAAGATTTTGAAGAGATCGGATGCTGCACGGAGCGGGCGAGGAGCCTGAGCTTTGTGCCTGTGCAAATGAGAAGAGATACTGAATCATGAAGCTTTCACTTCTGAGCATTAGCAGAAACTGCAGCAAGACTTCTGACTTTTACAAGCTATGGAATCGGCTGGAGTCTGAGCAGTTTTATCCTGTGAGAAAATGGATCCCCAGTTGCCATTGAACTATATGTATTTGGCAAGTAGTGTATCGTAAAGCTGCTCTTTGGAAACTCATAATAAAACTAGCATATCAAAAGCTCTGTGCTGTGTTCGGGCCTCCCCACTCCATGTTGCTGTATTTGTTGTGGTGGCTGCAGGCTTATGATTGCTCAGGTTTGCTCAGTTCCATAAATTCTCACTAAATGCTGCATTTGTTGAAGGAATCCTGTTGTAGCTTCAGGGCTGTTCTTGCTGTTGTTTTTAAGCCATACACATGTGGATTATCTTTCTAAGTGACTGAATGGTTAAGAGTTTGGTGCGCATAGTTACACATTTTCATGAACTGTTGCATTTTGTTAATGCATATTGCTCCTTGACTTCATTGTATTTTGTCAGTATTTATTGAATGTAAAGATTTTCAGGTAAGATTCATTTATTCATTCAAAGAATATTGATGTGCGAACCACCATTCTAGGCACGTGGGAGTACATTAATGAAGAAAAGAGACTAATATCTGTCTTAGTCTATTCAGGCTGCTATAACAGAATACCTTAGGCTGGGTAATTTATAAAGAGTAGCGTTTACTGCTCACAGTTCTGGGGATTGGGAAGTCTGCAGAAGTCTAAGATGAAGGCACTAGCAGATGTGCTGTCTGGTGAGAGTCTGCTCCTCAGAGATGGCATCTTCTTGGTGTCTTCGCATGGCGGAAGGGACACACAAGCTCCCTCAGGCCTCTTTTTATTTTTATTTTTTATTTTTTCAGGAACAGGGTCTTGCTCTGTCACCCAGGCTAGAGTGCAGTGGTGCAATCATGGCTCACTGTAACCTCGAACTCTTGGGCTGACGCCATCCTCCTGCCTCAGCCTCTCAAGTAGCTGGGACTGCAGGTACACACACCACCCGGCTGGTTACTTGTTTGTTTATTTGTTTTTAGGGATGAGGGAATGTCGCTATGTTGTCCAGGCTGGTCTTGAACTCCTGGCGTCAAGCAGTCCTCCTGCCTCAGCCTCCTGTGTCCTTGGGCTTACAGGCATGAACCAATGTGCCCAGCTCAGACCTCTTTTAAAAGGGCACAAAGTCATTCATGAGGACTCCACCTTCATGACCTAGTCCCCACTCAGAAGCCCCACTCCTTAATACCTCCACGTTGGGGATGAGAGTTCAACGTATGGATTTTGGAGAGACACAAACTTTCAGACCACAGCAGATCCCTGCCCTAAGGGGTACATGTACCACACAGACACACACACAAACACAAACACACACACCGCACACATATACATACACACACATACACATACACACCACACACACACATACACATGCACATACACACACACACACACACACACTTGTGTGCAGTTCTGCAGTTAACTAGAAAACTTGGGTAACTTTTTCAGACTTTGTCCTAAACTAATTTGATCAAGGAACTTTTTTTTAAGGATATGTACCACGTTTTGTAGAGTAGTGTTTTGTTTAATGTACCACTCTGGAAAATGCTTATAAAGGCATCGCTGGACTGAATGTACTTCAGGAAAATCATCCATAGATACCATTTGTTTCAAAATTTGGTAAGAGTTAGGCGGCAGAGAGACTAAATTCTCCACCAAGATCTGGAGTGCAGATATTCTTTGTTGCTACTTAAAGGCAAATCTGTCTGCCTCACACGTCACATGAGTAGGGGTGACTTTGGTGAATCCTAAGGCTGTACTGGAGCTTGTCACTTGGCTACACGTCTATCTCAGACCTGCTGACAGGACCAGTGTATTTCTACGGGGTTCTGGATCAAGCAGTCCAGCCTCTTACTGGATCGTGTCTCTCAAGTCAGCCTCTGTGGAGTTATATCCGCTTCCCCTGGGATGCGGTGTGAGACCAGCACATAGTGAGCATGGACATCACTAGATTGAGTGAAATGTTCCTGGGCTGTGGGGACTTCACGAGACCACATCTAATTTTTGCACAAATATCTGTCACTCACCACCTACCTGTGCTCGTCTGGTTGCTCGGTTGGGATTTTTTGACAGGAAATAGGAGACTTGGTTAAATGTCTGTGTAACTTTGAGATGCTTGAGGAGAGAGACACTTTGCACTGACCCCAACAGGTTTCCTTATGCACCTGATTACAACAAAGAATCTCGGGTTCTTGCTTGGGAGAGTGGCTGAGCAGCTTTGCTGCACGTTGGCTTGTCCACCCAAGCTGGAAAAACCTGTGGTCCAGAGTCCCAGGGTGACTAATGAACATGTGTGTGACAAGGGAGAAAAAAGTTTGGGGCAATATTATCTTTTGGGGATAACTGCCTTTGAGGCTGTCTTCCTGGTTATTTTGAGGATGTGTGATTCACAGAAGAGAGACGGACCTACACATTGGTCATCCTCAAGATTTTCAGGGCCATCCTAGAATAGCCTCACCCTGGATCCCAGGAACAGACCTCTTTATCAATAGTGGCATTCCTTTACATCCTCAGCTAAGTATAGTTACAATGATTGCTTTAGAGCACTCTAAAAAGAGTGACTACAGTGGCTGTGTTTGCCTTTATACTTTGAAAAAAGAATGTCCACAACAACAAATATTTATGAAGCTTTATAATTAAAAAATACGTTCTTTAGCTAGAGACTGCTAATGTTGAAAAGACCACCCCCACCTCCCCTCCTCATTTTACCAATGAGGAAACTGAGGGCTTAGGGTCAGATAAATTCATCGAAAGCTCCCTACTAGGGGATGAGCTGAGATTATATCTTGAGTCCTCTTGAAGGAAGCTAGTCTGACACACGTATGTTCCCCATAGGGCCGTCACATTCTTATGGTCACACTATACTCAGATGCCGTATTAGTCTGTTCTCATGCTGCTATAAGGACAAACCCAAGACTGGGTAATTTATAGAGGAGAGAGGTTTAATGGACTCACAGTTCCATGTGGCTGGGGAGGCCTCACAATCATGGTGGAAGGGGAAGAAGGAGCAAAGGCATGTCTTACATGGCAGCAGGCAAGACAGTGTGTGCAGGGGAAATGCCCTTTATAAAACCGTCAGATCTTGTGAGCCTTATTCACTATCAAGAGAACAGCACGGGAAAAACCCACCCCCATGATTCAATTACTTCCCATCAGTTCCCTCCCACGACACATGGGGATTAAGGGAGCTACAGTTCAAGATGTGATTAGGGTGAGGACACAGCCAAACCATATCAAGTGCTATCTTAGCAAAATCGCCACCAAAAAAAGGATGAAAATTACACGGGCCACTAGATAGACCATAGGAAGAATAATTTTAACAGCACCAGAGCTTGTTCGATCTCAGATGGAAACATTTGCATCAGGTGACTTAGATTTTTTTTGCTGCTCTGTACACGTTGGAGAATGACTGTGAAAGTGCCGTCAGTTTGATTTGGAGGTGACAAGTAGCTTTTAGCAAGTAGGTGAATTCACAAATATGGAATCATGAATGATGAGAATCGGCAAGATTTCTTCATTCCTTTGATGCGGCATGTAAGCCCCCAGGCACTTAAGAAGGTCAGAGGGAGATGGATGAAGATGAGGATTACGGTCTCTGCCCTTTATTAAGAGCCTCCTGTGCATGGGTAAGGCTGAGCACTTGATGTTTTGCTGGGGCTGACCACAAGCCCCAGGGAACAGAAGTGTGTAGTCACAGGCAGAGCCAGCCCCCTCATCTTGCTTTGGTGTATCCCATTTTGTAAATCAAGAGTCAAGACCATGACCATGAAGAATTCAGAGTGGAGACAGAAAAGGGCAATTTATTTAGTCCCACCAGCCGGCAACCAGAATGCCAAAGCTCCAGAATCCTGCAGCCCTGGGACAAATGCCCTGAGGATGCATAAGCCCACGGAATCCCAGAATTCCAAATGTCCTTCGGCCCAGGTCCAGCTTCCAGTCTGTCCGGTACCATGAACTACCGCCAATTCCTCATGTTCTCTTTGTTTCTAAGGTTCTTGTCTGAGCAGGGAGGCGGTAGGGGTCTGAGTCACTGTGAGGCACACACAGGGAATGTCTAGAAGGAGGCCTGGGCCTAAGGAGGGGTTCTCAAGAGGGAGATTATGCTCTGGCGTTTTGCCATCAAAGAACTTTATTTCCTAATGTTTATTCTTCAGCTCAGCCTCGGCTATACCTGCCTAGCTGGTGTTAAACTAATGAATCTAACATTCCCTTCCCTTTGCATTGGGGTTTGAGTATGAAACCTGTTTGACAGGGAATTGGGGGAGAATTTGTTTGGATTTGCCTTGACGAGGCCTTTTTCAAAGATTGGGGAGGCCACTGGTTTCTCTTAAAAGTCAGCAGCGCCCCAGGGAGAATGTAGGGACTGTCCTTCCACAGTTGTCTTGGATTTCAGGCTCTCTAGAAACGTCTGGCCACTGGTTGATTGACATGGCATAGACTTTGTAAAAACAAACAATACGATATTGAACCTCAGGGGAACTAGCACTTGATAACATGGCTTGCTTAAGGAAGTTATAAAGAAGAAAAAAGAAATGGGGAAAATTCTGTTAATGGGAATCAGAACAATTCTAAGATTTTCCACTGGGTGGCATTTTATTTAATGTTACTACATACAGTCACGCATCACTTAACAAAGGGATACCCTCTGAGAAATGTAAAGTTAGGTGATTTCATCATTGTGTGAACATCATGGAGTGCACTTACACAAACCTATATGGTTTAGCCTACTACACACCTGGGCTACCAGGTCTAGGTACCTGGGTTACCTATTGCTCCTAAGGTACAAACCTGTGCCACATGTTGCTGTACTGAACACTGTAGGCAGTTGTAACACAATGGTATTTTTGTATCTAACTGTATCTTAACATAGAAAAGATACAGTAAAAATGCTGCATTATAATCTTACATCCTATCATACCATTATCGTATATGCAGCCTGCTGTTGGCTGAAATGTCATTATGCAGTGGATGGCTATACATGCTTCCAGTTGGGGCAGGTCCACAATCTAAATTATTTCTGGGAATTGCCGTTTAAGACTTCTGAAGAGTGGGGAAATTTGCTTAGGTGGGATTCTCTTGCTTTTTACACTAATTAAATACATTTTTAAAAAGTTCCTTTTCCACACTCTGCACACTTCTTACCATCATTCTTAAAAAGACTAGAAGTTTGAGCATAAAGACAATATTTTTTTCATAGTTGCATACGTCTACCTCGAATAATGCCTGGCAAAGAGTTTATGGGTGCTGCATACACGCATGCCTGATGAATGAATGAATTAGGAATTACGGCTGCAGCAGTACGCTACTTGTATGCATTTAATTCGAATTATCAGACTATATAGATGCTCCTAGACTTATGATGGGATCATGTCCTGATAAACCCATCATAAATTAAATGGAAAATATCAAAAGTCAAAAATGCATCTAATTTACCTAAACTGCCAAACAGAATAGCTTAGCCTGGCCTGCTAAATGCGCTCAGAACACATTAGCCTACAGCTGGGCAAAATCATCTAACACAAAACCTGTTTTATAATAAAGAATTGAATATCTCATGTAATTTATCGAACACCGACCTGAAAATGAAAACCAGAATGATTCGATACTCAAAATATGGTTTCTACTGAATGGTTACTGCTTTCACACCATCGTAAGTCAGAAAATCGTTCAGTCAAACCATCATGAGTTGGGGACTGTTTGTAGCAGGGTCAGCAAACATTTTCTGTAAATGGCTAGATAGTACGTGATTTAGCCTTGGTGGACCATACTGGTTTTGTCTCAACAGCTTGATGCTGCTGTTGCAGGTTTGAAAGCAGGCAGATCATATCACAAGGCATAGCTGTCTTCCCATAGAACTTTATTAGCAAAAACAGGCAGTCTGCTGGATGTGGCCCATCAGCTGCAGTTTACCCTGATCTACATGAAAGCATACACTGGCATCATACAAATGTTAGAAACCAATGTAGTAAAAGATAAAGAGATTTCAAGACTCTGTGAGTGGTAGACAGCATGCTCTCCATTCACCAAATCCCATTCCACCTTCCACCTGAACACATGGGAAAACCACATTTCCCAGCCTCCCTTGCACTTAGCGGGAGCCTTGTGACTAAATCTGGCCAATGAGCTGTGTCCAGAGGCAAAGTCCACCATGTCCAGACCTGGCCCATAAGACTTCCTGAACACTGCTCCATGCTCTCTTCCCTCCCCTGCAGACTGGGTGCAAATAATCTAGTGAAGGACTCCAGGGCCCTTCAAGTTGGTGTACTCACTTGCTGGAGTGAGCCTGGATCCCTGAATAACTCTGTGGAGGAGAGTCCTCCCCACCCCTACTATGACCTCATAATGGACTGTGAAGGGTTGTAAAATACACCTGTGCTGTTAAGGCACTGAAATTCAGGGGTCATTAGCCTGTCCTCTCTAATAATACCATGTCTGGGCTCAGATCTGGATAAAGGAAAGAAACTGAAAAAGAAATAGAATTCTCTCCAGGGCTAACAGCCTCCTGTCTGGTGTACCTGCACTTTTTGATTGGGGAAGAGAGGAACGAGGAGGTCTTAGTGCTCGCAGTCTTAGAAAGTTTATGTATAAGAAGCAGTACTGTAGTTTGGGTCTGAGAAACGGGACCTTGAAGAGAGAGTCACTGTGAGGTAGGGTGGCAGAAAGGGATATATAACAGATAAGTAGCTTTTACAGAAATTGTACATTGAGGCTGGGCATGGTGGCTCACGCCTGTAATCCCAGCACTTTGAGAGGACGAGGTCAGCGATCATTTGAGGTCAGGAGTTGGAGACCAGCCTGGCTAACATGGTGAAACCCCATCTCTACTCGGCGTGGTGGTGTGTGCCTGTAATCCCAGCTACTCGGGAGGCTGAGGCAGGAGAATTGCTTGAACCCGGGAGGCAGAGGTTGCAGTGAGCCGAGATTGTGCCATTGCACTCCAGCCTGGGCAACAGAATGAAACTCCGTCTCAAAAAAAAAAAAAAATTGTACATGAACTGCACCAAAACTTGTAGCCAGGATTTATACTTGGTGTGATAGTTCATCTCTGTACTGGTTAAAATGGATTTCTTTAAGCTAGCCTAGAACCTCCCATGCTAACATCATTTATCTCTCTCTCTTTGGCTGTATAAAGTAAAATTTACTAAAGTTAAAACAGTCAACCAGTACCACAACCTCAGTGGCTTAGCAAAATGAAGTTGATTTTGTAGTCACATCCGTGTCAATCCAGTATAAGTTGGTGGGGGTGTGGCACTTGGGCTCTGCTCCACAGTCATTCAAAATCCAGATCCCCATCACCTTGAGCATCTCCCCCCACCCCTTCTCCTTCACTCTCCCTCACCTGAGAAATGGGAAAAGAAAGATGGAGGGGGATTGCATGGGAGGTTTTGGAGGTCAGGCCCAGTCATGGCATGCATTGCTTCAGCCTGAATTCCCTCACTCAGAACTCAGTTACACGGGTCCACCTCACTGCCAGGAAGGCTGAGAGACACAGCATGACTCGCGAGCCCAGGAAGAAAGCAAAATAGGATGTACTGGACCCGCGGCCATCCTGGCTTAGTGGGAAAATACTTTGAGCTCCCAATAACCAAGTGTACAAGTAAGTTTCTGAAACCAACCTGTTCTTAAATTGAAGCCTTGCTGGTGTTTTGTTGAATTACTGCAAGCCTTTGGTAATGCTTCCTTGTCTGGAAGGGCCGTGAAAATAACCCAACACCAGAAAGAGAATGAGATTTCTCACAGCTGATTGTGCCACTGCAGGAAGCCCACAGGTGGGGCAAAGCATTTGTTACTTCTCTGTGGAGGGGTCTTTTGGTCTGAGAGCTCCCGTGAGCCCTGCCGCTCTGGTCACTCACGTTTTCTGCCCTCTGCCTTTCCCTGCAGAGTCCCCGCCTTTTCCCCAGCAGGGCCCTGGTCACTGGAAAATTGGGAGTAAACCCTGTCGTCCTCCCAGCAGCAGGCTCCGCAGATTCTGAAGATAGGCACAGACAAAAGAGATATTCCTCTTGCTAAGTTGGACTGTCAGTGATAAAACAATTTTTATGTGCTAAAGAACTAAGAGAACTCTGTCAACTAGAGGAGGAAGGGAAGGAACAAGACAGTGAACAAGATGGTGACAGGGACAGAAAACTCTATCTTCCCACATAACATGACCACGTTTAATGGCCCCTGGGCACGTACAATTAACTGGCCCAAACAAATATATATTTTTTAAAGATGGGGTCTCGCTGTTGCCCAGGCTGGAGTGCAGTGGTGTGATCATAGCTCACTCCAGCCTCCGACTCCTAGGTTCAAGTGATCCTTCTGCCTCAGTCGCCAAGTAGCTGAGACTACAGGCGCGTACCACCATGCCTGGCAAATATTTTTTTCTTTTCCTTTCTTTTTTTTTTTTTTTTTTTTTCTTCTTAGAGACAGGTCTCACTTTGCGGCCCAGGGTGGTCTTGGACTTCTGGCTTCAAATGATCCTTCAGCCTTGACCTCCTAACATGTTGGGATTACAGGCATGAGCCACCTTGCTGGGCCCCAAAACCCTTCTCTGAGAAGCAGCTCCACTGGCCGAATACACGCATTCCTTGTTTGGAGGGTGTTGAGGGAGTTGGGCTACCAGATGCTGTTTGGAAAATTTCACTTGACTGTGTTCTACTGAGGGTTTAGGCACTTTCCAGAGCATCTTAGGGAAAGACTTGTTATGTGAAATGCGATGTAGCAAAGGCTGGTCTGGTCCCTTTCTCGTACCCCCGCTCCATACACAGAGCAATCTTTGGCAAGCACAGGCAGGAAGCCATGTTCGTGGCAGCGAAAAGGGAAGATGTAGCCCCTTCTCCTTCCCCGCCATCAGGCCACCTCTAGTGGGAAGTACTAGTTGGCTCATCCCTTCACTCCTCCCCAGTTGAAATGTTTCCCTTCCTTTGAGCTCAGCATTCGTGTGGGGCTCTGTTGTCATTCCTACTCAAAAGGATAGCTGTAATTCTGAAATCCTCAAGGTTAGGGCCTATTTCTATTCCCAGCAGGCAGCCCTGGATCTGGCATGGAGCAGGGGCAGGACGCTGTGCACTGAGTGGTGAACGAGTCTGCCTGCTGGTGCCCAGCTGAGTGTGGGACATTTAGGGCACCCCAACTGAACCCTAAGCTACCTCCCCCTGGACCTAAGGTGATCAGGGATTTTGTCTGTACATAGGATTGAGTGGACTGTAATGGAAGCTCTTGTGTGTCAGGGAGTCTGAGGTGCACGGAGTGCTGGGGAATGATGGGCTTATGATGGGGACTGAACCGTGTTGGCTGCTGGAGCTGTGAAGAAGACACTGGAAGGCTATTGCTGCTGCATGTCTGAGGGGGCCTGAGGCTGCTACAGGTCAGCAGGCTGGCAGTTAAGGAGAAAACGGGGATGCAAAGCAGGGAAGAGCAAGGGCAGGCTGGAACCTGCAAAGACAAAGCAGAACCCACGAAAACCAAGTGGATTCTGGGGGGATGAAGTGGAACCTGCACAGGTGTCACCATCCTGACAGTGCAGGTAACTTGTGGAAGAAGCTGGCACCCTTGGCCACAGATCTGTACATGTGCCTGCCCCAGGATGTGGAGAAGCTGACCCATGATGTGGAGAAGCTGAAGGAGAAGATCCAGGCAGGAGTTAAATGTGCTGAGGGCACCTGTGAGGTTGACCAGAAGATCAGCTGGGCTGTTTTTAAGCAGAAGCAGGCCTCTGACCTTCAGACCCGGAAAGTGGATGCGTCCTTCTGCCTTGCAAGTCTCTTTCCATTTCTTCTGTGGCCAGCCCTAACCCAGAACCAAACATGGTGGGGCATTCTGGGAAACGTCAGTAGGTTCAGCTAAGCCAGCACGGTGCAAGGCCACACATACCATCTCTCAACTGCATTATTCACACTCATGTAGCTACAGGGGTTTAAGTATTTTATCATAGGAGCCTTTGGAAAGAGCCTTTTTAGTGAAACACACTGAAGTTTGTTTTTTTCAGAGACAAGGTCTTGCTCTGTTGCTCAGGCTGGAGGGCAGTAGCACAATCATAGCTTACTCTAGCCTCCAACACCTGGGTTCAAATGATCCTCCCGCCACAGCCTCCAGAGTAGCTGGGGCTACAGGCACGCATCACCATGCTCAGCTAATTTATTTTTATTATTTTATTTTTAGAGATGTGGGTCTTGTTTTTTTGCCTACGCTGGTCTCGAACTTCTGGCTTTAAGTGATCCTCTCACTTTGGCCTCCCAAATTGCTGGGATTAATTACAGTGCCCAGCCCCGACTGAAGTTTTGACTGGTAAGAAAAGATAAAGTAACGAACTTGGCCCCTCATGCCAACACTTATTGTGGCCAGTAAATTCTGTTATTTATTTTTGTTGTTGGAGAAAAGAGGAAGGGAAAGAGAAGGACGAAGATTGTAGTAGAAATAAAGATTTCTGTTGAATCTTGAATTGGGTTTAAAAAGCTTCCTTCTATTCTGAGTGTGTGGGAGATTGAAGTCTAGGTGGCTTTAGCCCAGTGTTTAATATTGAAATGTCTGCAGAGTGGGTGCAGTGAGCTTGCAGGTGCAGGAGGTGGGGAAGTGAGTCCCTGCTGAGCTTAGAGTTTCTAGAGAAGATGAAAATTGATCAAAAGAAGCTGGAAATCCATTTTTTTACGTGAAGTCTTAGTAATTAAATATTCTAGATATGCTTTTAAAAGTATTTTTATAAATATTCTAGGTGTGCTTTTAAAAAGTATATATTCTACAGTTATTTTGAATGCATCAAAATGTATCTGTAAATTCAAATTTGCTGATCATAATGTTTGAATTGTCTATATTTTTCCTGAGTTTTTTGTTTACACTATCAGTGAGAGAGGTATGTTCAAATCTCTATATGGTGAAGATTTGTCCATTTCTCCACTTCCATCTGTGAAATTTTGCTCCATAGATTTTGATCCTATGTTAATAGCTACATAAAACTTTAGAGCTGCTATATTTTTCCAAATCTTTATGTCATTTGAAATATCCCTCTCTTCTAGCTCTAGCTATGCTTTTCACCTTGAAGTCTGCTTTTGTCTTAGTAGAGAGACTCCAGTTTCCTCTGGGTTAGTGTTTGCATGGCAGATCTTTTGCCATCTTTTTATTTGTCATCTGTCTTTGCAGTTGTCCCATCTTCTTATGCTTGATTATTTTGGGTGGTGCCCTGGACACATATTTGAAAACATAATTTGAGGATGAGGAAGATGTTATCTCCCAAACTCCAAAAGGGAGTTTCCTTTTCTTCTGCCAGGTGTCTGGAGGTACTTGATATCTGAGATTGTCATGATTCCAAGCTGAGTTGCAAACCCCTCAAGGCTGCCCTATGGAATCCTAACACAGAGCCAAAGGGTGTATGAGGGCCTTTTGCTCTTGCAGAGTCTTAGACCTCAATCCTTGTCACTCTGGCCCTGTGATGTTGGAAAAAGAGCTGCTTAACCATCAACTGTCCCTTCCAGAGTCGACAGAAGCCCCAGGAGTAAAACATCCCATTGCAGGGCTCATCTGCTTGGGCACTGTCTTCCCCTATATGGTGGCTTAGCAGTTATTAACTATTGCATCATTGCATTAGCTTTCTTTCTTTTTTTGAGACATAGTCTCACTCTGTTGCCCAGGCTGGAGTGCAATTGTGTGATCTCAGCTCACTGCAACCTCCACCTCCCAGGTTCAAGTGATTCTCCTGCCTCAGCCTCCCGAGTAGCTAGGATTATAGGCATGCATCACACGCCCATCTAATTTTTTGTATTTTTAGTAGAGACGGGGTTTTGCAATGTTGGTCAGTCGGGTCTCGAACTCCTGGCCTCAAGTGATCCGTGTGCCTTAGCTTCGCAGACTTCTGGGATTATAGGCATGAGCCACTGCACCAGGCCTGCATTAGCTTTCTACTACTTTCAAGCATATTTGCAAAATATTTTGTCTGCTATTTCTAGCTGCCCTTAGTGGGAGAGTTGATTCAAGTTTCCTAGTCATCCTCCTTTACCTGAAGCAGAAGTTCCTTGTTTATTTTCTATAGGAAAAACTCCTTTCTCTGGCATAGTTAACTAGCATTTTCTTTATGATTTCATGTTTTGCTTCAAAAGCTGATGGTTATGGAATATTGAAATTTTACTTCATAATTTTTAATAGAACACATAGTGTAATTCTGGACACATTAAACACAGTATAATTCTGTAGTTGTTAAAGAGGGGTGATTTTACAGAAGTTGGAAATACTATGCTACAAAGAGTTCTCATATTTAATAATATATTTTATCTTAATCTCACTGATTTTTACAAAGCTTATAGATATCAAAGCTTATAGAGGGGTGCTTTTACAAAAGTTGGAAATACTATGCTACAAAGAGTTCTCATATTTAATAATATATTTTATCTTAATCTCACTTATTTTTACAAAGCTTGCACATCACAGTAGACACTTGAAATAGTAAGTTTTTATTATCTATAATAAGTGTATTAGTCCGTTCTCACATTGCTATAAAGACATACTGGAGACTGGGTAATTTATAAAGGAAAGAGGTTTAATTGACTCACAGGTCCACATGGCTGAGGAGGCCTCAGGAAACTTACAACCGTGGCAGAAGGGGAAGCAGGCACCTTCTTCACAGGCAGCAGCAGAAAGTGTGCGCATGTGAAGAGGGAACTGTCAAGCACTTAGGAAACCATCACATCTCATGAGAACTCACTCACTATCACGAGAACAGCATGGGAGAAACCGCCCCCATCATCCAATCACCTCCCACCAGGTCCCTCCCTTGACATGTGGGGATTACGGGAATTACAATTCAGGATGACATTTGGGTGGGGACACAGAGCCAAACCATATCAATACGTTAGCAAATATTAATTTTAACGAAAATATTAAGACAGGAGCAATTTGCTCAAGAGATCTATTGTATATCATGATGACTAAGTTAATAATAATATATAGTATATTTGAAAATTGCAGGCTGGGCGCGGTGGCTCACGCCTGTAGTCCCAGCACTTTGGGAAGCTGAGGTGGGCGGATCACTTGAGGTCAGGAGTTCAGGACCAGCCTGGCCAACATAGTGAAACCCCATCTCTACTAAAAATACAAAAATTAGCCGGGCATGGTGGTGGGCACCTGTAATCCCAGCTACTCAGGGGGACGAGGCAGGAGAATTGCTTGAACCCAGGAAGTGGAGGTTGCAGTGAACCGAGATTGCGCCACTGCACTCCAGCCTGGGGACAGAGCAAGACTGCATCTCAAAAAAAGAAAAAAGAAACAAAGGAAATTGCTAAGGGAGTAGATTTTAAGTGTTCTCACTACAAAACAATAAGCATGTGAGGTAATACAAATGTTAAACAGCTTGATTTAGCCACTCTACAATGTATACATATATCAAAACACCAAATTGTAAGCCATAAATATATACAATTTTGTCAATTAAAATATAAGTAAATAGAAATTAAAAATATAAAATTTAACCAAAATGCTTAATGATCTGACAAAGGAACAAGGACTCTAGCTTAATTGGGAAAGTCAGTCTTGAACAGAGAGCTCGGAGCCCTGCTGTCCTGGGGCATTCATAGGGCAGGAAGCACCCCCGTGGGGAGGATCTGGTGGAGACGGGGCTGCCCGCTGGGCTCTGGGTCCCAGCCAGAGGGCCTCACCACACTCGGCAGGGACTGTCACCGGCAGCCACGGATCCCTGCGTGAAACCGGCAGGGCGCCACTTCATCAGCAGCTCCTTTTACTGTTAGCCTGGGAATTTCTGAATGAAACACACATGGAGGACATCTGTTTTCCAGGTTTCCCTGTCAGAGCAGTGAATATGGTGATTTTGTTTGAGAAAGGAAAAAGAGAAAGCCAGATATGAGCTCACTTTTGAGAGCCTGGTCATGTTTCTGTATCACTGAGTTTGCTCCTATAATATTTACTCCTTTGAGAGTGATATTTTTTTCAATTAAATGAATGTGTTAGGCAATTTCAACTCATGATGTTTCTCTAGCCTAGGACTCTCCGTGAACCACAGACAGACCCATTTTATCCATCTGCCTTTTAGACATCTCCACTTAGATGCTGGCCACCTCAGACTCAGCACATGCCCCACCCAAGTCACATCTCCCCTAACCCTTGTCCTCTTCCGACTCTTTGTCCTCTCTTTCCCTGAGATGAAGCAAGCCTTAAATGCTTTCCCCACAGCGCATGAGGGTCCCTTGTGCTCAGAGTGCAGGTGCCATAGAGGTTGTTTGAACAGGCCCATCAAAGTACCCAGACACCTGTGGATGAGCTGCTTGCCAAACCAGAGAGAACTATGCACAAAACTCCACTCTTTTGGGTCATCATCATTATTATTATTTTTGAAACAGTATCTCACTCTTTCACTCAGGCCGAAGTGCGGTGGCACGATCTTGGCTCGCTGCAGCCTTGACCTCCCAGGCTCAAGCAATCCTCCCACCTCAGCCTCCTGAGTAGCTGGAACTACAGGCACAACTACCATGCCCAGATAATTTTTGTATTTTTTGTAGAGATGGGGTCTCACCATGTTGCCCAGCTGGACTTGAATTCCTAGGCTCAAGCGATCCTCCCACCTTGGCCTCCCAAAGTGGTGGGAAAACAGGCGTGAGCCACTGCACCCAGCCAACTCCACTCTTGTAATACACAGACATTGTTAAGGATCTACAGAAAGTCATTCATTTCATATTCCATAGTCCAATTAAAAACTGTATTTAAATAAAGGTAACAGGGTACTCCCTTCCTCATTCCTCCCTGTCCTTCCTAATACTTGTCCCTGGAACGTTCTCTGGGGCCTCAGCTGCCACTCTCTCCACCAGCCATCCTCATAATGTCTTGACTAAAGAACAGACCCTTGCTGGGCCATTCTCATTCAGAGGGACAAAAATGACTTCTCTGACCAAGAACTTTTCCAGATAAATGGAGACTAAAGGAATATAATCACTATATGCAACAGGTGATCCTACATTGGGCTCCAGACCAGATAAAGGACATTCCTGGAACAACTGGCAAACTTTGGATGAGGCCTGAAGATGAGTAATTTTTAATAATGAATAATAATGTTGTGTCCACGCCTATTTCCTGATGCTGATCATTATACTGTGATTATGCACGATGATGTCCTTGTTTTTAGGAAGTCACACTAAGTCTCTAGAGATAAGGTGGCATCGTGCCTGCAACTTACTCAAACATTTCAAGAAAAATGTAACTGTGTGTGTTGGCCCACATGGGTTTGAAGTGTGTGTGTGTTTGCACACACATGGAGGGAGAAAGGATGAATGATAAATCAAAGTAGTTAATTGTTCACATTTGACCAATCTTGAAAGGCATAGAAGAAGTCTTTGTACCATTTTCCCCACATCTTTGCAAGTCTTATATTATTTCACAGTAAAAGGTTTTTTTTAAAAAAAAAAATCGGCTAGGCGTGGTGGCTTATGCCTGTAATCCCAGCACTTTGGGAGGCTGAGGTGGGTGGATCACTTGAAGTCAGGAGTTCAAGATCAGCCTGTCCAACATGTTGAAACCCCGTCTGTACTAAAAACACAAAAATTAGCCAGGGGTGGTGGCGGGTGCCTGTAATCCCAGCTACTCGGGAGGCTGAGGCAGGAGAATTGCTTGAACCCGGTGGGGCGGAGATTGCATTGAGCTGAGATCGCGCCGTTGTGCTCCAGCGTGGGAGACAGAGTGAAACTATGTCTTTAAAAAAAAAAAAATCTTAACAGGTAGGAAAACTAACCAGGTAGTGACCTCCGAACTTGAAGTACTTCTGGTCCTCTCAGGTGCAGTCTGCTCCGAATTCAAGTTCTACTGTTGGGTTTCCAAAGAGGCTGAGCTCTCTGCTTCTTTCAAGCCAGATTCTCCAAATTCCCCTCACCCGGCTAAACAGACAATATGTCTTCCTCTCCTGGTGAGGTCTCCCGGTGACCTGAGAGGTCATATCTATATCTACTCCCCATTTTTCATGTAGAAGCTTGCTTTCCTCTTTGATATCTCACTAGGTTCCACTTTTTCTCTCTACTAAAAGAGCCAAAGGCTGGGTTTATCCATGGCAACGTGTATCAGTCAGGATCTGTGCAGTAGGTCATGCCGCACTAACAACTGCCCCTGAAGTTCAGCTTACTTAACTTTGTGGATGATAACTTTTGAGTTGATTGCTCACTCGTGCCACATATCCAGCATGGCAAGTGAGGGCATATCTGTGTTCATTGTAGTCACTTAGGAGCTCTGGGTGATGGAGGCGCCATCTTGTCTCATGCTTCCAAAATCACCACAGCAGATGAAAATGAGTGTGGTGCATTACTCACTGACTCTTTATAAGTTTCTTTCTTTCTTTCCTTCCTTCCTTTTTTCTTTCTTTCTTTTTCCCTTCCTTTCCTTTGCTTTGCTTCCCTTCCCTTCCCTTCCTCTCTCTCTCTCTCTCTTTCTCTCTCTCTTTCTCTTTCTTATACAGGGTCTCATTCTGTTGCCCATGCTGGTGTGCAGTAGCTGTGTCTCACTGCAACCTCTGCCTCCTGGGTTCAAGCAATACTCCTGCCTCAGCCTCCCGAGTAGCTGGGATGACAGGCATGCACCACCAAACCCAGCTAATTTTTAATGTTTTTGGTAGAGACAGGGTTTCACCATGTTGGACATGCTGGTCTTAAACTCCTGGCCTCAGTTGATCCGCCTCCCTCGGCCTCCCAAAGTGCTGGGATTACAGGCGTGAGCCACTGCACTTGGCCGTAATGTTTATTTTCAAAAGAGACAAGTGATTTCCGCTCACATTTCATTCACCCTGAAGTTCATTCCTACATTTTGTTTGTGAGAAGGAGAGATAGAAATGCATTTGTTACAGCCCTGATGATTGTCGCAGCACTAAAGCTCAGCCGTTAACCTGATTTTGACAGTGAAACTTAGCATAGCAGCAAAAGAGGCATGCCCACAAGAAGCAAGGATGCTGAGGGCCACCAGGGCCCAAGTTGGAATTACAGATTGGCCAAGCGTTGCCTGAGCATCTCCTCCTCTGAGAGGAGGCCCTGACCTGCTCCGTGTGTGCTCCCACTGTGACCTGCACGGGCTTCCGTCTTCCCACCCTAGTATGCTTTCACTCTTATTTTGTCATAATTTTCTGTCTTGTTAGGTAGGTGGATTTTACATGCACCACAGATGTTTACTGAATGCGCCTATCCATAGAAGACACCTATTATTTGCAATAGAAGGCACTGCACTAGGTTCTGGGATATAAGAACAAATAAGACATTGGTTCTGCCCTCATGACATTTCCTGGCCTGCCATGAAGACAGAGAGGAAAACAGACATTTTACATTGAGAGAGTAGAGCTCAGCACAACTGACCTATTTGGGAAAGCAAGAGCGTGGCGAGAGGAGGGGAGGACATGGGAGAGAGCTGTTCTGCACCACACTGGATAAACACTGTCCAGGTTCTCCATCCATCATTCTCGCCAGCCAAGAATAGGGTCCGTGACATGCAGCATGCCAGTGGTGGGATTAGAAGTCAGGGTTTAGAGGCTACTGATGTGTCCTGTTTTTGCAAACAAGAAATACTTATTAGACATCTGCTACAATAGTAAAGGCTAATTCTACTTACATATAAGTAACACTTTATAATTCAGGTACCCCTGGAAATCATGGCTCGTTTTACAAATGAGGACACTGAGGCAGGTAACTTGTTGGGGTCCTTAAAAGTCCCAACTACACTGTTTAGAACTCAGGGTCCTGATTCCCAGGCCAGCGCACTTTCCAGTAATCCATCCTGCCTGGACCTTGTTTGAGATCCTACCTGCCTGAAGGTCCTACAGTCTCCAGGAAGAGTTTACATTCACTTTCCTGACAGGTGTGGGGAAAAGTCACATCGATTCATTCACAGTCCTTGGTTAGGATGAGCCAGGTGGATGTGTAAGATCCTCCTTTTCTCTGGCTTGCTGTTGGATAATTATAAGGATGAACAACGCACAATAAAAGTGACTTTTCAGGAGGTACCGTCTACACTTGAGATCCCAGCTACCAAGCAGATGGTTTGCTGACTCACAGCTGCTGCTGTAGCCAGCCCTGCTTGGTGATGTAACTGCTGTGGGATGCAGAAATATGGGAGGGGGAATAAGAGCCTGGGGTCCTGCTTCTCTTGCCAGGATTCACTTGTCTGCTACAACTTGCAGCCAAGGAAAGGATGCTGAGTCTCTGGGGCCAACACGGGGAAATGTTGTGGCTGCAGGCCAACCTTATCTTTTCCATTTTCTGAGGTTTGGAAAGATTTCTGGCTCATGCTAGCCTCCCATTGATTAAATGAGATAATGTATGTAGAGGCCTTGGCACATAGTACATAGCCAATAAATGGTAACCGCTGTAATAGTAATAATTACAGTAATAATGGCCTTAATTACTGTAGTAATAGAGCAATAATTATTTAATAATCATAGTAATAATAAATATGGTAATATAATAATCAGTGGTGTGGGGAGAGTAGTGCATTGGGAGGGAGGCTCCCAGTGGGAAAGAGTTGTATCAGTGATGCAAGAAAATGAAAAGCAGACTGTGTGAGAATGCGCTGTACTTGCCCTACAATTTTGCTGGCAAGCTAAAACTGCTCTAAAAAGTAAAGTCAATTATTATTAATATATTTTTTTTTTTGGAGACAGAGTCTCGCTCTGTCACCCAGGCTGGAGTGCCTTGGCACCATCTCGGCTCACTGCAACCTCCACCTTCTGGGTTCAAGCGATTCTCCTGCCTCAGCCTCCTGAGTAGCTGGGATTACAGGCACGCGCCGCCATGCCCAGCTAATTTTTGTGTTTTTAGTAGAGATGGGGTTTCACCATGTTGGCCAGGCTGGTCTTGAACTTTTGACCTTGTGATCGGCCCGCCTCGGCCTCCCAAAGTGCTGGGATTACAGGCATGAACCACCGCAGCTGGCCAGTGTTTTTTTTTTTTTTTTTTTTTTAAATGAAAGAACAAAATCCCAGACTGATGATAAGTTGTTATTGTGTTTCACTTCTCTAAAGACAAGGCGCCTCCTTATTGCCTGTACCAGGTGGACCAGTTTCTACCACCCAAACCTTGGTGTGCCATTTTTAAATGGCCTCATTGGCTATGCAGATACTCAAATGAGTCATATGTTAATGAAGAAGTAAAGTTTGCTGGTAGGATGAAAGCTCCAGTGACTCTTTATTCACCACTGGGTGTTGTTGAATGCTGGCGAAACTGGCCCAGGACATGGCTGGGCACAGAAGCTGCAGGTCTTGGGCTGCTGGTGGCTCTCTCCACGGAGCTAAGCAGCCACCTCATCTCCACTCAGCATGGCTGCAGTGGGTGTCTTGGCTGTGAGCGGCCCCTGGGAGGGTGCCCACCACGCCCCATGCCTAGTGAGAGCTCTCCAAATCCACAGACCAGGGCAAGACTTGTACCGACATTGCCAATGGGTTGGCTTCCTTTCCTTTGCCTGATGCAAGGTTCTCTTTCCTTTGAGTAGGAAAATGCCCAGATAATCAGAGAAGTGGAAGTGGACAAGGTCTCCATGCTCTCCAGGGAGCAGGTGGAGGCCATCAAGCAGCTCTGGCAAGATCCAGGCATCCAGGAGTGTTACGACAGGAGGAGGGAGTACCAGCTGTCGGACTCTGCCAAATAGTGAGTACAGAGCCCACCCTGGCCGCCCGCGGTGCTTTCAGGCAAGCTCGGCCACACTTCAAAGAAGTTTCTCGCTGAACGCTGCTGAAATGCGGTGCACAGTGGCAGCGCTACTTGCCTTTGCTTTCCCATATCCCTCCTGACCTCTTAGTGCCATCTCTCACCACCTCCTAAAGCCCTCGGTCACTCTGTGGATCGCAGACCTCTCTTCCTGCCGACACCCGCCTGCTCTTGCTGTGTTCTAAGCCTGTCGTTTTCAATGAGAGACTCAAATCAAATCTGAGGTCCCTTAAGTGGGACTGATCTCCTTAGGAGTGCTGAAATTATCTGATTTAAACAAGAAATACCCTTGCTTTTGGCTTCTACTTTCCTCCTCTCTATATCCCTCTGCCTTTCTGGTTTCCCCATCAGAAGACAGCAGGTCCAATTGCGCTAAAATCTAAAGTCAAGTTTAGAGCAGCGGGGCCGTGGACCCATCAGCTGCTGATCTGGTGCTGTCCTCTAGTGGCACAGATAGGAGGCTGCGCTCGCAGCACACACAGGAAGCTCAATCCTTTGTTTATTGGCTGCCTGCGAAGGCCTACACACTGTATTTTGGATCCATACAGCTCAATTTTTAATTCATTAATCCTTGAAGGTAAAAAGATTTCTATTTAGATGTCCCAGCATGCAAACTGTCCCATAGAGATGACAGATTTTCACTTTCTTGGGCATTTCCTGTTCACATCTGTAATCCCAGGGACTTGGGAGGCAGAGGTGGGAGGATCGCTTGAAACCAGGAATTCGAGACTAGCCTGGGCAGCAGAGCAAGACCTCGTCTCTGCAAAAATTACAAAAATTAGCTGGGCAGCTGCTCGGGAGGCTGAGGCGGGAGGATGTCTTGAGCCTAGGAGGTTGAGGTTGCAATGAGCCATGATTACACTCCTGCAGTACAGCCTGAGTGACAGAGTGAGACTCTGTCTCAAAAAAAAAGAAAATGTAAATAAATAAATAAATAATAATATCCCGGGGCAATGCCTCCTCAGTCTGGTCACCGGGTAAATAGTTTGATATGGGTCCTTCTTAAAGTGGCAATAACTCCTGCTTCTGCAGCTCAGCTCTTTCACACCTGTCCCGTATCATCTTCCATCCTCTGAGGGCTCAGAAATCCCTTCCCCAGACGTACCTCCTTCCCTTTGGGTGCCACTGTCACCCTCTGAGCAGGCATTGAGCTGGACAAGGCATTGGGCAGGAAAGAAAGCCAGAAGTGTCACCTCCTGTGGTTTCAATGGGCTTCCTTTGGTGTTTATCCCGGGCTGAGAATTGAATGTCATTAATCCAGGTTGGCACAACCAATCTAAGTACAGGAATGTTTAGATGCAAAAAAGCATCAAGGCAGGAAAATACAGAAACCCCACTGAGGTGTTAGATCAGCATAGAGAGGTGGAAGAAAGAAAGAGTGCCATGGAGGAGGGCTTGCCTTTGACAGCTCGAGGAGCCAGGAACAGGTACGACGTTCCTGAGCCATACCTGAGGTGGCCTGAGTTACCTGCCTCTGTGAAGGCCTGGGGATTGGCTAGGGCTCTTGATGTAGATCCATTTGGAAAAGATCCACCAGACCTGCTACAGAATTCAGTGTAACCCTGAAAACCATGGGGGCAAGGCCACTGACATGGACGAGGGGCGTGGCTAGGGTGGTGAGAGCTGTCACAGAGAAAACAGCCTCTCCTAAACCCAGTCGCCCAACCTTCCAAACCGGCAGGACTCAAGGCACTTGCACGTTTTCTCCATCTGGGCCAGCGGTTTTCAACCCCTCAGCTAGAGATGTCTGCTGATTGGACAATGTGATGAGTGCTTGTGATGCGCCAGGCACTGTGGTAAGGGCTGCAGGTATTATACAACCAGTGCTCTCTGCTCTCAGGGAATATACAGTCTGGTGGAGCAACTCAGGTGTAAATCAAATAATTACACATCAAAGTACAGCAAAAACAGTGATAAGCCCTGGGACTGTATCTGGGCAGAGAGGTGGGTTGTGGAAGGCTGCCCCAGAGCTTTGCTTCTGGAGCTGAAGGCATACGGTGAACAGGGTTTGCCTGTGACCTCTTGGTTAGCCTGCATGCGGACCTGCTCAGCCCCTGATGCGGTGCTGGGACAGGGCAGGGCCGACCTCAGCATGCAGCGGGCTCTGCATCTACAACTCTTTTGTTAGCGAGGGCCTGAGTTACAGTTATTTTACCTAAAAGTGTCTTTTAGAAAGGCCTTAAAGTTTTTTTTTTTTTTAAAGGATTCTCTTATTTTACTACAGAAAAAAAAAATATGTTTTAAGCTCAGGGCTTCAATATATGGCCAAAAATAAGTTAAGGCAAGTTTTGGGTTATTTTAGGAGATGTAGTTTCCCAGTGTCTTCAAGAGGAAAACTTGTTCTTGTTGCTGTTGTTTTGAATTTCTCCTCGGCCTGTTTTACGCCTGTGTATTTTCTTAGAAACTATTTAATTCATTGAGCAAAGCTTTAGAGAACAGCATCTCCATTATATAATGCTCTTGGACAAGGGTGAGTGGGAGGGAGAAGGGGCTCTGGAGGGAGGATGACAGATGGGGTGTTGGAGAGAGCCATTTCCAACATCCTGGTCCTTCCAGCCCCACTGTCTCCCTCGCTGGTCAAATAGAAGCGATAGAGCTTAGAACCCAGGAGGAAGAGACGGAGTGCTCTGCAGATGTCCCAGAAGGCGCATGGAAGTCCTTCTGACCCATATTGTCTTCAAAACAGTCGTAGGAAGGATGGAGAAGCCTGGCCTGGCACTGGCTCTCAGGAAAGTCATTGATGGAATTCGTGTGTCTGTGTGGGGCTCACTGTGAGTGGGGGGTGACTTCCTTTGAGTAGGATGGACATTTCCCCCTGCTCTAAAAGGAGAGTCAGTTCCTCGTTCTCTAATATACAGTTACCTGACTGACATTGACCGCATCGCCACACCATCATTCGTGCCTACCCAACAAGATGTGCTTCGCGTCCGAGTGCCCACCACCGGCATCATTGAGTATCCATTTGACTTGGAAAACATCATCTTTCGGTAAGTCTGTCTCCCTGATGTACCATGAAGAATCTGCCCAGGCTTGGAAGTCCCCAGGTGGATTCTTAAACGTGTTATTCCTAAGCAGGGATTATATCTCTTAGGACAGAGTGACCCTCTCTGCCAAGGGTATTTAGAATTGTGGTAGGTAGGTCTCAACCCTGGAATGGAGAGGAAGTCACCTTCCTGTTACCCTTGGAGAAAAAGGGTTTCCTTACTGGAAACTGGAATGATTCTTATGTGTAACACACACTCATACACACACACACACACACACACACACACACACACACACAAATGTATACTTCTGTATCCCACAAATTGAATGTAGTGATTATCGATGTCTTTTCCTTAAAGATGAATCATATTTCCTTTCTCCTCTATTTCCTTCTCCAAGATTTATCCTTAGAAAATTAAGGATACAAAAAATGTGTATGAAAACTGTGAAGAATAATATGTACAAACTAACAGCTGTGTAAAAATGTATGCATTTCCACTTACAAATATAGGAAATACTTTTAGGATGACTTAGTGAATCTTCACTGCATTTAGTTATGGTAAAAAATGAATAATAATATAGGGCATATATGTAGCACTGCACATTTCAAAGCACTTTTATATCCACTGTTTCCCTTGTTCCTCCTAACAATTATCACACACGATTTTCTAGTTGAGACAACACATCAGTCCTCCCACATCCGGGTCCTGTCTGATCCCCAGTTATAGCTCAGTGCTTCTCTCTCCAGAATTGCTGTGTTTGGGAAGCCCTCAGGTCCAGCCCCTCAAACATGTCCCCCATCTATATTAGCATATCCCTGATTTTAATAGTAGCCCTCTGTGCCTGTGTGCCCATGAATTTCTCTAAACCTTTTCACAATTAACTGCTTTTTGCAATGTCCAAAACCTCTCAGACTCCCAAGGATTTTGTTTATTCGTTTTGTTTTAAAAAATACTTTTATTTCTTCTAAGTTTATCCTTCTTGGACTGCGATGAATGGGTTTTGCATTACTTTCTAGAGGCTGGTGAATGGGTTTAACATCATCCACCAGTGAAATCTATTACTTTACAACTCAGAGCACCTCTCCCAGTGGGATATTTCTGGCTGAAAAATTCCGATCTTTGAAATTGAGGCTTTTATAGAATGGCTTCTTCAAGCTCAACCTTTTGACAATTGCAATGTCCTGTTTCAAGATCGGTTCCCTGCTGTGATAGCCAGCCATGAACATGTCATTGTGGGAGTGGCTGCACCTCCAGGACATGGTTCAAGAACAGTATTGAATTTTTCATTTTCCTTCCTGCACTTTTCCAGACAACAGTTCTGGGTGGTTGGCCTGTGGACCACCTAACCACAATGACCCAGTGCCTTCAGGGACTGGTGTGTGTGTGTGGTGGGGTGGTGATGTAGGGGTGGGTGGGGGTTACTTGGCAGCTGTATCTGGTCCATTATGTATTTTCTTTGGCTCACTTGGTGTTACTAAAAAAACGTTTGAGCTAACACATTGGATACCTTGTTTCTCCTGAAAAGGCAGAGACTGTGGTCATGGCAAGCCTGCGTCTTGTTCTGCAGAGCTTGGCTGCAGGTACGCGGCAGGCTTCCCTGTAGACAGGGCCCCCGGCTGTTGTGCCATGTATGTTTTGTACTTTGGGGAGCCCACTTGGCTCATTCCCATAAACTGCCTGATTCTTGTAGCATTTGAGCTCATGATCCCTGGGCTAGGAGTTGCTGAAATTTTTCCCAAAGACACAGATATAGAGGCTTTGGATTTCTGTACTGGACAGAGGACACTTGTAGGTTTTTATAGGGAACAAGAGGTGGCATCCAGGGAATGCAGAAAGGATTTACAGGTAAGTTAGAGGAGCCACAAAAACAGAATAGGCTCGGGTCCTGAAGCCAGCCTGGGAGACCCGGAAGACAGCTGGCCGCTGCGTCCCTCTTGAGTCTGGTATCCAGGGACTCTACAGTGGTTGTCACAGAACCCAAGTGAACGTTTGCGTTTTCTGTCTGGACACTGGTTAGCTTCCTAACCGGCAGGCTCCCTGAGTCACCTCTGCATGTCTTCAGAAATGTCATTTACATTCTCTCCCTTCTTTGCTAGGAAACATCCAGTGGTCCCTCATTGCTTAAAGCAGCAGCATCAAACATTTTAAAACTTAGAACCTCTTTTCTCTCTTAGAAATTACTGAGGACTCCAAGAGCACTGGTTTCCATGCTATAATTCATGTCCTTTTTCCCCGAAGTGTCATGTATTCCAACCTTTGAAGGATCTGTGTTTCTACACAACAGGATGGTGGATGTTGGTGGCCAACGATCGGAAAGACGGAAGTGGATTCACTGCTTTGAGAGTGTCACCTCCATTATTTTCTTGGTTGCTCTGAGTGAATATGACCAGGTCCTGGCTGAGTGTGACAACGAGGTATGCTGGGCGGGAAGTTTGGGTAGCTGTGGAAGCCAGAGCCTATTCTGTGGTTTCTAAGAAGGCAGCCGGGTCAGGAAATAGACCCTCGTCATTAGGTCAAACAGTCTTGCTACTCAAAGTGTGACCTGTGGACCAGCAGCACAGGCATCACCTGCATGGCTTGTTAGAAATGCAGTCTTACTGAATCAACCCCGACCAACTACATCAGCATCTGCATTTTAACAAGAACCCAGGTAATTCAAATACATATGAAAGGCTGAGAATCACGGGCCTGGAACCTGGGTTCTAAACTTGAATGCACACTGGAGTTTGCTGAGGGACTTAACAAAAACCTGGTGCCTGAGTCCAACCCCAGAGATTCTGAATGAATTGGTGGTGAATGGGGCCTGAGTGGGGGGATTTTTAAAAAGCACCCCAGGTGAATCCACTGTGCTGCTAAGGTCGGAACCTATTCAAAAGCCTAGGTTCTCATCCTTGGTGGCACAGTGGAATCTCTTGGCGAGGTTTTTAAAAATGCCATCTCTTGGCTGGGCACGGTGGCTCACGCCTGTAATCCCAGCACTTTGGGAGGCCGAGGCAGGTGGATCACGAGGTCAGGAGATCGAGACCATCCTGGCTAACGTGGTGAAACCCCGTCTCTACTAAAAAATACAAAAAATTAGCCGGGCGTGGTGGTGGGCGCCTGTAGTCCCAGCTATTCAGGAGGCTGAGGCAGGAGAATGGCGTGAACCCGGGAGGCGGAGCTTGCAGTGAGCCGAGATCGCACCACTGCACTCCAGCCTGGGCAACAGAGCGAGACTCCATCTCAAAAAAAAAAAAAGAAAAAAAAAAAGAAAAAATGCCATCTCTTGGACTGAACACTAAAAATTCATATTTACTGGGTTTAGGTTGAGGCTTCTTTTGAGAGCCCACCAGGGATTCTACTGCACAACCAATGCCGAGCAGCACTATCTCTAAAACACTTTACCTGGGCACAGGCTTCCTAACCTCCATAGGCCCATGGTGCTCCCAAATTAGATCCCTAGTGGAACTGGGGTGGGCAGTGGTGCTAGATGCTTGGAGCTGTTCTGGGGCTGTCTGGGATTGCATCTGCCTTCACGTCTCCTGGGAGGGACTCCCTCAGGGCAGCTGGGATGGATCCAGCCTGGTCAGGCATGCGTTGTCCCCTCAGAGTGGCCATAGCACTGGCTGCTTCCAATTCCATCAGTGGGAGCTGCCCTGAGAGTGAAGAGGACCCTCACAGCCACTTCTCTGTCAGGTTGGGGACAGTATCGGTGGAACACTCATGTCCTCCTCGTCATCTTTTCCCCTGAACTTGCATTAAGACCTCTTGACCTTTTAAAAAATGTCTTTTGTTTCCAAGGCGTGAAAGTAAATCAATAAAGGACTCAGTCCAGGATTAGGCAATAACTGAACAAATTGTATCTTGTATTTCTTGAGAGCACACTTTTCTCTGAGGAGCATAGCTTATATTACCTAATTAGTGGAGGATTAACCCATTTAATTGTGTCATTGTGCAAAGAACGGAAATGCTGGCTGTCGCCCAGCCCTCTCAGTTGGAGATTTTTTTTTTTTTTTTAAAGGCAAGACATTCAGTTATCAATATAAAAAAAATAGCTGCAAATTTGTTTCAGGAATTATTTGTGACGTTCCTCAGGAAACTCAAACGATTAGTAAGGTGCACAAGGGACCAGTATCTCAGCCCAAAGTGCTTAGAAATTAAACATTTTCTCTTCTAAAAATCACAAAATATTTGGAGAAAAATTAAGTGGTTGCCACTCCAGACTTTCCCCTCCTGGTTGTAGATATGTATTATATCCACTCTGTATACTGTCTGGGAAGTTTTCATATATTTTATTTCCTTGGAGATCATTATCATTCAGATCATAATAATTTTAAAGCTTTAATACATTCCAGATCGTAATTCCCCCAATGCGTACTGAGTGGCAGAACAAACCTGGGTGTCTGGAAGTTGTGGGGAAAGAGTGATTTATGGCGTGTCCCTCTTGAGTGTGTGTGCTGAGCTTGGATGTTTTTCACTGTGATCCCTTCCCTCCCTACAGGGAAGTTCTTGTTTCTTTCCTCTTAGAAATACTTGAGAAAGAGCAGAATGCTATCTAGAACAATTATTGTCACAGATAAGATTTGTTTGTGCCCTGTCTGTTCTCAGTAAATTAGGAGCATTTAATATCTTCTTGCCAATGTCTAACATTTAGAAATTATCACTGTCTTTCTACACAACCTTCCCCAGGTCCCACTATTACATGGGCTTGGGAAAGTTATTTGAATGTTCTAAACAAGGCCAGGCGCGGTGGCTCATGCCTGTAATCCCAGCACTTTGGGAGGCCGAGGCGGGCGGATCGCGAGGTCAGGAGATTGAGACCATCCTGGCTAACACGGTGAAACCCCGTCTCTATTAAAAATACAAAAAATTAGCCGGGTGTGGTGGTATGCACCTGTGGTCCCAGCCACTCGGGAGGCTGAGGCAGGAGAATCACTTGAATGCAGGAGCTGGAGGTTGTAGTGAGCCGAGATCGCGCCACTGTACTCCAGCCTGGGCGACACAGCGAGACTCCATCTCAGAAAGGAAAAAAAAAAAAGTTCTGAACAACAGTATGGTCACCCATCAAACGGGCCACTGCTCTGCTTGTAAAGTGTGGCACAGGGTGGGTTCCCAGTAGCAGTGCGTCCTGTCTCTGCCAACTTCTAGCATTCCTAGGGCCAGTGGCCTTGCTGGAAGAGCCTTGTCACTTGACTGCTGAGGCCCAGTCTGGAAGCCCATAACCAACTGAGGTGGCCGTGTCAGGTCTGAAGCTGGCACTTCCCCACTTAGTAATCCCAACGATCACATGACACAGGAAACTTGTGAAACGTGGGTAGGAACCTTCCTTTTCCAAGCTGCACCAAAGCCTTTCTTACTTCGTTCCATGTGAGTTTTGGGCTGGAGAAGAGCTGGGATGCTACAGGAGAGGGGACCCAGAAGGGGATGGTTAGTAAGAGGCTTGGGGAGGGGCAAACAGAAGCAGGAGGCCTGTAGCCTGGGGCCCCACATGCTCACCAGCTTCAGCAGACAGTGGCCCAGAGACTGCGGCGGGGCAAGGGAAGAGATGGATGGACTGGCAATGCGCCATGTTGTTTCCAAAATATTTCCTTTCTACTTCATCCCAAGTCCCTTGTTTTTCACTTAGAATCGCATGGAAGAGAGCAAAGCCTTATTTAAAACCATCATCACCTACCCCTGGTTTCTGAATTCGTCTGTGATTTTATTCTTGAACAAGAAGGATCTTTTGGAAGAGAAAATCATGTACTCTCATCTAATTAGCTATTTCCCAGAATACACAGGTAAGTGTCTATCTTGTGGACAGTGTTTTCTGTGCTGATCTCGTCCACCTCCCGGGCATCAGTCTAGAGTTATCACGGCTCAAAGGGGCCTCCCTGGTCTGCCTGCAATAGCCTCTCCCCCTATTCCCACCTTCAAACAGAAGCTCTAGTTGCACCATTGTTGTGTTTTCACCACAGCACCTCCACATGTGCTTCCCTCAGTGCTTGGAATACCCTTACCAACTCCTTTCGCTGCCTCCATGTTGTTCTCCAAAACCCAGCAAAGGCCTCCCCTTCTCTGGGAGCCTTTCTGGCTTCCCCTGCCCATCTGGTCTGCAGGAAGGGTGCCTCCTCCTTTCTGCTCCCTCAGCAGCCTAACCCCTGCTTGCTCTCTTGGCCACATCATGCTATGTCATATCCTCTGCTCACTCAGCTCTCTTCCCAGTCGGCTCCATGAGGGTAGAGACTCTGCTTGATTTATCTGTGCATTCCTCATGCCAGTCAGAGCACCTGGTGCTTCTTATGTGTATGTTAGAGTGTGGCATCCCTTTTCCCAGACACATGGTGGACTCACATAACCTGTCCAAGGTAGGAGAGTCTCATGCCCTGTTGCTAATTGTTTCTGGTACAGGAGGTCTCAAACCTTAAGTTTGACACTGATATTTAGTGGATTCATGTTTTAGCACTCTTCTTTCCCCTTTTACTAACCATACTGGCTGTGTAGTGTAGCACCCTCGAGCTTTAAAATCAGCCTGATGTTAGTTCCCACATTCTTCCTTTTATCTCTCCTAGACCAGAGCTGTCTGTCCATATGTGTTAGCCAGGATTACTTCTCTTCAATAGTGGTCCAAATCAGACAAATTGGGTCACTATGTTTAAACAAATCACTGTAAAGTACAATTTTTAGATACCAGAGGACATTTTAAAATATGACTATTTTATGGGTTCATGATGAGATACCATAAAAATAATGCTCCAGGTAAACCGTTCCCTGGAAATAAAGATGGATCAAAGCAGGATCTCAAATAAGAACAAGAATACATTAAAAAATGGTTCTTGGGGCCAGGCACGGTGGCTCACGCCTGTAATCCCAGCACTTTGGGAGGCCAAGGCAGGTGGATCACCTAAGGTCAGGAGTTCGAGACCAGTCTGGCCAACATGGTAAAACCCCGTTTCTACTAAAAATACAAAAATTAGCTGTGTGTGGTGGTACGCATCTGTAATCCCAGCTACTTGGGAGGCTGAGGCAGGAGAATTGCTTGAACCCCAGAAGCAGAGGTTGCAGTGAGCTGAGACCGTGCCACTGCACTCCAGCCTGGGCTACAGAGCGAGACTCTGTCTCAAAAAAAAGGTTCTTGGGAGGACATGGTGTTAAGTCTGTGTCTTTATTCCTGTAATTGCACTTGTGACTAGGACCGAAACAGGATGTCAGAGCTGCCAGAGACTTTATCCTGAAGCTTTACCAAGATCAGAATCCTGACAAAGAGAAAGTCATCTACTCTCACTTCACATGTGCTACAGATACAGACAATATTCGCTTTGTGTTTGCTGCTGTCAAAGACACAATTCTACAGCTAAACCTAAGGGAATTCAACCTTGTCTAAAAGCTGCTGCCCACTCCTCCCCTATAACAGAAGATGTGATTTGCAAACTCCTTGTTTTATTTGCAAGTGCTTCTGACATCACCAGAGCCAGCCCCATGCCAGGAACTAAGGATGTCATGTAGATCGTGGGGACAGAGATGGGTGATGGAACTTGGAAGATATTTGAGTTTACCAACATACTTTAAAAGTCCTTACATCCCAAATTGTGTTTATAATTATTTTCTTGACTTTTGGCTATAAGATTTTGTGTAATTTTTGAATTTGGTGTTTTCTAGAATTTTTAAAAGCCACTTTGATTTAGTTTTAAATATGTTTAAAAATAGCGATTAAAATTATGTAAGCAAGGAGCCTGTTAGTTTATAGATCATGCCTTCAAACCTCTAGAGTTAATTTGGGTGACTTTTTTAAAAATAAGAATGTTAATGGGTTTGAAGCTTTTTATTAAACCTTGTAATTTAGAGACATTTTTAATTGTGTTTCTCACCTCATGCTGAAGGGTGACTCCTTTAACATGCCACCAAAGATTTTTTTTAAACACTTGGTTCTTTTTGTGTGTTAACTTTCTAAGCCAAATTAATGGATATATAAGTATATCTAATTTAGCTTTGCCACAGTTTGATCACCAAGAAGCCAAAGCTGACATAGAGTAAATGGGCTCTAGATAGCATATATGTTTTATTGGTGAAAAATGTGTGTGTGTGCACGTGTGTGTGTGTGTACATTTTTACCCCCAATGTATATGACCAGATCTTAAAAATGTATGAAATGGCTAGAAGTCCACATTGTTTGACAAATGTTACGTAACCCTGCCAAAGTTCTGATGGCCACCACAGATTTGCTGTTTGAATTATGTATGCTGTGCCTTTCTGAGGAGGCTAAGAATATACCATTCTGCTATTAGCACTGGGTTATGTTGTGTTTCTTAGAGCTCATGGTTGACTGATGGTTCTGCTCCTAAACAGAAAAATGCTGTGGCCTTAATAGTAACTCGGAAACTTTCCTAAGATTCCTCCTTTCAAGGCAAGTCTGCGCATCATCGTGTCATGCTGCAGTTCCCTCAGTAGCTGGCTGGGTCAAGCAGAAGGAGAATCCTCTGGGAATTAAGAGTGCTCCACACTAAAGGCCAAGATGGTTTTGTGCATGTGTGCACACATGTGTGTGCACACACACATACACCATTTGGGGACGTAAGGTATGAAATATCTGTCTCAAATCAGTCTATAAAATGCACCTCGGTTGGCTACATATGTTATGGAACCATGTGTCCCCATTCTGTGGGAACAATTCCAATTGCTGAAAAAGACTGAAATTATTCTGATATGCAGCAATTCTACAATAGCAACATCTAGCTTTAAAAATATGAATCCTCACTCAAGAGATAAATGCAATAGCAACAGCTTTTGTGGAAGTTCACAAATTGATGTTAAAATTTATCTAGAACAGTAAAGTCCAGAAATAGCCGAGACAGTTTTGCGTGAGAACAGAGAGAGGGGAATGGAGCTCTTTAGGATATCTAGAAGCACAAAGAAAATACAAGACAATTCCCCTCCCCACCAACGATGGGCTAAAGGCTATGGACTGGGTTTCACTAGCCAATTAACATAAAAAGGGTTCAACAGAATCCAGTCATCTGGGAAATTAAACCATGAAGAATTCCATTTCTTATTTTAAGCACTTTCTTGCATTGAGTTTTTGTTAATTTATAGTTGGCTGACTACTTAAAGCATATAAGAAAATGATGGCTTTCCATATCCTGGTTGTGGGAGGGCTGTTAAATAAGTCATTCAAAGGGTGGTAACAATATTTTCTTAAGGCATGGAAAGGCTAGACTCTCAATGTCAGAGGTGAATTAATTACCTCTGCCAATACTGATTCTGCTGGTAGAAAATTCTCTCCTGGCCCTTCATTCAATATTCTCATTACTTACTGGGGAAATGAGTCATGCGGAGTTTTCTAAGGTTAAGAGACAGAATGTCGGTGGTTAAGAATTCACTAGGTCGAGACAATCCTGGCCAACATGGTGAAACCCCATCTCTACTAAAAAAAAAAAAATACAAAAATTAGCTGGGCGTGGTGGCACACACCTGTAGTCCCAGCGACTCGGGAGGCTGAGGCAGGAAGATCACTTGAACCTGGGAGGTGAACGTTGCAGTGAGCCGAGATCGTGCCACTGCACTGCAGCCTGGTGACAGAGCAATACTGTCTGTCTCAAAAAAAAAAAAAAAAAGAGAATTTACTAGGTACTATACCACCCCAAGCTTTTAGTCAGCAATGATCATGCTGGGCTGGAATGTCGCCTGCTTTGACTGAAAAATCAGGACCTTGGGCAATCTGTTATTCACATTTGTTTCAGCCCCAAAGAGGGTGGAATTTATATAGGCAAGGGAAGGGTATTAATAATGTTTCTAGTTCTATCAAAAAACTAAAAACAGAAGCAGACCAAAGATCAGAAATCTTTATTTGACAAAGGTATACATGGTGAAAATGGGCAGTCATCTTACCATGCAATCCAAATCTACCAATACCAAGAAATGCTTATTGTTAAGAAAAAAAATCATTAGTGAGCATGGCCAACCAATTTTTAGAGAGAGGAATAAAAGAATAAGATTAGTTTCAAAAGGAAGAACTTCACTGTAAATATCTGTGTTTATAAATTATCTTAGAATACACAAAACCAAGGCAGAGGCTGTGTAACAGGCAACTGAGCCAAGCACACATAAAAGAGGGATGAGGAACAGAAAAGTGTAGGAAATCCTGCAGCGATGCAGAAATAGATATTTTTAAAATTATCATAATCAATGACCGTATTTTCATCAAAGAAAGAATAAGCATTCCAAAGCAGCACAGGCTATTTCATCAATTTAAAAAACTAGCAAGAGAAAGTATTTTTAAAGTGCACTTTTCCTGAAAAATTCATTTTTATATGTAATACACAGTCACATACAGAGATAATTATTTCTAAAATTCTGTAACAGTTTATCTGACCTTGTAACAAGTTCCAGATACCATTCCTAATAGTTTGTGTGGATATTAAATCATTGATACTGAAAATATTTCAGTGTAATCTATGCTACATTTTTACTTGAATGTTTTTCAGCCTAAGAACTGGGAACTTTTGAGTAACAAACTGAACACCGGAGGTATGACGGCATAACAGGAAATGTTGGGATTTTCCAACATGTTCTATTTTAATTATACTTCTGATTATTTGATATCTCATTATACCAATCTCACAGGGTTTCTTGTTACAAGGACTTCATTAGAAGGAATACATTATTAACATATCAGAGTAACACTAAATGAATAGTTCAATGACAGACAGGGATTTTCTATCATAGCAGTGTGATATCTATCATCATAGCAGGTGTTAAACTATAATATAAATTAATTTGTATTTGTATAAAGTAATAAAAACTTTAAAAATATACCCATATCAACCTAAAAAATTGAAGTTATATTTCTTGTATAGCTTTTTGGGTAACCAAAATAATTTTTTTTTTGAAAATGCCATAATGCTTTAAAAAAAGAACTAATCTGTAATTCTAAAGTAAAAAATTTTTTAAATGACATGGAAAAATTTACAAAAGAGGAAATATAAAGTAGAAAAAGGTTTCAATAAAAGAAACATGAGTGAGGTTTGTAATAGAGTAGGATTCTGCATCTTCTCAATGTGCTGGCCTTGCTTTTTGGATAGTCCTGAAACAAATACTACTTTAGACCAATTATGACAGTGGGAGAAAAGTTTGCTGTAACAGCCAGAGTGGCCAAAAATTGACAGTACAGATTACAAGAATCAAAATTTTAACCGACAAATCCTAGCTTGATTAGGTTGCCATTAACAATAAGGTATAATTTCAAAAGTATACTTCAAAGGACTAAGGAGGGTGAATGGGTTTCCTTTTAGAGTTGCGCTATACTGAAAAGCACCAAAAAAAATCAGATTGACTAAGTCTGTATTGAGTCCTGCATACAGAATGTAAGTTATTTACATTTTCTACTTGGATCTTAAAGAAATGAGGAAATCCACTGTTTTTAGTAAAAAGTCATTGATATTTGCATAGCACCCCCCAGACACTGAATATTTTGGCCCTACCAGAATGTGCCCTACGTATTAGCTCCCCATTTTTAAAGGCCTTTGCCACCTGTATGGTGAATCAGCCAAAAGGTAGATGGTGCAGATTCAACGGACTCAAAAGGACAATGTATGTCCCCAGTTCTATTATAGTAAAATGCTTAGTGGTAAAGAGGTTAAAATACATCTAGGTAAACAAAAGACTATGGCCTTTTTTGGGTGCTGTGTGTGGATCTAATTTTTCTATGCTTTTTCTGGTCCCACTGAATCATGTGAGGTTGCCCGATACACAGCAGAGAAGAAAAATATTTTAGAAACCAAGAGTGATTCCATCTTCTCACTCAAAAGAAGAAGTGCTAAGCATCTCTAGACTTCCTGAGTTGTGGATCTGCTGCTCCTTATCTAAGGTCAGGCTCCACACAATCCAGACTCTTCCAACAATCACTGGATGGCCGGTGCCTCCTGCAGCAGTCTTTCAAGCTTTCTTTTTTTAAATTGCATTTCATAACAGGAAACACTTTATATTGTGACCCAGTATACACAGTAAATAGAATATTTAGCTGAAACAGTATTTCAGGAACCAATACTTAACCATTTTATATGCTCTATTGTTCCTCTATTTTTTATTATTTCACGTTTAAAATATACTGGTCTTGAGCTGTTAAGTTGATTTCATGACCCACTAATGAGTTAGGACTTACAGTGTGGAAAAACAGCATCCCTGAGGATTTGGGTTGATCCTGACAAAAGGTAACAAGCAATGCCCTGGAAGCCGAAAAGATTCCTCTGAACTGTGTTGGCTGAGCCATGAAAGCATCCACTGTCAATGTATTTGGTACACACTTTGAGCTTCTACAGGCAAACTAATCAAGTATTTTGTCCCAATCTTTTTAATACAGAGGCCTACATGAGGGGGCACTTGGCATAGCCTGAAGGATCAACTAATACTGGCAAGTGATAACTGAATAATTTAGGTGCAGGAAATTCAGCACTGTGTAGAGTCCTTTTAATTTAATCTTTCTTTTTACCAGAGAGTAATACGATGCTACTATGTGGGATGTTTCTAAGAGATGAGCTAGGTGCATAGATATTCAATGGAACAATATTACCGCTATTACTATTGGAAGAAATGAGAGAGATAATTATGATAGAAAATATCACGTAAGTAAGTGTAAGAAAGATTTATTCACTTGGAGGCCACAGGATAGTTGCCTCCAAATGGACTAGGATTGTGGAGGAGAGGGGTAGGTAAGAACTGTCTACAGGTGGTAATGATTGTTTAGGGTCCAGATAACAACAACTCAGCCACACTAAACTGACCTTGGGATTTTTGTGAACACTAAAGGAAAAGCAGCAAATATGTATACTCTAAAAGGGAAGACACTGGAGAACTGTATGTGCCTTTTGGCTCAGAGAGTATTTTGCAAATGTGAAGAAATCACAAGCTGCTTTTGATCACAAGTACCAGAAATCAAAGTCACTCTTTCTGATTATGATTTTCTGGTGGAGAGTTGGCAGGGAACAGGCACTCTGCCTTAGTCCTCACACAATTATCATAGACCAGAAGACATGCTGTGCTGGAATTAAGGGCCTAGTAATATAGTTAGTTAGCAAATAATACATGGAAGGGGCACAAGACTCAACACCTCTCATTCCATAGCCACTACCAAACAACTAAGACAAGCTTAAATTTCTCCAGCAGAGAGCCATTTCTTGTAGTTAAATGTAATTTAGGGCAGATGGTTTTCAAATACAAGAAGATTCTTATTCTAACCTTCAAGAAAAATGGGCTACAGAATCAAACAAAAACTGTAAATTGTAAAATGTGATGCTAAAAACACTGACTCATTATCTAGTGATCTACTGATTTCTTAGTGTTTTTGTTTAGATGAAGACAATCTTCTAAAACAACAAATGATATGATGTAGCTCTTAAAACTGTGGGTCCCTCTAGTCTAGAGACAAGGAAGTGATGGGAGGAGGTGATGAGTAAACGAGTGGCAGGGAAAGGAGAGATTTCACGGTTCTTATGGCAAGGGAACAGGAAAGACAGGCACTATCCTTTCCATGTGGATTAGTCACAAGACCCACTCCTGCTGGCTGCCAGAGGGCACCAGAAGAATTTCTATGTTTACTATTTATGTAAGGCTTTTCTACTTCACGACACTACACCCAGGGAGGCAGGGGACTGTAATTTTTCTGAGAATGGTGAAATCATAACATTGGGTAATGAAGTATTTCGTTTTGGATGAGGACAGTCTGATGCAAGCTTTCTGACTACCTCTACTGTTAAGTTTAATTCTGACAAAAGCAAAACTGGAGGAGCTTAGCGACAGAGAAAATAAGCACTTTTTTTTTTTTTTAAACAAAGGTCAACATGGAAACACACTTTCATGTGATTTTAAACTTGTGGTTTGATTCAATTTAAGTTCAGCAAAGAAAAAAGCATTTTGGGGGAAACTACTGAGAATAAACAATGTGTTTTAGTAATCAGAGAGAAATCAATAGCATTTAGTAGATTTGGTCAGCAAGAAATACAATTACAATATAGCATGCTGTTTATTTTAGCTTTTACAACAAAGCGAGGGTTTAAGGAGCCTGAGAAGAATTTCACAACTATTGACTATACAGAGTCTTCAATTCCAAAAACAGTTAATAGTAACTTGGTGGCACATACAACATGCATTGAATACTCTGTATTATTCAGTAACTAAATAGGATCCTGCATCATTCTCTTCACAGTTCACAATCATACATTCATTCTCTTTTACCTGAAACAGTCCATTAATATTAAGGTGCAAAGATCTTGGACAAAAACCAAGAAAGAAAACCTCATGTCCTTATTTTTACTAATGTATAGCTGATGATTTCTGTGATGAGCTGTAAATTTAAAAGCGTGACTCTCATTTGAATAACTGTAGAGTAAGCAAACCAGAAATTCTCAATCTATTGGCAACGGGACAGGTTATTGGGTTAGATTTTAGGGTACATAAACTTTATATGAGAGGGACTGTCTGTTGGAAGCATAATACACTATCTAAGATGTTGGGAATTGTGTTTATTCCATGTTAACAGTGAATGGAAAGTAGGCATTGTTAAGGCTTTAAAAATTCTCCTTTGATATTAGCAGTCTATTAAAAACATGACTTGGGTAAACCAAGTAGATCTCATGAAATAGGCTTGAGGAAATATTTCAAAGGCCCTAAAGTTCTGAAACAGACTTCCTTTTTTGAGTAGGATACTTATTTCTTTAAGGTTTCTTAAGGGGAGGCTTCAATCTATGTTATAAATTATATTTTAAAAGATTGTTTTTAATAATGCTATGCATTTTAAGTACAATTCAAACCTATCCTTTATATTAAAAAGGAAAATAATATCAAAATATTTATCTGGCAAAAGAACTTCATGATTCTGAAGAAACCACCACCAAAGTTCTCTTGATACCACTGAGGCAATGTTTGATTTCTTACCCATCACTCAGGGAGTTTGAAATAAGCATGACAGAAGTACAAAATGTGAACTAGAAACATTAAACTTGGCTCCATGTGGAGATGAATTATGGGCAGCCTCTCCACCATTACAGAGAAAAAGATGGAGCAAATACTTAAGATTCATAATTTTGTCTTCTTTTACAAAATAATTAGAATTATAAATAGATGCATGATTCAATTTAGAAAACCGGGTAATTGCTGAAGAATTAAAATATTTTAATCACATAGCTGTTTTACCTGATTCTGGTTTTGTTTTTTTGTTTTTGTTTTTTTGTTTGTTTTTGTTTTTTAGCATCCAGAATACAGGGTACTTGAAATCATTTCTGTAATATGCTTCCCAAACAGGTTTTGGAAGGTAGTCTAGGAGCTGTAATCACTTATTGCTGTGTGTCTTCAGGCAGTGTTCTCTGTCAGAGGCTCGGAGAAGGTTCTCTTGCTTCTTGTAGCTTTGTGAGGATCCACTGCGGTGGGAAAATAAATGAACATTTGCTTACTTCAGTGAACTTGTAATGAAACAAAATGTAATGAATGGAGATCTAGAAGTTAGCTTTATAGTTTAGTTAGGTGTAATACTGACAGCCAATACATAAAATTCATCCTGCAAAAGAGATCATTCACTTCAATGGCCCAGATGGCTCAGGGACAATAGTACTTGGTTTAATAGTAGGAATGCAGTTCTTCTAAGGTCTTTGGATGTTCATCTTCAGAATTAAGTGAAATGAGCCAGCCTGAAAGAAAAAAATTCCTTCCAATCTGTGCTGATTTTGTATCATGAACTTCCATAAATCCAGATACAGGATTCTACTAATGGAGTAGAAATACTTACACACAATTCCAGAGAGGGTAGTAGAAGCAACATTCTTGAGCATTTTAGGTGCTCTCACAATATATTTTCTATTCTAAAATAATTTGAAATTACAAAAATAAAATGTAAATGTAATACACAACCTTTCTACCAGTAATGTCTATTATTATTGGGCATGGATGACAGATAAAAGCCACGGAGGTGATACAGGGCTTATTCTAATATATAAAGATTTCACAGAGATGTTTGTACCTCTTTAACTTAAAAGAGCCTAGTAAGAATAGCCCTAAGATAGGGAGACAAAGATAACTGAATCCAGTAGCCTTCTCTGGATGTTCCTGGCCAAGCAGGAGGATTAAAAACAAACCTTCTGGGATAAAGTCAGTCACATGGTGAAGGAATTAAAAGAAAACTTTATTGCAGGTAAATTGAAACAGGTGGTACTGTCCTTCAGTGACATGAAAGAAGGTGGCCTAAAAGTCATGCTTATCTGTCTCCCTGTTCCAGGTGACAAGCATATGAAGACTGGTAACTTTATTCCTCTTTCTTTGTAACTTGCTCCTTTTGTGTTTTCCACTATTAGTGTGTCAGTGTCGCCTTATATCAGAATGTCTAGATAGAAAATTGCATAGGACATGTTAACTGGTCCAAGGTATGTGTATGAGACAGTGGGAGAGGCCCCTAGTTTGGGTTCAGATGTGACAGGTGAACTGGTAAACAGTCACCACAGCCAGGATCAACGCAGAGTGTTGTATGAGTGCAGGAGGCCAGGGATCTCTTCTGAGTCTGGCCAGGAGGCCCAGGGATCAAGTATAGGAGAAATGTCCTCTTACTCTAAGTTTTTATTATTATTATTATTATTATTATTATTAATTATACTTCAAGTTTTAGGGTACATGTGCACAACGTGCAGGTTAGTTACATATGTATATATGTGCCATGTTGGTGTGCTGCACCCATCAACTCGTCATTTAACATTAGGTATATCTCCTAATGCTATCCCTCCTCCCTCCCCCCATCCCATAACAGGCCCTGGTGTGTGATGTTCCCCTTCCTGTGTCCATGTGTTCTCATTGTTCAATTCCCACCTATGAGTGAGAACATGCAGTGTTTGGTTTTTTGTCCTTGTGATAGTTTGCTGAGAATGATGGTTTCCAGCTTCATCCATGTCCCTACAAAGGACATGAACTCATTATTTTTTATGGCTGTATAGTATTCCATGGTGTATATGTGCCACATTTTCTTAATCCAGTCTATCATTGTTGGACATTTGGGTTGGTTCCAAGTCTTTGCTATTGTGAATAGTGCCGCAATAAACATATGTGTGCATGTGTCTTTATAGCAGCATGATTTATAATCCTTTGGGTATATACCCAGTAATGGGATGGCTAAGTCAAATGGTATTTCTAGTTCAAGATCCCTGAGGAATCGCCACACTGACTTCCACAATGGTTGAACTAGTTTACACTCCCACCAACAGTATAAAAGTGTTCCTATTTCTCCACATCCTCTCCAGCACCTGTTGTTTCCTGACTTTTTAATGATCACCATTCTAACTGGTGTGAGATGGTATCTCATTGTGGTTTGGATTTGCATTTCTCTGATGGCCAGTGATGTGAGCATTTTTTCATGTGTCTTCTGGCTGCATAAATGTCTTCTTTTGAGAAGTGTCTGTTCATATCCTTCACCCACTTTTTGATGGGGCTGTTTTTTTCTTGTAGATTTGTTTGAGTTCATTGTAGATTCTGGATATTGGCCCTTTGTCAGATGAGTAGATTGCAAAAATTTTCTCCCATCCTGTAGGTTGCCTGTTCAATCTGATGGTAGCTTCTTTTGCTGTGCAGAAGCTCTCTTTAGTTTAATTAGATCCCATTTGTCAATTTTGGCTTTTGTTGCCATTGCTTTTGGTGTTTTAGACATGAAGTCCTTGCCCATGCCTATGTCCTGAATGGTATTGCCTAAGTTTTCTTCTAGGGTTTTTATGGTTTTAGGTCTAACATTTAAGTCTTTAATCCATGTTGAATTAATTTTTGTATAAGGTGTAAGGAAGGGATCCAGTTTCAGCTTTCTACATATGGCTAGCTAGTTTTCCCAGCACCATTTATTAAATAGGGAATCCTTTCCCCATTTCTTGTTTTTGTCAGGTTTGTCAAAGATCAGATGGTCGTAGATATGCGGCGTTATTTCTGAGGGCTCTGTTCTGTTCCATTGGTCTATATCTCTGTTTTGGTACCAGTACCATGCTGTTTTGGTTACTGTAGCCTTGTAGTATAGTTTGAAGTCAGGTAGCGTGATGCCTCCAACTTTGTTCTTTTGGCTTAGGATTGACTTGGCGATGTGGGCTCTTTTTTGGTTCCATATGAACTTTAGTTTTTTCCAATTCTGTGAAGAAAGTCATTGGTAGCTTGATGGGGATGGCATTGAATCTATAAATTACCTTGGGCAGTATGGGCATTTTCATGATATTGATTCTTCCTATCCATGAGCATGGAATGTTCTTCCATTTGTTTGTATCCTCTTTTATTTCACTGAGCAGTGGTTTGTAGTTCTCCTTGAAGAGGTCCTTCACATCCCTTGTAAGTTGGATTCCTATGTATTTTGTTCTCTTTGAAGCAATTGTGAATGGGAGTTCACTCATGATTTGGCTCTCTGTCTGTTATTGGTGTATAAGAATGCTTGTGATTTTTGCACATTGATTTTGTATCCTGAGACTTTGCTGAAGTTGCCTATCAGCTTAAGGAGATTTGGGGCTGAGACGATGGGGTTTTCTAGATATACAATCATGTCATCTGCAAACAGGGACAATTTGACTTTCTCTTTTCCTAATTGAATACCCTTTATTTCCTTCTCCTGCCTGATTGCCCTGGCCAGAACTTCCAACACTATGTTGAATAGGAGTGGTGAGAGAGGGCATCCCTGTCTTGTGCCAGTTTTCAAAGGGAATGCTTCCAGTTTTTGCCCATTCGGTATGATATTGGCTGTGGGTTTGTCATAGATAGCTCTTATTATTTTGAGATACATCCCATCAATACCTAATTAATTTATTGAGAGTTTTTAGGATGAAGGGTTGTTGAATTTCGTCAAAGGCCTTTTCTGCATGTATTGCGATAATCATATGGTTTTTGTCATTGGTTCTGTTTATATGCTGGATTATGTTTATTGATTTGCATATGTTGAACCAGCCTTGCATCCCAGGGATGAAGCCCACTTGATCATGGTAGATAAGCTTTTTGATGTGCTGCTGGATTCGGTTTGCCAGTAATTTATTGAGGATTTTTGCATCAATGTTCATCAGGGATATTGGTCTAAAATTCTCTTTTTTTGTTGTGTCTCTGCCAGGCTTTGGTATCAGGATGATGCTGGCTTCATAAAATGAGTTAGGGAGGATTCCCTCTTTTTCTATTGATTGGAATAGTTTCAGAAGGAATGGTACCAGCTCCTCCTTATACCTCTGGTAGAATTCGGCTGTGAATCCATCTGGTCCTGGACTTTTTTTGGTTGGTAAGCTATTAATTATTGCCTCAATTTCAGAGCCTGTTATTGGTCTCTTCAGAGACTCAACTTCTTCCTGCTTTAGTCTTGGGAGGGTGTATGTGTTGAGGAATTTATCCATTTCTTCTAGATTTTCTAGTTTATTTGCATAGAGGTGTTTATAGCATTCTCTGATGGTAGTTTGTATTTCTGTGGGATCGGTGGTGGTATCCCCTTTATCATTTTTTATTGCATCTATTTGATTCTTCCCTCTTTTCTTCTTTATTAGACTTGCTGGCGGTCCATCAATTTTGTTGATATTTTCAAAAAACCAGCTCCTGGATTCATTTTTTGAAGGGTTTTTTGTGTCTATTTCCTTCAGTTCTGCTCTGATCTTAGTCATTTCTTGCCTTCTGCTAGCTTTTGAATGTGTTTGCTCTTGCTTCTCTAGTTCCTTTTTTTTTTTTTTTTTTTTTTTTTGAGATGGAGTTTTGCTGTTGCCTAGGCTGGAGTGCAGTGGCGCCATCTCGGCTGATTGCAAGCTCCGCCTCCCAGGTTCATGCCATTCTCCTGCCTCAGCCTCCCGCGTAGCTGGGACTACAGGCGCCCGCCACCTCGCCCGGCTAATTTTTTGTATTTTTAGTAGAGACGGGGTTTCACCATGTTAGCCAGGATGGTGTCGATCTCCTGACCTCGTGATCCGCCTGCCTCGGCCTCCCAAAGTGCTGGGATTACAGGCGTGAGCCACTGTGCCCGGCCTAGTTCTTTTAATTGTGATGTTAGGGTGTCAATTTTAGATTTTTCCTGCTTTCTCTTGTGGACATTTAGTGCTATAAATTTCCCTCTACACACTGCTTTGAATGTGTCCCAGAGATTCTGCTATGTTGTGTCTTTGTTCTCGTTGGTTTCAAAGAACATCTTTATTTCTGCCTTCATTTCGTTATGTACCCAGTAGTCATTCAGGAGCAGGTTGTTCAGTTTCCATGTAGTTGAGTGGTTTTAAGTGAGTTTCTTAATCCTGAGTTCTAGTTTGATTGCACTATGGTCTGAGAGAGAGTTTGTTATAATTTCTGTTCTTTTACATTTGCTGAGGAGTGCTTTACTTCCAACTAAGTGGTCAATTTTGGAATAAGTGCAGTGTGGTGCTGAAAAGAATGTATATTCTGTTGATTTGGGGTGGAGAGTTCTGTAGATGTCTATTAGGTCTGCTTGGTGCAGAGCTGAGTTCAATTCCTGGATATCCTTGTTAACTTTGTCTCGTTGATCTAATGTTGACAGTGGGGTGTTAAAGTCTCCCATTATTATTGTGTGGGAGTCTAAGTCTCTTTGTAGGTCTCTAAGGACTTGCTTTATGAATCTGGGTGCTCCTGTATTGGGTGCATATATATTTAGGATAGTTAGCTCTTCTTGTTGAATTGATCCCTTTACCATTATGTAATGGCCTTCTTTGTCTCTTTTGATCTTTGTTGGTTTAAAGTCTGTTTTATCAGAGACTAGGATTGCAACTCCTGCCTTTTTTTGTTTTCCATTTGCTTGGTAGATCTTCCTCCATCCCTTTATTTTGAGCCTATGTGTGTCTCTGCATGTGAGGTGGGTTTCCTGAATACAGCACACTGATGGGTCTTGACTCTATCCAATTTGCCAGTCTGTGTCTTTTAATTGGAATATTTAGCCCATTTACATTTAAGGTTAATATTGTTATGTGTGAATTTGATCCTGTCATTATGATGTTAGCTGGTTATTTTGCTCGTTAGTTGATGCAGTTTCTTCCTAGCCTTGATGGTCTTTACAATTTGGCATGTTTTTGCAGTGGCTGGTACCGGTTGTTCCTTTCCATGTCTAGTGCTTCCTTCAGGAGCTCTTTTAGGGCAGGCCTGGTGGTGACAAAATCTCTCAGCATTTGCCTTTCTGTAAAGGATTTTATTTCTCCTTCACTTATGGAGCTTAGTTTGGCTGGATATGAAATTCTGGGTTGAAAATTCTTTTCTTTAAGAATGCTGAATATTGGCCCCCACTCTCTTCTGGCTTGTAGAGTTTCTGCTGAGAGATCAGCTATTAGTCTGATGGGCTTCCCTTTGTGGGTAACCTGACCTTTCTCTCTGGCTGCCCTTAACATTTTTTCCTTCATTCCAACTTTGGTGAATCTGACAATTAAGTGTCTTGGAGTTGCTCTTCTTGAGGAGTATCTTTGTGGCATTCTCTGTATTTCCTGAATTTGAATGTTGGCCTGCCTTGCTAGATTGGGGAAGTTCTCCTGGATAATATCCTGCAGAGTGTTTTCCAACTTGGTTCCATTCTCCCCATCACTTTCAGGTATGACAATCAGACGTAGATTTGGTCTTTTCACATAGTCCCATATTTCTTGGAGGCTTTGTTGATTTCTATTCTTTTTTCTCTAAACTTCTCTTCTCGCTTCATTTCATTCATTTCATCTTCCATCACTGATACCCTTTCTTCCAGTTGATCGCATCAGTTACTGAGGCTTGTGCATTCGTCACTTAGTTCTCGTGCCTTGGTTTTCAGCTCCATCAGGTCCTTTAAGGACTTCTCTGCATTGGTGATTCTAGTTAGCCATTCATCTAATTTTTTTTCAAGGTTTTTAACTTCCTTGCCATGGATTCGAACTTCCTCCTTTAGCTTGGTGTAGTTTGATCATCTGAAGCCTTCTTCTCTCAACTTGTCAAAGTCATTCTCCATCCAGCTTTGTTCCATTGCTGGTGAGGAGCTGCGTTCCTTTGGAGGAGGAGAGGTACTCTGATTTTTAGAGTTTCCAGATTTTCTGCTCTGTTTTTTCCCCATCTTTGTGGTTTTATCTACCTTTGGTCTTTGATGATGGTGATGTACAGATGGGGCTTTGGTGTGGATGTCCTTTCTGTTTATTAGTTTTCCTTCTAACAAACAGTCAGGACCCTCAGCTGCAGGTCTGTTGGAGTTTGCTGGAGGTCCACTCCAGACCTGTTTGCGTGGGTATCAGCAGCGGAGGCTGCAGAACAGCAGATATTGGTGAACAGCAGATGTTGCTGCCTGATTGTTCCTCTGGAAGTTTTGTTTCAGAGGAGTACCTGGCCGTGTGAGGTGTCAGTCTGCCCCTACTTGGGGGGTGCCTCCCAGTTAGGCTCCTTGGGGGTCAGGGACCCACTTGAGGAGGCAGTCTGTCCATTCTCAGATGTCCAGCTGTGTGCTGGGAGAACCACTACTCTCTTCAAGGCTGTCAGACAGGGACATTTAAGTCTGCAGAGGATTCTGCTGCCTTTTGTTTGGCTGTGCCCTGCCCCCAGAGGTGGAGTCTACAGAGGCAGGCAGGCCTCCTTGAGCTGTGGTGGGCTCCACCCAGTTCGAGCTTCCCAGCTGCTTTGTTTAGCTACTCAAGCCTGGGCAATGGCGGGCGCCCCTCCCCCAGCCTCTCTGCTGCCTTGCACTTTGATCTCAGACTGACTGCTGTGCTAGCAATGAGCAAGGCTCCGTGGGCGTAGGACCCTCCGAGCCAGGCATGGGATATAATCTCCTGGTGTGCCGGTTGCTAAGACCGTTGGAAAAGCACAGTATTAGGGTGGGAGTGACCCGATTTTCCAGGTGCCATCTGTCACCCTTTTCTTTGACTAGGAAAGGGAATTCCCTGACCCCTTGCACTTCCTGGGTGAGGTGATGCCTCGCCCTACTTTGGCTCACGCTCGGTGCGCTGCACCCACTGTCCTGCACCCACTTTCCGACACTCCCCAGTGACATGAACCCAGTACCTCAGCTGGAAATGCAGAAATGACCCATCTTCTGTGTCGCTCACACTAGGAGCTGTAGACTGGAGCTTTTCCTATTCTGCCATCTTGGCTCCACCCTCTTACTGTAAGTTTCATGATATAATGAGTACAACTCAACATTCTGAATAGCACTTCAGTTGTGATCAATGAGGTCAGACAGTCAATTCATAGTCTTCATTTTCTTGACAGTGCACATCCTTGTGATTGATTGCCATAATCCCTAAAGTACACACCATGCTTTTCAGTTCACACCATTCTCATCTTGAGGAAACTGTGCTTAGTTGACCTTCTGCAAGATTCTATAGTCAAGAAGGACAAAATCAGTATTCAAACTTGGATTTTCTGTTGGGCTTGGCTCCCTTTGGTCTGTGTCAGCTATGGCAACTTTTTAAAAAATCACGGTAGCTATGCAGTAGAAAAATCAACAATGTGGGGCTACACTTTCCTGTTGGAGCTGATGGATTAACACTAAAACAAAATAATTAATTTTTGTTTGTTGACTTTTTTATTAAAAAAAATTAATTAGAGTTAGCATTTAAAATAAGATGGAGCAATCTGGTTTGAAAAGCAAGTAGGTATGCCGAATTGAATCTGGTAGAAAAAAAAGTCTGGGGTAAATATTATCTGGTTACATATACTTTTAAAACCTGCCAAAACACAAAAGCAAAACAAACAAACAAAAACCCCCAAACAAAACTTATCTGCATTAAAAAATAGTCCACTTACATGATTTTGAAGTGAGCAGCTCCTATTTAAATAAAAGATTTATTATATTTACCCTGGCATCCTCTGGGGTCTTGAAGTTAATTATTTTTCCAAACTCTCTGGCATGAAATACAGACTTCACTCGTTCCTATAAACAGAATATGTAAATTCATTAAAAAGATAATCTGGTTGTAAAAATCCATAAAGAAATGCCACAAAGCTTTATTACTGTATGCCTAAAGTGTCCCTCTTATACAAATCATGCACCTTAAAAAAGACAAGAATGAGGAAGCAAGAAGAATCAAAACCAATAGAAAAAAAGACTACATTCTATTAATAACACAACCATTATCACTAAACCTAAGTTAAAAAGCTTAAGGTGATATTTTAATTGCTAATGCCATAAAGAGTCGACATAAAGGATGGGAAGGAGGTAAGTTGGGGAGTAGTGCCACTGTTTTTCGTCTCCAAATAATTTCTTACACAGTTGTTATCTGGCCATAGAATCATGAGTGAGTCCAGGTTAAAAATATATGCACATGTGTGTGTATGCATACGTACATAAACACATACATATATTGTATGTGCATGTGTGCGTGCATGTATGTACTTCTGCCATTTTAAACCAGTCATACAGTAAGAATATAGTTTAGAATCAAAGAGAGATCAGGTTGTGTCCTAGATGATTTTCCTCCACTATTTATGCTCCGTTGGTATTATGTTTAGTATTGGTAGTGGGGAGTGGGACTGTCTCAGAGCAGATATTAAGCATATCAGGGGCAAACAGAAGTGAAACTATTGAGGACAAGGATGATGTTTTCCTCTGTACATATGGGTGAGGTCATAGAGGGCAAAGTAAAGGTTTTACTAGTCAAACATGTTCTATAAGTAATTCAACTATCCATGCAAATACAGACACTAGAAGAATTACATTCTTTCTTCTAATTAAAAAAAAAAAAGATGAGGCTGGGTCCAGTGGCTCACGTCTATAATCACAGTACTTTGGGAGGCTGAGGCAGGCAGATTGCTTGAGCCCAGGAATTCAAGACCAGACTGGCCAACCTGGTGAAACACCGTCTGTACTAAAAATACAAAAATTAGTCGGCATGGTGGCACATGCCTGTAATCCCAGCTACTCAGGAGGCTGAGGCAGGAGAATCACTTGAACCTGGGAGGTGGAGGTTGCAGTGATCCAAGAGCGCCACTGCACTCCAGCTTGGGCGACAGGGCAAGACTCTGTCTCAAAAAAGAAAAAAAGAATGATTGCAGAATTGTAGATATAAGGTCTCATGAAAAGGGGGAAGGGGAAGAAATCAAAGAGATAAGAGAATGTATTAATGTTAGAAAGGGAAAATATATTTAAAAAGCCAGGAAAGCAGTATGGACTGCAGCACAGGCTAATAGCCACTATCCATTATTTCATATGTGGGAAGGTGGGGCTCTGTTACTGAATATACAGCAAGGGCCCAGGAATGTTATTGTCAGTGCAATAGCACAGAAAGCACAGTTTTTCTTGGCCTAGTTTTTTTTTTTTTTTCCTTTAAGCCTGGGTAAGATAGCAGGTATAAGGGAAAACCACACCAGGACAAAGTGACATCTATAAAAGAGGTAGAGCATTATACAAATAAAAAGGACTACTTCAAAGCATTATTTTCAGTTCCAAGTTTTCAAAAAATAAATCTATTCAACATACCTTTGCTTCAATGCGCAATCTTCTCCCATGAACAATGAATGGCTCTTTGGTAAATTCATCAAAACTATACTGCCACTCACACGTGAGTTGTCCAAATGTTCCCTTTGTTACAAACAATACACCACTGCAAAAAGAAAAACAAAAAAAGAATTCGCTTTAAAATTGAGGCACTTATATCCAATAACAACAGGATACGAATGAATCGCAAGTGCAAATGCAATATTCATCAACATAGACTATATTCTATATTCTTAATGAATTTAAAAGAACTGGAACCATAAAGTGTGTCCTCAGATCATAACAGAACTAAACTAGAAACCCAAACAAAAAGATAACAATAGTATTTCCAAATGCTTAAAAGTAACACTTCCAAATAATCCAGGGGTCAAAGAATCTCAAAGGAAATTAGAAAATATTTTGAACAGAATAAGAATGAAAATACACCATAAAATTTGTGGGATGCAGCTAACATAATGCTCAATGGGAAATTTATAACACAACATATTTATATTAGAAAAACTGAAGCACTTCTTACAAAATCAAATATGTAAGGCACTTCATAAGAAACAGGGTACATTTACAGAACCAACTATCAGCCAATATTTGGAGGAACTTTCATATAATTAACGCCTTAGAATAAATACTTTCATTTCTAAGGCTCCATGTAACGTATTTCCCAACTACATCAGAAAAAAGCTTTTCTAACCATGTTGAACAGAATCATCATGCTGAGGGCCTCAGGATGTTCACAGGTAAAATCAAGTCCCATTACTGCCAATTTTAGAGGAAGACTTCAAAAAGCATCATTCTAATTTTTAAATAAATTCTTGTTTTCCCATTTTGAAGAAAGAAACCAAGAAATGAAAATACCTTCTGTCTATAAGAAGTCTATTTAATCCTTCCTTCAAATGTCTTTCTTCTTAATTTTTCTTTCTGATTGAAACATCAATTGTAGGTGCAACCAGAGGTTTGTATTAGATTGAGTTAAAAAAAAAAAGGTCTGACTCCTGGCTAGGATGGAAAAGGAGAGAGCTAGCCAGGATTTATATCTATCTCTCACTTCCATCTTCTGTCCCTGCTCCCCTCTTTTACCAGTCCTGGATTACAGGAGCTGATGGAGCAAACCTAGTGGTGCCCCAGGACATCTCCAACCATGTGAAAAATCACAGACAGGCTGGCCAATGTAGCAGCTATTCCCAGTCCTGATTCAAAGATCCTTTATCCTCAAACCCGAAACTTGGAAAGGGAATCTCAAGTATAACCATCACGTTTTATTCAACTACAACTAATTCACTTCCCTTATTCTGTCAAGGCACCATGGCCTCATCTAAAGAGGTCCACTGTGTTGAGAAAAAAGATAACTTTTAAAATGTTGCAAGATTTGGAACCAAACTTTGCAACTGATTTTGCTTAATGCTGATTAGTTACCTTTCCTTTAGTCAATGGGAAAGTGAGTTACTAAAAACATGATGGAAAATTTTTATGAGCAAAAATGATCGCTGAAGCAATGTCTGTAATTAATTACAAAAGTCTAGAAACAAGTTACATGTAAATTCGTACATACTCCTAAATAAATATTAGGCAGGAATTTACAAATTAAGACAGCTGTCCATACGTTGACATGTAATAATCTTCAAAATATAGATCTCAAGTGAAAAATTAAAACTAAGTACATAATGGTATATATAAGAGAATTTCATCTACATTAAAATGTGTGTGTATGTCTACCTGTAGAGGCATAGAATATTTCAAGAAGGATACAAAGGAAACAAGTAAAAAATGGGCTGCCTCTTGGAAGGGAACAGAGGGACCAGTATCTGGGGTGGAATGAAGACTTACTTTTTACAGGTATAACTTCTAATATTGTGGAAGTTTTCCACTTGGTGTTACTTTTTAAATAAGAAAATTAAAATAGGGCTATACATTTTAGATTCAGAAATTGAGATTACAACATTAAAAGTGACTGCTTAGTAGTCACCTTGAACCAACACAATGCTCATATAACTTTACCTTTCATAAGTGAACAAAACCATAGATTGACAATTCATTTCTATTTAGCTCTAACTTCTCCCTGCTAGCCGTATTTTCACTCTCCACCACCCAGAGACTGCCATCTTACTAATGCACTTGCTCATTTTTTCCCTAGTTTAACAATGACTTCTGCACACTTGCCCCTCTGAGGCTATGCCCCTGTGTATTTTTACATGTACCCCTCCACTGTCTACTTGAAGAAGTCGCTGGAGTATCCACCTAAAATTTTATCTGCTTCTACTAGTATATCCACTTACGTCAATCTATATATATTCTAACAAACAGATACTACCAGAGGACTGCTGACTTCTGGGATAACCTAAAATTGTACACTTCTTCAGAGAGGAGAAAGCTTACTTTTAAGAGGATAGCTTTATGGAATTTCTGCATCCAGTTAAATTAGTTGAAACAAATACTAAAATATTTATGTCTGTGCATGACTGTGTTTATCTGTATGCATGCACAAAGCTATGCAGGAAATTTATGTAATGTTTAGCGAGTTAGGCTTGTGGAGCAAGAAGACCCAAGAATCAGTGTGACTATATGGAACAAAAGGTGAATAACAAATCTTCACCTCATGAGTCGCTGTCAGTTAACCCCTTATAAAATTACGTAAGAGAAAGAAAGCAAGTTACCGTCTGGTTATCATTAGCATATCTGTCTTATTGATCATGACATGGGTAAAATATTTGTATTTTGCAAATCTTCCATTTTCCATGACCTAAAAGAAAAAAGTGAGAGACAATGAGAAAATTGATAGTATTTCCTACTGTAATGCAAACAATGCCTTATAGTCCTCTAAAAACCATTTCTCAATGGGGCAAACCATTAACATAGAGAAAACATTTAATTATTTGTAAAATCATTGCTGTTTCCTTTTTAAAAGCATCTACTTGCACTACTTTATTTAACATTACTCAGTTGCAGCAATGCCAGCCTTTAATGCTAGACTTTTAGAAGCTGATGTTATCTTACAAAGTTTAAATTCAATCTAATGAGGTATTTAACTATTACAGTGACTTTATATTGGAAAACACATTAGTATTTAATAATATTTGTACAAAAACACATGTAAATACTAACACAAATCTAAACATATGCATCACATAAATTACTTATTAGCTTCTGCCTTGCGCTAGAAATTTCGTATGTAACAAATATGCTTTTCTTTGTCAATCTCACAACTTAGTAAAAAATAAAGAGCAGAGAGTTTCTGGACAAACAGGGACCCCAAGGCTTACTTAGCCTTTGAATCAATCTTTATTTTCAAGACTGTTGAAACACTGTCTATCCATGACACTGTTTATTAACAATTGTTTGCTTCAAGAAATGTAAATATAACCATATGAACAAAATAAGATTTACCATTTTAAATTCCATTTTCAGTAATATTTGCTCTGAGGATGGACGTACTTCAGCTATTTAAAGTACATAGCAGGCTAGCCTACTGTTTTTACAGGCAAGGCAAGCAATGTAATTATGACTAAGTTCCCTCAAGAAGAGGCATGTTATGAATTTAGCCAAATGTGAAAAATCATAAAGAAATCCAAAAGAGGATATAAAGGTTTTAGAAAATTGTGTTCCATGAAACTGTACCAAAAAACTAAAATTATTTAGCTTAGAAGAAAGCTAAGAAGTGACTTCATGATGATCTTCGTATAGAAAATTGATAGTTTTCATTTTTATCTGAGAAAGAAGTTAAAAAACTAAAATAGCAGGATGACTCATACAGATTAATTGCATGGAAGAAGTTCCTAACTTCAATGATTATAAAATATTGAGGAAAAGAATATCTTTACTATTTACTGTAGTAGGTAGGGCAAATAAACACAAACACTTTGTAATACAAATGAAAAAGGGACATACATACAGATTCAGAAAAAAATAATATGAATTACAGTAGTTCTCCCTTATCTGCAGGGGGATATGTTCCTAGACCTCCAGTGGGTGCCTGAAACCACAGACAGCACTGAGCCCTACATATATTCTATGGTTTTTCCTATATACACACACCTATGATAAAGTTTAATTTATCAATTAGGCACAGTAAGAGATTAACAATAACCAATAATAAAATAGAACAATTATACTGTAATAAAAGGTATGTGAAGGTTTATTTCTGAAATTTTCCATTTAATATTTTCAAACCATGGTTGGCCATGGGTAACTGAAACTGCAGAAAGCAACTGTGGAAATGACAGGACTACTGTATTAGATAATTTATAAATTATGCAAATAATTTTGAAAACTTAGATGAAAAGAACTGTTTTAAGAAATATTAAGAGGAAGAAGCATCATGAGTAGAAATTATTTGTGGATGACAGTACATCTGGAAAATCCAAGCACACAAAACCCAGTAATCAATTTGGAAATGGAAGAGAAAGAAATCCCGTTTACAAGGGTAATAAAAAGATAAATATTTACATGTAAGTTTAATAAATACTGTGCAGAATATAGGTGATAAAAGCCATACCACTCTATTCAGGGGAGTAAAAGAAATTTTGGAAATGGAAATCCATATCTTATTCTTGGATATAAAAATTTATCATAATAAAGATGTTATTGACTCCCTCCCAATTTTTACACACACACACACACACACACACACACACACACACACACACACAACTTCATGTGATCCCAAGATGGTGGTTTTTGGAGCATGGGGTAGGAGGTAAGAAGTGATTTGTCAAAATTATACTAAAATGTAGCTAGGAAAAATATGTGGTAATATCCAGTAAATTATGAAAGAAGAATGAGAAGAACTACTCTGGAAGACATTAATGCAATTTATAAAGCTGCAGTAGTGAAATAGTTTGGTGGTGGTAAAGTATATGCAGACATATCAAAGGAAAGAATACAGATTACAGAAACTGACCACTATGCATATACGACATTATAAAATCCTATCCAATTACGGAAATTTATTAAATGAAGACAGCACTTCAAATTAGTGGGTAAACACATGTATTATCAAATAAATGGCGTTTTAAGTAACTCACTGGCTAAAGCTGTATCCTTCTCTCTATATACCCTATCAATTCTACATGGATCAATGATTTAAGTATAGAAAATAACTATAAAAGTACTATAAAAAGTAACATTTTAATAACTTTTTTTTTTTTTTTTCAGACAGAGTCTCGCTCTGTTGCCCAGGCTGGAGTGCAGTGATGCGATCTCGGCTCACTGCAAACTCTGCCTCCTGGGTTCATGCCATTCTCCTGCCTCAGCCTCCCAAGTAGCTGGGACTACAGGCACCCATCACCACGCCCGGCTAATTTTTTTTTTGTATTTTTAGTAGAGACGGGGTTTCACCATGTTAGCCAGGATCTTGATCTCCTGACCTCCTGATCTGCCCGCCTCTGCCTCCCAAAGTGCTGGGATTACAGGCATGAGCCACCGCGCCCGGCCCATTTTAATAATCTTGAAGTGGGAAAGGCCAAAATATAACAGAGTCCATAAAACACAACATAAAAAATTGTTAAGTACATAGAACTTAACCACTACTGAATGGCAAAACGATAAGCAAATAAACAGTAATAAAGTAAAATAACAGAAAAATCAAAGGACAATTTGGGAAAATATTTGTCAATACAGAGATATAGAGTCATTTTCAAAATATAGACAATTCTAGCAATTTGAAGAAACCGACAGAAAAAAATGAGTAAAGCAGTAGAAAAATGTGTGAAGAATATGAAAAGGTAGTTCAGCAAAAAAAAAAAAAAAAAAAAAATCTGACTGATAAACATGAGAAAATATTCACTATAACTCAAAATTAGGAAAATGCAAATCAATTAAACATACCCTCTGAGTCAGCAATTACACTGCTAGAATTTATCTTAGGCAAAAGTATGCCAAAATATACATATAAGAATCTTCACAGCAATATTGTATTAAAAGCACAAAATCTAAATATTCATTAAAAGGGTACTGGTTAAATAAATTCATGTACAGCCATACAATGGAGCATTATGAAGTCATAAAAAACCTGTGCATACTGACATAGAGAGATGTATAAGATATAGTAAATAAAATTATATTACAAGAGAATGTATAGAATGAAAAGTAGAAATGCATACATGTACATATATTTGTACGTACATGTATCTGTGCATATAAGCAGTTAAACCAGTTTCAACATGTAGAAACTTCTGGAAGGTACACATCAATCTATTAACAGCACTGATCACTGGGCTTCTGAAGCATAATGGTGGAGGCAGAAGTTAAGCTTTTATTTTTAATTTTACATTCTTTTATTCTGTTTCAGTTTTTTGATATCTGAAAAGAAACTGGCTTTCAAAGATTCATTTTCTTTTGTTCCATATGGCGAAGTTTAAAAATGAAGAATACAAATGTTGATCTCAAGAATGCCACTGCTAATAGAATTCAAGAGCCTACATACACCATTAATAGATCGTAACCTTCCAATAGTTTAAAAGCTATGGTTTATTCCAAGTACCTAACTTTTATTTCCATATTATGCTAAGTTTGGGCATTGTAATTAAGCCTACCTCTCATCACTTTCTACTTTCCAGACCCAACTTAAATCAAATCTAATCTGTGCATATAAGCAGTTAAACCAGTTTCAACAGTCACAACAGCATCTGGTATAAGTAAGAGCTAAAAGAATCCAGAGAAAGTAATTCATATAATGCTTTCCATCCAAAACCTTAAATGTAACACACTTGATAGATGAATGAGCTTTATGGTCATAGTAGTCTGTTTTGAAACGTAATCAACCGTATCCTTTGTTTTTTTTTTTTTTTTTTTTTTTTATTTTTTTTTTTTTATTATACTCTAAGTTTTAGGGTACATGTGCACATTGTGCAGGTTAGTTACATATGTATACATGTGCCATGCTGGTGCGCTGCACCCACTAATGTGTCATCTAGCATTAGGTATATCTCCCAATGCTATCCCTCCCCCCTCCCCCGACCCCACCACAGTCCCCAGAGTGTGATATTCCCCTTCCTGTGTCCATGTGATCTCATTGTTCAATTCCCACCTATGAGTGAGAATATGTGGTGTTTGGTTTTTTGTTCTTGCGATAGTTTACTGAGAATGATGGTTTCCAATTTCATCCATGTCCCTACAAAGGATATGAACTCATCATTTTTTATGGCTGCCAACCGTATCCTTTGTTATTAGAGTGACTGTATTTGAATAAACGTCAAAGCGTCAAAGATAACTCATCGCACAGCAAAATCTTGCTGGTCAGTCTCCATTATAAACATGAGAATACGGAATAAGAACATTATAAACAGAATCCAAAACTTTCAAACTGAATCCACAGAAGTTAATGGGAGAGAACGTCACGCTGTAAAAAGTCTACAAATGTCACGTTGTAGTCACAAATTCCTGCCTGACTTTATGAATGCATTATATAAGAAGCTTTAGACTACTCAAAACATCATTTTTGGGGGGAAAAAACCCCAGAATTTTGGAACCGAAAAACTCCTGTTGCTCATCCAAACCAATCTCTTCCTTTTACACACAAAGAAACTGAGGATCAGTAAGTGTCTAATGAATCTTCTAAATCTAAATTTTCACCATCTTGTGTAATTAGGTAAGAGTACATCTAAGTGACTTGCTTGGGGTTAGTTGCAAAACTGGGCTCAGAAAACTGGATTCTTCACTTCTAATTCCAGTGCGTTTCACTATACCAAACATATCATGATGTTTCTTCCTCATGGTATCAGTCATACTTTCCTCATGGTACCTCAAAAAATGTCTTTGATATCCCTGGATACTGATAGTTGCTGAGGTAGGCTGCTAATTTTTTCCAGGTCAACAGTATTCAAATAATTTAGTGTCAAAAATCCTATCTTCCTCCATCCCAAACAGATGCTAGGTATAAATGGTTCTATTAAAATAATTTGTGATAGCCTTTAAAATAAATGAAGAATTAGCAAAATCAGGGTTTGGGAATCATCATGTAGGGCCTTTACATAAAGACCAAGATTTGGCTGAACTATGAAGGAATTAACAATGCCAGTACTTTAGACATGTTAGCCTCATTTATATGCTTAAATGTTAAAGGAAAAACATTTTTTTCGCCTTATTCATTAAAAGTATATATATAAATTACCTATCATAGTTTAAGAATTACTAAAAGAAACAGAAACACAATGGAAACTGCATTCATTATATACAATTGTCAGAATCTATAGGTAATAATTAAAATACATGGTTACTGGTAAACAGGTCCTTTTGCATTTAGAAAAGATGAGTACATAAACCATACTTTATTAGACATAAATAAATTCAAACCAAATTAATGATACATTTGGAAACACAAAGAAAGTGGAACTTGAAGGACAGAGCCATGGTAACAGAGACACTTCTAACACTCTCAAATCATCCAAATGTTATGAAGAAACAGAATCCCTTAACAAAAATACTTCTGAAAAATAATGCAAAATATGAAAAGATTAAAAATAGGAATAAATCACTAAAATAAAAGGCTTTAAGTCCCAACCAAAGAATGTGTTAATCATTAATAGGAAATATATTTAAGAAAATTGGTTAAAGGACAAGAACATGTTGTTCGGCAAAACAAAAAACCAAAATCTAATCAATATCTGACTCATGTGGAAGACAAGTGTTGCAAAGAGGTATGAACGTTTAAAAAAAAATAGCAAAAATGGGGGATTAAAAACATGAAATTCAGCCAGACACGGTGGCTCACACCTGTAATCCCAGCACTTTGGGAGGCCGAGGCGGGCGGATCCCAAGGCCAGGAGTTTGAGACCAGCCTGGCCAACACGGTGAGACCCCGTCTCCACTAAAAATACAAAAAATTAACTGGTTGTGGTGGCAGGAGCCTGTAATCCCAGCTACTTGGGAGGCTGAGGCAAGGAGAATCACTTGAACCTAGGAGGCAGAGGTTGCAGTGAGCTGAGATCACACCATTGCACTCCAGCCTGGGCAACAGAGCGAGACTCCGTCTCAAAAACAAAAAACCATGAAATTCATCTAAATGAAAGATAAAAATGAATACTATCAAGCAAGAAAATATATAGATAACAAATGGTTTTATAGACTGGTTAATTTGAGGGTTCCGGAGATGAGTGGGAAAGAGGAAGCATTTATGAATAGATTCTACTTAAAATTTAAGCTTATTTCTAAAACCAACAAAATTCAGGAAGTTAATTGTAAAATGGTAAATACTGCCATTTTAAAACTATTTAAGAAGTAAATAGACAAACTGTTCAAAACAATCTTATCTTTAGAGAAAACTTAATAAGTATAACTTCCTTAGAGTTTTATGATGAATTTTTAGGGATAAAGAAAGTTTTACTAATTCACTTCAAACCTCAGACTCGAGTGCCATGGCCAGGAAAAAGAAGGTATTCAAGCAAACTTCACAATCAAATATAGTAGAAATTTATTACCTCAAAACTTAATGATTTCATATTCTTGAATGAGAATAAATGTAAACAAGAATAAAGAAGTGACAGGTAGCTTACCTTGTCTGAGGTAAGTTGGTTTTAAAAAAATAAAATCTTACTGACTATATGGTCAAATCTGAAGAGCAACCAGCACTTATTTTATCCCTCATAACTTCATCCTCTCCCATGCTAATATGCTATCTTGACTGTCAGCAAAACCATAGGTATAGGCTATACTGACAGCTTAGACAGGGCAGGAAAGCTGAGCATAACCTTTGACATAAAATCAAGTGTAAGAAACTACTATATCTTAAGAGATACGAATTGTTGTCATCAACTGGTACAACCAAAAGCCTGGAGAAGGAAAATAACTATGCTCATCAAATAGTTATATGTACTGACAACAGCAGACCATCAATTAACGTACTTAATATATTCTAGGAGAAGAGCCAGAGTGAGAGCATCAAGGGTAATGTAGGTGCACAGTAACAAAAGTCTCACTAAAGTTCAGCAGAACCTCTAATGGATCAACATTTACGGGTCCATCATACTACATATCCCTGAAAGCAGCAGTAACATTTCTTTTAAAATACTGTATAATTCAGAGCAGTTCAAATCACTGAGGTTTTACTGTTTCAACTGCTTGCCAATTAGCATGTGTGGAAAACTGTCATGGTGTTTTAACTACTCTGTTAACCTTGAAAGGAAAAAAAGATTCTTTTTTAAATTCTTAAAATCTATTCTTTTAAATTCTTAAAATCTACTCTTAAATAGAATAGATTTTGTCTTGCCAAAGAGGACAAAAATGAGGAATTTATATAATGATGACTAAGAACTTGCATAAACTGGTATTCATCTGGAATAATAAAAATATAATGAGTTATTATTAGGCACCATGCTAATAATTACAGGCATATCTAATTTTATTATACTCCATTTTATTGTATTTCCCAGATATTGTGTTTTTTACAAATTGAAGGTTTATGGCAACTCTGCATCAAGCAAGTCTACAGGCACCATTTGTCCAACAGCACATGCTCATTTCGTGTCTCTAAGTCACATTTTGTTAATTCTTACAATATTTCAAACTTTTTTTATCATTATTATATCTGTTATGGTGATCTGTGATCACTGATCTTTGATACTGCTATTTTATAGTCCTTTTTGAGGTGCCATAAACTACAGCCATAGAGAGTGAACTTAATCTATAAATGTGTGTTCTGACTGCCCCACTGATTGGACGTTTCCCAAATCCTCTCCCTCTCCTTGAGCCTCCCTATTACGTGAGAAACAACAATATTGAAATTAGGCCAATTAACAGCCCTACAATGACCTCTAAGTGTTCAAGTGAAATGAAGAGTTATATGTCTATCACTTTAAATCAAAAGCTAGAAACGACCAAGCTTAGTGAGAAAGACATGTCAAAAGCTGAGTTAGACTGAAAGGTAGTACCTCTTGTACCAAACAGCCAATCTTGAATGCAAAGGAAAAATTCTTGAAGGAAAGTATTATGAAAGTGTTACTCCAGTGAACACAAGAATTATAAGAAAGCAAAACAGCCTGATTGCTGATATGGAGAACGTTTTAGTGGTCTGGATAGAAGATAAACCAGCCACAACATTTCTTCAAGCCAAAGCCTAATCCAGAGCAAGGCCCTAACTATCTTCAATTATATGAAGGCTGAGAGAGGTGAGGAAGCTGCAGAAGAAAAGGTGAAGCTAGCAGAGATTGGTTCATGAGGTTTAAGGAAAGAATTCACCTCCATAGCATAAAAGCACAAGGTGAAGGGGCAAGTGCTGATGCAGAAGCTACAGCAAGTTAGCCAGAAGATCTAGCTAAGATCACTGATGACAGTGGCTACACTAAACTACAGATTTTCAATGTAGATGAGATAGACTTCTATTGAAAGATGCTATCCAGGACTTTCATAGCTAGAGAGAAGTAAATGCCTGGCTTTAAAGCTTCAAAAGACAGTCGGATTCTCTTGTTAGGGGCTAGTGCAGCTGGTGACTTTATTTAATTTCTTTAGAGACATGGTCTTGCTGTTTTGCTCAACCTGGACTTGAAGTTCTGGGTTCAAGGGATCCTCTTGCCTCAGTCTCCCAAATAGCTGGGACAACAGGTGGCTGCCGCCATGCCTGGTGCAGCTGGTGACTTTAAGTTGAAGCCAAGACTCCATTCCAAAAATCCTAGAGCCCTGGCCACATGAGGCATCTCACGTGTATAATTCCAGCACTTTGGGAGGCCATGGTGGGCGGATCGCTTGAGCACAAGAGTTCAAGACTAGCTTGGGCAACATGGTGAAACCCCATCTCTACAGAAAAAAAAAAAAAATTAGCCAGATGTGGTGGCACATGCCTGTAGTCTCAGCTACTCAAGAGGCTGAGGTGGGAGAATCAACTAAGCCTGGGAGTTCGAGGCTGCAATAAGCCAAGGCCATATCACTGCACTCCAGCCTGGGTGACAGAGTGAGACTCTTATCTCAAAAGAAAAAAAAGTGCCGGGTGTGGTGGCTCATGCCTGTAATCCTAGCACTTTGGGACGCCGAGGTGGGTGGATCACCTGAGGTCAGGAGATCGTCCCCAGCCTGGCCAACATGGTGAAACCCCATCTCTACTAAAAATATGAAAATTAGCCCATGTTGTGGCAGGCGCCTGTAATCCCAGCTACTCAGGAGGCCGAGACAGGAGAATTGCTTGAACCCAGGAGGCGGAGGTTGCAGTGAGCCGAGACTGCACCATTGCAGGCTACCTGGGTGACAGAGCGAGACTCCGTCTCAAAAAAAAGAAAAAGAAAAAATCCTAGAGTCCTTAAGAATTACTTAAAGTTTACTAAATATTTTAAGCCCACTGTTGAGACCTATCGCTCAGAAAAATATTACTGCTCATTGACCATGCACCTAGTCACTCGGGCTCAAGAGCTCTGATGAAGATGTACGAGATTAATGTCATTTTCATGCCTGCTAACACAACCATCCATTCTACAGCCCCCATGGATCAAACAGTAATTTCAACTTTCAAGTCTTATTATTTAAGAAATACATTTTGTTGGGCTGCCACAGGGAGTGATTCTTCTGATGGATCTGGTCAAAGTAAATTGAAAACTTATGGAAAGGATTCACTATTCTAGATGCCATTAAAAACATCTGTGATTAATAAGACGAGGTCAAAATATCAATAGTAACAGGAGTTTGTCTGGAAAAAGTGGATTGCAACCATCATGGATGACTTTGAGGGTTCAAGACTTCAGCGGAGGAAGTAATTGCAGATATGGTGCAAATAGCAAGGGGATTAGAAGTGGAGCATGAAGAGGTAACTGAATTGTTACAATCCTATGATAAAACTTGAACAAAGGAGAAATTGCTTCTTATGGATAAGCAAAGAAAATGGTTTCTCCAGATGGAATCTATTATCGGGGAAGATTCTATGATTGTTTAAATGACAACAAAGGATTTAGATTATTCCATAAAAATAACTGATAAAGCAGCAGTAGGGTTTGAGAGGACTGATTCCAATTTTGAAAGAAGTTCTATTGAGGGTAAAATGCTATCAAACAGCATCACATACTACAGATAAATCTTTCGTGAAAGGAAGAGTCAATCAATGTGGGAAACTTCATTTTAAGATATTACCACAGCTATCCCAACCTTCAGCAATCCCTATCCTAATCAGTCAGCAACCATCAACACCAGGCATGCAAAAAGATGGACTCACTGAAGGCTTCAGATGATCAGGATTTTTTTTTTTTTTTAGCAATTATGTATTTTTAAATTAAGGTGTGTATATATATAGTTTTATATAGTTATATATAGTTTTATATAGTTATATATAGTTTTATATAGTGTATATATAGTTTTTTAACGACGTGATTGTACATAATAGTCTACATTATAAACATAATTTTTATATGCACTGGAGAACAAATATATGCGTGTGACTTGCTTTGTTGCCATATTCGCTTTATTCTGGTGGTCTGGAACTGAACGTGCAGTATCTCTGAGGTATGGCTGTACATACATTACCTCATTTGTTCTAACCCTAGCAACAACACCAAGATAAGCACTACAATTATCTCTCTTTTACAACCTGGAAACTGACGTCAGATAAGCATAATAAAAAATAATAACTCTAGTAAAAGGAAAAAGGCTACAATTGAACTCAGGTTTACTTGGCTCCAGAGTCCAGGCCCTTAGGCACAGGGTATTGCTATATCTCAAAATAATTTTTATTAACAAAACGAGTTAGCACAGAAGAACTATATATATTCCAGTAGACTCAGTGGGATCTCATTTTAACCGTTCATTGGTATATGGATTTAGATATCTCACAAACTGTTATCATGTCTCTTGCAATGCTTCAAGTTCATATAATACCTAGGGATCACTGTCTCTGTGGAAGATGGGTCATATTTTAGGTGTCTCTGATTCCTAATGTTCTTTACAGCCTTGCATATACCGGCTAAACAACAAACAGGAATGAGAGTGTGAAGATCCGACATTACAGGGTTGGCCTCTAACGTGGCATGTGTTTTATGCCCCATCACCAGAACAATAAAGCTCATTACAATTATAAACTCATGAGAGATGAGCAGGAACCTTCAATACTCTCTTCAGGGCTGTAACTCTACTATCTACAAGAGTGTCTGAACACATAATGAACAGAACTGAATTTGTTTGTAGAACAAATGAATACATGGCATTAATTCTTTTCTTTGTATTCATATAAACTATGCTACCAAATAAAGCCAGCAAAAATTCAATTTTATATATCTATATCTATCCATATATTTTATTCTTTTGGCAACTTATTCCATAAAGATTAACTTTACATGAAATGTTCAATCTCCCATATTTGTATTCCAACACTGCATCTTCATAAGATCTCTAACTCAAACTACTTAGACTTGAAGTACCACAGAAATGTCTAAATCTATATTTCTTTATAGTGCTTCCGTAGGGTTCTTTACAGTGATAAATTTTCACTGAAAAATTACCATTACAATTCATTAGAGTCATCATTAGAAGTGACTAGGATATCAATTTCATTTGAATTTAAAACAAAAGATTCTTAACTGACAAAAACAAAACACCAAAAAACATGGTGCTTCCTTTAATAGATGGCATTAAATTGTGTTTTTGGATGAGTGAAAAGAGGCCTCTAATCTGATTTTGCATGATAACTTTCATTCGGCAAGTGAATGTATCCTTTCACAGGACATTTGGCTAATAAAAAATAGACTTTTCATAATGTATACTAGTTTTCTAACAATGTTATTGTTACAGCATGCACGTACACACACACAAATATTTCTGAATGAGCTTTACTACACTCACCTTATGCTGAGAATCTTTGTGTCCAAGGTAACTAGGGAAAGTTACTAGGTAGAGCTCTATCACATCAGTAGAGAAATCATGAGTTGAGTCCTGTATCAGAATTTAGCAACTTTGCTTAATTAAGGCTGAAGACCTTCTAGCTAATACTTACTGCACTTTTAGCTGTATTGACAGATCTTTGATTAAAAAGATGTAAGACTCAAATTGAACGTACCTGGGCTTAACATTTGAGGATTTCTTTTAATGTTATAATGTATTGAATTTTCTATTACAGTAGCATTTATCCTTTCTTAATATATTTACAAATTTAAGGGATGCAATGATGACAAACTGAAAGATCTAGAAATCAAATTAGTCTCATTTAAGTTCCTGAATTAAAAAAGAGAATTAGGCCAGACGCAGTGGCTCATGTCTATAATCCCAGCTACTTGGGAGGCTGAGGTGGGAGGATCACTTGAGCCTAGGAGTTCAAGGCTGCAGTGAGCTATGATTGCACCACTGCATTCCAGCTTGGGCGAGAGAGTGAGACCTTGTCTCAACAACAAACAACAACAACAACAACAACAACAAAAAGAGAGGGACGGGGTGGGGGGAGGGGTGGCGGGCGGTGGGAAATGAATAAATTTTACACTTGAGATGAAAGAAAAAACCTGAACCTCCACGAAGTGGAATCATCACCACCAGAGGAAGACATAATTTATTTCAAAATCTTATTCTAAAATTATTTTTATATAACACTGGAAGGTTCTAAGTGGGGTTCCTTACTCTATTTTGGACTCTACTGGTCCAAAATATAGTGGTACACACTATTAAATGTTCAACATTTGGGCCTTTGGAAATAATGTGACAGTCTCTCCAAGAGATTCCTGCTAAACTAGTAAGGTATGATAATTGTATCCAAAAATCCATGGAAATCTTTTCCATGAAATCTGCTTTATTTGAGATGCTAAGAATTCTAATTTGCCTGGATAACACAATTTGGCTCTCTTCAGTGTTCTCATCCCATTCAGAAGTATCCTTCTGGAGAGGAAGAGCTATAAAATGAAGAGTGAAGTCCAATAGCCTTTGTCTCCTAGTTCTTGTCCACTTACTCAAATTTTCAGATGAAGCCAGGAAGTGTTCGGCACTACTCTGGTGATCTGACTGCTATAGTAAGACCTTTCTTCCAGATTAGTAGTCATTCTCCTCCTGAAGTAAAGGGAAAGACCACGTCGGCTGACGGCAGTTATCTTCCAATTGCTATTAAGGCAGTGTTTGAAGCTAATTATAAACATCTGTAATTTCTGAAAGAAAAGAAATATACAAGACACAAAAACAGCCTCCCTTCTGTAACAACTTACATGACGGCAGTTATAGAATCCCTGTAAAAGATTCAAAGACAACATAGATAAATTCAAAAATACCTGAAATGTTTAAGAACACACTATACTACACCCACAGGACAACAACTCAGCTGTCAACATTCAGACACAATGAAGGACACAGGAATCATACACACACATACCCATGCAAACACATTTTAAAAGATTTACTTAAAGGGAAGAAATGTTTTTAAAAAAGTATAGAGTCAAAAGGTAGAAATGTTTAACGAAAAAGAAAAAAGCTTCTACATCAGGTATACAAACAAAAAGCCGAGAGCAATGGATCACGTCTGAAATCCCAACACTTTGGGAGGCTGAAGCGGTAGGATCGCTTGAGCTCAGTTCAAGACCAGCCCGGGCCACATAGCAAGACCCTGTCTCTACGAAAAAATTTAAAAAATTAGCCTGGCATAGTGGTGCATGCCTGTAGTCCCAGCTACTTGGGAGGGTGGAGCAGGAGGACTACTTCAGTCCATAGTTTGAGGATACAGTGAGCTTATTCAAGCCACTGCACTCCAGCATGGGCAATGGAGTGAAACTCTGTCTCAAAAAAAAAAAAAAAAAGAGTTCTGCTTACTCTTTATGTGCTCCATAAATAAAGACTAGGTTTCCCAATTACGGATATTTCTGAGTGGTATGCTTTTTTAATCTTTAGAAGTTAATAATGCTGCTTATAAAAATACGTAGTAAAACATAAAATGGCAATTTATACTTTTGAGTCATAACCAGGTGAATAAAAAATTTAAAAAGGAAATATACCATAAATGGTGGGGAGACAGGATAATTGTTTCCTTTTCTATAGTTTCCTGCTTTTCTCTAATGAGCATACTTCAATGTAGAAAATAATCTATTTAATGTAGAAAATAACTAATGTTGAAAAATTTCGTATCTTTATAAAATACTAAAGTTGTCAACTGAGAATCAATGTCAGCAAATGGATCCACAGGTTTTTAGCTTTTTCCCTAGAAATGCAGGTCTGTAAAATTTTTAATTCATAGAAATGCCAAGTTTTATTGAATATACTCAGAAAACCTTTGTAGACATAATGTAGTTAACAGGTTACTGATAAATGATAATTTATAGTAGAAAAATATAACATGCCCAATTACGACAAACTGGGTATACTTAGCTAAATCTCTGACTATCCTGGTTGCTTTTAAAAAACAAAAACAATGCCTATAATATTTTCAGTGCTCATGTATTTGAGGATCTCTAAGATCCAGAAGAATAGCATAATACAATTCAGGAGAAATCTTTACAAGTTCATTGCTTAAAACATGTGTAAGCAATGAAGAAGATTCATCAAAAGCCAGTTTTATAACACTGTTAAACGTGTGTTTTAAAATTGATATTTGGAGGTAGACTGTTGCTATATATCGGTTGATATGGAATAATTGCTAAATAAATTTATCATACTTATTGAGAATGATAAATATTCTGCCACGTTAAAACAAACCGGACAATAAATCCCTATGAAAATCATAAATTATTCTAATTAGTTCTCTTAACACAGACCTATTTGAAATTATTTGTTTTACTTTCCTTTGATGGACTTTCTACGTTTTGTATAATGCTGGCTGTACTCACTGTACTTTATGAACTCACAAATTCACTCACTAATATTAATGATTAAATTAACAGTGTAAGCATTCTTAATTGATCTCCATTTATTCCAAAGGTGCTGGAATAAATTGACATTTTCACATATCCATCATCATTATTATTTGAGCTAAATAATGTGTGTACACTTAACATCACCTGATTTTGATCCATAAGACCCTTTACTATTTTGCAAGGAAATCTAAGAGACAAAAAGCTGAAATTTGAAGATGCAGTAGAAAATACGCAGTAACAGCTGGGATGGTTGTTTCTGGTCCTTCTCCCATCACCACAAAAAAGCTGAATGCAAAATTTCATTACAAGACTTAAATCAGACAAACTAGTAGCTACTATAGCAGTCATTTATAATCTTGAGACACAGAAACAACAGTATTTTTCACATTGAATATTGATGTCATAAGTATGCAGTGGCTCCAGGTGTACACTTAAATAACATGAACTTAAAATCAACATTCAACACTGCATCAGTGATATGTGTTTTGAATAGTTTCAAAAACAAATTTATAAAATACTGATTATTTTAAATAAGGAAACAAAATTTGACTTCCTTTTCTATAATACTGAAAATTGGCAATATTATTCTGAATTTACATTTGTTTTATTTATATCCCATGTGAGTACTAATTAATTTCATTTACAGGCTTAGATTATTTATCTATGGTTATGAGTGTCCACAATTACAGATTTTTACAAATTTTTCTTCCTGCCCGTTTTCAATATGTTATTCAAGCGTCAGGTAGACACAAAGGAAAATAAGGAATCTCCAGGTAATCACTCCTTCAGGGAAGTGAACCTTCCTTCCCATTTTCTATACATAAGCAATGATCGTGCAGAAATCTGGAACATAAATGAAGTTAAAGCATATGGAAAGGTGTGGCATTACATAATTTTCAAACAGCTTTCTCACTAGACTTTCCTGTTAGATACTACCATTTTAAAAGTTCTAGTTAATTATAGAACCATTGATAAACAAGAGTTCATCTTATTAAAATCCAAATATAAATTCATTTTCTATATATTTGATAAGAAATAAGAATATATTTTTGCCTAGATCCTCTATCTCCATCAAGAGAACAATGGTGTAAAACAAAAGAGCAATTCTGTCTTTTTTTTTTGCTTTTACTAGAGAAAAATTCAAGTTTTTTTTCAAAACTGGAACACAATTAATACCTGTCCTCAAGAGGTTTGAAAAGATAATTTCACTGTGGCAGAAAAACAAGGGCAATTACACTGTCAAAGAGCAGATCTCGGCTGGGTGCGGTGGCTCACGCCTGTAATCCCAGCACCTTGGGAGGCCGAGGCAGGCGGATCACGAGGTCAGATCGAGACCATCCTGGCTAACACGGTGAAACCCCATCTCTACTAAAAACACAAAAAATTAGCCGGGTGTGGTGGCAGGAGCCTGTAGTCCCAGCTACTCAGGAGGCTGAGGCAGGAGAATGGCGTGAACCCAGGAGGTGGAGTTTGCAGTCAGCCGAGATCGCGCCACTGCACTCCAGCCTGGGCGACAGAACGAGACTCCATCTCAAAAAAAAAAAATTAAAAAAAAAAAATAAAGAGCACATCTCATCTCTAAGGGCTAAAAACTGAAGAATGATGAAACTCTAAGACCACACAAGCAATGTTTACTAGTTACTAGCATATTATTTAAAATATTTTTACTGAAGAAATTTTAAATAAATGTAATCCTACCTCCAATTTTCTTTTCATGAAAATGGTAAATCACTGCTAAGATAACCACAACTTTTTTTTTTTCCGATAAATTCTTAAGGAATGAAAGGTTAAGATCATCTTTATGAATCCCATTCCATGAAATTAAGTGTCACAGGCCAAGCACAGTAAATTTGGGAAATGTCTTGCAAACAAGTAGTTTCCACAGTCTCTTTTACAAAGGCCTTGTGACTAGCAAAGTTGGAATGTAAGAAGCCAATGAAGAAACTTCCAGACTCTTCCTTCCTTAAGCATATACAAAATACAAAAATAGGCAGTATTCTTTCTAGATTTTAGAAGGAGCAGTAAGTTTTGTTTGATTTTGGCCAAGGGTGAGAGAGGAGTGGGTGCACAACAAATACAAAGTTGGTTTCCAATAAAGCAATGACTATTTTAATGGTCACTATTTGTATGTACTTATTCTAAAAAGATAAAAATACTGTGATTAAAACAATAATTGAATTTTTTGATGTTTACATAACAGTTTTTTAAAACAACTTTATGATGTTTACATATTAGTAAGTTTGTTTTCAAACAAATTTTACATACATAACCTTGATTTCTATTTAATTTGAATGAATTCTGCATAGGAAGAAATTTCAAAAAAGCTGATTTTTTTCAGTTTTTTTTGCAGTAATCTCAATATTTTCAAATTTAAAGTAGTCACTTTCAAAAAACATAGAGAATGATTTATAGAAATAAAACTTGATAAACCTAAGAATTAGAGGAGACTCAGAAATCATGTGCTGAATCAGTTAAATTAAATCACCTGTTGCTTATACTGAGCTTCTGCTGTAGTCAAGATAAATATTCCTTTGTTGATCCAAAAGCACAGCAGTCATAGGGATTAAACATTCTAACTACCAAAGATCATATACTTTTTAGAGAATTTTTTAAAGTACGTCTGATATGTTAGAGAAATAGGACAGTTTCATCTATGTTGAAATTTTTTTAAAAACCTTTATTACACAAAACATAAAATAGATTTACTAATGGATCTTTCAGAGATATATGTAACATTTTCCCTAATATTACACAGAAAAAATATATATAGTTATGTTTACGATAGAAGTTTCCAAATATTCTGAATTCATAATAGAAATATAGTAGATGCATATACAAATTAATAAGTGAATATAATGACTATTAAAACCAACTTTGTTCATTGTTTCACAAAAAATATGTGAAACAAAACGGTAAAAAGTAAAGCAAAGACATAAAAGAACGGTCTTTTTCATTCTCAGACTATAAATTATTTTACTATCTACTCTTCCATGAGAGGCCATGACTGTTTTTTATAATAGCAGTTCAATCTATATGATTTGGGGATAGAACAACAAATTCACACTCCTTTAGATTACATATGTTTATTATTATTAAAAGAAATTTGACAAAAATATCTTTAAAATGATAAATATAAAACATTAAATGGCTATTACTATTTTCTTCCTTTTTTTTTACACAGTGGCATTACATTAAAGCCCAGAAAATTTACAGAGACCATTAAAAAAAGGCATTTTGCTAACAAATAAGAAGGCAATTTAAAATAAAACCAGTGAACATCAAAATTATATTTAAGTCTAACTTGAACTCTTAAAGACAAACTATGCAATACAAAGCTATAAAATATATAAAAGCAAATCTATAATATGTTGGATGCCCTCCCTACTTTGGATGTAAGATACATTTTTTTCTGTGCTTAAATAATACAATTATTTTGCTTTATGAAAATGTGTAGGAAAACATTTTAAAAGAAAATGTGTTTTACCTCCCTATAAATGGACATATGGGCATTATGGTATAAGTCATACAAAACATGTTAATGAAACATTCCAAGTAAAATAAAGAACATATGAATTTTAATGGTTTAGATCTGACTCATCATCATCATCATCATCATCATCATCATCACTACTGCTACTGTGAGTCATAATCCACTCCCTGTAGAATTGAATTTTCTGTAAGCATGGCAAAGGAAAAAAGAAGCACAAAGGTTAGTAGAGTATGGCAAATTGCTTGAAAACATGTAAGATTATGAAATGTTCAAAGAGTGAGAATAATTTTAAAGCAGATTTTTTCAGCTATGACTCAGACTGTAATTATGGATATAATATTCCATAACTTAATAGACCTAAGACAATTCCACTAGTTGGTACAAACTCAATGTATAAATTGGTTTGATGATATCAATAAGGTATTTTGTGAATATATTAAAATTACCATTCTATTTCTCTAATAGGCAACTTTGACCAGCAGGAAACACTGTAATAATGTGCTACCTTCTAGATAGAAAGGTACACAATAAAAGAATGTATTTTATATTTAATTATTATATGAGTGTATATAATTTAGTGAATACATCTTTTTTAGAAAATAAGAAAATAACATGAGAAACATTTGAAAGTATCAAATATTTTAAGGCACCTTCATTATATCACTTACATAAAATCTAGGCAGATGAGATGGATTTTAAATCCAGTTTATGTGTCATCTAATTATTTTCCACAGTACTGGTATTTACATATTTTTTAAGTGTTTGCTAATAATACACTAGAGCTTTGATTAAAAAAAAAAAAACAAAACCCACCACCATCAAAACAACAATCCACTTTTTATACCTGTAAGAAAAAAATGCTAACTGCAACATCCCAAGGTACTTGGTGAATCCCTACAAATATTTCAGCTAATACTGTGTAAATGCTTGCTGAAAAACAAGTAATGGCTGACAAGTGCTGTGGTTTTTAGTCATTTAAATAGCTCTTTTAGTGATTAATGATGAGACTGACCTATTAAAAATAAATATGTATCTTTAAAAGTACACAGTCAAAAGTCATGTTTTTACATCTCAAAGTTTAAAGCTTCAGAAAACAATGAGAAGCTTCACTAAAATCAAATTATCAACCATGAGAAATTATTGGTATCTCATGGCTTCCTTGTGGGTATCATAACGTGCTCACTTATAATGAGGATATATTCCTAAACTCTCCTCAACACTCATCCTTACTTCGTACTATATTTGATTTTTAGTCTAGTAAAATGTTAGTAACTTGTTAAATGCGTTCTAACAAGGGAAGGCAGGTATTGGGTAGAAATACATGTTTTGACTGTATCAGCCATGGGTGACTTCTGCAAATTTACTATCTTCCAAAGAACGATACACTGTCATTGTAGAGACTGCACAATCTGTCCATTAGAGCACAACCTCTTAATAGATTACCAGTTCTATCCCAATATACAATGATTTTGATGCTTCAAAAACATTTTAAATACAGTATAAAATCACTTAACTAAATATTGCATATTAACTCTATGGTTACATTTTTGTATATTAGAAGCCTCAGAGAAAGAGTTAGAAGTATATTTTATGCAATACTATATGCCCTGCAATAGGTAAAATACTGAAGTTTAAATCTTTACTCTGATCACATTAAATATCACAATATTTAAAATATTAAAGCCATAAAGGAAGCTTCATATTCCAACAGTTTATTGCTACCATGAGTATCTGCAAGCCTACATAACATAATGATTCCTTGTTTGTTTTCAAACAAATGATTTAATTTAGTATTCCACCTCTAAACCACAGAAACAACATGACACTGGTATAGCCTATATATGATTACTAGTTACCTACAGCATAATCCAGGTTTTAAAAAGTCGAATTTACCAAGTAAGAAAGTTGTCTAAGCAGATTCTAACTTCAAACTGTCTATTGTTCCAGATGCTACTTTGTATTATTAAAAGATACTGGTTTGCATGTGAACTGCTTATCAAATCCCACAAGTTTTATAAAGACTACACTAGAATAAAGCAGGAAGAGGGTCATGGCCATTTAAGCATTTTCAAAGGCAAAGCACAAGAATCCAAGAGTAATTCACAATAGCAGTGTTCCTGAGTTTTGCTTTTCCTTCTTCATGTGTAATTGGATATAAGGATTATATATCTGGTATAAAAGCTACCAGTGGTTTAATAACCCCACAACAGAAATGGTTTAATTGGTTAAGTAAGTACCACCAATGACGAGGATACATAAGGTACAAAGGCTTCCAACAAATCTAGCAAATCCAGTGCAGAACTAAGAACACCCTATAAAAAAACCAGATTCATTAAAATTCCTATTAAAAGTTACCAATACAAAAGGTTTTCTTTGTATTCAAAATACTGAAACAGCTGTACGTAGTTTGTAAATTTTAAGACTAAAATCTACTGTTGGCTTTCACTTGCAAAGTCATGCATTAACTTTTCATATCAAACTTTTTGATGCCTGTAAAAAAGAAAAAAAAATCTTATAGTAAATAAATGTACTTTAAAATCTAAGTAAATATAAGAAACTTATAAGTGGAATTAAGCAAAATAGATAAAAGCCCAAATAATTTAATATATATTAAATGGCTACTTAAAAAAAATCTAACTTGACTAAATTAATCTTAATTTATAAGATAGCTCTTAATTTACCTGTAACATTTGATTTCCAGTCCCATCCCTCAACCTGTACGGTCTGATAACTCCATCTTCATTGAAGAACCGAGGAGGTCGCAGACTCTCCACTTCAGAAGTCTCTGTAGCTCTAGAGGAAAAAAAATATAACTTTATTTTAAAAATTATTCAAAAACTTGTAAATAAACTATAAAATGCAATTACTAAAAACAATCTTATTTCAGATTAAAAATATTACAACATTCTCTAATTTTAAATTGTTTTTGTAACATAAACAGTGTAAGTTCTCTAGAAAAATACAGAACTATAGAGAAGTTTAAGTCTCTAGAACTTTCTTTGTGATAATAATCACAATATTAGCAATTGTTGCTTTTTCTTTTCCTATTACGTTGTCTAGTTTCTTTAGTATAATGCTATAAACAAAAAGGGATTGCAAGCATCCTTGTCTCATTCCTGACCCTACGGAAAGCTTCTAAGAGTTTTCTGTGAAGTATAGTTATCAGCAACTTTTTTTTTTTAAAGCACCCCTTAACAAGTCAAGAAAGTTCATTGCTACTTTTAGTTTACCAACAGTTCTTTTTTGTTACTGTTTTTGAAAATCTTAAATAGGCAATGAATTTTAAATAAGAATTTCTTTTCTGGCATTGTTTTGATCACATGGTATATTTTCCTTAATCTATTAATGTTATAAATCACATTATATAGTTTTCTAATATTCAAATACTCTCACAGTCCTCACATTCTTACTGGGCTTGATGTGTATTACTGTAAACACATACCCCAATCCTGGGCAGCATACACTGCTCTACAAAAAAATAAAAAAACTAGTCAGACATGGTGGTATGCAGCAGAAGTCCCAGACACTCAGAAGGCTGAGGTGGGAGGATAGTTTGAGCCCCATGCCACTGCACTCCAATCAGGATGCCAGAGTGAGACCCTGTCTAAAAACAAACAAAAAACCAAAAAACACATACCACATACGGCTAAATTGTGTATGGTAGTATTATATTTAACATTTTTGCTTATTTGGTCATAAGTGACCACTCAATTTGTTCACTCAACAAGTATCACATATTCAACAAATATTTATTAAGAGGTCCCCAACCCATGGGACTTGAACCAGTACCGGTCCATAGCCTGTTAGGAACTGAGTCGTGCAGCAGGAGGTGAGTAGTGGCAAGCAAGTTTCACTGCCTGAGCTCCACCTCCTGTCATATCAGCAGCGGCATCAGATTCTCATAAGAAGGCGAACCCTATTGTCAACTGCACATGCAAGGGATCTAGGTAGCACACTCCTTATGAGAATATAACTAAAGCCTGATGATCTGAGGTGGAACAGTTCCATCCTGAAATTATCCCTCCTGTCTGGTCTGTGGAAAAATTGTCTTCCATGAAACCAGACCTTGATGCCTAAAAGGCTGGGGACCGCTAACATAATGTATACACATGCATGGGCATATACATATGAATAAATTCTCCAACTGAAAACAGAATAGGGCCGGGTGTGGTGGCTCATGTCTGTAATCCCAGCACTTTGGGAGCCCGAGGCGGGCGGATCATGAGGTCAGGAGTTCGAGATCAGCCTGGCCAATATGGTGAAACCCTGTCTCTACTAAAAATACAAAAATTAGCCGGGCGTGGTGGCATGTGCATGTAGTCCCAGTACTTGGGAGGCTGAGGCAGAAGAATCACTTGAACCTGGGAGGTGGAGGTTGCAGTGAGCCGAGATCATGCCACTGCACTCCAGCCTGGGCGACACAGCGAGACTCCATCTCAAAAAATAAATACATAAGTAAAAAAATAAAAACAGAATAGATAAAAAAAATATGATCTAACAATATACTATCCACAGGAGACCTGATTTAGAGTCAAAGACACAAACTGGTTGCAACTAAAAAGGAGAAAATATATGCAAAGTGAACAGTAACTAAAAGAAAGCTAAAGTGGCCATGCTAATGTCAGAAAAAAACAGCCTTTAAAAAAATTCTTATTAGACACAAAGAAGGGCATTTTATAAGGAAAAAAGGGTCAATCCATCAAAAAGATAAAAAATTATAAACATATAAGCAGCTAATAAAAGAAGCCCCAAATACACAAAACAAAAACTAAGAATTTAAAAGACAAAAAGGCAATACCACCATAATAGTTGAAGATTTCAGCAACCTACTTTCAAAAATGGATACCAACTAGATAAAAGATCAGCAAGGAAAAAAGAGAACTTGAATAACACTATAATCCACTAGACCCAACAGATGTCTATAGAACGTTCAAACCAACAACAACAGAATATATATTCTTCTCAAGTGCAACGGAACATTATTCAGTATTAGCTATCTATTAGGTCATAAAACATGTCTCAATAATATAAAATTACTGTTTGCTTCTTGGCCTTTTGGCTAACATTGAATGTAAATATAAAACTACTGAAAATAGGCCAGGCGTGGTGGCTCATGCCTGTAATCCCAGCACTTTGCGAGGCCGAGGTGGTCAGATCACTTGAGGTCAGGAGTTCAAGACAAGCCTGGCCAACATGGTGAAACCCCATCTCTACTAAAAATACAAAAATGGCCGGGCGTGGTGGCTCATTCCTGCAATCCCAGCACTTCGGGAGGCCAAGGCGGGCAGATCACCTGAGGTCGGAAGTTCGAGATCAGCCTGACCAACATGGAGAAACCCTGTCTCTACTAAAAATACAAAATTAGCCGGGTGTGGTGGCACATGCCTGTAATCCCAGTTACTAGGGAGGCTGAGGCAGGAGAATAGCTTGAACTTGGGAGGCGGAGGTTGCGGTGAGCTGAGATAGCGCCATTGCACTCCAGCCTGGGCAACAAGAGTGAAACTCTGTCTCAAAAAAAAAAAAAAAAAATTAGCTGGGTATGGTGGTGTGTGCCTGTAATCCCAGCTACTCAGGAGGCTGAGGCAGGGGAATCTCTTGAACCTGGGAGGCAGAGGTTGCAGTGAGCCAAAATCACGCCACTGCTCCAGCCTGGGTGACAAGAGTGAGACTCTATCTCACAAAAAAAAAAAAAAAAAAAAAAAAGGACTGAAAATATACAAGTATGATACCTGACCACATGGAAGAAAACTAGAAATGTGTAAATAAGAGAAATTTATGAAATTTACAAGTGTGTGGAAATTAAAACATAGAAGCATAAATAACAAAATGTCAAAGAAAAAAATCACAAAAGAAATTCACTACTTTGAAACAAATAAAAGCAAAAATACAACACACCAAAACTTATAAGATGCAGCAAAGACAGTGCTCAGAGGGAAATTTATAGATGTGAATGTCTACATTAAAAAAGAAGGTCTGAAATCAATAATATAACTTCACAAGTTGAGAAAGTAGAAAAAGCAAACTAATCCCAAAGCTAGCAGAAGGAAGAAAATAATAAAAATTAGAGCAGAGATAAAAGAAATAGAGAATAGAAAAAATAGAATCAATGAAACTAAAAACTGGTTCTTTGAAAAGGACAACAAAAATGACACGCCATCACTAAACTGACCAAGAAAAAAAAGAAGACCCAAATTATGAATAACAGGAATTAAAGAGGGAACACTACTACCAATCTTATGGAAACAAAAAATAATTATAAGGGAATACTAGGAATAAATACTATATAAGGGAAAAATAATTATATGAGAATACTAGTAAATATTTACTATGATCAATAAATATATATCAACAAATTAGAACATCTAGATGAATTGAACAAATTCCTATAAAAACTACTGACAATGACTCAAGAAACAGCCTAACTAGACCTTTACCAAGTAAAGAGAGTGAATTTGTCATTTTAAAACTCACCAGAAATAAAAGTAAGAATCAGACGGTTTCACTGATCAATTCTCCAAATTTTTTTTTTAATTAACATCAACGCTCCACAAAGTCTTCCAAAAATTTGAAGAGGAGGGAACACTTCCTAAATCATTCTGTGAGGACAATATTACCCTGATACCCATACCAGGCAAAGACATCACAAGAAAACCACAGACCAATATCCCTTATAAATATACATGCAAAAATCCTCAACAAAATACTATCAAACCAAATCCAGTAAAATATAAAAACGATTACACATTATGTCCAAATGGGATTTATCCCAGGTATGCAATATTAGTTTAAGATCTGACTCAATTAATGTAATATACTACATTAGTGAAACAAAGGAAAAACCAACTATCAACTTAATTATACAGAAAAAGCGTTTCATAAAATCTAACATGTTTTCATGATAAAGACACAAAAACCTATAGCTAACATCACATTTAATGGTGAACATCTGAAAGCTTTCCCCCTAAGATTAAAAGCAATATAGGCATGTCTATTCTCTCAGCACTTCTACTTCACATTGTACTAGAGGTTCTAGCCAGGACAACTAGGCAAGAAAAAAAGCATCCAGATCAGAAAGGAAGAAGTAAAGTTACCTCAGTTCTCAGATGATATACTCTTACATATAGAAAACCCAAAAGAATCCACAAAACCATTAGAGCTAATAAACAAGTTCAGTAAGATTGCAGAAACTCAAATATAAAGAAAAACAGTTGTATTCAACACACCAGCAATAAACAATCCAACAATAAAATTAAGAAAACAATTCCATTTAAAACAGCATACCAGCACTTTGGGAGGCCGAGGCGGGTGGATCATGAGGTCAGGAGATCGGGACCATCCTGGCTAACAAGGTGAAACCCCGTCTCTACTAAAAATACAAAAAATTAGCCGGGCGCGGTGGCGGGCGCCTGTAGTCCCAGCTACTTGGGAGGCTGAGGCAGGAGAATGGCGTGAACCCGGGAAGCGGAGCTTGCAGTGAGCCGAGATTGCGCCACTGCAGTCCGCAGTCTGGCCTGGGCGACAGAGCGAGACTCCGTCTCAAAAAAAAAAAAAAAAAAAAAAAAAAACAGCATCAAAAATACTTAGGAATAAGTTTTTAAAAAGAAGTATAAGACTCGTACATTACAAACTATAAAACATTATTGAAAGCAATTCAAGAAGACCTAAATAAATGGAAAGACGTTGCATTTTCACAGGTTAAAAGATAATACTGTTAAGATGGCTACACTCCCCAAATTGAACTACAGATTCAATGCCATCTGCATCAAAATCCTAGCTACCTTTTTTGTAGAAATTGACAAACTGACCCTAAAATTTTTTAGGTAACTTAATGACCATTTCTTTTTAGCCTCCTTTTCTGGGTCTTCCTCATTTCCCCAACTTCTAAGAGTTGGTGTGCCTGAAAGCCAAGTCCTTGGACCTTATTTTTCTCTTTTCAGTCTCATTCCCTTGGTGATCTCATCCAATCTCATGGTTTCAAATACCTTATTATAGGCTCACAAATCTTGAATTTTTACCTCTAGCTTGGACCTTTCTCTATACTTCAAACTCCTCTACTCAACAATAACGTGATGTCTCCATTTGGATGTCTAAGAGATATTTTAAGCTTAATATATTCAAAAGGAAATGTCTAATACCCTTTCCCTAAAAAGAACGACAACCTCACCCTTCCAGTACTACACATAAAAACTTTAGAATTATTCTTCACGATTCTCTTTCTTTCATATCCTGCATCCAATTTATCAACTAATGCTATTGCCACTATCTTTAAAATACATGCAGGACATAATCTCTAGTACTCTAATAGTCGAATCACCATTGTCACTCACTTGGATTACTGCAAAAGCCTTTTAAGTGTTGTTTCTGCCCTAATCCCCTGTGGTTACGCCTCAATGCAGCAGCCAGCTCACATCATTTCTCTGGCTTGAAACCTTTCAATGGCCTCTCATCTTAAGCAAAAGCCTAAGTCCTTACAGGGGCTTGCCGAGTTCTACGAGATGTGATTCCCCGCATGTTCCCTGGTAACATCTTCTTCAACTTTCCCCGTTCCTCACTCTACTCCAGGCAAACTAGTCTTGCTGTTTCTCAAATAGGCCAAGCACATTCTTGCATCAGGGCTTTTTAACTGCTGTTCCTTCTGCCTGGGACATTCTTCTCACATGGCTCACCCTTTACTTCTTTCAGGTCTCTCCTCAAATATAATCTTATGAGTTAAGCATCCCTGATCACTGAATATGTAAAATAGCAACCCTCCTCCCTACCATTTTGCATCTCCTTACCTCCTTTAATCTGCTTTATTTTTCTTCATGGCATTTTTCACCATTTAGCATATCATATATTTATCAGTTACTTATTTTTGTCTATTACTCTCCCACTAGAATGTAAGCTGTATGAACACAGGACCATTGCCAATTGTGTTCATTGCTGGTCCCTCAAGTGATTAGAGAAGTGTCTAGATCATAGACAATGCTCCCTAAAATGTGCTGAATAATTATTTATGTTTGTATTAGGTAGCTTGTTAACTCTATTCAGATAATTATTTACTTACTTTTATTTTGTCTTCCTGATCTATCAATTATTGAGAAAAATATTAAGTTCTTCCACCTTTGTTGTACATTTGAAAAGTTCTTACAGTTTTGTCAAGTTGTGCTTTTAAAAATTAAGGCTATTTTATGAACTGAGTAGAAGTTTGAAATTGTTACTATCTTCCTACTTAGTTCTTTTTATCATTACCTAATTACCTTATTTATCCCAAATAATGCTTTTATTGCCTTAATGTCTGTTTCACCTAATATTAGTAAATACATCCTCTTTACAAATAGGACAATATTTAATGCCAATCATTCTCTCCCCAAATTGCATTTTATTATGTTTTAATAATGTTTCCAATGTTGCTTTCATGTAGCTCAATTAGATTTATCCAATTTATATTTTTATCTTTGAATCTTGTAACCCATTCCTCCTTTTACTTTCAGTGTCTTTTTTCACAGGTACATCCTTCAATAGTTCTTAGTCTTTATTATTTTTTCTAAAAATGTTTCATTGTGCCCTCAATCCCTAAAGGTAATATACCTGGGTACAGAATTATAAGGTTTTAGATAAACAGAAGGTAATTCTAGCAGCTTTTGAAAGAAGCCTTCATATGTTTCAAATTCCTTACGTTTCATTGACTTTTGAGCTTCTCTGATGACTACGACTCAACACATTATATTTATGAAACTTAAAGTTACAGGTAGAGGAGAATGATTCCTTTTTCCCCCACCTTAATTCTAAATGCCGAAACCAGAAACACCCAATTATGGTAACCAGTATGAAATACTGGCTTAAGAGGAATAGCTCATATGATGACAATACATATCCCTATAGAGCAGAAAGCAAGAGAAAACACAAAGGAAAAAGATTAGGAAGACAGCCACCCACCTAACTTTCTAAGATGGGTCTAATTAACATTAATTTTATCATCTGTTATATGTGTTACAAATTTCTAAGACACAGGTAACAATAAAGAAACTACTAAATTTCACCCTTACACTAAATTTCATTTGGAGTAAAAAACAATGTGTATTAAAATTACCTGCATAAAGGAAGAGAAAGGATATGCATATACACTAGTATCCGCTTATCCACAGTTCTGCTTTCTGCAGTGTCAGTTATCCACAGTCAACTGTGGTCCAAAAATATTAAATGGAAAATTCCAGAAATAAACAATCCCTACATTTTAAATTGCATGCCATTCTGAGTAGTATGATAAAATTTCTTGCCACCCTGCTTTGTCCTTCCTGGGATATGAATCATCCCTCTGTCCAGCATATCCATGCTTTATACATCACCAGTCCATTAGTGACATAGTAGCTGTCTCAGTTATCATCCTGACTATTGCGGTATTACAGTGCTTGTGTTCAAGTAACGTTTATTTTACTTTCATTACAGTATATTGTTATAATTGTCTTATTTTATTATTATTGTTAATATCTTACTGAGCCTAATTTAAAATTAAACTTCATCACGGATATGTATGTACAGGAGAAAACACAGTATATATAGGGCTAAGTACTGTCCAAGGTTTCAGGCATCCACTGCAGATCCCTGCAGATCAAGAGGGACTACTATAACAACTTATAACAAAATAAGATAATAAAGGAAGGGTGAAGACAAACTGAGTTTGAACCAAGAAATACAAAATGCCATTCTTCATTTCATAAAAAGGATACAGATTATATTTGCTAATTTTATAATTGATATATAGCATTAATGTATTTAAACTAAGATAACTGAAAAGCTTGCTTAACTTGCCAAACTGCTCCTGCAAGCCTGCTAGGAATGAATGAAAAATAAAGGGGAACTTCATAAAGTTGAAACAATGCAATGGCAGCAACTTAAAAAATATCAAAATGAGTTTTTTGGCTGCATAAATGTCTTCTTTTGAGAAGTGTCTGTTCATGTCCTTCGCCCACTTTTTGATGGGGTTGTTTGTTTTTTTCTTGTAAATTTGTTTGAGTTCATTGTAGATTCTGGATATTAGCCCTTTGTCAGATGAGTAGGTTGCGAAAATTTTCTCCCATTTTGTAGGTTGCCTGTCCACTCTGATGGTAGTTTCTTTTGCTGTGCAGAAGCTCTTTAGTTTAATTAGATCCCATTTGTCAATTTTGGCTTTTGTTGCCATTGTTTTTGGTGTTTTGGACATGAAGTCCTTGCCCATGCCTATGTCCTGAATGGTAATGCCTAGGTTTTCTTCTAGGGTTTTTATGGTTTTAGGTCTAACGTTTAAGTCTTTAATCCATCTTGAATTGATTTTTGTATAAGGTGTAAGGAAGGGATCCAGTTTCAGCTTTCTACATATGGCTAGCTAGTTTTCCCAGCACCATTTATTAAATAGGGAATCCTTTCCCCATTGCTTGTTTTTGTCAGGTTTGTCAAAGATCAGATAGTTGTAGATATGCGGCGTTATTTCTGAGGGCTCTGTTCTGTTCCATTGATGTATATCTCTGTTTTGGTACCAGTACCATGCTCTTTTGGTTACTGTAGCCTTGTAGTATAGTTTGAAGTCAGGTAGTGTGATGCCTCCAGCTTCGTTCTTTTGGCTTAGGATTGCCTTGGCGATGCGGGCTCTTTTTTGGTTCCATATGAACTTTAAAGTAGTTTTTTCCAATTCTGTGAAGAAAGTCATTGGTAGCTTGATGGGGATAGCACTGAATCTGTAAATTACCTTGGGCAGTATGGCCATTTTCACGATATTGATTCTTCCTACCCATGAGCATGGAATGTTCTTCCATTCGTTTGTATCCTCTTTTATTTCCTTGAGCAGTGGTTTGTAGTTCTCCTTGAAGAGGTCCTTCACATCCCTTGTAAGTTGGATTCCTAGGTATTTTATTCTCTTTGAAGCAATTGTGAATGGGAGTTCACTTATGATTTGGCTCTCTGTTTGTCTGTTGTTGGTGTATAAGAATGCTTGTGATTTTTGTACATTGATTTTGTATCCTAAGACTTTGCTGAAGTTGCTTCTTAGCTTAAGGAGATTTTGGGCTGAGACAGTGGGGTTTTCTAGATATACAATCATGTCGTCTGCAAACAGGGACAATTTGACTTCCTCTTTTCCTAACTGAATACCCTTTATTTCCTTCTCCTGCCTAATTGCCCTGGCCAGAACTTCCGACACTATGTTGAATAGGAGTGGTGAGAGAGGGCATCCCTGTCTTGTGCCAGTTTTCAAAGGGAATGCTTCCAGTTTTTGCCCATTTAGTATGATATTGGCTGTGGGTTTGTCATAGATAGCTCTTATTATTTTGAAATACGTCCCATCAATACCTAATTTATTGAGAGTTTTTAGCATGAAGGGTTGTTGAATTTTGTCAAAAATGCTAATCATCACTGGCCATCCGAGAAATGCAAATCAAAACCACTATGAGATACCATCTCACACCAGTTAGAATGGCAATCATTAAAAAGTCAGGAAACAACAGGTGCTGGAGAGGATGTGGAGAAATAGGAAAACTTTTACACTGTTGGTGGGACTGTAAACTAGTTCAACCATTGTGGAAGTCAGTGTGGCGATTCCTCAGGGATCTAGAACTGGAAATACCATTTGACCCAGCCATCCCATTACTGGGTATATACCCAAAGGACTATAAATCATGCTGCTATAAAGACACACGCACACGTATGTTTATTGCGGCATTATTCACAATAGCAAAGACTTGGAACCAACCCAAATGTCCAACAATGATAGACTGGATTAAGAAAACGTGGCACATATACACCATGGAATACTATGCAGCCATAAAAAATGATGAGTTCATGTCCTTTGTAGGGACATGGATGAAATTGGAAATCATCATTCTCAGTAAACTATCGCAAGAACAAAAAACCAAACACCGCATATTCTCACTCATAGGTGGGAACTGAACAATGAGATCACATGGACACAGGAAGGGGAATATCACAGGTGGGGTGGGGGGAGGGGGGAGGGGGGAGGGATAGCATTGGGAGATATACCTAATGCTAGATGACGAGTTAGTGGGTGCAGCGCACCAGCATGGCACATGTATACATATGTAACTAACCTGCGCAATGTGCACATGTACCCTAAAACTTAAAGTATAATAATAAAAAAAAAAAATCAAAATGAATTAGGAAGACCATATGCAACCTGCCATATTGTAGTGCTGGTAACTGCTATGGTTTGAATGTGTCCCTCCAAGAGCATGTGTTGGAAACTTTATCCCCAGCCAGGAGGTGGGGCCTAATTAGAGGTAATTAGGCCATGAGGATCTGCCCCCATGAATGCATTAATACTGTTGCTGTGGGAGTGGGTTCCTTATAAAAGGGTGACTTTGGTTCCCTTTTTTCTTCTCTTGCCCTCTTTTTGTCCTTCTGCCATGGGATGACACCGCAAAAAGGCCCTAGCCAGATGTTGCCTCTCAATCTTGGACTTCTTAACTTTCAGAACCGTGAGCCAATAAATTTCTGTTCATTATAAATTACCCAGTCTGTGGTATTATGTGGTATGTTATAGCAGCACAAAACAAAGACAATAACTAAATGCCTGAAGCCAAAGAGCAGATAAATTCCATTTCTCATGGCTTCAGCATTTTAACTCATATCTTACACCAAAGAGGATTTACCTTTTTATTCCCTGAAATGTACTGCTAGCCATGTCTATGATGCCTCCAGTTGGCCTTGCTACCGCTCCTACTAAACCTTTCCCAACACCTTTAAAGAAACCAGCTGCTCCTCCTTTTTGAGCTCCTGGAAAGAAAAAAGAGTTTTTGACAATTGCATCCAAGAATGAAAACAGAATCAACTTAGAAAGACTTGCAAAGGAACTACTATACTTGCCTTTGATTGGTTTTGTAACAATTCCTGTTATGCCACTAACAAATCCCTAGAAGGAAAACACAACTGAAAATTTACAATACTTTTTTATGATGCCTAGAAGAACCAAGTTTGGATTACACAAAAAATACAGAGTTCTGCTTTTTATATAGCATAAGAATTAACAGATCTCCTAAGTATTTTATTTAAACAGAATGTTTTAGAGGCTACTGACATGTTTTATATGCTACCACCCACTGCTCTTAAAATATCCAAATAATAATTTAAGGAGTGAGAATCATGTCTATTTCCTTATTCGCAAATGTAGGTTTGTTTAAAAGATATTTCCCAAAATCTTCACAACCCTGTGAAATTTCTTACAGAAACTAAGCCTTTTCCTCCACGAGTGATGCCTTCTCTAAAACCAGCTGGTTGCTTATTCATGGCTTCTCTTCTCTTCTGTTGGTAGTCTTCATCCATGGTCATAGCTGCTACCCCCTTAGCCATAGCACCGGTGATTTTGGAGGCAGCACCAGCCAATCCACCTGACAGAAATTATCTTTAGTAAAAGTAATGATGCCATTACTTTCTAGCACAAAAATACTTGGTAGATATTCTGTTTCTTACCAACAGCTCCACCAACTAGTGCCTTAAGTCCTAGTGCCATTCCTTCCACAAACTCTTCAGGACCCTGGATGGCTCCCTAAAGGGCCAAATAGTAAATAAATGAGTGAGTGAGTTATATTCACTTTTAAAGATGAGCTTACGGATATATACGACGAAAGAGGTAGTAACAAAAATGGATAATGTTGTCCCAGAGGAAGTAATATCAGCAAAAAGTTTCACATTAAAAGAATTCCTAGGGATATTTCTGGACGCTGAAAGTGTGAAGGATATAATGTTAGACGCTGACCCTTAGAAAGGAGTACGGCAACTCACCAAAGTACAGAAAGGTGCTTGGTCCATATTGTAAGTTTATGAGCAAAATGCAAGCACAGTTCAAACTACTCTTGATAAGTCTTTAATAAAAATTTCAAATAAACACTTTAAAATTCTTAATGCTTTTAATGTTTTTAATTACAATGTGCAAAATTAATGTTAACTTTATTTTTTATTTCCCTATACATTTATACGTGGAAGTAGGAGTCTTTTGGGAAAAAGTTTTAAAGGACATAGAACAATCATAATTTTTCCCACTGATTTTTAAGATTGCTTGGCCAGGTGTCAGTTTGCATGATTATTTTTATAGTTCCACACTACTGTGCAAAGCAAGATGTGGTGATCTTCTTTCTACTTTATCCACCTTTTATATTCCAAGAGAACACTTACAATTCAGCGTAGCTTAACAAAATCTTAAGTTTAAATTTTGAGGAAAAGGGTAAAAATGTCCCCCAAAACCTCTTACCATTGTTTGCTGCAAAATGATGTCCTTTTGTGTGTGTTCCAAAATCTGTTTGCACTTATTAACTCAACTTAACAATAGAAAAGTATTATCTATTCAAAAGTATTAGTGACATATTGCACAACCACAAAAATAACTATTTTACCTGGTAAGGTTCATAAAAAAATGCTTCTACACCTTCAGAAAATTCTCTAATTAAGCCAAATGGATTTCCCAAAACATCAAGTCCAAGAATGAGTACATACATCTGCTTAATGGCCTAAAAATAAAATATGAACATTAATCAATTCAGATAATTAGATCTATTTTTTCTTATACATTATTTAAAACACACGCCCAGTTTTCTCAGGCCAACACCTTTAATGCCAATTTCAACTCCTAAACCATCTCATTTTATTAATCACTACTCTTTTTTTTCTTTTTCTTTTTGAGACAGTCCTGCTCTGTTGCCCAGGCTGGAATGCGGTGGCGCCATCTCGGCTCACTGCAACCTCTGCCTCACGGGTTCAAGCAATTATTGTGCCTCCTCCTCCCAAGCTGGGACTACAGGCATGCACCACCATGCCTGGCTAATTTTTGTGATTTTAGTAGAGATGGGGTTTCGCCATGTTGGCCAGGGTGGTCTCGAACTCCTGGCCTCAAGTGATCCACCAGCCTCAGCCTCCCAAAGTGTTGGGATTACAGGCGTTAGCCACCATGCCAGGCTTATTGATCGCTATTCTTAGCTTTTAAAAAGTAATTTGGTATTATAGTATTAAAAATAATATGACATTATATTCATGTAAAGCTCTAGAATATTTAAAATACTTTCACTTTTACAATTATCTGTGACCACTGTCATTACCACCACCGTTTTATAGATTGGAGAAACATATAAGTCAGATGATACTCAGGGTCACATAGTGGGTATATGGCAAAAGTGGGAGAAATCCAAATCTCCTGAGTCATGCTCAGTGATCTGTCATACCACAGCTATATCAGATACTCTAAGTTATATCCTAAAACCCAAGAGTCTCTCTAGAAGTGGAAAAACATCTGTTAAAAAAATACATCTGGCTGACTTAACAACTAGTTACACTAAAAATATCCCGTGTTCATCAGTTAGTTACTAATAGTTTCCATGAACCCATTTTTTAATTAAGTGTGATAAATTAGTTAATATTTTATTTAAAGATTTATTTATTTCCAGTCCTGCTGATCCACAAAAAATTTCTCTCAGTGGCTAAAAAATATAAGGACAAAAAATTCAAATAGTGATTGAGCTTAATTTCTTTTTATAATTCTGAGGAAAATACCCATGCTTTAATAATTTGAAAATGGCTATTTAGTTCCTCAATAGTTCCACATTATATATGTATAGACACAAAAGGTTTTACCAGTCTGTATCACTCTGTCCCTCTGTAATATAATCTTAGACAAACCTGTTTTGAATAGTGTCTTATGACTTCAGACTGTAGATCGGATGTTGTATGGAACTGATAGTTGAGTTCAAAAAATGCAAGCCTGAAAAAAGCGTAAAAATATATTGTCTGTACATGTGTATGAAGAAAGTATTTTTAATATTAATGAGTGGCTTTATTTTCTTTAGAATCTTTTCTCCAAACCTTTCCTTCTAGTACATTTTCCCATGCCAATCAGGAAATTTACTTTTTACATACATCTCTGCATATCCTAATCAAAGAACCTTCTAAGAATCTGATAAAAGACATGGATCTTATCTTCAGACAAGTCACCAGTACACATAAATTTTCATGTAAATTCGAGAGTTCTGAGATCCTGTGAATCCCATTCATGTACCACTAGAACTTTATTTCCCAATTCTGTCCTATCATGGCCCACATAGAAAATGTCTGACACACTGATAAAGAGGTTGCTCACGAATGGCCAGGTTCAGCTGCAGCAGGTTTTGCCTGCTTACTTATAACTCCATTCACAGAATATATACTAAGATTAGCTTACTTATAACCCATCCATAGCATATACCTGATACAGTAACTGAAAAGCTCTATGCTTCTTGTTGCTAAGTAGAATACTATTTCTGCTAACATCATACCTGTGTACTTTTATTTGACACTTACCTAACTTCAGGTTCAGTGTTACCTCGTGTTGGACTTATTGATTCTTACGACTGTTCTTAATAATCAATTCTAGATGCTACTTGAAAGGGTTATTCTCTTCTAAAGTCTCAACTCAGACATTCTGAATCTCTTTGGTCAGATACTCTATAAGCTTCATTATGACTCATATTAAAATATAAATTCCTGATTACAACACTTAAAGTTGATCCTTTCATTTCCCCTATTATCGCATTCATTCTGTTCTAGTTGCAAATGCTTTGAAGAGTCTTATTCCTATTAGCTTCAAATCCATACATTTCAGGCACCATATCTTTGGGCATACACATCCTATCCTTCCCTAAGCCAGAAAGATCTTTTAAAATGTGAAACTTGCATGGCCTATGACTCTTTTTCTTAAGGAAATTGTTTAATAATTCTGTAATTTAGCAATTAGGGGTTAGCAAATCATACGTTGGTGTTATTCAGATTGCACTTCACTTGAATGCAAAAACCTCATTTTGCCTATGATCTGCAACGTACTTCACACACTTTTTCATTTACGAAATTTTTAGGGACATATAAAATAGAAATATTTCCATCAATTTACAGATTTGAATACTAAACATACTTAAAAACTACATCTTGTACATCTGTCAGTGTGGCACCAATACTCTTCAGCAAAAGATTTAAAGAATGAACTGGAATCAGTCCTCCATTTTGTTTTGAATCTTTAGCTTCTTCTCTGCCGGAACTCAGTGAAACACTTAAATGTAACTAAAAAGATAAAGAGATAAATATTTAAAAGTATTTTCTTCATATTGACAATTTTAACTCTTAAAAAATCAGTTTAATTTTAAATTCACTACACCATAAATAAGATTTCAAAGTTATCTGGATTATGTTAAAATCACTAAGTAGAAATATGAAGAAATTTAAAATCTAACATAGCTCTATTTAAATCTTCAATTCAACAATTTAAGATAGCATGATATTTAATCCTATCCCATTCTTTTGGCAAACCTAAGAAAATATTAATTTTTATATATTTGTTAATAACATTAAAAATCTAAAAGTTGAAGCTGTTGAAAATGACTCAAATACATATGGTCCCCAACTTATATGACTTATGTTTCACTTATGATTTTTCAACTTTACAATGCTGCAAAAGCAATACACCTTCAGTGGAAACTGTACTTTGAATTTTGATTCAAAATTCTTTATAATAACTTTATTAGAAAATAGGCATTGTGTTAGATGATTTTGCCCAGCTGTTTTGAGCATGTTTAAGACAGGCTAGGCTAAGCTTTAATGTTCAGTAGGTTAGGTGTATTCAATGCATTTCTGACTTACAAGATTTTCAACTCATGATGGCTTTACTGAGATGTAACTCTGTCATAAGCTGAAAGGTATTTGTATCTCCAAAAGTATATGTTTCAATTATTTCAGAAGTTAATAGCCAGTTAAAAAACACTTTTGTATTGTATTGCATATATACTCTACATATATGGTTGTTTAGTAATTTTCTTCTATTATTGTATAATTAGCTTATAGGAATTTTGCACTAAAAACTAACTTAGATTTGATACCATTCAGTCTTCAGTTCTTAAGGCTACTTTATAAATTACTTTAAAACTAATACACAAATCATCATATGCAAAATTTTGAAAATTGTCACCTAACAGCTTAACAGAAAATCAAGGTAAAATAATGTTAGGTCAAATTATAAACATAAATACATGCTATAGGTGGCTCCACATGATAAAAAGTTATTTAAAAATAAATAAAAATGTAAAAGGGTAATTCCTTTGTTACTTAGTTTAATTGTATATTTACAGATTTTATATATTACTGAAGAACACAATATAAATGCTACATCAATTTGCTATTACCTAGATTATCAAGGACAATAAAAATGACTTTCTCCTACCTTGATAGGAGATATATGAAAATATTCATAGAGGCTGACTTGTGATTGATCTACTAATGAGGCTGTTTTATATTCTTCTTTGAAAGCTTCTATATCTTTATGAAAAAGCTCAACCTATAAAAGGAACACAAAATATTAAAACTAAAGGGACCTACCTGCATGAGATATTTAAGCAAATAGAAGACACACTGCCAAAACTCTTCTATAAGATCCAGACTCAACATTGCTTATGATTGCCTCAGAAGGGAAAGTAACATCTCTATCTATAGGACAGTTCTGTCTGCCACTGACAAACCAACAAGCATTATCTTCTATATTTCTATCCAAACCATTAAAAGACACTAAGCTTTTCTCCATGTGACTATAAATCTTATCCCAAAATGACATTAATCCATACCATCAACACTCTCTTGGGTATATTTGTTTCTTTAAACATAATCATACAGTCAACTTGTATTTTGTAGTCTACTTGTAATTGCTTTAATGCATCCTACACAGATCAGTAATATAATAAAATAAAGAAGGTGTTGAAAACAATTTTGCATTAATTGATTGGTGGTTTCATTCTTGATATTCATCAATACTTCTCCTTTAAATGCTCAGACGGAAGTAACTTCTATGTGTTGAAAAATGAGCCCCAAGATTCACATTTTAACATATTCATAAAAACATAAGAAATGATAGCCTTATAAAAAGTATATTTAGAAATCAATTTCTGAAATGACAGTGGGAAGCTCTTCAAACCAGCACCCCAGCTAAACTGATAAAATTTAAACAACAACAACAACAAATTTAAGGCCTCTAGGAATGGTTTTAAGGTCATAAGCAAATGAAGAAACATCTATTTAAGAAAACCTAAAGAATTTGGTAAGAAAAGCGAATCCGTGGTGTTTTAACAAAGGCCATTCCCTCTGTCCCCTCTCCCAGACTAATGAGCCAGAATTCTACTCTAGACTAGTATACCCAAGAACACAGAGCTCCTTCTTGGCCCAGTCCTCAATTGGAGGACTTCCTTCCTGGGAAGAACAGGACGTCAGCATTTCTCATCCTGTTCCCAGCTACCTGCTGCTGAGGTTAAGTTATGGTTGAGTGCAACTGTGAGGCGGGGGCTTCCTTTATGGGTTTTTTTTTGTTTGTTTGTTTTTTTCGAGACGGAGTCTCGCTCTGGTCACCTAGGCTGGAGTGCAGTGGCGCGATCTCGGCTCACTGCAACTTGTGCCTCCTGGGTTCAAGCAATTCTCCTGCCTCAGCCTCCTGAGTAGCTGGGATTACAGGCACCTGCCAACACGCCTGGCTAATTTTTGTATTTTTAGTAGAGATGGGGTTTCACTATGTTGCCAGGGTGGTCTCGAACTCCTGACCTCAAGTGATCTACCCACCTTGGCCTCCCAAAGTGCTGGGATTACAGGCGTGAGCCACCGTACTTGGCAGGGCTTCCTTTCTCTGTCCAGCCTCTGTGCAGGGTAAAAAAGCTCTGCCTTGGGTACAGTACCACTGAGAATACTAGAGTTCTGATCACTCTTGCCCAGGCCTGTAATGTGGTGGTTCCATGCCAGCAAAGGCAAGCTGAGATCATCTCAGGCCACTGCCCCTCTTACCCCACCACACATAGTGCTCAGCTCCTAAACTGGGGTGTTACTCAAATAGAAGGGTGTCACAACTGTTCCCACCGCCAGCTTCAGAGGCCTGGTTTAGGGATTTTTGCTGATGGGGAAAGTAGGTTTTAAAACAGGTAACTATTAATCTCTTCCCAAAGGAACTAATTTCACTTATAACATATAGTGCAGTTCGAGCCTAAGGGCTCTCAGAAACAGCAGATGTGGTGAAAGACAACTAAAAGGAAAGTCATTGATTTACAGAAGATACTGGCTAACCTGTAGACCTAATAGTTTGCAGGAGAAAATCAGAGAAAGTGACAAATAGGAGTTTTCCTGAGGTCAGAACAAAAAAACACAGAAACATGGTGAAACCCTGTCTCTACTAAAATTACAAAAATTAGCTGGGCATTTTGGCACACGCCTGTAATCCCAGCTACTCGGGAGGGAGGCTGAAAAACGAGAATTGCACAAACCCACGAGGCGGAGGTTGTAGTGAGCTGAGATTGCTTTTGCAGCATTGCACTCCAGCCTGGGAGACAGAGCGAGCCTAGGTCTCAAAAAAAAAAAAAAATAAAAAAAAAAAAATTAATGTAATAAAACATATCAGTAGAACAAAACCCAAAAAGTGTACAATCATTTCCATAGATGCAGAAAAAGAATGACAAAATATATAATCATGATTAAAAACACTCAACCAACTAAGAAAAGAACTTCCTCAACCTGAAAAAGGATGTCTAGGAAAAACCCAGGGTCAATATCATACTCAAAGACTGAAAATTTACCCTCCAAGATCAGAGGCAAAAGAAGAATGTCTGCTCTTGGCACTTCTGTTTAATGTGTCACCAATTTCTAGACACAACAACTAGGGAAGAAGAAGAAACAAAGGCATTCAGATCAGAAAGAATGAAGTAAAACTACCTCTCCTCTCAGATGACACGATCTTATGTATAGAAATCCCAAAAGAATATACGGAACAACAAATAGAGCTAACAATTCAGTAGGGGTGCAAAATACAAGATCAGTATAAAAAAATCAACTGCATTTTTATACAGTAGCAATGAACAATCCAAAAATGGAATTAAAAAATCAATTTTATTCATAATACTATAAGAAGAATATAATACATAGGAATAAATTTAATGAAAAATGTGTAAAACTTACACTCTGAAAAACAACAAAACATTGTTAAAAAAAATTAAAAATCTACATAAATGGATAAACATGTCATGTGCAAGGACTGAAAGACCTAATACTGTTAGGATGGCAATACTTCCCAAATTGATTTACAGATTCAATGCAGTCTCTATCAGATGTCCAGCTGACTTCTTTGAAGAACCTGACAAGTTGATTCTAAAATTCATATGAAATTTCAAAGGACTCAGAACAGCCAAACCCATCTTGAAAAAGAAGGACAAAGTAGGAAGATACATATGTCCCAATTTCAAAACTTAATACAAAACAATAACTAAGACAGTGTGCAATGCACAAGGGCAGATGCACAGATCGACGGAATAAAATCACATGTGTGTTGTTAACTGATTTTCAACTAGGGTGTCAAGACCATTCAAAGAACAAATAGTCTTTTAAAGAAATGGTAATAGGACAACTGGATAGCAACATGCCAAAGAATAATTTGGATCCTTATACATCATATACAAAAATGAACTAAAAATTGATCAAAGACCTAATCATAAGAGCTAGATCTTTAAAATTCGTAAAACGTAAGATATTCATGACCTTGGATTTGGCTAAGGATTCTTAGAAATGACACCAAAAGCATGAGCAACAAAATAAAAAATAATTTGAACTTCATTAACTTTAACTTTTGATTTTCAATAGACAACATCAAGAAAGTGAAAAAGCAACACACAGAATGAGAGAAAATATTTGAAAATTATGTATCTGATAAGAGACCTGTATCGAGAATATGCAAATAACTTTTATAAGAAAAAAGACAAATAACTCATTAAATAATAAGCAAAGGATCTGAATGGACATTTCTTCACATAAGATATGCAAATTAACTACTTAACATATTAAAGGATAATCAACATATCAAAGATGCTCAACATCATTAGTCATCAGGTAATTACATGTCAAAACCACAATGACAAACTATTTCACATTCACCCATTATGATTGCTAGAATCAAAGACAGATAGTAACAAGTGTTGGGGATAATATGGAAAAATCAGAGCCCTCATATGCTCTGGTAAGAATGTAAAATGGTGGAGGCACTTTGCACAACTGCCTAACAGTCCCAAATGATTAAATATAAGGTTACTATGTGATTGAGCAATTCCACTTCTAATAAAATTTTATTTCTTTTGGCTATATACCTAGGATTGGAATTGCTTAATCACATGGTGATTAAGTTTAAATAGTTTAAGACTTTTAATAAAGTTTTTGTCCAATAAAAACTTGTACACCAGTATTCATTACATTATCCATAAAAGCCAAAATGTGTAAACAACCCAAACGTCCATTAACAGATATATGGATAAACAAAATGTGGCCCATCCATATAATGGAATATCACTTAACCATAAAAAGGAATGAAGTACTGATACATGCTACAACATAGATGCACCTTGAAAGCATTATTCTAAGTCAAAGAAGCCCTTCACAAAAGACTACACAGTGTATGATTCTATTTGTATGAAATATTCAGAATAGGCAAACCTAAAGACACAAAGTGTATCAGTGGCTGCACAGGCAGTTCCTTTTGGGGATGATGAAAATGTTCCGGAATTAGAGAGTGATGATGATTGTACAACTTTGTGAATACATTAAAAGTCATTGAACCCTATCTTTTAAATGGGTGAAATGTATGGTATGTGATCTATACCTCAATAGACTGTTACTAATTTGCTCTTTCTCCATCCATGAATCTATGAGGGCAAGTGAAAAACAGACTATATCTGACCCACTTTATAACTATGATTTTATGGTCTTCCAGTCACCCAGATGATACCACCTTTTAATTTTCCTATCCTTTCTCCCATTAAATATCCTGGACATACCCTAAATTTCTAAATTATTAAAGTGAAAGCAAAGCCAAAGTAATCCAGGAAAATAAAAGAGGAAAAAAGTGATGTGAACATGACAAATTATCCTTTTCTCCCTGCTATTCACCCCAAGCCTTTCCTCCTGTTTGCTAATTTTCTATCATCAGAAAATAAGATTTCTAAAAAGGTATGTACCACAAGAGAGTAATAAAATTTATTTAATTGTATTTTTAAAATGCAACAAAGTCATTTTAATACCTTTAAAAATTTATAATAATATCTTTTCCCTAATCCTTTCCATCAAATGTTATTATTTTAAGTCTTACCTCTGTATTTTCAGTCACCTCAGCTTCTGTCATAAGGTCTGTTAAAGCATAGATAAACCCAAGATCTAACCTGAGATCCATTTCTTGAATCAATACTTTGAAATACCTGTATTACAAAGTAGAAAACATTTTTTAAAAATCATCAATTAACAACTGTATTACAAAAATTAGATGAGAAAAAAGTATGAGATCAATATTAGAACTTTGAAACTTAGGACTATTTAGTTGACTAAATTTTAAAAAATCATGGAACACTGTTAATAACAGCAACAAAGTCAAAATATGAAAATGGCCATAAAGAGGAACCAGATAAGTAAACTGTCATACAGAGTCATAAAACAGAATATTATATATTAGTGATAATGAATAAACTATGGCTACATACAACAAAATGAATAAATTTTAATAAAAATGTTGAATGAACAAAAGCAAGTCCCAACATCTATTTCCGGCCTGAAACAATTTTCTAAAAATTAGAAAAAAATTAAAACTAAAAGGCATAATGTTTAGGTACACATGAACAATAAAACTATATTTTAAACAGCAAGGAAATAAAGATAGGTTATCTTGGTGACAAGGTAAGGGAAATTAGACAGGAGATTATTACATAGATGTTTCAGTCCATCTTCTGTTTCTTGGAATGGGTAGTGAGTGAAGACGAAAATATTATTGTTTTCCTTTTTCAAAACAATATATGATTATAGACAACCCCAAACAAAAAACAAATACAAGTACAAGAGAATAATAAAATATCCAAAATCCAGAAACAATGATTATAAATACCTAGATGTATTTCATCCAGAGCCGCCTTTTTTTTTTTTTTTTTGAGACAGTCTTGCTCTGTCACCCAGGCTGGAGTGCAGTGGTGTGATCTCAGCTAACTGCAAGCTCTGCCTCCTGGGTTCAAGCGATTCTCGTGCCTCAGCCTCCTGAGTAGTTGGGACTCTGGGCACGTGCCACCACGCCTGGCTAATTTTTGTATTTTTAGTAGAGTTGGGGTTTCACCGTGTTGGCCAGGTTGGTCTCGAACTCCCGACCTCAAGTGATCAGCCTGTCTAGGTCTCCCAAAGTGCTGGCATTACAGGCGTGAGCCACAACATTATATTTTTTTATTTGACGTTTATAATTAATATTTTATGCTTAAATCTTTGACTTGTCCAACATTTAAAGAGTACAAACAATTCATATATTTAAATCAAACATTAAATAAATATACAAGAAATGTATTAAGACACTTACTTAATACGTGATATCTGGGAATGTCCTGCAGATCTCATGACAATACTGACATCTGTAAAGGGCTTTGGTGCTGTAAAGGTTATAAATATAATTACTCCCATGATGCTTTAAGCAAAAGCTAGGCATTTTCTTCCAATATACACCACAATGGAAAATTAAATCATTTACTAAATAATAAATATCAGTTAAAATTACTGATATTGGCAAAATCTACTACAATCTTAATTTCAGACTCTAGCATTGTTTTTAAAACTATCTATAGTTACTCTGAAGATAACTAATTCTACAATTAGCAGTTTAGAAGTATGCATTAGAATCATCAGGGAAACTTTGTGAAAACAGATTCTGGGGACTTGCTCCAGACCTCTAGGTGGAAGGGCTTACGCATTATACTGGCCAAAAAGCTTCTGAGCGAGTTATAAAGAGTACTCCCCCCAGGATAGTTTAGAAGAAGTGGTGTGGGGTGGAGGTGGGAAAGCAAGGGGAGAAGAAAGTTAAGTAGGGTAGTGAGGAGGGAAGAGAAAGTAGGGGGAAGAGGGATATGCAGGAAACAAGAAAGGCAAAGGGAAAGAAAAGGGTAGAAAGGACTTGTCCGTTATTCTTATTTGGAGAACATAGGACAGTTTCTGCTGTTAGAAAACACTCTAGATTTGAACTTCCTTATTGTTCATTCAAAGGCTTTAAAGGTTTTTAAATCGCAGGTTTACAGATTATCTGCTTTTTAAATTAGTATTTCTAAAAATTTCAATATATGTTTCTAATCAATCTTTTCTTCAAGATTCACTCAAAATCTTATCAAAGTTAGTTGTGTATAGTACTTGCTGGTCCTTTTTCAAGCAGTTTAATTTTCCAATTATCCTATAAAAATTAAACCCAAGAATGGTTTCACTTCATATTTTTATAGTAAAGTAAATCAAATAGCTAATACAACTGCTTTTATGGAAATCTAAAAATAAAAACAAACCTGAATCCATGGTGACCGACTTTGGAGGTTTAACAGGATAAAACACAAAGGGAAATACAGCACCATGTATCTGATTTTGGATCTAAGAAAATAAAAACACATCAGTATATTAATATGTCAATTATACAACCTGACCAGAATAACAGGATTTGAGGAACAAAAAGAATCAAAAAGTCTAGCGGTGACCAAGCACGGTGGCTCACGCCTGTAATCCCAGCACTTTGGGAGGCCGAGGCGGGTGGATCATCTGGGGTCAGGAGTTTGAGACCAGCCTGGCCCACATGGTGAAACCCCGTCTCTACTAAAAATACAAAAATTAGGTGGCCATGGTGGTGGGCACCTGTAATCCCAGCTACTCAGGAGGCTGAGGCAGCAGAATCGCTTGAACCTGGGAGGCAGGGTTTGCAGTGAGCTGAGATTCCGCCACTGCACTCTAGCCTGGGCGACAGAGGGAGACTCTGTCTCAAAAAAAAAAAAAAAAAAAAAGGCTAGCACAACATTGAAACTGAATACTAGATAAAGCAGACCATGGGAATAGATCTGGTTTCTTATTGCATTCCTTTAGAATACAATTTTGCCTATATTTTCAGAAAGACTTACCTGTATTCTGTAAATCTGAATTCTAAATGATGATTGATGTGCAGATGTGTTATATTCCACTTTTAATGCTGGAAGATAATTTCTTCGTAGAGCTATTACATGCGGCTGCAGAATTTTCATGTTATGACCAGTAGGGGTTAGGCGAACCTGAAAAATATGTCCCCCCAAATGAAAAAATTAATTTATCTATAAATGACTAGAATTAGAAATTAATGCCAAAAACTTTTTAAAACAGTAAGCTACATATTTGTATTAGTTTAGATTTAGATCTTAATATCCCATGTCCATAAAATTCACATATTCATATAATTCTTACAAAGCTTCACTGCATTACTTTTTACATAAATGTACTAAAATTTACCACAATAAAAATGAATAAAGGAAAAATAAAATATTTAAAGAAAGTACAGTGAAAAAATAAAACATTTTTAAGTTTCCTGCTAACCCAAAGAACAGATCATTAGCATCTAGTATCTTAAAAGAAAGTTTTCTTTTCTTTTTTTTTTTTTTTTTTTTTTTTTTGAGACAGAGTCTTGCTGTCAGCCAGGCTGGAGCGCAGTGGGGCCATCTTGGTTCACTGCAACCTCCACCTCCTGGGTTCAAGGCATTCTCATGCCTCAGCCTCCTGAATAGCGGGGATTACAGGCGCCTGCCACCATGCCTGGCTAATTTTTGTATTTTTAGCAGAGACAGGGTTTGCCATGTTGGCCAGGCTGGTCTCGAACTCCTGACCTCAAGTAATCCGCCTGCCTCAGCCTCCCAAAGTGCTGGGATTACAGGTGTGAACCACTGCGCCCAGCCTGATTTCTTAATATAGATAAACACCTCTTTAAAACATTTTATACAAGGTATGTATGACAGGATTATTTTGTTTTATAAGGAAGCCAAACTTTCCTTAAATTTCACTAGTGATTCACCAAACTACGACAGGCAAAAAATTAAAACTTCACATCAGTACTTAAAAATATTACCGGAACATTAGTGTCCAACTGAATAACCTTATCTTCTGAAGGAGAAGATTCAGTATATTCCTTAAATTCTCTCTCTAACTTCTCAGTGTGCTTTACACTCATTGGCTTCCATCTTGCCTTCTTCTTGGGCTTTGTTTCCCAAACCACATCAGAACTTATTTAAGAAAGCAAAAATCATAGTATTTAATACTAAGTTATTAACATTTATTTTAACTGGTTTATTACATGAATTACAATACCTTCACTAAAATTTCAGAACAGCCTCAATTACAAGTGAGCATATTACAAATTTAAAAACATGAATTCATTCAACTACTACCTATTAAGCTACTACTGAGGCACTATTCTAGGTGTTACAGCCGTTATCAGTGAACATCTCTGTCATTCTGGAGCTTCATTTTAGTGGGGGAGTGAAAATAAATAGTAAACAAAATAAATTAGTAAAATTTAATATGTAGGAGGTGAAAATGCTTTTGAAAGAAGAAAATGTAGACAAGGCAAGGGGGATCCGGAGAACTGCAATATGTAAAGTGGTGGGGTCTTCAATATTAGAGTGGTCAATGGGGGATTCATTGAGAAAGTGAGATTTTGGCAACCTTAAATGAGCTGAGAGAATTATCCAGCAGACAAGAGGAGGAAAACATTTCAGGTAGAGAGGCCAGCTAAAGCAGGAGGCACACTTGCAGTATATGAAGAAGAGCAAGGAGGCTGGCATGTCAGGAACACATTAGGAATAGAAAATAAAGTAAGACTTATAGTGGGGGGCCAAATAATGTAAAGCATTGTAGACCACTGTAGACTCTGAGTTTTATTCTGAGTGAGATGAGATACCACTGATCGGTTATAAGACAACTAACAACATAATCTGACTTACATTTCGTTAAGAATACACTCTGTGTTGAAGTGGATGGAAAGAAAAAAGAGTGGAGTCAAGATTAGAAGCAGGAAAACTTGTTAGTGTACTACAGTAAGCCAGTTGAAAAATGGTGATGGCCCTGATGAGGCTATTAACAGTGAGATACTAGAAAAGTGGTCAGATCTATGTGCACTTTGAAGGTAGAACCAGCACAGATCTTCTTGATGAATTAGGTCTGGGGTGTAAGATAAAGAGAGGAATCGAAGACAATTTCAATATTTTTGGGCTGCATAACTAGAAGGAGCTATTTTTTATTAACTCTGATTGGAAAGCTGGAGTTTTGGTAGAAGGAGGAAATAAAAGGTTTAGTGTACACATATGAAGTTTAAGAAGTCTCTTAGATATCTGAATAGAGATTTTGCATGCACAGTTGGATATATGAAGTCTTAAGGTCAGATGACAGGTGTGACAGAAGACATACCTAAGAGAGAAATTCTGGGCAGTATTTGAAATCATAAAACTGAAATCCACAAGAGAAAAGGACCAGGTCTAAGAGCCTCAAGGCATTTAGCCAATGTAAGCAGTTGAGAGAAGACAAGGAACCAATGAATGAGACTGGATAGGAAGAAAAACCAAGATGGTGAGGTATTCTGGAAGTCACGTGAAAGAAACTACATCAAGGAGGGATCTGTGTTAAATGTTATTAAGTAAAGACCGATAATTCTACACTGGATATGGCATTATGGAGGTCACTGGTAATGCTGACAAAACCAGTTTCATGGTGTGTTGAAAGCAAAACCCTGTTTGGAGTGGTTAAAGAGAAAATGGATGAAAAATAGTTGGAGAACACAGGATATGTTAAGTTCCTTTGAAACAGACAGTACATTTGAGGTGTTTGGTTATAAATGCAAAGAAAGAAATGAGCAACAGGTAGCAAGGAAAGTAGGCTCAAGAGAATTTTTTATGTTGAGAGAAGTAACACTGAAACAATTCAGTAGAGACCCAAAAGCTGTTGACTTAGGAGAGATGAAGAAGAGGACTGCTGGAACAATGTCCTCAAGTAGGTAAGAGGAAATGAAGTACAGTGCAAAAGTAGAGAAAAATCTGTTTAAACAGGAGCACATATATCTACTGTAAACTGTTGAGAGTATGTCAGTACAGCAAGTAGTATGCAAACGCTGGTAGATAGCAAGCTGTGATATTGGGGGGTGAGATGGGTCTCTGGAAGTTTGCTTTTGATGGGTTCAATTTTTTCAGTGAAGTGGAATGCAAGGTAGTAAGCTGACACAATGGGGGTTTAAGGGGAGACAAGTATAAAATAGTTATCTAGGATATAGAGTGCGCCACTGCAATTTCTTGCTCTGCTAACTCTGCTTTCTCACTTTCATATGTTACTTTCATATGTTACTTAAATATTTAAGTTGTTTAATTTTATTAAAGCATTCTATTTGTTTATTCCTTATAGAACTTATATTCATTTAAGAAACAGAAAGGTAGAGACCATGTATTATTCATCTTTGCATTAACATCACTTAGCTTAGAAGATAACATATAATAGGTCTAAAGGTCTTAAAAATCTATGGTGTATTTGATCTATTTAAATAGTAAAAACATTTTTTGAGAATAAAAATTCTTAAGAATATAGATTTTAATATTCCTTTTAAAATGGCATTGATTCAATTCAATAAGAGGTCAGGGACACGTATAGATTAATGTACATAGAAAACTAAATTTACATCTGTATCATATACCTTTATATATATTCAAGAATTTAATTCAAGAAAAGGATTAAAATTACATTATCCTGGTTATACAGAAGAAATATTCTCACATTAAGCACTAATATATGTAAATTAAAACAACTGTTTATGAATAGGAATAATAAGGACATAAGGGAGAGATAAAAGATTTAATGGTGATGTCTTATACGAGAAATGATAAATACAGTGATCACCTTATTAGATCTTATTAGATCTTAAAGTGCCAAGGTCAAATTAGAAAGTGATTGTCTATGTTAATCCTCCAACAGCTACAGCATATGTACCCTGAACTGTGCTAGATGGTAATGGAAAATGAACTAAGCATTTTGTATGATATGCAAAACATACTTTTGGCAAGTTGAATAAATATAACTTTTTAGATAAGTGGAAGGATTAACATAATAAGGAGTTTATAAATTTGATTTCTGCCATATCTTTATTTCAAAAGGCAAAAAATTCCCTCAAGCACATTTAAAACTAGCACTACCACAGTATCAATGAATAGTCAAAGCACAAAACTGAAACTAAATCATTTGAGATTTTACAATAACAATTTCTTAACAATTAGAAACTGATCATTTAAATGTATCCAAAATTTAATGCATCTAACCTTGTAATGCCTATATAGGCTACTTCTTGCTTCGTGTAATTGTTGACAAGAGAAATTCCAACATCTTGTAATGCCACTGCAATTTCTTGCTCTGCTAACTCTGCTTTCTCACTTTCATATGTTACTTTAAATACCCTTGGATCTTCAGTGAATAAAATAATGCGTTGTAAACCTTCAAAGAATGAAACTAAATATATTGTCTTTTCCCCCAAATCTATAGGCATCATCATATCCTAGAATAAAACCACCAAAAAAAAAAAAAAACCAAAAAATTAGAATTTGGTCCCAAAGAACATGAAATTTAGATTTCACATTTATAAAATGAGACTATTAATGGCACCTACTTCATGGGGTTAGTGGCAACTAAATGAATTAATATTTGTAGAATACTTGCAAATTTACATTATTGAAATCATTTGATGTTATCTGTTATAAAATTATTACTCATAAAGACAGGCCAATTGTTTACTTTTTTAATTTAAACATTTTAATAAAATTGAACCTTCCCACGTAGGCTAATCTGTAACACAAAGTATTTTTTTCTGCTTTATTCTAAGACTACAGCAATGTGATATGTATTAAAAGTTGTTTCAGTTTGAAATTCACATTTCCTTTCATAGCTGAATCAAACAGGATAAAAAATATCTTGTATCTCAATTGTATGTTCTACAAAGCATGTATATTCATCATGAGGCTATTTCTGCAGGAATCTCACATAAATGTGCTGATATCAGGGTTTTGAGGGTCAATGACAAGATAAACATAGCAAATTCTCATAATTAATATTCAGCCATTAATTTCTAGTTAATATTCTGATTTTCAGAAAATTTTACTATATAGTATACCTTCACGTTGCAATATACAGAAATTAAAAACTGTGAGTTGTTACCATAAAATAATTATCTGGGGATACTTACCTTACTTGTAATACTTTCTAAGTATATATATGTATATCACTAAAACCACATTGAGAATCAAGAAGACTAACTTATTTCACTGAAGTCTTTCTAATATTTTACAGTGAATGTCTGATTTATCTTTATAAGCTTCAAACTATCACTATGATATAAATATGCAAAGTACTAATCAACAGATCAAATGAATAAGACTTTTTATATCAAAGTACAATTTTTTTTCCTGAATAAATCTAATAGTAATGAATTTTTAAAACTGAAAGGCCACTTATAGGCAATCCTCTTAAATACAATGTAAACAATACCCACAGCAGACTCCTCAACAGCAGCACTGAAAGACAATGAGAAAATACCACCTACTGATAAGCAGGAAGAAAAAATCACCAGTGGTAAGAAAAAAAAACATCAGGAGTCAAATTAAGATGAATCTTGAAGGATTAAAAACTTTTAAAAATTTTCTGAAAGTATTTAAAATGTTACCAGAAAATATATGTGCATAACTTTATCATCATAGCTTGCCACTCAGAAATAAGTTTGTTTTAGTTCACTCAGTGGATCCTTAAATGTTCCTTACAGAAGCTAAATCTACCTAGTATGATTGTCAATGCAGAGAACATATTTGTTTTTCAGGTGAATGCTGAAAGCACTTCTCTAAACACAACTTTATTCTTTATAACACAGTAGAAGCAAATGATGTAAACAAAATAAGACTACTTTTGGTTTTAAACATTTTTGGTTAAGTAAATACTTGAATACTATTTTGAAGACGTTTGGCAGTTTTTCAGAAGTGTGGCCACAAAAAGTCCTTAAAACTAGGAAGGCTGAAAATCAAATACTGTTGTTTTTTGTTTGTTTTTTTTGAGACGGAGTCTTGCTCTGTCGCCAGGCTGGAGTGCAGTGGCGTGATCTTGGCTCACTGCAATCGCTGCCTCCCGGGTTCAAGCGATTCTTCTGCCTCAGCCTCCTTAGTAGCTAGGACTACAGGCACCCGCCACCATGCGAGGCTAATTTTTGTATTTTTAGTAGAGACGGAGTTTCACCATATTGGCCAGGCTGGTCACAAACTCCTGACCTGGTGATCCGCCTGCCTTGGCCTCCCAAAGTGAATTTTGTATTTTTAGGAGAGACAGGGTTTCACCTTATTGGCCAGGCTGATCTCCAACTCATGGCCCACCTCAGCCTCCCAAAAGTGCTGGGATTACAGGCGTGAGCCACCGCACCCGGCCCAAATACCTTTTTTAAAAAAGGCTGCTGGGAACACCATAATAACCCAATACTTACATCCTTCTGTGTTACTTCACCATGGCTTTTTCTACATCTCCACTTCAGCCTTCTAGAGCCCACCGGATCAGCCCATGTATAAAACACGGCTTTACCAGGAGGGAGGGAATCTTCTATTTCACTGAGAGAACTGACACAGTAGCAAAAATACGCGTTAAATTAAATGCAAGTACACGAAGAGATTAAAAAAAAACTAAAATAATACTTCATTAATTCTTAGTTCACTGAGATCTGTGATCGTTCTGATTAAAACAAGGCTGAAATTCTTACCTTATACAATTAAAAAAGGGTTCACTAATGAATATTTCTCATTATTTTCCCACTTAGAAAATACATGTTCTACTTAGGAAATAAAGGTCTTCAAGTCTTTAAAACTGTTTTGTCAATTTTTTAATACAAATTAATTATGGAAAATTATTCCAACTATTTTACCCTATTTATACCAATTCTAAGATAATTTAATTGGTAACTCTTTCCTAAGTATTGGTCTTACTAGAGCAAAAACAAAGTAACTAAATTATTCTTTAAAATCACAAAACATGAAATACACATCTAAGAAATTCAGTTGACTCACAAAAAGATGCTCAGAAAGAAAAAAACATTACAAAAGTTATAAACCAAACAAGTAATAAAATATAGCTCTTCTGAGTAGAAGAAGGAATTAACTCTGCAGATTTAAAAGACTTCACTGGGTATCAGACATAAATGAAAACAGTATCATTCTAGACATATCTTTGTAAGAAAATAGGGGGGAAAAAACCCTAACACATATCTAGGAAAATCATAGTCACTCGCAAGAAAATAAAAATGTTACTCTCACAGTTCAATGATGTTTAATATCAAAAAACAATGGCACAATACCTATACAATTTTGAGAAAAACGTTATCACTTAAAATTTTATGTCAAATTGTCATAAATTTGTAAGAATAAGACATTTCGAACAAGCAATAGCATAACACTATCCACAAATCTTTACTAAAAAAATAACTCAGACTTTTTCCAACCAAGCTAGAGATGAACTCAGAACAACATTTTAACAACTAGGATATAGAAATATTGAGGAACCTGTAGTGAACAATTAAACCAGTTTAAGAAAGTCATTTTTTTGTTAAAACATTAAAATCAATGCAAATACCAAAAGGGCCTTGAATGAAATAATACATATTTTGAAAAGCTAACCATTTTATATTAATCTGTTTGAAAACATACCAAATTATATTCACAAGAAAGTAAGAATTTGGAAAGAGGTTGAAGAAAAGGTAAAAAAGCATTACAATTTTTTATGGGTAAGCTAGCAGATACTGTTTCAATCTTAAAATTGATTTTAAATGTATCGAAACCTTCAATAACAAAAAAGGAATTATCCATAACCGAAACAGAATATGTATTTTCCAAAAAATCATTAGAAGACAATATACTACAAAAAAATATGGTAAGGAATTATAAACTAGTTATTACAATGATTACAAATGGGTTGAGGATCGTTATTAGAAGATAAACTGGGCTGGGCGCGGTGGTTCATGCCTGTAATCCCAGCACTTTCGGAGGTCGAGGCAGGTGGATCACCTGAGGTCAGCAGTTTGAGACCAGCCTGGCCAACATGGTGAAACCCTGTCTCTACTATAAATATGAAAATTAGCCGGGCATAGTGGCGCGCACCTGTAATCCCAGCTATTCAGGAGGCTGAGGCAGTAGAATCGCTTGAACCTGGGAGGCAGAGGTTTCAGTGAGCTGAGATCGCGCCTCTGCACTCCAGCCTGGGCAAAACAACAAAATTCCATCTCAAAAAACAAATAAACAACAACAAAAAAAGAAGATAAACTGATTCTAAAATTATAAAAGTTGAAATAAAAATTCTGAACAATTAAGTATTTATTTAATTGTAGAGCATCTAAATGATAGAATATCACGCATTCAGTAAAAATCATGCTTTGCAGGGACACAAAGAAGGAACAACTGACATCGGGAACCTATTTGGGGGTGGAGAGTAAAAGGAGGGTGAGAATCGAAAAACTACCTATTGGGTATCATGCTTATTACCTGGGTAATGAAACAATCTGTATACCAAAACCCCGTGACATGCAATTTACCCATGTAACAAACCTGCACATGTAACCCCTGAACCTATAATAAAAGTTAGAAAGAAAAAAAAATTGTGCTTTGAAGCAAATTGATATGCTCACAATAGCTGTCAAATGTGAGAGATACATAAGGAAGGAAGAAAGGGAGGGAGGGAGAGAACAAAGGAGGGAGGAAAGGAAAGGAAAAGCAATGAACCAAAATGTTGACAGTATTTGGATTACAGGGATTATGGTCCTCTTTCACATTTTTTCTGTAGTATTTTTTAAAACAGTAATTTAACAACTATTACTTTTATATGCAGGAAATAACATCCATATTTTTTTAAAAGCCAAGAGAAGGAAATGTGGAGGAGAAAACAAAATCATACTCTTCATTTTTCCATGAAAAAAAAAATCAAATGTAAATGTGTTGATTATCAAATAAATTTGGTTTAAAAATATTTAAAAATGCTCTTAATTCATACAAATTTTAATCTGTTTAATTCATTGCAGAGTATTCCTTATGCAAAAACGTACTGGACTACCTGGGACAGGCAATGAAAATTCCAAGAAAAGGGAAACTAACCATAGTCCTCAGACTATTCACTATCTGTGTGTACATGTCTCAAACTCACAAGAAAGTAACACAATGTGACGAATGCTGCAATCTACATATGTAAAGGTGCTATCAAAAACTGGGGTACATAGATTAAGGTGGCAAGGGAAGGGATCACATAGAATGGCATTTTTCTTTTTTTTTTTCCTAAATTTAAGTTCCAGAATACACGTGCAGAACGTGCAGATTTGTTACATAGGTAAATGTATTCCATGGTGGTTTGCTGCACCTACCAACCTACACCTAAGTATTAAGCCCCACATGCATTAGCTATTTATCCTGATGTTCTCCCTGCCACCATGCCCCCAACAGGCCCCAGTGTGCGTTGTTCCCCTCCCTGTGTCCATGTGTTCTCATTGTTCAGCTCCCACTTATAAGCAGGGACATGCGGTGTTTGGTTTTCTGTTCTTGTTGCTGAGGATAATAGCTTCTAGCTCCATCCATGTCCTTGCAAAGGAATGATCTCGTTCCTTTTTACGGCTGCATAGTATCCATGGTGTATATGTACCACATTTTCTTCATCCAGTCTATCGTTGATGGGCATTTGGGTTGATTCCATGTCTTTGCTATTGTGAATAGTGCTGCGGTGAACATGTGTGTGCATCTATCTTTATAAGAGAATGATTTCTATTCCTTTGAGTACATACCCAGGAAGGGGACTGCTGGGTCAAATGGTATTTTGGGTTCTAGGTCTTTGAGGAATCACCACACTGTCTTCCACAATGGTTGAACTAATTAACACTTCCAGCAACAGTGTAAAAGCGTTCCTATTTCTCCACAGCCTTGCCATCATCTGTTGTTTCTTGATTTTTTAATAATTACAGAATGGCATTTTTCTAGCTGAAAGAAACACCTATTCAGGTAAAAACACATGGAAAGACCCAGAGCATTCAGGAAAAAAAAAAACTTCACTTTGTATAGGGTAAGATTTAGGCCACGGAAAGATAAATGTTTAGAAAGGCAGCCTAGAAGTATATTTTTAAAGAAATGGGTAAAAAAAGAAAAACTTTAAACTAGAGAGATATGATTATATTTCTTATTTTAGAAAACTCATTCTAGTGGAAAATGGGAGATTTACTAAAGATAAGACTAGATATATAGAGATAGATAAAAAATCTACTCAAATGTAGTTAGGCATGGTGGCACATGCCTGTAAACCCAGCTACTTGGAAGGCTGAGGCATGAGAATCACTTGAGCCTGGAAGGTGGAGGCTGCAGTGAGCCTGGATCGCACCACTGCACTCCAGCCTGGGCAACAGATTGAGACACTGTCTCAAAACAAAACAAAAAAGAAAAATCTACTCAAATAAAACAAAACAACGCATAAAAATCTACTCAAATAGATAAGAAATGGAGGGTTACTGAACTAGGATAATGGCAGGGGAGATTACATAAGAAGGGAATATTTATTTAAAAGTTTAAATTTAACAAACAAATGGAAACACATCTCATGCTCATGGATGGTAGATTCAATATTATGAAAATGACCATACTGCCATAAGCAATCTACAGATTCAATGCAATTCCCATAAAAATACCATCAACATTCTTCACAGAACTAGAAAAAAAATCCTGAAATTTATATGGAACCATAAAAGGAGCCCTCATAGCCAAAGCAATACTAAGCAAAAAGAACAAACCTGGGGGCATCACGTTATCCTACTTCAAAGTATACTACAATGCCTATAGTCACCAAAACAGCATGGTACTGGTATAAAAATAGGCATGCAGACCAATGGAACAGAATAGAGAAACCAGAAATAAAGCCAAATACTTACAGCCAATTATCTTCAACAAAACAAACAAAAACATGAAGTAGGGAAAGGACACCTTATTCTAGTGAAGGGACTAGATGTGAAGAGACCAGTCTGGCCAGGGCCTAAGATAGAGTTGACTTAATGGTTTACAGACAAGGCTGGTTCTTCACTCTTGTTCTTTTAGCTCTTTTGTTTCCAGATTCTTTTGTCCAGTCTTCTTTCTGGTACTTTGACTATCTCCTATTCAAATGGTACTGGGATCGTGGGCAAGCCACATGTAGAAGAATAAAATTGGATTCTCATCTCTCACCTTATACAAAAATCAACTCAAGATCGATCAAAGACTTAAATGTAGAACCTGAAACCATAAAAATTCTAGAAGATAATACTGGAAAAACTCTTCTAGACACTGGCTTTGGCAAAGAGTTCATGACCAAGAACCCAAAAGCAAATGCAACAAAATAAAAATAGATGGGACCTAATTAAACTAAAAAGCTACTGCACAGCAAAAGGAATAATCAGCAGAGTAAAGAGACAACGCACAGAATGGGAGAAAATATTTGCAAACTATGCATCCGACAAAGGACTAATATCCAGAATCTGTAAGGATCTCAAACAAATCAGCAAGAAAACAAAAACAAAAACACAATAATCCCATCAAAAGTGGGCTAAGGACATGAATAGACAATTCTCAAAAGAAGATATACAAGTGGCCAAGAAACATATAAAAAGAAGCTCAGCATCACTAATTATGAGGGAAATGCAAATTAAAACCACAATGAGATACCACCTTACTCCTGCAAAAATGATCATAATTTAAATTAAAAAAAAATAGATGTTAACATGGATGTGGTGAAAAGGGAACACTTTCACACTGCTGGTGGGAATGTAAACTAGTACAAACACTATGAAAAACAGTATGGAGATTCCTTAAAGAACTAAAAGCAGAACTATCATTTGATCCAGCAATCCCAGTACTGGGTATCTTCTCAAAGGAAGAGAAGTCATTATATTAAAAAGACACTTGCACACATGTTTAGAAACAACTTATTATTTTTATAATATGGATAATTAAAAAAAACAGGCATCCCTCTTTCTTAACATCTTAAATAGATGAGAGAATGCTACCCCAAACGAGTTTTAGGTACTTGCTAGTCCAGCCCTGTGGTCCCTACTCAATGTCTGTTTGATTTTAATCAATGATTAGAAGTTGTACAGTTAGCAGTGGAAGGAAAGTGGAAGTGCAATGATAAATATGTGCTTGTTGAAAAGTAACAGGTGAAAAGAAAGAAAGAAAGGAAACAAAATAAATTCAAGACAGCCTGGAACTACTAAGTAGAGGATCAGAAACTTGCATAACCTGTAGTGGCACTAAGAAGATATAACAGCAAATAAAATGAATAATGTTGAAGAGTAGTCCTAAACCATGAAGATTCAATTATAGCCTTTAAGGAAGCAGTCCTTTCCCCAAGACAGCTCAACAAGAGGGTACCTACTGTTTGAAAAAAAAATCTGAAATTTTACATATTTACACTATATTAAACACATGAAAAAATTCAAAAATAGACAAAATTCAGAGACTCCTAACAAACTCTGACAGACTCCTCATCAGAGTCAACAATGAACAAGCTTTTGCCACACTTGCTTCAGCTCTTCCATTTTTCTTTCTTTGAAGCATTTCAAAATAAATTGTAGACATCAAGTCAGTTTTACCCCTACATGCTTCAAGTACATTTTTTAATGGAACACTGTTTTACACAGCTACAATGCTATTATCAGTGTTTATACTCTTAAGAAATTATCAAAAAAAACTGTGCCTCATCATCTAGACTTACACCATCAAGAGTTACTGTATTTGTGATAATCTTACCTTTGATTGTATTGAACAAGTTCATTCTTTGTGTGATTTATTAAGAGGAATGTAGCTGCTCCATCATGATAATCTAAAAATGTAATAACTGTAGAATGCTCGGCCAAATTCACTTCTGCTATAATACCTCCAAGCTAGAAGAAAGAAAAAGAAAACATTTTAATGTAATCATTTTCCCAAGAATATTAACTAATAACATTTAAGAACAGACTATTCATAACTTGATAATTTAATTTTTGGGATGACTGAGAAAACAATTCAGAATTTTGTACTGCATTTCTGGAAATCTATAATCTCAATCACTGTATTACAGATAGGTGACATTCCAGATGTGGTATATTCTAGTATTCCAGGCATTCCAACTAACTTTTTTTTTTTTTTCTTGAGACGGAGTCTTGCTCTGTCGCCTAGGCTGGAGTGCAGTGGCGCGATCTCGGCTCACTGCAAGCTCCACCTCCCGGGTTCACACCATTCTCCTGCCTCAGCCTCCCGAGTAGCTGGGACTACAGGCACCCGCCACCACGCCCGGCTAATTTTTTCTATTTCTTTAGTAGAGACAGGGTTTCACCGTGTTAGCCAGGATGGTCTCAATCTCCTGACCTCCTGATCCGCCTGCCTCGGCCTCCCAAAGTGCTGGTGTTACAGGCGTGAGCCACCGCACCCGGCCCCAACTAACTTTTTATTTAACAATTAAATTATCTTAGATCTCTGTTTCCTTCTACAAAAAGAAATGTTTGTTCGTTTTTGGGGAAAGGGGAAAAATCAACAGAAGTAATTATTTGATACAAAAAATAAATACAATACTAGTCAGTATATTTTAGCTTTCCTAATGACACATGCAAAAAAGAAAAAAAAACTTACCTCGTTATCTAGACGCAATAGAATACAATTTTCCTGCTTGTTAAAATATATCCTTTTGGGAGGATCTTCACTCCTTTCGACTTGAATAAGAAGTTTACTAGAAGCATACTCAGGCCAAAAGGGGATACACTAAAATATACATTATATATGTTTATAAAAATAAACAGATTTCACCATAAATATATAAATCATCTTAATATTCCCATCAGAATAGACTTAAACTATAAAAAAACCTGTTTTAACACTGCTCTAGTTATTGGGTTGTTTAAACAGCTGTAAACTTTCAACTTGAAGATGGATTGTCACTTGTCAGCACTATGCATTCAAGAAGCAGTGGATAGCAAATTGAAGAGCTATGGTAAGTGAACTGCTGGCGAGAAAAGAGACTTTAATGTGGTCATGATCTTACAGAGAAGGGTTGAAAAATCAGCAAGAAACCTGAGCTGAGAACTGGGACACAGATGATCAGGCTTAAAACAAGTGTACATTCAGTTACTAAAAATCAAAATCAGGTATGAACATTATCTGGAAATTAGGCAGAAATCAAAGTACGCAAAACAAGTATTAAATCTAGCATCTGGTTGTCAAATAAGGGTAAAAAAGTAAAAGTAGTATTCAAAGTTCAGAGTAGGAAAGAAGCTCAGAATTGTACGAAATAACTTCAACGTGAGTGATCTGGAAACCAAACTAAAAGAATAGGAGATAGTCAAGGTACTACAGAGAAGACTGGACAAAAGAATCTGGAAACAGAGCTAAAAGAAAAAGAATGAAGAACCAGCCTTGTCTGTAAGCTATTAAGTCAACTCCATCTTAGGCCCTGACCAGACTGATCCCTTCATATATTTCAGTGAGACTGCTCATGTGTGATACCTGATCATCATCACATGACTTGAGGACAATGTAGCAGAACCTGGTTGTTAGAGCTAAGTGTCTTAGCTTGTTAAAGACAGTTTTATTCAACCATAAAATGGAATTAATGGAACTAGATATGAGACATGCTTAGGAATATAACCTGACTTTGCGCACAGCCAGGGCACTGCAGTCTTAAGGATTCAAGCAACCCTGTCCCAAAGCTTTTATCCATGTCTGCATTCCTAGCCCAGGCACTTCATTCGGAAGCTCTTTATGAGAGCTTTTTGGCAGAGGCCTTCCTTGAGAGCTCCTGCAGGACCTCTTTATCGGGGGAAAGGGAGCGCCTGAGCTGAGAACTGGAACACAGATGATCAGTTTAAAACAAGGGTATAGTCACTTCACAAAAAGTGAAGACACTTTTTGTCTACTCTCAGTGCTCAGCATATTTCCATTCCTAGCTCCTCCGCTTTGTCCTACTCCATCCCCCAGGTCCATAAAACTGCCGGACACTTTGTTCAAGGTTTCCTAGACGGTGAGACAATCCCCATGTTTGTGCTGATCCACCTAACCCTTGTCCAGTGCCATTCCAGCACAGGTGGTAATTGTGCTTTCTCTGATTTAGCCTCCTGCTTACACAGGTTGAGTATCCCCTATTCGAGATGCTTGGTACCAGAAGTGTTTCACATTCTGGACTTCTTTTGGATTTTGGAATATTTGCATATATATGATGAGATATCTTGGGGATGGTATCTAACTCTAAACATAAAATTCATTTATGTTTCACATACACCTTATACACATAGCCCAAAAGTAATTTTATACAATATTTAAATAATTTTGTGCATGAAACAAAACTTGTACATATTGGACCATCAGAAAGAGAATGTGTCACTATCTCAACCACCCATGTTGACAATCTGTGGTTGTGTGGCATCACCATCATTTCTGACTCTCAATTTGTGTTACCAATAAACAATCATTTTCTTACACTTATTCACACATAAGTACTTAACAGTAAAAAAAAAAAAATGACAGTTAAGAAAGTGAAAAACATAAAGTGTCAGGTGTAGAATTTTTCACTTGTGGCATCATGGTGGCACTTGAAAAGTTCTGGATTTTGGAATATTTCGAATTTTGGAGCATTTTTGATTTCGTATTTTCAGATTAAGGATGCTCAATCTGTACTATCACAGTAAGTGATTAAAGGTTTGACTGTTACTTTCATTGTGGTTTGTGTTAATCAGCTATTCCGACACCTGGCAGCTCAGCTCTCTCCTCCTCAGCTGAGCTCTCGACAATTGCTAACTTTCTCATTTCCTCGAAGGCACTGTTCAAATGTCACTCCAATGAGTCCCATCCTAACTACCTTACATAAAATTAGAGACCACCCCTGGCTCTTGAACTCTCAATGTCCCTTATCCTACATCAGACTTTCCCACATTAGACTTGTCACTTTGAAACATACTATATACTAATTGATTACGGTATTATTAATGTTTCCCCTTATACCCACTAAAACGTAAACTACATAAAGATGGGCTTTAACTACTGTGGCTTTAACTATTATATTGCAAGTCACATAAAAAATAAACAATATTTGTTGAAAGAATGAATATACTTGAAAAAAGGTGAAATTTCTGGGAATAAGAACTATAATTATTCAAATACTCAGTTGAAGACTTAAATAGTAGTTCAGACACAGCAAAAGCAAAAAAAAAAAAAAAAAAAAAAAAAAAAAGGAAAGATGTCCATGTAGAACTTACTCAGAATGAAGCAAAGAGAGTTGGAAAATATAAAAGAGCTATTAAGAGACATGGAGGATAGAGTATGAATGTCCAACATGTCTGATTTAACGGCTTAGATGGAAAAAAACGGAAGAATGGAGGAGAGGCAATATTTAAAGAAACAATAGTAGCAAATTTTACAGAAAGCATGAAATACATTAATCCACAGATCTAGGGGTAAAGCACCTCAAGAAGGGTAAATAAAAAGTAAACCACATATAGACATATAGCAGTGTGACTGCAGAACATCAAAGACAAAGAGAAGACTGAAGGCAGCCAGAGAGATTTTTCTTTCTTTTTTTTCTTTTTTGCAATTGCAAGATTTAATACAGTGAAAACAGAGCTCCCATAAATGGGAGGGGACCTAAAGGGGGTTGCCGTTGCCCCCTGGAACGCCTGGGTTTATATCCCGATCATTGTCCCTCCCGCCAGAGAGATTTTTCTAGAGACACTGATGGTATTTACCTTCAAAACCAGCTCTAAAAGAAATTCTAAAGAATATACTTCAAGAATAATCCCAACAAGGACGGTTTTGTATGCAAAAAGGAATAATGAATAGAAACAGCAAAAACTTCTCTAATCCTAACTTTTAGAATAAAAGTTCTTCAAAAATAAAATATTCCATCAACCTCTGTCAGTCATTCAGAAAACTCTTATTCAAAGATTTAATGATGGCACAAAATCAAAATTTCACTTCTAAGTTACTACTCTCCTCAAATAACTTGAAGAAGAGTCTGGCTTACCCTACTCTCTGAAAGCATTCCTAATAGCTTCCTAGAGAGAATAAGTAATTTCCTTCTCTTTGGTGCATTTACATCTTATCTAGTCTTTGGCTGCTTTATTTAACCAAAGTGGTTAGTAATTGTTAAACGTCTACCTCCCTTAACAAGCTGGGCATTCCTAGTTACCTAATTATTAAAAATTGAACCTTCCCATCTATCTAGAGCAGGGCACAAATATTCAATAAAGATTCATGAAACTAAAACAAAATTGGAGTAAGGGGAGAGTTAAAACATTACATGGTGACTTTAGGTATCTAACTTCAAGGAGAAAATAGAATCCAAAGAGGTATATTTTTGAAATTCATCTACCCACCTGCTCCAAATCAAGAGAGAGCCATTTATCATTTCCTTCTTCAGCCACTGATATATGGTATTTGCTTTTGTTTTTAATCATATAAAAAGGGGTAAATGTCACAATTCTAGTAATGTTAAAACTGCTCAGGTCTATAGTGACACCAACCTAAGAAAAAAAAATTAACAGCTCAAAAACTGTTATGTATAACATCTTTATAAAATTTAATTAAGTAGTTAATAGAAACATTTAAAATAAAAGTTTCTTGATAAGCATAGAATGAACTCACTTGATAGTCCATTTTCAGGCCTTTACATTTAACAGCTCCATGACTACCAACAGTATCAATTGAAAACTGATTGGACAACTCACTATCAGTTACCATAAGTTGAACCTAGGAAAAAAATATTCCAAATACATCACAATTTAGGTACCTTTAAAAATTCCTGCTTAAACTGATAAATTACTTTTTAGCATAAACAAAATATTATATTGTTAATGCACTAAACCTTTATAATATTAAATTCTAATCTTTTTGGCCTCAAATATTTAACAAGTTATTTCTATCCAAGTTTCATAATATTTATTACTCAGAACTTTAAAAACTAAAAAGTGACAAGTAGCTAAAGACAAGGGAAAAACAGAATAAACATCGCATACCTTATTGTTATTAAAAAAGTGATTTGGCTGAAAAGAAAAGAGAACTGGCTTTTTATAATTAGGTGGATGCTTTCGATGAATTCCGTCTGCTTTGTACTGTAACATGCGGCCAGTTTTATTGACCATCCAATAAGGACTATGAAATGCCACAACTGTCTGACCAGTATTGTAAGTCATATGGACAGCAATATCTAAATCAGTCTTTTCCATTTCTGTAACACAAGTAAAACTGACAAAACTAATGTCTTGCTGATTAGGCTTTATGTGATATTCACTTTTCCAATCGTGATTGAGATAGTCAAGTAATTTTAAATGTAGCCTGGCTTTACCCAACTGTGCAGTACAAATCTGGGCTGAATGTCCTTCACTTAGAGTAAAAACCGAATTTTCAATTCCCTGTAATAAAAAAAAAAAAAACAAAACAAAATTTAAAATGTTGCAGAATAATATGCCTCAAAATTCTATTTATGTATTCCAAATGCTGCAAAAAATGCTTTTGAAATACCTATCAGAACAAGTCAGAAGACTTACATTCAAGTTCTAACTTTGTCAACTGTGTAAACCTCTACACGGTATTTAATCTGAGATTTGAGCTACTGTATTTGTAAAATGGTCTAAATGACTTACTTCAAAGGACAAACTGTGAAGATTAAATAACATAATGGGAAACTCCCCTGGAAATTATAAACATAAAACACTATAATTGGTAAAACAACGACAAAAAGACAATCTTAACCACTCGTGATTTTTATTTTGAAAACTACAAAACAACGTAAAATGTGGGCAAAAACTGATGGTAATCCAAAATAAGTAATCCCTACTACCTCCACAATCCCTCATCACCCATTTCCAATCACTGTTTATATTATTACGTCATATGTATCTCTCCAAACTGCTCATTTCCCTCGACCCTCCCTTCTATTATCTTAGTTCATGTCACTATATGACGTCTCAGTTTAAGAGTCCCCTAACCGCTCTTGTCCCCTCTAGTCCCTTCCCCACACCATGGCTCAATTGTCTTTCTAAAAACTGATCACACCCTTTGGAAACTGGCAGACAGAATGTGATCACTAACAGCATCCAATTAAAAGTTCTATGAGAACAGAAATATAAATTGACAGTACATCTGAATATCTCACCAGTTTTTCCAGCATCTCTATCCTATTCTTTTCCTATTATTATAATATAGGAATCTCTTCATCTCATGATTTTAAATTAATTAAAGCAAAAGTAAGGAGTTCTTGATTCTTTACAAGTTAAATAATATTCCACAAAATAACAATGGTGGTGGTAGTGCTAGAGTGATAAATAAATGGCAACCCTGTGTCTGGGAGGCACTGTACCAAATCCTTTACATACACAATCTAATTTGATTTCCCCCATGTCTTAACCAAGCAAATTTTATTATTATTCTCATTTTACAGACCACAGCAAAAGATTTAGAAAAGCAATAAAGCCTGCTTAAGAACATACAGCTAGCAAATGACAGAGCTAGGATGCAATTTCAAATCTACCTGACAGCAAAGTACAAATTCTTAACCACTATGATAATTTGTTATTCAATATGGAAATACACATTTAAAACCATAAATATGTTAACTTTTTCCTCCAAAAGAGACATGTATCAGAAAAGTGTAAACGGCTGGGTGTACTGGCTCATGCCTGTAATTCCAGCACTTTGGGAGGCCGAAGCGGGAGGATCACTTGAGCCCAAGAGTTCAAGACAAGCCATAGTGAGTCCCTGTCCCTACAAAATTAAAAATTAAAAAATATTATCCAGGCATGGCATGCACCTGTAGTCCCAGCTACTCGGGGGGCTGAGGTGGAAGGATCACTTGAGCCTAGAAGTTTGAGACTACAGTGAGCTATGATCGCATCATTGCACTCCAGTCTGAGCAACAGAGAGAAACCTAGTCTCAAAAAAATTTTTTTAAAAAGCAAATGGTAATTCTAAAAGTAAAATAAACCTATAATAGATGACAATGAAGAACTACTTTCTTCCATTTGATAAGCACTGCAAATGAAATATTTACATAAAATCTTAAGATGTATGGATTCCTATAACAACAGGAAGAAACCACACAGAGTATGAAAGAAAAAAAGCAACTTCACAAAGTATACAATCTTTTAAGAAAATCAGCACTAAAAGAATACAACATAATGTAGCATGCTTTTTTGTCACTGAAGTCTAGTTCTTAAATGTTATTTCAATAATAATTCTCATACTTGTTGCAAAAGAATATCTGCATTACCTATTCTTTACTAGTATTCTAATTTTTATTAGATCTTTAAAATAGTTTTTATTGATCTTAATCTTAAAAAACTGAAACTACAAAATCAAAAACAGGAAGGCACTAAATCAGTTTGCCGATACCTCTATATAATAAGCAATTTTGTAAGGAAGAAGATTTCGGAGCAGGATAGGTGGCCACAAATGCATTATGTATGGTAAATCCCAACCATCTTCTGAATACACTGATAGAGATGTTAAATTATCTTTTTCTGGAACAATATTAATGAGAAATGATTCCTTAGAAGGGTTTTTAGATCTACATTTCTTCTTTAGAAGAGCACCATCATTTTTTATAATCTCTTCAAAGTCAATTCCTTCACACATTTGATAGTTCTCATCTTCTGGCTTCAGAAAAATGAATGATCTGCATGAGATTAAATGATACAGTTTAAAATGTTTTAAAGGAAAACATATTAAACTATATAATTACAGCTTTAGAATAACAAACTTACCTCCTTTCATAATATTGTAGTACATTTTTATATTTTCATATACTTTTTACGATATAAGTAAGATAGATAAGGCCAGGCGCGGTGGCTCATGCCTGTAATCCCAGCACTTTGGGAGGCCGAGACGGGCGTATCACGAGGTCAGGAGATTGAGACCATCCTGGCTAAGACGGTGAAACCCCGTCTCTACTAAAAATACAAAAAAATTAGCCGGGCATGGTGATGGGCGCCTGTAGTCCCAGCTACTCAGGAGGCTGAGGCAGGAGAATGGAGAGAACCCGGGAGGCAGAGCTTACAGTGAGCCGAGATTGCGCCACTGCACTCCAGCCTGGGCGACAGAGCCTCAAAAAAAAAAAAAAAAAAAAAAGATAGATAAATAGATATCATCTTAACTTTCTGGAAGCTCATCAAGTTGTTTGACTTTTAAGAGGAGAATATTTTTCTTACAAACTTACTATCTTAAAAGTACACTTATAAATGGTTTCATATAAAAATACATGAATCGTATCAGTTATATATGCAAAGAAAACCACATAGAATCATCTGTGACTTGCATATATAACTGAAAGAATTTGGCTTTTCTGGATACATGGGCCTAAAAGGAAATAAATGCCATGACTGAATTCATAAACTAAAAAAAATTACTATTGAAAAAATAATCGCAAGCTTTCCAACATTAATCAAATGAAAGTTTTCAATCAATATTTAATGTTATTAAAACGTAGTCAATAGATGCGGAACAGTGCTGTTTTTTTTTAAACATCAGTATGATATTTTACTTTATTATTTTTTTTTCTGCTTTAGTGTTTTTGTTTTAATTATACTTTAGGTTCTGGGATACATATGCAGAAAGTGCAGGTTTGTTACAGAGGTATACACATGCCATAGTGGTTTGCTGCAGCCATCAATCGATCATCTACATTAGGTATTTCTCCTAATGCTCTCCCTCCCCTAGCGCCTCACCCCACAACAGGCCCCAGGGAGTGATGTTCCCCTCCCTGTGTCCATGTGTTCTCCTTGTTCAACTCCCACTTATGAGTGAGAACATGCGGTGTTTGGTTTTTTGTTCCTGTGCTAGTTTGCTGAGAATGGTTTCCAGCTTCACCCATGTCCCTGCAAAGGACATGAACTCATTCTTTTCTATGGCTGCGTAGTATTTCATGCTGTATACGTGCCACATTTCCTTTATCCAGTCTATCATTGATGGGCATTTGGGTTGGTTCCAAGTCTTTGCTATTGTGAACAGTGCTGCAATAAACATATGTGTGTATCTGTCTTTATAGTACAATGATTTATTATAGTTCTTTGGGTATATACCCAGTAATGGGATTGCTGGGTCAAATGGTATTTCTGGTTCTAGATCCTTGAGGAATCACCACATTGTCTTCCACAATGCTTGAACTAATTTACACTACCACCAAAAGTGTAAAAGCATTCCTATTTCTCCACATCCTCTCCAACATCTGTTGTGTCCTGACTTTTTAACGATTGCCATTCTAACTGGCGTGAGATGGTATCTTGTTGTTGTTTTGATTTGCATTTCTCTAATGACCAGTAATGATGAGCTTTTTTTCATACATTTGTTGGCCACATAAATGTCTTCTTTTGAGAAGTGTCTATTCATATCCTTCACCTACTTTTTGATGGGTTGTTTTTTTCTTGTAAATTTTTTTCAGTTCTTTGTAGATTCTGGATATTAGTCCTTTGTCAGATGGATAGACTGCAAAAATTTCTCCCCATTCTGCAGGTTACCTGTTCCCTCTGATGATAGTTTCTTTTGCTGTGCAGAAGCTCTTTAGTTTAATTAGATCCCATTTGTCAATTTTGGATTTTTTTGCCATTGCAGAAGAGTAGTTTTAAGAAAATGGTGACAAAATTATTGGTTGTCACATGGTTAATCTTTATATTTGAATATTACATTGTTTACATTTCAGCAATATTTTATACTTAATTTTTGAACCCACACTGTAGCCAAGAATAAACATTTCATAAATATTTTTATATTTGTAAAACTAATTAGCTATAGTTATGAGACAACACTGTCCTTTATAGATGAACAATGGTCAAAACTATCTTCAACCCTGATTATTTTCCTAAGCTCTACTCCTAAAATGTCAAATATCTATGATGTATTTCTGTAGTAATTTCTGATGGCACCTTAAATTTGCTAGACTGAACACTGAACCCACTCTACCCACTTTTCTGCATGTCCTTTTTCAGTGACTTCCAGCTACTGGCACCCTGGACTGTGAAACAATTAGACTTCCTTCTTACCTGACTGAAGCATATAAATTATTTGTCAAAACAGTTAACAGATATAGCCTATTCTACTTCTACATTCCTTCTATAATTTTCATTCTATTTTCCACTCTTACTTCTAATACTTAAAGACAAAACCTTAATTTTTTCCAAATTAAACTAATCGTAATACACTTATCCAGTTTATCAAAACATTTATTGGACCTATTATGTACCAACAAGAAGGCAAAATTGAAAACAAACAAATGAGTAAGATCATAATCAGGTGGGAAATGTTAAAATGTTAAAAGATAACTACTGCATTGTGATAGGTACCAAAAAACATATGTTTAGAGTAGACTGAGGGCAGAGTGGTTGGCTCTTTCTAGACAGACTGCAAGGTATTTGCCAAGTGACAATTTTCCCAAAAAGGGTGTTCTGAAGAGAAAATCTGAGTAAGAGAAATATAAAACGTCAAAGGAAAGTTCAAGGAATGAATAAGGAAAACAGGAAAGAAAGATAATCAATGACAGGAGGTTTTAAATGAGAAGATATGGTAGTGTGAATGGTCTTGAAACAGAACATCAAATTATCTGAGACAAGAAGAAAAAAACAGATCAAACTAATAGATGGAGATAAAATTTATAAAAATGGAGCAAGAAAATGAGGGAGCAACCATCTAACTGTGAACTTATCTTTCAAATTTTATCTTCCAACATGCACTCTACATTCCAACAAATTCCCAACTATTCCTTTTAACACTATGCTTTCATGCTTCCTTATCTTTGTTCATGCATGCCTTCCTCTTAGATAGCCTTTTCCTTCTAATCTCCATATTACTATATTACAGATGTTACCGTACTTCATGTATCTTGCCCAGGAGTCAGTCATTAATCCCTTTTATGTTTTCCACAGTTTTTGGCAACTCTAACACTTTCTATAACTCTCTATAACCCACTGTTTCCTACTTTATACATTTATGTAATATATCCATCTTTTGATGGCAATAGCCACATGCAATTCATCTTGGTATTGAGTGTCTCACCCACAGAAAACCTTGATAAATATTTGTTAAATGAATAAAAGAATCAGTATATTTAAATTCTACTTAAATATTTTAATAAAATATAAATTGTTTTCCTGTGTTTATCTGCATCTATATTTATCTGTATCATTAATCTAAGAATAGAAATAGAATAGAGAAAGATAGCCATTTGTTAATTTAAAACCTCACATCTTAAATATAAGTGCACCTATACTGAAGTACTAGATTAAAAGAATACCTAGATTATGAGTTCGAGACCAGCCTGACCAAAATGGACAAACCCTGTCTCTGCTAAAAATACAAAATTAGCTGCGCATGGTGGCACATGCCTGTAATCCCAGCTACTTAGGAGGCTGAGGCAGGAGACTCGCTTGAACCTGGGAGCTGAGATCCCGCCATTGCACTCCAGCCTGGGCAACAAGAGCGAAACTCCATCTCAAAAAAAAAAAAAAAAAAAAAATGCCTAATGAGAAATCCAAGCTGGTTAGTCACTAATAATTCTACTTAAGATGAAGTACTTAGTCAGTAACAATTCTCATTAAGATGAATTAATCACTACTAATTCTCATTAAGATGGATTAACTATCATGTAACAAATTAATATTCAGCCTTGGAAAAAGTATAAAGGTACTGTTTTCTCTACTATGGACAGAGATACAAAATATATAGCAGAAATGTATTAAAAAGTAGAATATCATTAACTTTTATTATCCAAGAAGAAAATGAAAGTTCTTCACAGAAATTTTTAAATATATCTTACATGCCATATTTAATCTAGTCTTGTAACCCACCCCAAATCCTCTCTAGAGCAAGGTCAGATACTGTAAATGACTATTTTGTTGTTCTCTCAACAATACAATTCTTTCCCTCAGCAAGTCTGAACTAAGCAATAAAACACTCTTTAGGTTTAGCAGGTCGATCTATGTGAAAATAGGTGCCTAAAACTGCTAGATTGTCTTCGGAGCATTGAGGATCCCATTCTGAACTTCTGGACAAGAGAACAGGTAAGCACTGTTTGCAGTTTTGCCTCTGTCCTTCTGTAGCATTGAGGTAAGTACCTATTTCTAGTGTGTATTCTAAAATGGTATTTAAACAAACTACAATGCTTAATTCTGAGAACAGTTTTATTCTCCAATAAGGTTCAATTTCCACATAAGAGATTATTTTCAATTCCAGATTACATATCTTGACTAATACTTACTTGTTATGATATAAAATCTATAAGACTAGCTCATATTTTGTTATAATTTTAATATTTTCTTAAAACATATTGTATCAAATTTAATTACTTTAAAAATTTAAAATTAATATAGTATATACTTCTATTTATATTACAACTCCAACCCTGAACAATGAACAAATATGAAAAGAAAAGGATAAAATATTGTTTACTAAAGGAATTTCAAAAAAATTGTATTATAAAACCTTTGAGAAGTACAAATTACTTCATAATAGTATATATAAATTCAGAAACCACCAGGCATGATCTATTAGACATTTTTAAAACTCATAATCATATGACTATGCTTATGACGGTTATATTGCAATCAAAATATAATTATATTTAAGAGAAAAGCATATATAGTGTGCTTGGTATAAGTTATTACAATAAATTAAATAATACTTCTTTTTTAAGATCTAAGTGCACTGAAACCTAAATACGTTAGATAAGCTATTAGCAGGATGGATTTGATCAAAGTTATCCATGTGAAATCAGAAACTAAAAATTCTACAAGAGATTTTAGAGTAAATAAAATGATAAAGACAAAATACCGGTAAGATCCTAATGGTATGTTGAATTCATTTTCAGGTGAGGCAGTTCCCAATAAGGTATCCCCTTCGTAAACAGACAGTGGGACTGAAAAATGATTTCTTATCTGGGAAAGAAAAACAAATAATATTTAGTATCATTAATCTAAGAATCTAAAGATGTGTAAAAAAAATATGTCCATGTAACTATCTTAACAAAGGAACTATCAGGCAATATTCATCTTGCTTATATAAATTAGAAAAGAAACAAACATATTATTTATCCTAAAACATACAAGAAAAATCTCTATAGTTTTATATAATAGGAATCTCAAAAACAGACTTTAAGCATCCTACAGGGGAATAAGATAATATCTTTTTGATTTTAGGATAGGGACTAATTTGTTTAAAGATAAGTTTTTGTTTAGATAAAAATAGTAGAAAAAAATTCACAGAAAAAAATCAAAATTTTAAATATTTATATGATAAAAGTGACAATCTACAGGCTGGGAAATATCTGTAATATACTTGACAAAGGGTTTATAACCACCACACTCAAAAAGCCTAAAAATCATTAAAAAAGTTGCAATCAAGAGGAAAACAGGAACAGAATGTAAACATGATTCACAGAATGGAAAAACTGACCAATAAACAGATGAAAAGATACTTGACATTCCTAGTAATCAAGAAAATACAAATTATATTCATGGAGTATCTTTTAATACCAACAAACTGCAAAAAAAATCAGAAGTATGGTGATATCAACAGTTGAAAATGATGTGAACAGGAACTCACATACACTACTGGTAGAATGTAAATTGATAAAATAACTTTGAAGAATAATTCAGCAAAAACTTAGTAAAAATGAAAATGTACTTTCTTCTTAGGAATTCTGCTCCTAGTTCCATACCTAGAGAAATGTTTACACATGTGTATTCATTCAGGTTCACTACATTCATTCAAGACACTGATGTTCACCACACCACTTTCATTATAAAAAAAAATGAAAATGAAAACAATCTCAATAATAGAAAAATAAGAAAATTTTCTTCAAATCCATATAATCATGTAACATCATTAAAATAATGACCTATATATCAGTATATGGTTACACTTCGAATATCTGAATGAAAACAGAACATAGCAAAACAAGGTGAACAGTGTAACATTTCTGTAAGACACTAAAAACACAAGTATATATTTTCTGGACAGGAATAATAGTTTTTAAAATATGGTACTGGAAATATACACAACGTATCACCAAATTGATATTACCTCAAGGAAGAAGGAAGGAGGGAATGTGGACTAAGAGGGAAACAAAACAGCTGACTTCAACTTCATGTATTTTTTTTTTTAATTTGAGGGAAACATTTTTAAATGTCTATATTTTTTAAATTCCATGGTGTGGATGGAGACATCTGTATTACAATAAACTTCAAAGTCCACTATCAAACCAATAACCAACATCCAGAGCATTCCACAACAGACATTAACTGCAAGTTTTCCAACATATTTTCTGATTATAAATATAATTCCAAATAAACTTCACATTCAACTTATCACTGATGTAAATGGAGCCTATTAAGAAACACATGCTTCTAAATGGTGCCTGTTTGGAATGTGAAGTTAGTTACCAAAGTCTGATATTGCTTCCTTTGTTTTCCCTTTCAAATTTAGTGCGGAAAAAGTTGGTTGGAAGCTGAGAATAACTAGTAGTTGAAATTTCAAGGAAAGATCAAAAGTCTGGAAAACGGAATGAGCATAAGCTTGAAAAGTCTAAGGGAGCAGAGGAAAAGGAAGCATCCGTCTGTATAAAAGTGGGTGGGCGCAGTGGCTCACACCTATTATAATTCCAGCACTTTGGGAGGCTGATGCAGGAGGATCACTTGACCTCAGGAGTTCAAGAGCAGCCTAGGCAATATAGTGAGACCCTGTCTCTACAAAATATTAAAAGATTAGCCAGGTATGGTGGTGCAGACATGTAGTCCGAGCTACTGCAGAGGCTGAGGTGAGAGGATTATTGAGCCTGGGAGGTCAAGGTTGCAGTGAGCACTGATCATGCCACTGCACTCCTGGGCGATAGAGCAAGACCCTGTGTCTCAAAAACTACAAAGGTAAGAAAGAAACAGAAGCGTGTTGCAGGTAAGCTGGTAAGCTATCCTGCTGGAACAATTCCTAAAGTTTATGACTACACAACAGCAATATGATAGCAGGATGAACATAGATGTTAAACTGAAAAAAACCTGAGATAAATACTGGCAGTGCTGATTACTAGCTGTGTAACTGTGGGCAAATTTTATTTTGAATAATACCATTTCTCCTGACTATCAAAAGTAGTAAATTCATATATACACATACCTTGTTTTATAATGTTTTGCTTTATTGTGAATTGCAGATATTTCATTTTTTACAAATTAAAGGTTTGTGGCAACCCTGCATCAAGCAAGTCTATTGGTGCCATTTTTCTAACAGCATGTGCTCACTAAGTGCCTCACTGTCATATTTTGGTAACTCTCACAATATTTCAATCTTTTCATTTTAACTATATGTGTTATAATCAATAAATGTGTGTGTTCTCACTGCTCCACAAATTGGACATTCTCCCCACTTTCTCCCTCTTCTTCGGACCTCCCTATTCTCTGAAACACAACAATACTGAAATTAGGACAATTAATAACCCTCCAATGGCCTCTTTCAAATAAAAAGAAGAGGCACATGTCTGTCACTTTTAAATCAAAAGCAAAAGCTAGAAATGATTAATGTTAAGAAGTGCATGTCAAAACCAGAGATAGGCTAAAAGGTAGGCCTCTTGCATCAAACAGCCAAGTTGTGAATGCAAAGGAAAAGTTTTTGAATAAAATTAAAAGTCCTAACCCAGTGAACACACAAATGATAAGAAAGTGAAACAGCCTTATTGCTGACAGGAAGAATACTCTAGTGGTCTGGATATGATACAGTTTGGCTAGGTCCCCCACCCAAATCTCATCTTGAATTGTAATCCCCACAATCCCCATGTGTCAAGGGAGAAACCAGGTGGAGGTAACTGGATCATGGGGACAGTTTCCTGCATGCTGTTCTCGTGATGGTGAATGAGTTCTCACGAGATCTGATGGTCTTGTAAGTGTGTGGTAGTTCTTCCTGCATTCACTTCTCCTTCCTGCTGCCTTGTGAAGAAAGTGCCTTGCTTCCCATTTGCCTTCTGCCATGATTGTAAGTTTCCTGAGGTCTCTCCAGCCATGCTGCACTATGAGTTAATTAAACCTCTTTCCTTTATAAATTACTAAGTCCTGGGCAGTTCTTTACAGCAGTATGAAAACGGCCTAATACAGGATAGAAGATCAAACCAGCTATAACATTCTCCTAAGATAGGCCCTAACTCTCTTCAATTGTATGAAGGCTGAGAGACATGAGCAAGTTGCAGAAAAAAAGTTGGAAGCAGACGTTTGTTCACGAGGTTTAAGGGAAGAAACCACCTGCATAACACACAAGTGCAAGATGAAGTGGCAAGTGGCTGCAGCAAGTTATCCAGAAGGTCTAGCTAAGATCATTGATGAAGATGGCTACACTAAACAACAGATTTCCAAACTAGACAAAACAGCCTTCTGTTGCAAGAAGATGACATTTAGGACTCTCATAGCTAGAGAAGGGAAGTCAATGCTTAGCTTCAAAGCTTCGAAGGACAGTCTGAATCTCTTCTTAAAGGGATAATGAAGCTAGTGACCTGAAGTTAGCCAATGTTCTTTTACCATTATGAAAATCCCAGGGCCTTTAAGAATATGCTAACTCTACTCTGTGCTCTATAAATGGAAAAACAAAGACTGACTTTGAAAGCACATCTGTTTACAGCATGGTTCACTGAATTTTTAAAGCCCACTACTGAGACCTATTCTCAGGGAAAAAAAATCCTTTCAAAATGCTACTGCTCATTGGCCATGCACATTGTCACTGGAGTTCTGATGGAGATGTACAGGAGCTTAATGTTGCTTTCATGCCTGCTAACACAACATCTATTCTGTAGCAAATTGATCAAGGAGTAATTTCAACTTCTTAATATTATATGTAACATTGTATATTTGACTTAAATAATATTAGTCTCATTATTTAAGAAATACATTTTTTAAGGCAACAGCTCCCATAGATAGTGATTCCTCTGATGGATCTGGGCAAAGTAAATTGAAAACCTTCTGGAAAGGATTCATCATCTAGACGCCATTAATAACATTTGTGATACATGAGAACAGGTCAAAATATCAAAATTAACAGCTGGTTCCAACCCTCATGGACGACTTTGAGGAATTCAGGACTTCAATGGAGCAAGTCACTGCAGATATGGTGGATATAGCAAGAGAACTAGAATTAGAATTGGAGCCTGAAGAGGTGACTGAATTGTTGCAATTTTCTTTAGAGAGAAAAGTATGAAGATTATCTCATCCAGTAAGTAGCAAATAATGGTCAGGCAAAAATGTATTATTCTGATTAATATATAATAATAATAATAATAATATCAGAAAACCTCCAAATACTCATATTTATCTTTGGAATAGATAATAACAAGTTGTTTAGTAAAACAATTATCTTATAATCTTTCTATATCTTACCAAAATCTACTTTAAAAACTTCATAGCAGCATATAAAACATGAGAACTAAGAATTTCATAAATGAATAATCTTAACTGTACTATATTTTTAATTCTAGAAAAACTATTTGCTCTATACATTTGAAGCAACAGAAATATTTCTACACATAGTACCTGTAAGAAATTCAAAATTCATGTTCAACTATTTAAATGGCAAAATAATCAGCAGTAATGAGTGCAGCTGTTAGTCACCTTTTAAAATAGTTAACTAAATAAAAAGTGAAAGAGAAGGGATATCTGTTTTCAGCCATGCTAGAATAACGGGGACCAGATATAGCTTCCCACCCTAATCAACTAAAAAGCAGGAAGAAAAACAACAAACATCAAACCACAGTTTCCGATACGGGGCAAGAGGCGGCACAAGGGAAAAACAAAAACAAAAAAACTACATAAGCCCTATGACTACCCAGCTTGCTGTCTGGAGAGTGAGTTTCTAGTCTGCTGTGTGAGGAGCAGGCAGCCAAGTTGAAGAGACAAGATCTGAAAATCTGGGGAAGCCAACGTGACTGAAATTCACAGCATGTTGTACTTGAGGGGAGAGACCTGCATGGAGAGGCAAGAGCTGTACGGACAGAATTCTGGAAAACTGAGTGTCCCCTCCCTGTCAAAACTTCAGCTGAGTAATGATCAGGACATGTGTAGATTATCTAAGGCTCAGTAAAGATCCGTCTAAAAGAAACAGGAAGAATGAAGTCTGGTTCTGATATATACAGTAGTTTTAGGTAACCAATAAAAAATTATCAGGTACATTAAAGGAATGAAAAAATTACCATAATGAAAAGAAACATCAATAAAACAAACCAGAAATGACATGTAATAGAATTGGTAGACAAGGACATTAAAACATTTATTAAAATTATATCCAATATCACTAAAAAGTTAGAAGACTAAGGATGTTAAAAAGAGACAATGGAAAATAAAAAAACAAAAAAATCCAGACTACTATTGAGAAAAATATATCAGATGGGGTCAATAGCAGATTGGCCACTGAAAAAGAGAAGGGAAATTGAAGACACAGCAAGAGAAACTATGAAAAAAGAAACGAGGAAAAAGCTAAAAGTAAAAATGAACAGAGCATTACTGAGCTGTGGGGCAAGTTCAAACACCCTAACGTATATCTAACTGGTACCTAAAGGAGAGAAGAGAGGGCAAAGACAGAAAAAATTTTAGAAACAATGGCAAAAAGTTTTCTAAAGTTGATCAAAACTATAAATCCACATTTTTAAGGTCAGTAAACCCCAAATACAAGGAACATAAAAAAAACTACAGTAAGATTCATCATAACCAAATTGCTCAAAACCAATGATAAAGAAAAAAAATCTCAAAAGCTGCTGAAGAAAAGATTGACACATTTTGTAGAAAAGCAAATATAGGAAAAAAAGCAGACTTCTGATCAGAAACAATGCAATACAGCAGACAGCAGAACAACATTTTTAAAGTATGGGGGGAAAAACCCTGCCAATCTAGATTTCTATGCCCAGTGAAAATATCTGTAATACATATATGTGAAAAAACTGAAAGAATTCATCACCAGCAGATCCACACTGTGAGATTACTGAAAGAAGAAAAAGTGATAATAAATATCAAATACAGTTTGTATTTTAAACCTATTTAAAACATAAATAATTCATTTAAGAAAAATAGTAACTTGTATTATGGGGTGGCTAGCATACATAGACACAAAAATGTATGAACATAATTATACGAATGTGGGAGATGAGAAGTGGAAGTATACTGGTCTAAAGTTTTGATTCTGTATGTGAAGGGGCAAAATACTACTTGAAGGTAGACTAATACAATATGTATGTAATAAAGCCCTAAAGTATCAACAACAACAACAAAAAGACAAGGAAGTATAAAGAGATACAGCCAATAAGCCAACAAGGAAATAAAATGAATCCATAACAAAAATGCTCAATTAATAAAAAAAAAGAGAAAACAAAGGGAAGATGGAAGCAAAGAACAAATGAGACAAATAGAAAAAAAAAATAGCAAGTTTAAGCCCAACCATATCAACAACAACTTTAAATATAAGTGGTTTAATTATCCCTGTTAAAAGGCACAGATTTTCAGATTATGTTAAAAAAAAAAAAAAAAAACAAGGTCTAACTACATGGTGGCTACAGAAACCCCACGTTAAATATACTTTAATGCATGGGTCCCCAGCCCTTGAGCCATGGGCTGTACCGGTCTGTGGCCTGTTAAGAAGTGGGCTGCACGGCAGGAAGCAAGCAGCAGGCTTGAGAGCATTACCACCTGAGCTCTGCCTCCTGTCAGATCAGCCAGAGCATTAGATTCTCATAGGAGCGTGAACTGCGCATGCAAGGGATCTAGGTTGCATGCTCCTTATGAGAATTTAACTAATGCCTGATGATCTGTGGTTAAATCCAGGTACTGTGAGTACTTGCCTGATTTTTGGTTCTTATGAAGGTGTTTTTTCTGTGTAGATAGTTGTTAACTTGGTGTCCCTGCAGGGGATGGGAACACACATGGGTGGAGCTTTCTATTCCTAAGAAAGGAATCCTGAGACTATATGCCCCAGCCCCCCACCCGTGGAAAAATTGTCTTCCATGAAACAGGTCCCTGGTGTCAAAAAGGTTGGGTACTGCTGCTTTAATGAGTTAAAAAGTTAAACAATGAGAGGCGGAGCAAGATGGGAGAATAGGTGTGGTGGTGTGCACCTACAGTCCTTGCTGCTCGGGAGGTTGAGATAGGAGGATTGCTTAAACCCAGGAGATGCGGCTCCAGTGAGCCATGATGGCACCACTGCCCTCCAGCCTGGACACAGAGCAAGATTCAAGAAAAGAAAGACAGAAAGACAGACATTGAAACTCTAGACCAATATCCCTCATGAATATAAATGCAAAATCCAACAATATACTAAAAGGTTAGTAAGACGTCATGATTATGTGAGATTAATCCTAGGAATGCAAGGTTGATCTAATATTTAAAAAGAATCAGTGAATGTAATTCATCATACTAACAAATTAAAAAATATATCCTCCTCTTGTACAGAAAAAGCATCTGACAAAATCCAAAATCAACTCTGATAAAAACTCTCAGCACACTAGGAATAGAAGGGAACGTTTACAACCTAAGAAAAGGCATCTACAAAACAACACAAATCATGTTTAAAGGTGAAAGAATGGACAAGGCAAAAACATGCTCTCACCACTTCTACTCGAATTGTATTCTAGCCAGTGTGATAGGCAATATAAACAAGATAAAATAAAACACATCCAGATTGAAAAAGAAAAAGTAAAAATGTCTTCATTTGCAGCTATCATAACTATCTAAATCTACACAAATCTACTAGAATATGTAAGTCTAGTTAAATCTGCAAGTAGAGGTTAATATAACCTGTATTTCTAAATACTATCAATGAGTAATCAGAATTTAAAAATTAAAGGACAAGCCAATTTTATCCAGATTTTTTATAAAATTGATAATCTGATTCTCAAATTTATATAAAAATGAGAAGGACCTAAAATCCTCTGGAAAAAAAATCCATATGGTGAAAAAAAAAGCAAAACCTCAATTCTTAACTTCACACTGTATACAAAGGTTCACTCAAAATGGCTATGCGGCATATACATATAATAGATTACTACTGAGCAACAACAAGTAACTGCATGTAATAACATGGATACACATAAGTTGACACATACATACAAAATTTTTCTGAATGAAAGTCAAACTCCATCTGTACTGTATTCCACTTATGTAAAATCCTAGGCCATATAACTAATGTACAATGAGGACAGATCAGTGGATGCCTGGGAATGGGAAAGTGGGGAAACAGAAAATTTTTCTAAGAAATAAATATGTTCATTACCGTGACTGTGATGACAGTTTCAAAGGTGCATTTTTGTGTCAAAAGTCATCAACTTTAAATATATGCAGTTTATTGTACATACCTCAATAAAGCTGTAAAATTTTTTTATTTCTCTAAAAATTATCTAATCAAATAGAAAGGATATAAATACATTACAAAGACCTAAAGCAAAACACTGATGACTATTTATAAAAAATACCGTAAGAAGATTTTACAAAATATTCCTATTAAAAAATTATAAGAAGTATATTGAACAAATTCCTACCACCCGTCATAACCAAGTAGCGCAACTGGTGGTAGTGAGTCTTCTTTTTGATATCAGCTGTATTACTGTTACGGTTTATATTCTTTCAGTAATAATTTGTTGTTGTTGTTTTTAATTTTATTAGCACACAGATATGCATAACAGGACATCCCCCAAAATTGATCATTTCATACCTGCACTGGGGAGCGAATTGTGACCTTCTTACTTCCTTCTACTGTATCAATTTGACAAACAATAGATCTTTCAACGCCAGACTCTCTGTGTCTTACAGTGTACAGACGTCGTCCCACTTTTGTTAAAGGAATCTTATCAGCAGTAGAATGGTTAACAGGTGCTAAATTAAGTAAGTATGTTTAAAAGTTTTTATTATAATTCATTACATATTAATTTTACATATGTTACATATTAGAAATTTCAGATGATTCTTAAACTTATAAATAATAGTCACTAGAGTCTTTGGATATAGTCCATAAAAGGGATATTTTAAGAAGCCAGCATATATTTCCACAGCATTAATTAAAAAACTCCCATTCAGGAGTTTAACCCAAGACAACAATAGCAAACGTTTCAAAAATGAGTAATGAGAGCAAGTACTATAAAATACAAGAATACTGATCTCTGGTTTGCTGTCAGAATAACCAGAGCATAATACCTTTTGGTAGACATTGGTAAATATCAAGGTGACTACAATTTTTGTTTTTAATTTTTCCAACAACTTGTGTCACTTTTCCTTTATATCTTGGACTTGATTAAATAAAATTTTATATATATTTACCTAAAACACATGTTGTATTGGGGATAAAATTACTTACTTGCATAAATTTCATTTACCATCCCATCCATAAAAATGTTAAAAAAAAAGACGTAAAATTTATAAGAACATTAATTACAACGCTATGACAACACCTGAAACACCTGTTACATGTTATTTTCTAACTAGAAACACAAGCTATTTTAGTAGCCTACCCCCCTATGTCTAATTAATCTTTTAAATGATGCCCTCCTCAATAATTACTTAAATGCCAGAGTATCAAAAAGTGGTGTAGGTGAGGCTCTGGGACTATTTAACTTCACAATGACTACATATTATGATACTTTAAGAATGTATATATTTCACCTCCAATAAAAATGAAAAACTTTTGGGAAGCAGAAAAGACAAAGGAAAAAACCTTCATCTCAACAGGCAGAACATAAAAAAAAAAAAACCATTTATAAATCCTAAAGCCATTAAAAATTGCCATCTGCATGAATTCACACTTAGAATTCTTTCAGTTGCAAAACTGGTGGAATACTATCAACGGATACCAAATGTGAATAAAAGAACCCCCACAAACATCTAAACATCCACGGTCTATAAAAGCAGAATGAGGGCGAGATCTAATATTTTTCCTCCCAACAACAAAGCAGTAAATTGCCATGCTCTAAATAATGCAGAGGATAAAGAAAGAGTTTGGAATACAAAGTTTTAGTAACAATAGTAACCAAGACACTGCAAAGACAAAAAACAGTTCTTGACCTATTAGAAAGGATATTTTAAAAAAACAAAAACAAAAACAAAAAAAACCTTGCTAAGATTCTACAAAAGAGTAAAATAACATGTAAATTGTAATTTAAAACAAAATAGCCCCAGGAAGGTAATTTTTCAACTACTTACTAAGAAGAATGAAGAAGAGTTTGCTGCTTAGGCTGGTCATTGCATTGAAATGATCATTGTCCTTGGTTCGGATATAATCCATACTTAAACTTTCTCCATTTTTCAATACATATGATTTTGCCATAGGAATGTTGAGTACACTAAAAGAATCACTTGGCGAAACAGAAATAGTAAGTCCAAGGGAATTTAAAATCATAAATGGTGCTAGATCCTTTACGAAGTCAGCTGAAGATCCAGTGGCAGCTTCTGTAAATGCCTAATAAGAAAGAGTTATGCTAAATAAAATGAAATGTGTAAAATTAAATGACAAGGAGAACAGTAAAGGACAAATGACAACTAAGTTATTAAACTTCTTATTCAACAGACAGATCAATCAGACAAGTATCTCAATATTTAAAGTTTCAAATTTCTTTTCTTACCTTGACTAAATTGTTTAACATTACAAGACCACATTTGGATAATGTAATGTTTAATTGGTCTTTTGAATGGAAACTGATGACAGTTTTATATTCTGGCACTTTGTAGTTTTCTTCTTCAGGATCTGACTCAACAATGGCCATTTTTGCTTTCTTTTTCATCTAAAATGATAAATCATAGAAATATAAGGAAAAATTCTAAGAACACAACATAACTAGACAAATCCCAATACCAACATTAGAAAGGTCAGTACATTTTATCTTTTCTAATTTCAGTAAGTTCTATTGCCTTATTGAAATTACTTGGACATCAGCCAACTAAGGTCATAAAGGACAGAAGTATTAGAGAAAATAAATCATGTCATCATCAGTGATAGTAAAATGGCAGACACAATTTAGAAGGAAAAATAAAAACCTAAAATTACTATGTGTACCCGGGATCTGAATATAAAAGCACATACTTCAAAGCAACATAAAAACTCAGACAGAAAAAAGTAACTTAATGTATTGGTCATGCTAATAATAAAGAACAGAAACCTAGAGACTTACAAAGGCAGACAATAGTAGCAGAACAGTGTTATAAACCTAGAGCTCATAAGAATCAATACCCTTTACCATTTTTTAGGAGTCACAGATCTGCTGACCATGTGTATTCTAACCTAAAAACCACCAAGGAATTCCTTTTCATATCCTTCATCTAAAATATCTGGAAAATAAAATTAAGTGATCTAATATGAAAAGAGCTCAACATGCTAAGCTAGTCACCTCTGTTGTTACTTTAACTGGCTTTAAGCCACTGAAAATCTGTCTGCAGGTTGACCAAGTCATTATTAGGTAGGAAACACGTGAGTAATTCTGCAGTCTCTTGCTTCAGAAGCAAAATTTCATCCACCTAAAGGCCCCGATTCTCATGATTATATAAATCCACAATATATTTCAAACAAATAATATACATTCCTGCACACATGCAAACATCCAAAGGATGAAGGAAACTCAGGATAGACAACAACCTACAAGATGATGACACAGGCATTATAGCATAGTGGTTTAGAGTGGATTTAACGCCTCTGCAGCTGGATTTGCATCCCATCTTTTCCACTTTGTAGCTATTATTACTTCAAGAAGTCTCTTAACCTCCCTGGTCTCAGTCCCTTCACATGTTAAATAAAAACTGTATCTACCTCCAAGAGTTGTTGTAAGGATTAAAATATTTAGAACAATGTCTAAACTGTGTTCTAAATTATGTTCTAAATTGTTCTAAATTATGTAACAAGTAACATAATACTTGTTACATAATTGTATTAGAAGCATAGGCAACATTGGCCTTAGATTTGAAAATTATATTCAGAGGGCAAACAAGGAAGCATGTGGGCAAGGCTCATGATGAGACAACCTGAACCTTGTTGTGATTAAAATAAAGTGTCGAGTGTGGTATAAACATTCTCAATTTTGGAAAATTTTTTCAGTCTTCAAATATACGTTGATGAGGGAATGTTAATAAAGGGGGAGGCTATACATGTGCAGAAGTAGGTGGTATACGGGAAATCTCTGTTCCTTCTTCTCAATTTTGCTGTGAACCTAAATCTGTTCTTAAAAAAATAAAGTCTTTTAAAATACATATATATATATATACACACATAGACATATATAGATATACCTTGATACCAAGATTCCATGGTCTAAAATCCTCAGTCTGATCAATTTCTAAGGGTTCAAGCAAAGGCTCCCATACACCAAACATTTCATTATAATAATGCACCTACAGAGAGAATTTTTTAAATTAAAAATGATCTTCCATCCTGTTTCCCACCATGTTTTTTAGCCCTGTTATTTCTTCTATATAAAAACCAGTCTACATGCCATTCAGTAGCTTCCTATAAGCACTCCCTCAGCATTTTCCTCACCTGGCTAACTTCATAGTACATATTCGCTCTTCACAATTTAGTCCAGATAAAACCCCTTTTTAAGCATCTTTCCTTGATTCTACATTACATAAAAGTATAAGGCATATATTTCTAATTCTTCATATTTCTATTAGAAGAGATTATTATCCACATATTCAGAAATTCTGTCTATATCCTTAAAAAAAAAAGGGTATTCAACTTTAACTCTTTTCTTTTCTTTTTTTTTTTTTTGAGTCTGGGTCTCACTTTGAACCCCAGGCTGGAGTGCAGTGGTAAGATCTCAGCTCACCACAGCCTCGACTTCCCAGGTATTCTCAAGTGATCGTCCACCTCAGTCTCTCGAATAACTAAGACTACAGGTGTGAGCCACCACCACTGGCTAATTTTTTGTATTTTTAGTAGAGACAAGGTTTCACCATGTTGCCCAGGCTGATCTTGAACTCCTGGGCTCAAGCGATCCTTCTGCTTTGGCCTCCCAACGTGCTGGGATTACAGGTGAGCCACTGGGCCTGGCCTCAATTTAACTCTTTAAAAAAAATATTCTGAATCTAATCAACAACTGTCGAATAATATATTATCTTTAAGTTGATAAAATCAGTTGAAATATAAACTTAATGTGGACATGTACTTTAAAAGTAAAAGGAATGTATACATAAAAGCAATTATTCAAGGGCAAAATTTGAAAACTTTTTTCTAAAAGTTTTTGACCCAATATCATATTTACAATAAGCTTAAATAGCTACACAAGATTCCATAATATTCCATATGTATCATTATCTGTCATAATATTCCATACGTATCATTATCTGTTATAAAACTGGAAAAATATGCTTACTTCTAGCTCAAGCTGACAGTGCAGATTTATTAGGGAACTCCAGTTTTTGCCTTCCCCTGAAAAACGTGACTTTGCCAGAAGCATAGGTACTGTTCTATGACCAATTCCAGCCTCAAGAACTATAAAAATAGAATCAATGTTCATTTTTATCATCTCGCCTTTGGGTACCAATTCAGTTGTGGGAGCTATTTTTTCAGTTTCATTTGATTCTTCAAGAAACCACATTTTTAAAGTCTTTGTATCCTTCTTTTCCCATAAATGTGCAGTAGAAGAAGCCGTTTCTTCTGGGATGGTTTCCTTAGTTGTATACAGTGCTGAAGTTATGGTAATCATAGTATTTATAATAACTGGTGAAACCTAAATGGAAAAAAATTAATAAGTCTATACAAAACACTTTCAAACATACTACGTCAAGAAATATTAAATATATATTATGAGAAATTAAATACTGAATTAACATTACTACCACAAAATAGAAGATACAATTTATTGTTTATAAAATTTTTTAAATTACCATAATTCTTGTTATGTGTTTACATGAATCTTGCAGATATTTACATGAATCTTGCAGATATTATTCCATGAATTACATGATATTATTAATATACATGAATTGCAGATATTATTAAACTGATGAAGTATAAAGTAATTTCAATAATATTTATTAGGGATATTAGATGTTAACCACACAAATGTAAATAATAAAATATAGAATAACATTCATAAAATGTGTATTAAATAATATTACTTTGTAAATATCTCATAAAAACGTATTTTCAAAAACACACCTATTTTGTTTGCATAACAATTAAAAGACTTGCTATAATAACTTTCTAGGCTTTACTACTTTTTTTAAGTGCACTAAATATTCAAATGATTATATTTTAATTTACCTTTAGTGTCAGGGATTTTACTGACATATCGATCACTTGTGGATCTGTACCTTTCTGAGTAGTTTGATAAAACAAGTCACAGGGCTGCAAAACCTATGAGAGAAAAATCAATACCACTAAATTAATGTTTAAATATAAAAATATTTCTATTTAAAGACTTTCCTAGTAATAGGTATGTCAAATAAACAAGTTAATAAAAACAACTATTTAAAAAGTGACTTAATAATACACTCCTTAATTATCCCATATAAAGGACATCTAGAACCTAATATCTGTTCTATTCTTCCACAGTAATAGAAGTTTTATCTGAGCACAAGGTAGCTCAGAAAAAAATACCACAGTCTCCAACCTTTACTGAAGTAAAGTGTGGTCATACAGCTATATTCAAGCCAAAAAAGATGTGAATAGAAGAAATATATATTTAAAACTTCTAAGTCAAAAACTAAGAGAGAATTGGTATACCCTCCATTTTCTATTCTCTCTCTTTGCTTAGTGGAGGGCCAACTGTCTTGCAAATTTGGGCAACAGTTTATCTTATATCCTAATATATATGTATTCATTGTATCAAAATTACATCTTATATTTCTATGGTGACAATGTTTAGAACATTTATGCTTCTATAGATGCATACCAAGCATCAGGAAAAAAATACAAAGAAACAAACAAAAACTTATGCTTCTATTACTCCTTCAGAAGCTCAAATATTTTTGTAAGTATTCGCTGGAAGTCAGCCAGTTAACTTGAAAAGATGTCTGTAAAGGAATGAATTTTAAGTAGAGTTATGAAGAGGAGGAAGGCCAAGAGGTTACTAGAGAGTAAAATATCAATGTGAAGTATGTCAAAGCAAATGGCTGAAGGTTCAAATGAAGTTACATGGAGACAAGGAAAAACTCATTATTTGAGCAAAAACATCCAAACGGGAGAAAAAAGTTGAAACAATAAAATTGAAACAACACAGCAAACAACTGGCAGAAAGTCTTAAAAGTCCAAAGAGCAATTTGGAATTGACATGGTTAGAAAGTCAAAGTAGATCTTAACTGAAAACTGTCAAGATGAACCCAACTTCTTAGTGACAATATTCCCACAAATACTAACAATAATGAGCAGCATCTGGAAGAATGAAAGAGTTTCAAAGCTGGTAAATAATATTCTAAATTAAGCTCTCTAAGCAGAGAGAAAGACATTTTACAGAGCAAGGTTGGAAAGCATGTAGGTAGTTTTTGTTTCCTAAAATGGTATACACTACATCCAAAATAGTTACAATTAAGCAGATGATCAAATAGTTAACTCACAGTAGTGATTTTGCCTTTTCTCTTGACTGGAAGAAACGGGCAGGCTCTCACTTGGAGATCTTTAATGGCAGCAGTCATTGTACTATTTTCAAGGTTACCTTTATAGCAAATTTCACATTGTGTTGTAATGACTAAAGCAGGAGCATCATTTTTTGTCATGTCAGCTACAAACACAATTTCAGGATTTTTAATAATAACATTAATTTCCCACTTCACTGATTCCTGTGTAGGTACTAAAACAAATAAAAATAGATTAAAATATTTGCTATATATTATGAATAATTTATTATTTATAAGAAAATATTAAAATGAAATAATAGTAAAAAGTAAAACAAAAGAATCTTAGATCCCAAAGGAATCAACTACAACCCTTAGTAAAGACTTGAAGAAGCTATAGGCATAAGAACATTTTTAAATGAGGGGAAATCTCCACTATTTAATTGGAAAGCCTAGAAACTAATCTAGTTTCTAACTCTCAACTTGATACTCTTTCTACTATACCACAGTAAATCACATATTATAAAAAGATAATAGAGAAACCGTACGTTAAAAGCTAGGAATAAATACAACAAAAATAAATGAGTGCTTTAAATTGAAATATTATCTTAATTGTGAAAAGGTATGGTTGGTTCATTATTTGCTCTGCTTGTTTTTTTCCACTAGACAAATTCCTTCAAATTACTGCCTGAAGAGAAGTACAATTACTTATTCTAACATAGGTTTCATAATTTTTAAATGCAATATATACTGACACCTTTAAAAAATGCAAACTATACATCCTCCAAGAAAACACATTAAGGTTTTCCTTCTACTCTGAAAAATAAAATTTTAATTTCTTAAAGCATTTACTTTGATGATCTAAAAGGCTAATCAAGGTTAAGTCCTGTTGTAGCACTTCAATAAAACAAATATTAAATATTTTAGCCAATAACTAACCTTCTTCCTTAGCAGTCCATGTTTGCACACTGGTTTCTACAGCAGTGCCTGTGGTGTAGGCCTCAAGAAAGACATTTGCAACAGTCTGCAGAAATTCTACGCTTGCACAAATATACATTTCTTGAAAGACCGCATCAGTCACACAACCATCTCTGACTTTCCTGTACTTTATATCCATCATGTCTTTTTTGTCAAAACCAACTGTCAGTCCTATCATTCTGGAAAACACAATAACAACAATTCCTATGTATGAGTAACTTAGAAGTAATCAAACATATGAGTAAAACTCAAAGACCTCTTATCTCTTTTACTGACAAAAAAAAGCATTCTGAAGTCATGTCTCTTGGGAAGATCCATAAAGTGTTCCAAATAACAAACTTACAAACTTCTGGAACACAAATGTATCATAAATGAGGAAGTGTATGTTCAATAAATTATAAGAGTTTGAATCTCAGGATATTTTTTCTTTTCAATTTTTTATGTACTTCCCATTGCAATTAGCATGGATTAACAATAACTTATATTAGATTTATATTAGAGAATGTAATTTAAAGAATGTAAAAACCAATTTAATTGCACTGATTATTTCTAGTTACTCAACCAATCTATCAATTATCCAGTAAGAATAGTACATAACAGAACCAGGACATTTTAAATGTTAACCGAGTACTACGAGCTGACTGAATTGAAGCTTTAAAGAACCTAGGATGCACTCAGAAAATGAACGTGCAATTCTGGAGATGAATTCTGTAAAATATATCAACGATTTCTCAAGTAAAACCTTAGAACATCATTACAATACATACCGAGGAGTTGCTTTCTTGACATGAGGTCTTTTATCATCTAAAATACAGTTTTTTAATGAGAAGGAAGAAAATGTTGAGCCATCTGTATACATTTTTAAAGTACTTATAATATTCTCCAATTTAAATTCAGCAAGTTTCAGAGAAGGATCACGAACATCTGTAAAGGAAGCCTATGAAAGGAGAAACCAACACAAAATTACAAAGAAACACAAGTCTAAAGTGTATTTCATGATATGAACTACTACAAATTATTGCCTCTGCTTATAACAAACATCAAAATTCTGTCTCCGAAGGGCTCTAATGAAAGGCTAAAAATATATACATATCACTTTAATTTTACAATTTATTTTTCACATTAGCTATATGATAGATAACTCATTTAAAAGGGAAATAGTTATAATTATTATTAAAGTAAAAAGATCATTTTTCTCAGAGGGACAGATACTACAAAATAAATGTTAAATATTAACATTTGTTACTTTAAAAACATCAACCTATGCAAATTTCACATGTGAAAATACATTTTCTTTTCTTCCTGGACTTACCTGTTTAGGACCTGGACTATACAGCACCATGGTGAGATCATCAGTTTTGAAGCTTATGTTTAGTGTTGTCTTAACTAGTAAGGCACGTGAATGTACTTCTACCACAGCAGCTGTCACCACAGTTGCTCCTTGAAAAAATTAAAGTTATTTAATAAAAGAAAATATCATGAAAAGTAGCTCATTAAAATACCCTTGAAATAGATTTAATAGAATTATTAAACAGGTATAGTAAAATGACATTCAAGAAAATAAAATATTAGAAAATTCAGATGTAAAACTCAGTAACTTCTGGCTTAGGACTCTTTCCATAATAATTTGGGAATATTAATTGAACACTTGGTGTTTCTATTTCCTCTTGATGCTTCTGTTCCTACTTCTGTTCTGTTCCAAGGAAAAATAGAACTAATCACTGAGTATGTTTGGAGATTAAGTAAAATAGCACATGTAAAATGCATATTACAGTAACTGGCACATAATTCAGTATTCAAATTTTACTTTAAAAAACTAAAACCAAGAGACATTTTTAAAATTTTTCTACTAATCAGAAGAATTCAAAATTTGTTTTCTACATTTGAATTTTGAATCAAGGCATTATATGCACATATTAAATGAGCTTAAAATGAAAACGCAGCACTTTCTAATTCTCATTATATCTAACTTCAGAGAAAAGTACCATTATGCCAGGTAATGTATTTTCAATTGTGATAAAAATTTACATACAATGAAATACATGTATCTTATATGAACTATTTGATGAAATTTGATAAGTGTATATTTCCACATAGTCACTACTTCAATTAAGATACTGAACACTTATATCCCTCCAGAAAGTTCCCTCTTAACACTTGCTAGCCAATTCCCAACCTCTCTACCATTCTAATTTCAATCATCATAGACGAATTTTGTATATTTTTTAAATTCCATATAAATGGAGTAATACAGATTGTACTATTTTGTGTGTGGCTTCTTTCAGTCAAAATAATGTTTCTGAGATTCAACCATGTTGCTGCATGTACAAGTAGTTCACTCTTATAGCTAGTCATGCACTCTATGGAATGAAATAGTTTATCCTCCTATTGATGAACATTTGAGTTGTTTCCAGATTTGGGCTACTATAAATAAGTCTGCTATACGTATTCCTAAATGAGTCATTTTGTGTATATATGCACTTATTTTGGGGTGGGGTGGGAGTAGATACCTAGGTCTGGAATTGCTCTGTTAAAGGTAGGTACATATTAACTTTCAAATTCTTTGCCAAAGTGGTAATACTATTTCACATTCCTATCAGTCGTATGTGAGAATTGCAGCTGTTCCACATTCTTGTCAACCTTTGATGTTGTCAGTCTTCTACAACTTATCTCATCTGGTGAACTGTGAAGTTTTCCTGATAAATAATTATATGAACGGCTGGGCATGGTGGCTCACACCTGTAATCCCAGCACTTTGGGAGGCCAAGGCAGGCGGATCACGAGGTCAGGCGATCGAGACCATCCTGGCTAACCCGTCTCTACTAAAAGTACAAAAAATTAGCCAGGCATGGTGGCGGGCACCTGTAATCCCAGCTACTTGGGAGGCTGAGGCAGGAGAATGGTGTGAACCCGGGAGGCGGAGCTTGCAGTGAGCTGAGACCACACCACTGCACTCCAGCCTGGGTGACAAAGCGAGACTCCATCTCAAAAAAGAAAAAAAAAAAAAATTATATGAACAAGTTTTCATGTGTTCACTGCCCATTTACATAGCATCCTCTCTCAAGTATCCAAATCTTTTGGTCATTATTTTGCTTTTAAAAAGTTGCTATTAATTTATAAAAGTGCTAATGTACTCTGGATAAAAGATACATACATCAAGTCTGAGGCTTGGGTTTCTCCTATCTTGTTACTGTATCTTTAATGAACAGAAATCTAAAATTTTGAAAAAATATACATTTAAACATTTTCTCTGTTTTTCTTTTGTTGGATTCTATTATTTTTATTACTGTCTTCTTTTCATTTACTTTGGGTTTAATTTCCTATTCTTTTTCTAGTTTCTGGTGGTAGAAGATTTAATCTTTGATTTTAAAACTTATTCATTTCTAATATCTTACTCTACAGTTACAAATTTCTTTCACCACTGTTTTAGTTGCATTCCACAAATTCTGATATATTTTATTTTCATGATCATTCAGTTCAAACAACTTCTTAATTTCCCTTGTCATTTCTTTTTGATCTATGGGTTATTTAGAAATTGTTCAAGCTTTTTCACATCCTATTGTTACTACCTTCTAATTTAATCCAATGTGGTCAGAAAATTTAATGGTCCACAAAATGGTGCATCTTTGTAAACATTCCAGGAAGTGTTTAAAAACAAAAAGGTATTCTGCAACTGAGTGTAACATTGTATTACATTAATTATGTCAATTTTGTTGACTGTGTTCAAATCTTCTATATTCTTTCCGATTTTTTTGTTCATATCTTATCATTTACCAAGAGTGGTGTGTTCAAATCCCCAACTATGATTCTGTATATGTGTATTTTCTTCTTTAGTTCTGTCAATTTTGCTGCATATATTTTAAAGTTCTGTTATTAGGTATACACACATTTAGGATTGTTGCATCTTCTTTGTGAATTGACACTTTTATCATTATTTAAAAAAAACCAGGCCTTGTAATGAGACATTTAGGAGAAAGATGAACCCTAACTGGATATTTTCATGGTCTTAAGGAAGCACTGCTAATATTTAGGGTGATGATGTTACTATATTTAAAAAGTAATGTCCTTATTGCTTATGGAAAAATAGCAATTAATGGTATAGTATCTGGGATTTGCTTTAAAATAATCTTATGGGCTGGAGGAAGAAGGGGGAAGAGCAGAGTGTGGGCAGTAACAAAGTAGCCATATGATATTAATTAGTGAAAGTGGGCCAGGCATGGTGGCTCACGCCTGTAATCCCAGCACTTTGGGAGACCGAGGCAGGGGGATCACGAGGTCAGGAGATCGAGACCATCCTGGGTAACACAGTGAAACCCCATCTCTACTAAAAATACAAAAAAGTAGCTGGGTGTGGTGGTGGGCACCTGTAGTCCCAGCTACTCAGGAGGCTGAGGCAGGAGAATGGCGTGAACCCGGGAGGCAGAGCTTGCAGTAGCCGAGATTGCACCACTACACTCCAGCCTGGGTGACATAGCGAGACTCTGTCTCAAAAAAAAAAAAAATTAGTGAAAGTGGGTGATGAGTACATGTGGGTTCATTACCTTATTCCTTCTACTTTGGTATATGTGTAAAAATTTCCAGAAGAAAACGATTAAAATGACATATTCAAACATCTATTTCTTGTTACATCAATTGCAGACATTTTCTCTCACTCTTTAAGGCTTTACTATTTGTTTCCCCTGATCCATCTTCCTCTTTACAGCTTTGGTTAGTAATGTCTTTACTTCTAAGTTATCATAGTTCATAACATTTACTTTTTTATTTACATAAGAAGTATTCCATGTGTTGTTTAACTATGACCATGTAGTATTTTTCAATGAGATTTACAGTAATACTGCCTCTGCTGCTACACTGTCACGATGAGTGCATCTCTGAAAAATAAGAGGTTCTCTTCTCACATTCTAACAATGGCTCAAAATTATGCAAAATTTAGTCCACTTCACTTCTGCACCATGGTATAGAAATTTCTTTCTTAAGCGCAGAAAACACTTTCCTGTCTGTATCAGTTATATAATATAGCTAACTCTGTATCCTACATACTATGTGGAATTCATGCTATTTTTCTTCTATAAGACATTCTTCCATATGGCTTTTTTTTTCTTTCCTTAAAGCATTCTCATTTACTTTTTAATGAAAGCCAGTTAATTTCTAGCCTATTCACATAGATAATTTGGAGATTCCTTTTCAGTGCACTCCTGAGTAGGCCTAGGTTTTTTTAACCCCATATTTTTCTGTTTCCTAGATTTCCTGACTTTCTGAAATACACTTTCAAACTAATTTCTTTTACGAATGGGTATGAAGAAGTCTAAGAAAACTGAGTCACAGGAAATCTGAGAATTATTTTCTTTTCACATTTTGGGTGATGGCTTGGCTGTGTATAGAATCTGAGCTTCAAAAACCACTTTCCTTAGAATTCTGAATAGATTCCTCCATTGTCTTCTACCATCCAGGGATTCTATTTCATCATGTTTTATTGATGATAAATAAAAAACAACAAAAATCAATCATGCAATCATTTTTTTTCTAAGTCCCTGACAGGCAGCCTTTTTTTTTTCTGAAACTTCAGAAAATCTTAGCTTTACCATTCTGACATCTCATGAAAATGTGTTTGTATGTGGAATCTTAGTTTACCCAATCTGCTGGAAACTCAGTAGATTCATTATAGCTAAGAGCTTCCTTCAATATTTACTTAGGTCTGGACAGTTTACAGCAGCTCACCCTTACCTGCACTTTCAATTACCTGTGGTCAGGTCAACTGGTGTCTGAAAATATTAAGATACTTGGAGAGACAGACCACATTCACGTAACTTTTATGACAGTATATTGTTATAATTGTTCTATTTTATTAGTTGTTCAACTCTTACTGTGCCTAATTTATAAATTCATCTTTATGATACATATGTATGTATAGGAAAAAATATAGTTTGGGTACTATCCAAACATAGGTTTGGTAATACCCAAAGTTTCAGGCATCGACGGGTCTTGGAACATATTCCCTGCAGATAAAAGGAGAGTACTATACTTCTTTAAAGAATTGCCTTCCATTTCCTCAATTATTTCTTCTGTAACACTCATTCTGGAATTGGACCTTCTGAACTAAAACATCACTCTTAAGTTTTATCACATTTTCCATCCCTGTGCTTTTTTATTCTCCGTCCTGGGAGATTGCCTCAACCAAATATTCCAACTCAATACTTCTAATTACATGTTCAGTGTTTTTGTTTCAAATTTTCAGCAATAATATTTGGATTTCCAGCAACTCTCCTATCCTTGGGTGAGCTGGTGGTGGTGGGATCCATTTCTTATATTATCTTCTCAAAATCCTCTTAGAATGTCAGAGCTTCTTTTTTGTTTGTCTACTTCCTTTTCTGTCACCTCAATTGTCTGTTTCCTTCAGAAAACATGATTCTATTTATCTTAATTTCATTCATGCTTGGGGTTTTTACAATTTTCTTCATATCTGACCATTCATATTTAACAATAAAGGACTAGTTTGATTATTCCAGCTAGTAAGGGTGGGGTTTCCTACAATGCTGTAAATGTAAAGCTGGTTTTCTGTTAGGATTCTCCCTGAGTAAAAATGCTGTGTAACACCTCAGGGCTTTGCAAAGGTGAGTCTTGTGAACTAGTAGGTTTCATTTTGAGGTAGGTAGGTCTGAGGATCCCCTATAATGCCAGAATGAGAACTTTATGCTTATGCAGCAATGTCATCCCAGCACTAACTGACCCTCTGTATGCGCTGGTGCTGAGCTCAGAAACCAGCCACATTCCACAGAGCACACTGGATCCAACATTAGATGAAGGCTCTTTCTAAGTTCTGCTTCCTTCTACTCTGTTCCATCCATCTCCCAAATATTTGTTAAACTCCACCATCTACTAATGATCATCCTCTCTTTGCACCTCTAATACTTTGATATTCCTAATATCAATATAAAAGATTCATTTGGGATATATGCCACACTAGGGATAGGGAGAAGATGGGGGAAAGGGAGAAAAATGGAAAATGAGGAGCTACAGGGAAGTCAGGAAAACATGAATATATACTGAGGAATTTTGTTACAACAGAACTAGGAACTTTCATTCAAAGAAAAAAAATCAACACAACGACTAATAACATAGACAATTTAGAGATGTCTGAATGGAATTAGCTGATTAGAAACAGATTTACAAATCTTATTTTGCCCAAACTAAACAAAAAGAAGGAAAGAAAGAAGGAAAGGAGGGAGAAAGAGGGGAGGAAGGAGGGAAAAGACAGAAGGAAGGGGAGGGAAGAAGATAGAAGAAAAAAGAGAGAAAGAGGAAAGCAGAAAGAAATTTGAAGTTAAAAACATACCTCCTGAATGGTGTGAAGCATTAGTAGTAACTCCACTAGTGGCACTGTATTGGTCTTTTGTTACAGCAGGTGAGGCACTACCATCTTTTTCATACCATATATTGCCATGCAATGTTTTAAAAATAGTTGTTATATCTTCTTGACTAAGAATGAACTGTTAAAAAAAAAAGATTTGTTCTTTTTAGCACTGCTACTTCATTGCAGAATTTAACTGCAGTTAAAATTCTCAGAGGAGAAAAATGAAAGACTGTTTCAATCCTCTACCACACCAATTAAACATTTTTACAAACTGAATATTCAGTTTTCTAAATGACCATGTGCTCTTTAGTAGCTTGTGAAATATAGAACTAAATTAGGTGTTAATACCAATGAAGTTATGAATAAAGAACTATTTGTTATTAATGTACCAAATAATATAGTAATTTTAAACCTTTAAAATGAACTTTCAGTAGTTATCTGTCTACTTTGGATTTTTTTGGTTAGTAAGCACCTCATTTTACAAATGTAGAATAAAAAATGATACATTTGGTTTACCAAAAATTTTAGAGTTCACAATGTGTTTTACATGAACTATTTTATTTGAACCTCGAAAAAGTCCTAGGTCTATGGAATATGATCCTGAAATGTATTTATTTAGTTAGGTAGTTAGTGAATGGGTCTCATTCTGTCACCCAGGCTGGCATGCAGTGGTGCAATCCTAGCTCACTGCAGCCTCAAACTCCTGGGCTCAACCTCTGACCTCAGCCTCCCAAGAAACTGGGATTACAATCATGTACCAACATGCCCAGCTAATGCAATCCTGATATTTATATTTATAAGACACTGAAGCTAAATGGTTAATATGCTTAGGTCCACACATAAACTAGGAACTAACTCAAAGAGCTAATAATTTCAGGCCAGGTGTGATGGGTCACGCCTGTAAGCCCAGCACTCTGGGAGGCTGAGGCAGGCAGATCACTTGAGGCCAGGAGTTAAGAGAACAGCCCAGCCAACACGGTGAAACCCCGACTCTACCGAAAATACAAAAATTAGCCAGGCATAGTGCACACCTGTAATCCCAGCTACTCAGGTGGCTGAAGCAGGAGAATTGTTTGAACCTGGGAAGCAGAGAGTGCAGTGAGCCGAGATCGCGCCACTGCCCTCCAGCCTGGGCAACAGAGACTCTGTCTCAAAAAAAAAAAAAAAAAATAAAGAGCCAATTTCAAATCCTAGCTGTTACAAATTTAGTCCCAAATCAACAGCATAAGACCTGCCTTAATAGCTGTGATGGTTAATTTTGTATGTCACTTTGGCTCAGTCACAGTACCTAGGTATGTGGTCAAACATAAAATGTTTCCGTGAAAATATTTTTTAGATGAAATTAATATTTAAATCTCTAGACTCTAGGTAAATCAGATTACACTCCATAATGTAGGTGGACCTCATCCAATTGCTTTGTATTGAAGTTGGAGGCCTTCAATAAAAAAAGACTGACCTCCTCTAAGCAAGAATTCTGCCAGCAGACTGCCTTCAGACTCGAGCTCCAACACTACCTCTTCCCTGGATATCCTTCCTGCTGGCCTACCCTGTAGACTGACTTTGAACTTGGTGGCATCCGCAATCATGTACACCAATTCCTTAAAATAAGTCTCTCCCTTTTCCCTCTCTTTACACACACACACACACACACACACACACACACACAAACACACACACACTCTCTCTCTCTCTCTCTGGAGAACCCTAACACAACAGAAATAATGTAAAAAAGATCTTTGAGTTTGGCTCACTTCTAAGTTTGTCAAAACAACAAAAAGAATTTTTAGCTGTTATGACCCCAAGGAGATAATTTGAATCCCACAATATTTAACAAGTTTTACTTGTAACCAAGCTTTCTTTGACTGCATTTCAAAGATGACACACTAATTTAGTGTTTTAAAATTAAGTCCATGTGTACCTTATACATACTACTAATGTTTGGGGTTTTTTTTAAGCTTTCATTCCTTCATTCTTTATTCATGACACTTAGTTTGTAACTATGTAGCAGACACTGCAAAAAGAGTTCATATAATAAGATGAAAATAAATATTACAACTTCTAAACCATGTCTTCCAGTTAGTATCTGTCTATCGCATGCACCTCAAATACTGATTATTAATTGGCACTCTTCCTTCACTTTTGCCAGGAGCTCAGTGGAGGAAGTTCAAAGAACTGTAAGGATCCTGGGGCTGCTGATCTGCAGTATCTACATGTCAGGACAGGCTGTGTATGCAACCACTGAAAATCTGACAAGTCAGAAATCACAAGCTGCTCCACTTGGTCTGGATGCATTAGACTAAATGATTTCACAACCAATTCTAGCCTCTCCCTGGCACAGAAGATGAGGCCCAGGAGAGAACAAATATCTGGGCTCTGGGGTGAGCTGCAACAGCAGCTAACCAACTACTCAGGTGAATTAGAGTAAGGGAAGCCCCAACTTTACCCTAGAGGGTTGGCCTCAAAAGGCAGCTGGGCACTTGCAGATTGTTGGCAGCATCACCAGGACATTCTGTATGGATTCTACCTGGGAAGAGCATGAGAAAGCAGTGTCTTTGCTGCCCCACACAAATATGCCTAATAACTGGGCCCAGTGGGATAGCAACTGCCCCAGCATGTTGGGTGGAACATAATATTTATGTTTTATAAGTTTCTATATGTTTTATGAGTTTCTATCTGTTATCTTACCAATATAAATAGACTTCAAATATTTATCTTAAAAAGATAACTTCCATCTCCTACCCTGTAAGTTAAAGCAGCCATTATTATCTTACACACTAAGATTTTCATAATGCCATCATGTTTTATGCTCTGAATATACGTTTGACTTAAAAGTCTGAAATCTCGGCCAGGCGTGATGGCTCACGCCTGTAATCCCAGCACTTTGGGAGGCCAAGGGGGGTGGATCACGAGGTCAGGAGATCAAGACCATCCTGGCTAACACGGTGAAATCCCGTCTCTACTACAAACACAAAAAATTAGCCGGGCGCGGTGGCGGATGCCTGTAGTCCCAGCTATTCGGGAGGCTGAGGCAGGAGAATGGCGTGAACCCCAGAGGCGGAGCTTGCAGTGAGCTGAGATTGCACCACTGCACTCCAGCCTGGGCAACAGAGCGAGACTCCATCTCAAAAAAAAAAAAAAGAAAAAAAGTCTGAAATCTCTAAAATGATGGTTTTCTCATAATCAATAAAATTTTTACAGAAAGAAATAGAAAGGGAAACTGTGAGGTGGGGAGAAGGATTTGTTAAGTAGGTTTCTTAAAGAAACCTCCCAGAGCATATGTTGCTATCACTTCAGCAAAGCCTATGACACACTTTTGACTTTCATCCAGTCAAGGGAAAAAAATATGAACTTGTGGGCAGTTCCATGAGAGATCTTTGAAGCAATGTCAACCAATAAGAAAGTAAAACTAAGGTGGTGACACATTTGCCATTTTCATTTTCAACTTATGAATTCTTCTAATACTTTCTCTTCCTTTGTATAGATTATTTCATATATTTCCATGGCTTTAAATGCCATCTATATGCTGGTGACACCAAAATTAGTATTTCTAACCTAGATCTTTCCAATAAATTCTATATTAATATATCTAATTGACTACAGCACCATGCCTATTATTTGTGTCCTTCATTGTAGGGAAAAGAAAGAGAGATCAGACTGTTACTGTGCCTATGTAGAAAGGGAAGACATAAGAGACTCCATTTTGAAAAAGACCTGTACTTTAAACAATTACTTTGCAGAGATGTTGTTAATTTGTAGCTTTGCCCCAGCCACTTTGACCCAGCCACTTTGACCCAACCTGGAGCTCACAAAAACATGTGTTGTATGAAATCAAGGTTTAAGGGATCTAGGGCTGTGCAGGACGTGCCTTGTTAACAAAATGTTTACAAGCAGTATACTTGGTAAAAGTCATTGCCATTCTCTAGTCTCAATAAACCTGGGGCACAATGCACTGTGGAAAGCCGCAGGGACCTCTGCCCTTGAAAGCCGGGTATTGTCCAAGGTTTCTCCCCATATGATAGTCTGAAATATGGCCTCGTGGGATGAGAAAGACCTGACCGTCCCCCAGTCCGACACTCGTAAAGGGTCTGTGCTGAGGTGGATTAGTAAAAGAGGAAAGCCTCTTGCAGTTGAGATAGAGGAAGGCCACTGTCTCCTGCCTGCCCCTGGTAACTGAATGTCTCGGTATAAAACCCAATTGTACATTTGTTCAATTCTGAGATAGGAGAAAAACCGCCCTATGGTGGGAGGCGAGACATGTTTGCAGTAATGCTGCTTTGTTATTCTTTACTCCACTGAGATGTTTGGGTGGAGAGAAACATAAATCTGGCTTACGTGCACGTCCACTCATGGTACCTTCCCTTGAACTTAATTATGACATAGATTCTTTTGCTCACACGTTTTTTGCTGACCTTCTCCTTATTACCACCCTGCTTTCCTACTACATTCCTTTTTGCTGAAATAATGAAAATAATAATCAATAAAAACTGACGGAACTCAGAGGCCGGTGCCAGTGCAGGTCCTTGGTGTGCTGAGTGCTGGTCCCCTGGGTCCACTGTTGTTTCTCTATACTTTGTCTCTGTGTCTTATTTCTTTTCTCAGTCTCTCATCCCACCCGACTAGAAATACCCACAGGTGTGGAGGTGCAGGCCACCCCTTCACTTCATTAAATTTACCACAATTTATAACTATTTTAATTATGTGTCTGATTACTTTTTTACTATCTAACTACTACTATACCTTCCAGATCACCATCACCACCAACCCCTGCATTAGACTGGCAAGTTCCATGAAGTCAGAGACAATGTCATTGCTTCCTTGCCACTTTATCTCCAGTAATATTTGTTAAAAGAATAAATCAAGACCATTTTAAAATGAATTCTAGTTTAATATAATCACTATTTCAATTCTGACCAAGGTGATTATGTATATACAAATTCCACTCAAATGATGCCTTATGTCCCCAAGCAGTATTTTTCAACAAGCAAAACAAAAATTGATAAGTATCCAAAAAAAGTTACCTCCATTGGTTTCAGCTGAGCATTTACATTAAAACAAGGAACTTCCTGGTACCACTCCCAGCATAAATTTCGTTCAACCACAACCTCAAGATTTAATGGCAGGAGTAGATCCAGTACTTCCTGGTATGCATCATTAATAAATCGAGATCTATAAGTAGAGATAACATTCTTTTAAATTGTTTCATATACATTCAGGTAGTTAAAAAAAGATTAACTTAAATTTATCCTTTTATATGCAAATAGCAGAAATCAATAATTTGTTGGGTATAAAGGGAAAATATCTATCAGACTTTTTTTTTATCTGTCAAAATGAGTTGAGTGATGTTCTATCCCACTAGAAACCTGGGTGACTTACACTGAGCTGAGTGTTCTATATTATACAGAAATAGAGCTACGCACAGTAGCTTACACCTGTAATCCCAGCACTTTTGAGAGGCTGAGGCGGGCAGATCACTTGAGGTTAGGAGTTTGAGACCAGCCTGGCCAACATGGTGAAACCCCATCTCTACTAAAAATACAAAAATTAGCTGGCCGTGGTGGCATGCGCCTGTAGTCCCAGCTTCTTAGGAGGCTGAGGTGGGAGAATTGCTTGAACCTGGGAGGTGGAGGTTGCAGTGAGCCGAGATCGCACCACTGCACTCCAGCCTGGTCAACAGAGCAAGACTCTGTCTCCAAAAAAAAAAAAAAAAAAAAAGGGGAAAAATATGTATTTTTCGATACAATTTTGGAATATGGTAAAAAGTGCAAAAGTATATAAGTTGTAAGTTGTATAGTAAACCATTAAAATAAGAATTATCTCTATGTAGGCCAGGAGTGGTGGCTCATGCTTGTAATCCCAGCACTTTGGGAGGCCAAAGCGGGTGGATCACCTGAGGTCAGGAGTTCGAGATCAGCCTGGCCAACATGGTGAAATCCCATCTCTACTAAAAATACAAAAAGTAACCAGGCGTGGTGGTGGGCACCTGTAATCCCAGCTACTTGAGAGGCTGAGGCAGAAGAATCACTTGAACCCAGGAGGCGGAGGTTGCATTGAACCAAGATCATGCCATTGCTCTCCAGCCTGGGCAACAAGAGTAAAACACTGTCTCGGGAAAAAAAAAAAAAATATCTCTATGTAATTTGTAAACAAACATTATATAAGACATCATTATAAAAACATTTTAACTCACTGATTTAGGTAAGTAACAGAATATCACATATTCCCTTACTTTATAAAAAATAAGTAGCACCATATGCAATTTTTATTTCTATGAGTTAAAATAGCTGAATACATACAATTTAAATTGAACTATATTTGCCTTTCCAAGCACTTATAAAGGTAAGACTGATGCTCAGGAATGAAGAAAAATGTAGGTCAATTGAACCCCTTCAAGTAACAATGTGACCATAGAAGCCTCCCATTGTACCTCAAAGTGACAATCTCAAAGTGTTACTCCTCAATAATGTACTTATATTTTAATTAGCAGCAAATCCTTAAACTAAGATATAACACCATGACTGTAGAATTTTGGCAATCATTTAATCAATAGGAGAGAAATATGAGAGTTCATCAGGGATCTCCCAAAATGCCTTGTACCAAGCCATTTAATGAATGAATGATAGAGTGACACCAAACTTACATATGCCTGCATGCTTGCAGTCTCCGCTTAATGGTAATAGGTTAAGGAATCTAAAAGCCCCATAGGGAATGCTGCACACATAGGTTTTCTTTTCTTTTTTTCAGTTAGGCTAGGATGCATATATAATTTTAATAGCCATATCAGAATAAATGGCTATACTAGTATTTTAATTAACCTTCTATGATTAAAATTTCATATTTTCCAATTCTTCACCATAATAAATACTTGTATTTTATATATCTATATCTATATCTTCATCTATATATCTTTGAGTAAATTTCTGTCCTTTGGACAAACTATGAGAAAGAAAACTGTTATGTCAAAAGATTACTTTCTCTGGAAAAACTTTTCTTATCAGTACTACCCAATATATGGATAAAATACACCTTTCCTACGTGCTCCCACATGCACCTTATACTTTTTCCATCACTGCATTTAATATATTGCATTTTAATAGTTTATTATGTCCTCTATATTTTTAATTAGAATGAAAGCTTCATGAGGGCAGGAACTATGTTCATCTTATTCTTTGCTTTTTGTCAGTACTTAGATGATTGGCATGTGCCATATAATGAATAAATATTTGCTAAATTGCAGTCAAGTTGGATTAATGTATAAAGAACCTAGTCACAAACATGAATTCCTATTTTTCTTTATGCACTTTCTAAGAAGTTGTAACTAAACTGCATTTTCTGGGGTTTGGTTTGTTTTTTTGAGACAGTCTCATTTTGTCATCCAGGCCGGAATGCAGTGGCATTAACACAGGTCACTGCAGTCTCAATCTTCCAGGCTCAAGTGATTCTCCTGCCTCAGTCCCATAAGTATCTGGGATGACAGGCATATGCCACCACACACAGCTAATTTTTGTATTTTTTGTGGAGATGGGGTTTCACCGTGTTTCCCAGGCTGGTCTCAGACTCCTGAGCTCAAGCAATCTGCCATCCTCAACCTCCCAAAGTGCTGGGTTTACAGGCGTAAGCCAACGTGCCCAGCAACTGCATTTTCAATTATCAATTATTTTAAAATTATTTCAGGAAAAACTGGCTACACTCTATAACTGAGTAATTCTATTTCTAGGAACTCATCCTCAGGAAATGAATTATCCCAAAGAAATGAGTAGACAATTACAAAAGTACTGATGTAATAAAGATATCAATCATCAATATAGTGTTATTTATAATAGCAAAACTGTATATATATTAGAATCAAATTTCTAACAAAAGGCAGATTTAGATTTTCTAAAAACAGGAATATTTGGAAAAATTTATGCACTCAAAATAATGACATGAAAACTTACAGCATATTATTAAGAAAAAAGCTATTTACAGCACAAAACAATATAATTCTAATTTTTTTTATACTAGTTCTGGGATACATGTGCAGAATGTGCAGGTTTGTTACATTGTTACACATGTGGCATGGTGGTTTGCTGCACCCATCAACCCGTCATCTAGATTTTAAGCTCCACATACATTAATTATTTGTCCTAATGCTATCCTTCCCCTTGCCTCCCACCCCAACAGGCCCCGCTGTGTGATGTTCCCCCTCCTGTGTCCATATGTTCTCACTGTTCAACTCCCACTTATGAGTGAGAACATGTGGTGGTATTTGGTTTTCTGTTCCCGTGTTAGTTTGTTGAGAATGATGGTTTCCAGCTTCATCCATGTCCCAACAAAGGACATGAACTCATTCTTTTTTATGGCTGCATAGCATTCCATGGTGTATATGTGCCACATTTTCTTTATTCATGCTGTCATTGATGAGCATTTGGGTTGGTTCCAAGCATTTGCTATTGTGAACAGTATTGCAATAAACATACGTGTGCATGTGTCTTTACAGGAGAATGATTCATAATCCGTTGGGTATATACCCAATAATGGGATGGCTGGGTCAAATGGTATTTCTGGTTCTAGATCCTTGAGGAATCGCCACACTGTTTTCCACAATGGTTGCACTAATTTACACGCACACCAACAGTGTAAAAGTGTTCCTATTTCTCCACATCCTCTCCAGCATCTGTTGTTTCCTGACTTTTTAATGATTGCCATTCTAACTGGTGTGAGATGGTATCTCACTGTGGTAAATGGCCATACTGCCCAAAGTAATTTATAGATTCAATGCTATTCACATCAAGCTACCACTGACTTTCTTCACAGAATTAGAAAAAACTACTTCAAATTTCATATGGAACCAAAAAAGAGCCCGTATAGCCAAGACAATCCTAAGCAAAAAGAACAAAGCTGGAGGCATCACACTACCTGACTTCAAACTATACTACAAGGCTACAGTAACCAAAACAGCATAGTACTGTTACCAAAACGGATATATAGACCAATGGAAAAGAACAGAGGCCTCAGAAATAACACCACGCATCTACAACCATCTGATCTTTGACAAACCTGAAAAAACAAGCAATGGGGAAAGGATTCCCTATTTAATAAATAGTGTTGGGAAAACTGGCTAGCCATTTGCAGAAAACTGAAACTGGACCCCTTCCTCACAAGCATGGCAGAAAGTAAAGGAGACACAGCGGCACATCTTACACAGCGGCAGGCAAAAAGAGGATGAGAGCCAAGTCAAAGGGGTTTCCCCTTTTAAAACCATCAGAGTTCGTGAGACTTATTAACTATCATGAGAACAGTATGGGGGAACCACCCTCATGATTCAATTATCTCCCACCAGGTCCCTCCCACAACATGTGGGAATTATGGGAGCTGCAATTCAAGATGAGATTTGGGTGGGGACATGGCCAAACTATATCACCTCTCTATTATCCATCAACATGATTCTCAATCATTAAAATCCTGTTCCACTACCTTCGGTCACACTTGCTTGGCAAAAAATTCAGTTTTGTCTCAATCCAACTGACTGTTGGATTCCAAATACAAAATACCAAGTACTGCATGAAAAAAAAATGATACACTATTAATTCATGGTTAACAATATCAGCAGGACCCTCACTGCTGCCTCAAATACATTTTCCTGGCTTCTCATCTCTCTGTCTGCTCCTACTTCGTCTCTTTTGAGGGTTCCTCTTTCTGTCAATTATTTAAACACTGGTATTCCTCAGCATTCTTCTTCATATGTCCCACTCTACAAGCTTTCTTTGTGACTGTGCTCATTCCAAAGGCTTCAGTGACTAGCACAAATTATTACTAAGAACTCCTAAACCTAGAAGTCTAAACAACATCACCTATGTGCATCACCTAGGCACATATATTCCACTGCCTTCTGGATTTCTTTCAAGATCTCTCCATGTAGAAGTCATGCAACCACTTTCAGGCTACTTTGCCCATTAGAGAAATAATTACTATCTCTATTCTACTGGGTTTTTCTGCATTGTTCTGTCTTATCTCAGTGAAGTGTATCATCATCAAACGCTGATTTCCAAGCCTGTAACCTAAAGTGAATTTTAATTTCTCTTCTCCTTTAACTCCCACACCCATTCAACCATCAGTTACTATAAATTCTGGTTAGCTCTCCACTACTTCACTCCCTTACCTTAGACTAAGTCACCTATAATTCTTATGTGAATTACTGCAATAGTTACCAAATTATCCTTCCAACCTCTAGTTTTGTCTCCTTTTGACCTAATTTCTAGAACCTTTTCAAAATGTGATCCCATTTTATGCACCAGCCCACTATATTTATTAAACAGTACCTACCACAACAACCCAATGAGGTAGGGATTACTTATTAATCCCTTATAAAGATTGCTCACTATTATATTTCTTATTCTTAGCACAATGCCTGGGATAGATTTGGTGCTTAATAAATGCTCAAGTGACAGAAATTTCTCCTTCCATCTAGGATGGAGTAACATGAATGGTTTAACACTCCTGCTTGAAACAACCCTGCCCCCCCAAAAAAAAGACAGACAAAATTGACTTAAAAATAGTTTTCAAGACACAAGACATCAAAAATGGATAGTGATTCCAAAGAGTTGGAAAAAAAAATGAGGTGAGCCCTACGATTGTCCCAGTTTACTATTGTTTTACCATAATTAACAGGCCATGGTACAGGGAGGGGGGACCCAGGGGAAGGCCAGGAAAGCCCCAGAGTAGAGAAGATAAGAGCTGAGAGTCCAAGAGAAACCAAGGTAGCTAGTTTATATGATAAAATACCAGAGAGAAGAGAGCTACACAGACTTATAGAGTAACTTAAAATTCATAGCACAATATTATAAAGTACTCCAATTTATAGCACGTCATATATTAGAAAAGAAGAAATGTTTCAAATCAATAATCTTAGCTATCACCTAAAAAAACTTATAAAAAGAGCAAAATTGAACCTAAAGTAAGCAGAATAATAAATATTGAATCAGAAATCAATGAATGAGAAAACAAAAAAAGAAAAAAAAATAAAACCAAAAACTGCTTAAGATCAATAAAACGGATAAATCGCTAACCAGATTGATCAGTACAAAGGCAGAAATTATAAATATCAGGAATGAGGGAGGACACATCATTACAGATATTAATAAATAAGGAGCATTATGAAAATCTTTATGCCATTAAATTTTACAACTTAGATGAAATGGATAAATTCTTTTAAGAAATTAGGGAGGATCGCTCAAGAAAAAATAACTTGAATAGCCCCAAATTTATTAAAGAAATGAAAACTATCATTTAAAAATCTCCCACAAGCAAACTCTAAGACGAGATGGCTTCGCTGGTAAATTCTACCTAATACTTAAGGAAGAAGTAATACAACTGTACATAAACTGTCAGAAATGTATGCATATCAAAACTTATAAAATGGTATAACATTAAAGATATGCAACTTATTCTGTGTCAATTATGTCTCAATAAAGCTGCTTTAAAAATATACAATTGATCAAAGAAAGCACAGGAGGGAAAGACAGACTCATAGGAAGCTAAAGAGAAGTAGAGAATGGGAGTTAGTTAAGTAAAAAATGAGACAAAAATAAGGTGAAGAGACAAGCAAGAGAATTATATCAAAGAAAAATGACAGAAAGAAGGAAGAGGGCAGTTGAGAAGTATAAATAGAGAAGGATTCAAGTTGGAAAATAGGGCATAAATTCAGAATGGGCAATTAGAAATAGCACAGAAACACAGAGGACACAGTATAAAAGCTCTCGAACTATTTGAACATTTGGTTATCCGCCTAATTCCTAACCCTATGCTTAACGAATACAGGTTAACGAATAAGGTTGTATGCTACTGCATGTTCGTTTAAATTACAGCATCAGAGCCACAGCAACAACCGACAGAGAAGATAAGATGATAATGTATTTGCAAAGTGAATAAACATATTACATTAGAAATTCCTCATTTTTTCCATAGCCATGTAATTTATAATGAACCACAAAAAAGCACAAATATACTTCCTCAGATAATAAATTTTATAGTTTTCCTAATTACCTAAGGAGAAATTTTCAAACACTTTCTAGGTTTTTTAAAATGCAAAGACTATAATTGATTTTGCCAAAATATACTTAAGGAAGAGAGAATCACTAAGTTATGTATAATTAATAAAATAAAATCTCACTGTAAACAGACTACTCAAGACATCAAAGTCTTTAAAAAGTTAGAAAAATATTGCATTCCACACAAATATACTTGTGAAAAGCTTACCTGTATAGTCGCATTTCACTCAGCTTTATTGTTATCAAATCAATAACAGGTGGGGGAGAGCTCTGGCTCTCTGTTATCATATGAAAGGTATTTGTCATTGTAATTAGTCCAAAATCAGCAACAAAAACATTTTCAGAAACTGGAGACTGCGGGATGACCACAACTGGGGCTTTGATGTTAATATCCAGTGCCATTCTGGAACTCCTTTGTGCGAGTTCTTTTACACCAGTAGCAGCCATTCCAGCTGCCTGAACAGTTGCCTCAGCCAAGGCTTGTTTAGCTGCCTGAAAATTATCTATAAAAGCCTGTAAGATAACAGAATTATATTCTTAAGGTTATTAATAAATACGACTTATTAAATATATATTGATATTTATGGTTTTACCTCCATTTAAAAAAAAACTTTTACTTGATACAACCAAGCATTATTTATTCAAAATCTTACTGTCTATATTAAATCTTAATTTTCTGCCACAAAAACTGAGAAACACAAAGACACAGATAAAATAAAAATCTAGTCCTCAGAACAAAGCTAAATGGGATCACTGGAATGTCTTACAGATATCTACTTCCCTTATCTCACTTTCCCTAATGAAAAACAACCCTATTTCTCTATACAACCTCAGTGGACAGAGAGCTTATTTATATTTGTAAGGTAAATAAATAAATAAAATATGTTTAAGAAGTTTCAAAATAATTTTCCAATTTCCAAATTCCAAAAAAAAACTTCAATGACATAAAATATAATTATCTATATTTATACTCTTATACCTAATTTTCATGTTCAAAGAAAAAATTAACATTTTAGTAATTTCTAAGTATAAGTACAAGAGGGCTCAAGTGACATGATTTTTTTGGTTATAAAAATAAATTAGCTACTTAAGAGGCTGAGGTAGTAGGATAACATGGGGCCAGTAGTTCTAGACCAGTTTGGGCAATACAGCGAGATCGTGTCTTAAAAAAAAAATTAAAAATAAAAAATTAGCAGGGCCTGTTGTCCCTACTAATTTAATCTACTTGGGAGGCTGAGATGGGATTTGCTTGTGCCCATGAGTTTGAGGCTGCAGTGAGCTAGGAGCACGCCACTGCACTCCAGTCTGGGCTGCAGAGCAAGAACCCAACTCTAATTTTTTTTAAAAGAGAAGAAATTCAACAAGGAATACTTGTTTATCTTTACATTTTTGTGTACAAAATGATGTTATGGCTTAAAAGATCACAAAACAGCAACATTATATGGAATTAACTTAGAATTTTGAAATAACAAAAGAGGGCTCCACATTCCCAAATACATTCAAATGAACACGCAAATACTTTTCTTGCTTATAAGAATTGCCACACTTGGCCTATTTATTCCACTACAGCCTTAGATTTGATTACCTAGTTCATACACTAAAACACTGAGACAGCATTTTAAAAGAATGAATAGTGATGTTATGGAGATAGGTGTGACACCCACAGGAAAAAATATCAGCTGACAGCAAGGGAAAAACAAAAACCGAAACAAAATGAAACAAGAAAAGCCGAAATAAGAACCGAAATGCCTTAGGGTGGAGTCATATAGGGGTTAAATCTAACTCCTTAAAGTCCCTGATATTCACAGAATGACAATGCAATCGAAAATATGATTTTCTTGGGCCAGACATAATGCCTGTAATCTCAGCGCTTTGGGAGGCCAAAGCAGGAGGATCACTTGAGGCCAGGAGTTCAAGACCAGACTGGGCAACAGAGTAAGACCCCATCTCTATAAAAACTTGAAGAAAAAAAAAATTAGCTTGGTGGTATGTGCATGGTGATATGTGCCTGTAGTCTCAGCTACTCAGGAGGTTGGGGCGGGAGGATCACTTGAATCCAGGAGTTCAAGGTTACAATGAGCTACGATCATGCCACTACACTCCAGCCTGGGTGACAGAGCAAGACCTTGTCTCTAGAAAATTAAAATAACCTTTTCTTAATGATGACTTCAGACCAAAACAAACTTCAATTATATATTCAGTATTTTTAAATTATAGTTGCAAGTCAGGTAAAACGAAGACTTAAGCCAATGACATATAAAACGAAGGTTCTAATTAATATATAACATATTTATGATATATAATGCACATAAACTTAATGTTACTATATGAAATATATATTTCAATTAATTAGAATATTCCTATGTCAAAACGATGTTATATAAATAAGGAACTACACATTTATTATGTATAATAAATGGTACCCAGAAGATTTAAAAAATCAGAAAAAATCTCAAGCAAGGAATTCTTACTAGTCTTCATCCATATTTGACATATAGCAATTTCCAATTAGTATAAAATAAATAATAATTTAATAAAATACTTACCAATATAGAATATAGAAATTTCGTGACAAAAACTACTTCAATGCAACCAACTATTAAATTAACCTGAATGTCAACCACATTCATATCTGTGTATGCAGAACCAGCAGTTGCATCCATGTAAGAAACCATTTTGAAGCTGAAAACTTCTTTTCCAGTGATATAAACAGCCTTAATAAGAGAAAATTTAATTATCACAATCCATTTTTGAAATGATGTATTTTCAGTACAAAAATAAAACAGTAAAAAATAACAAAACATAGTTAGAAAATCTCCCAAGTATTCACAAGCCAAGTACAAATGAGGCAACAATTCTACTGTAACTGGTTTATTGGAACCTACACTACAAACTTTTACAAATTGGTGGTGGCAATTTCCTTTGTGGGTCATAAAATCAAGGTAGTAGGTGTGGCTCCAGCTTTTTTTCTTTTTTTTTTAATGGAGAAGAGGAAATATCTGAATATGCATTTTCATTTTGCAAGTATACTTTCGTAATGAGAGTAACCATGTATTTCTTGATTGACTGACAAAAATTTGAAAAACACTGTATATCTACACCTTACTGAAATCTATTCCTGATTTGAGGTATGTGAATAGATTTTTCTGGATTCTTCAAAGGAGTCTCCTCCTATTGCTATACTTCTGTTCCTTATCAGATTGTAAAGGGCCATCTTAATTGCCAACCAGAAATTACCTACAGTGGTTAAAAATCTCAAGCTCTGCAATAACAGTTAAAAATGGTGGCGACAACAGGAGATGTAAAATGTTAAAAAAAATTTTGGAAGAGGGACAGAGCACTAAGCTCATAACTTTCTCAATTCTCCTAAATGCTAGAAGCAAGCAAGAACAGGGAGCTGAAGAGCCATCAACAAGCAAATCAGTTACAACTACAGAACAAAGAATCCTCCAGAACCAGAGGTATAAGTGACCTCCGAAGGCTGAGGTACAAGACAGGGCTGAAAAGAAGTCTACAGTCCTGCTTCTGCCTAGGGTGCACAAAGCTGGAGTGAGGGCCCCTCCAAACCTTAAGAAAAGGAAAAAAAACCCGATAAACTATGATATCATAACTTTCTTAAAACCATTAGCAATCTGAGGTCACAGGACAACAAAGATCCCTAAAAATCTAAGGACAAACAGGTACCTTCAGGGAGAGAGAGAAAATAAGCACCAGCTCACTTGTGGTAGAGAGGAGAAAGAGATGTCAGATACTATACAATATAGGTAAGAATAATTCAGCTAAAATGATAAAGGATAAGTGTGGACTAATGTGAGATGCAGAATCCCTGAGAGCCACACACGTGAGGAGCTCTTGAGAAAGACGGGAGATGGGTGCAAGTGGGAAACAAGAGAAGGCTTTCCTTGGTATGACCCTGGAAAAGGTGAGGAGCCTCCACTGCAGAAAAGGCCCAAAGCACCACCAAGATTATCAACTACTCAAAACAATAGCCATAAGAAACTAGGGGAAGGGCAGTAAACCTTGTTTCCCTCAGGGCACAGGTGAAGATACAGTATCCTAGGGACAAGAATAAAATAAAACTCTAGGGGAAGAACAAGAACTCTCCTGGGGCCAGATGATTAGAGGTCTCCCTCTGCTGGGGAAGGGAAGGATAGTCAATCCCACATAGGAAATACGAGAGATATCAATCAGATGCCATGAGGAGGAGGGGCAGGATGGCCAAGAATACTCCATTTCTGAGACTCACAGAAACAGCCCTGGCTAGGAGTGAAAATGGACAAGAACACTAACAAGCCTATCCAAACCACCTTGCCTTCTCCCCAAATACATCAAGCTCACAAGCACTAAGAAACAAGCAGCAGGAGCCTCTAACATCTAGGAAAGAGCTAAGAATGTGGAAAGAGAATTTTCTGAGGTACAAGAGTAGAAGAAAGGTCAAAGGCTCAGCACGGAGCAAAATCTGAGCAACACAGCCTCCAGCCACCCTAAGCACAAGGTACAACTAAAGGAAACTGAAGCAGTAATGTAGTGAAGGAAATCGTATTAATCTGGAATTCAAACCAACCTAAGCTCAACCCCCCACCCCAAGCTAATAGCTTAGCAGAAAAGAGGCATCCCCGTTTCCAGACATAAATACTATGATATTTACCTCAGTCTCTATTATGCTATGCATCTGTGGTCCCCAGCCTTTTTGGTAACAGGGAGCTGTTTTGTGGAAGACAATTTTTCCACAAAAGTGGGGCTGGGGGGTTGGAGGGTGGGGAGATGGCTTGGGGATTAAATTGTTCCACTTCAGAGCATCAGGCTTTAGATTCTCACAAGGAGCATGCAACCTAGATCCTGCGTATGCACAGTTCACAATAGGGTTCACCCTACTATGAGAATCTAATGCCCCCACTGATCTGACAGGAGGCGGAGCTCAGGCAATAATGCTCCCTCGCCCACCACTCAACTCCTGCTGTCCGGCCCAGTTCCTAACAGGTCACAGACCGGTACCGTTCTACAGCCCGGGGGTTGGGGACTCCTGCTATGCATGATATGATGTCTGACATTCGATCAATAATTATGAGATGCCCTATAAAAGCAAGGGAAAAAATTCAAGCAAATAATAAAGGAATCAACAGAATCAGACTCATCTATAACATCAATGTTGAAACTAAAATTTTTAATTTTAATTACTATGATTAATATGGTAAAGGCTTCTAGTGGAACATATGCATGAATAGATGGTGAATATTATTATAGCAGAGAAAATGGAAAAAAGAAGAGTCAAAGGGATATATTAAAGATTAAAAAACATGGTAACATAAATGAAAATACCTTCAGTGGGTTTGTCAGTACACTCATCAGAGCCAAGGACAAAATCAGTAGATTTGAAAATAGGTCAAGATAAATTATTTGAATTAAAAGGCACTAAGAAAACAATGGGGAAAAAACTTGAACAGAACATCCAAAGGCTGTGGGACTATAAACAGAAATCCAGCAAGAATTTCAGGAATTCAAGAAGAGGAACAGGGAAAAAGTGGAGGAGGAGAAAACAGGGGAGCCAGGGGGTGGGGGAGAGAAAGGGAGACAGAGGCAAAGAAACTATTTGAAGAAAAAAATGAAAAATATTGAAAGACAGATCCATCCAAGTAGCTCAGAAAAGCCCAAACAGGACAAATATCAAAACACAATTAAACTCATCTAGTCACACCATATATAAATCCTGAAAGCAGTCAAAAAAGATGACCAATTATGTACAGAGGAACAAAAATAAGAAATGTCATAGATTTCTCATCAAAAGTATGTGTAACAAAGAACAATGAAATCACATCTTTTAACAGTTGGAAAGGGGGAAAACACAACCCAGCAAAAATGTCACTCAGAAAAATTAGGGTGAAATAAAGGTTTTTCCCAGCTCCCTTCTCATCTATACCCAAAAAACTGAGAGAAGTCATTACTGGCAGACCTGCATTATAAAAAATGAGAAAGTGCCAGATGCGGTGGCTCACGCCTGTAATCCCAGCACTCTGGGGGGCCTAGGTGGGTGAATCACCTGAGGTCAAAGAGTTCAAGACCAGCCTGGCCAACATGGTGAAACCCCATCTCTACTAAAAATACAAAAATTAGCCAGGTGTGGTGGCACACATCTGTAATCTCAGCTATTTGGGAGGCTGAGGCAGAAGAATCACTTGAACCCCGGAGGCAGAGGTTGCAGTGAGCTGAGATTGCACCACTGCACTCCAGCCTGGGCGACAGAGCAAGACTCTGTCTCAAAAAAAAAAAAAAGAAATGAGAAAGTATTTCAGAGAGAAATACAAACAATAGACAGAAACTACATGAAGTAGTTACAGAAAGAGTTGCAATGAAGAAAAATATAAAACATCTTTAGAAAACTAATTGCTCCAAAGAAAACTGACTAAACCAAATTCAATAGGTACACATTGTGAGTTTTCAACATGCACCAAAGTAAAGCAAATTATGATGATACCAAGAAAGATAGGAAATGGGAATTGGAAGCATGGTATTGTAAGATTCTTACACTATATGTACAACAATAAAATATTATTGGAAGATAGACTATGATTAAAGATATATACATTGTAAACCCTAGAGAAACCATAAAATAAATGATAATTAATCAAAAATCAGGCCAAAAGGAGGAATACAATAGGATAAACAAAATTAGAGAACAGAAAACAATTAGAGATATCAGATTACAATCCAATCATATCAATAATTAGTTTTATAAAATAGTCTAAACACAAATTAAAAGCCAAGAGATTGTCAGATTAGATAAAAAAGAAAGATCTAAATATACACTGACTGTAAGAAACCCATTTTAAGCCAGATGTGGTGGCATGCACATATAATCCCAGCTACTTACTACTTAGGCTGAGGCGAGCTTAAACACAGGAGTTCAAGACCACCCTGGGCAACACAGTGAGACTTTGCATCAAAAAACAGAAACCCACTTTAAACAAGAAAACATCCATTAAAAGCTAAAGGACAGAAAAAGATAGACCATTCAAACCTAACCGAAGAAACCTGGAATGGCTATATTACTACCAAAGTAGACTTCAGAACAAGCACAGTTACCACAGATAAAAAGACACATCACATAATCACAAAAGGGGCATAAAATTCATACACATTTATATGTACCTAACAAGAGATCTCCAAAACATACAAAGCAAAAAACTTAAAGAACTGAAAGGAGAAACAGGCAAATCAATGGTTATAATCAGAGGCTTCAACACAACCAGTAAACAGAAAATCAGTAGCCTGAATAATTCTATCCACCAACCTACTTGCCCAAATGGAACATTCAACCCAGCAAAACACATATTAATTTCAAGTACACTTGAAACATTCACCAAGATTAATCATATATGTTCTGGGCCATAAAACAAACATCAACAAATTTAAACGAACTGAAACGGTTTCTCCCCTGACCATAATGAATTTAAACTAGAAATCAGTAACAGAAAGGGATCTGAAAATCTCAAAATATTTAGAAGTTAAATAACATATTTCTAAATAAACAATGGGTAAAAGAAAGTCAGAAGAGAAATTAGAAAATACTTTGAATTGAATGAAAATAAAAATATGACATATCAAAACTTACAGGAAGCAGCTAAAGCAGTGCTTAAAGGAAAATTTATAGCAGCAAATGCTTACAACAGAAAGACATTCTCAAATCAATAATTTAAACTTCCACCTTAAGAAGAGCATATTAAATCCAAAGCAGGCAGAAGGAAGGAATCTTAAAAGAGCATAAATAAATAAAATTAAAAACAGAGAACATTCAATTGAAACAAATGCCAGTTCTTTCAAAGTATCAATAAAATCGATACATCGTTAACCAGGCTGATCAAGACATAAAAAGACAAAAATTATAATCTCACATGCTAAGAAAAAAAAACGTGAAAGACTACATAACTGCATGATTCCATTTATTTGATACTTTGGAAACTGCAAAACTACAGGAACGAAAAACAGTGCAGTGATTCTAAGGTGCTAGGATGGGGAGAAGGGCTAACCTCAAAGGGCAGTAGTGAATATTTAGGGTTGACAGACCCATTGTATATGCTGAAGGTAAGTTACACAACAGTATATGTTCGTCAAAACTCACAGAATTATAACTAAAAGAGGTAAGTTTTACTATAGGTAAATTGTCTCAATAAATCTTACTTTAAAAAGTAAAAACTAAACCAAAACAGAAACTAATAAATAATTCTACCCAAAGGTTACTGAGGGCCCTAAAACCTCCCAGAATATAGCAAGCACCTTCCTGCTACAAGGCTTTTATAGTTGCTCTTTCCTCCACCTGGAAAGCTCTTTCAACAGGGCTCAAATCCACAGCTCAGATTTCTGTCAAATGTTTCTACTGTAAAAAAGCATTTCTTGATAATCCTAATACGCCACGTGAATTATTACCTGTCACATTACCCTGCTTTCTTGGTTTTCAAAGCACATATCACTCTCTAATATTGTTTTATATTACTGATTAACTACTATTTATTCCACGTGGAGAAGGGCTTTTTATCTTTTGCTGACTATAGTATCTCAAATAGGCCAGGCGCTGTGGCTCAGCTCATGTCTGTAATCACAGCACTTTGGGAGACCGAGGCAGGTAGATCGCCTGAGCTCAGGAGTTTGAGGGCAGCCTGAGCAAAATGTTGAAACCCCATCTCTACAAAAATCAGCTGGGCCTGGTGGCACACACCTGCAGTCCTAGCTACTCAGGAGGCTGAGGTGGGAGGATCACCTGGGCCAGGGAAGGTCGAGGCTGCAGTGAGCTGTGATTGTGTGATTGGAGACAGAGAGAGAGAGAGAGAGAGAGAGAATTTTATGTATATATAAAATATATTATTATATAATATATATAATTAGTTTTTTCTTAATTTATTTACCAGTATTTATACATATATAATTTACATATATATTAATGTATAAATTGTATCTATATAATTATATAAATACTGGTAAATTAGTTTAGAATAAACCGAATAGCCTCTGCATGTCACATGAGTAGGACTATATGACTGTTCCTCTCCGAGTTCAACAGAACAGATTTGCTCGACAGAGTTTAGAGCAGAAAGGCTGTGGTCTAGGAGACTTCAGGTACAGAAAGACGGTTAATAAAACACCATGTTAAAAAGTGGTTATTTTAAGCAAAAATCTATAAACTAAATGATGAGGCCTCCACTTCTTTCAACCAATTGGCTTCTGGAATGTAGGCTGCCAGGCTTATACTTAATAGTATTTTTCTCAACGGAAACTAACTAGCCTAAGAACAAGAGATACTCTCAATCTGAGAACCCATAAAATTGCTAGACCAGTTCCTGACCATCAACTGTGATGTCTACCTGTCCAAAGTCCCTACATAAAGCTTCAAATTAGCTCTGAATGTCTGGGGAAAATGGCAAAGTTCTTAGAAGCGAAAGAAAGTCAAACTGTCATCAGAACTGTCAACACCAATACTAGGCCATAAGACATGGAGTAATATGTTTTAAGATCATCTAGAAAAGAAAATTCAAGGCAAGAATTTAAAATCCAGTCAAACTACCCTGCAAATATAAATAAGGATTATTGTTCCTATGAGCCCTGCCTAAGAAATCTACTGGAGAATAAACTTTTGAAAAGCCAAAATGATTGGTGATACCAGCATAAAGACTGGTGAACTCTCCCATTTAATAAATGAAGAAACGTCCCTACTGCCTCCAGACTTCCTGTCAGCCTCCCTGGTGGGCACCCCTCGAGGGTGTTTTGTTGTGTTGCCTCCCCGATGTCCCATCTGACCAACATGCCTGCAAGCTAGAAAGTGGCTATTTTGGCTTATGGCCACTCTCCAGACACAGACTTCAAGACCAAATTACAGGAAATAACAACAAATAGCTTCTAACATAAAAAAAAGAAAATATTCCAAGACAGTGCAAAACAGAAAAGAAAAAAAAGACAGCTACACACTATGTGCCTCCTATGAAAACACACACTACCAACTATGAAGTATCTTGCCAACCCCTACTCCCAAACCCTGAATCTCACTGTGCCCTGAGATTTAAATACCGATTTAAGGAAACACAGGATACAGTAACATGTTAAATAGCATGAAAACATAATCAGCAAGATACAGGCTATGGAAAATTGTACAGAATAAATAAGATAGCAACAAATGGCTAACACAAGGGCAGAGAAGAAACTAAAGGAAATTCATAAACTATAACAGACTTAAGTGGTATATCAATCAAATGCAGTGTGTGGATCTCCTTTGGATACTGAATGCCATATGGAAAATAAAATAAAGTGAATCCCAGACTCAACTATACACAAAAAATATTTGCACTGATAATTCCATCAAACATTTAAGGAATAATGCAAATTCTATACAAATTTTTCAGAAAACAGGAAGAAAGCATTTCCCAACTCATTTCATGAAGCAAGTGTTGGCCTAATAACAAGGCCAGAAAAGTTGAGAATAATTAGAAAGACTTGTGTACCCATCACCAAGAATTAAGCATTAAAAATTGGATTTTTTTAAGCCTTTACTTTCAAAATATTTTTTATGAAGAAGATATCAGAAACTAATTTACTATGATATGTTTTTCATGAGACTATCAGGTCAGCAAGAATCCTTTTTACCTTATGGCATATATAAATAAAAACAGTATTTGTCCAATGGTGCTACAGTAAATGGAGGATGCTGCTCCAAGACAGAGTCAAACAAATGGTCTGGGGGCTCCCACCCTTAAAGTTGAGGGCCTCAATGTCTCAGTACACTTAAAACTGGCACAATAATATATATCGCTGTACAAGGCTTATGAAACTGATTCATAATCAGGTCTGATTTCATAAGGGCAAAAACCTTATGCCTCTCTGGTTCTTTGACACGTGGAAAGTTACTAAACAAGGCAGTTTGTTTAAAAACCATGTACAATGGAATCAAAGAAACAGGGAAAGGGAAATGAAAATCGTGCAAGAAGACAAGGAGAAAGATTTTTTTTATTTTGTAACTTTCTGTAAACTGAATTTTTAACCTTGTAGATATATTAAAAATAAAATTACAGGCCGGGCACAGTGGCTCATGCTTGTAATACCAGCATTTTGGGAGGCCGGGACAGGCAGACCACTTGAGGCCAGGAGTTTGAGATGAGCCTGGCCAAACACAGTGAAACCCTGTCTCTACTAAAAATATAAAAATTAGTTGGGTGTGGTTGTGCGCACCTGTAATCCCAGCCACTCACGAGGCTGAGGCACGAGAATCACTGAAACCCAGGAGGTGGAGGTTTCAGTGAGCCAAGACTGCGCCACTGCACTCCAGCCTGGGTGATAGAGCAAGACTGTCTCAAAAAAAATAAAAAAATAAAATAAAATAAAATTACAGAGAAAAAAATCAATGGGTTGGATCATGCTCTCAGTTCTGTATAACTTTTCGTAGATACTTTATTTCTGTGAGCTTTACTTTCTAGATAGGGAAAATAAAATGGATAACCTATTTCTTAAATACTCTGATACTTATGATTTTTAAAATAAAAGCAATAGAAGCAAATAAAACCACGGCTTCTGGAAAATTTCTTGTTCCTTATTGCTATGAGTCACTTCTTTTTGATGTTGGAACTGTTTTTCTATCCCACTAAATAAGCCATAACAAGAAGATATTAGAAATAAGAATTTTTTAAACATAAAAATCAGTTCATCACTACAGTATTACTGGCAAAATCTATTTATCTATTTCCTTTCTTCTCAACATATTCCAAATGCTGACTTCCTGACTCAACAAGTACTTCAGTTTTTCCTGATCCTACTATCTGATATTCCTTTAACCTCCTTAAATACATAATCCTGCCTGCTTCAGGTAGGATGTTGCCTGTTCAACTCTGCAGCAGGAACCTCACTGTTTTATAACCAGTAACAAATTACCTAACCTTCAACAACTAATCATCCAGTTCAAAGGACTCTCTTATCATTATTACAACAACGATACTAGTGATCGCTGATGACAATAAGCTTTATAAAAAATCTCACTTCCTCAGACTTCAGACCCTCAAATGTATCTAAAATGCATTACAAGATTCAGAGTACATGAACCAAAAAAAAAAAAAAAAAGTGAAAAAGGTATTTACTAGGTTCTCTCCCAAAACTTTGTTCCTGCAGCATTATTCGTACTTATCTCATTTATGAGATACTGTAATCCTCATTTTACAAATAAAGAAACAGAGTCCAAGATTAGGTAACCTGCTAATGGTCACACAGCTACTAAGGAGTAGAGCTAAGAACCCAATTATGCCTGACTCCAAAACCCATGCACATAATAAGCCATACTACTAAATTCTGACAAATGTCCAAATGATACCTATGACCACTCTTAAAGGACAATCCTATTTAATGATGTACTATTATTTAATTAAAAGAATTCTTACCTTTTTGTATATAGCTGTTATATCAGAATCTAAAACAATTATATTCCTTAGCTTTGCGTTTATTTCAGTTTCTGAAGGCCTCATAATCATCTCAGAATCAAGCCCTAAGGGAACAAAAGAATGACTGCCTTTTCTTTCATTTAATGTCTTTTAATTTGCTTTTTGTGAAATTTTATTACCTTCAATCTTAATTTCAGAAATGTTACATTTCTGATCTTGAATAAAGATCTGTAAACACGATAATTCTGCTAAAATCTGCAAAGTAATGATATCTTCATTTGTGGATAGTTTTAAAGCTGCAAAAAAAAATTCATATTATAAAACATGAGGAAAAACATTTAGTAGTTACCTCACTATACTTATAAAGTAACTGAAATATCACCACAAATAGTGATATCAGAGAAAACCTGATCTGCAATTCAGTTGAAAGCAAGGTATGATATTCCCTACTGAATTGAAAATTCTAAAAAACAATAAAATCTAACAAAAACAAAAGCAAATAGACAACACTGTTTCAAGAAGAAACTAAACATTTGAAACTAAAACACTGTAGCTATAAATTTCAAAATTTTTTGAGAACCAATAATTACTAGGTGATACTTGTCATTATCAAAATTGCAACTTTTCACTGCTTCGAAAGTACTATACTCTGATTTTAAAATATGCTCTGATACTCTTTTTTGTTTTTTTTTTTCGAAACAGAGTCTCTCTCTGTTACCCAGGATGGAGTGCAGTGGTGCAATTGTAGCTCAAAGATCGCTGCAACCTTGAATTCCTGGGCTCCAGTGATTCTAATGTGTCAGCCTCCCAAGTAAACTGGGTCTACAGACAAACACCACCATGCCCAACTAATTTTTAAAATTTTGTTGGAGACAGGGTCTTGCTATGTTGCCCAGGCTAGTTTTGAACTCCTGGCCTCAAGTGATCCTTGAGCCTCAATCCCCACAGCGCTCACCTCCCTGGGTCACTGGGATCACAGGCATAAGCCACCGCACCCAGCTGACAATACTCAAATTTTGTTAGTCATATTTGTCTAATCTAAAATAATGTCATGAAATGCATAAATTTTAATTTAAATCTAATCCTCCTACTGGGAGGTGGAAGAAAAAAAATTTTTTAATCTAATACTCCTACTATATAATCTTAAACTAAAAACAATTATTATATACGATAAACAAAAGCAACATTTTCTTCGCCAGTAGTTTCCTTTATTTTCTAAAATTATCCTGGCATATAATGAATCCTTCTAGATATTAACCTAGGCAACAGAATTCTGAAGCCAATATTTGAAGTTAATAATAAAGTCAGGGTCTAGATTTATTGACCTACATGGTTAAAAAAAAAAAAAGTTGATGCTAAATTTTTAAAAAACATACCTAATTTTTTAATGACATCTCCTTTGTCTTCAGTCTCTGTAGTGGACACTGGGGCTGATTTTTCCTCTGATTGCGGAAGGATATTATGAAGATAATTTATTGTATTCAGAAGTGCTTCAGTGTGTAAATGAATATCCAAAGAGGAAAAATTTACCTAAAGAACAAAGCTGATTTTAGTGATAGGTCAATAAATATTTGCTTGCCAGCTCTCTACAAGGCACTATGCTTTGTGGCATAAAGGATATAATTTATAATATTTTCTTATCTTTAAGGATCTTACAATTCCAGTTAGAAAATAATTTCCATAAGAAATAGTACATAATTAAAAAATAAATTATCTACTCATACCTTAATCAATTGTAAAACATTGTTATAGGTACTTTTCAAGTCGGGTACATTCTTTTCAGCCTATCCAAAGAGAAAACAAATCTGTTAGAACACGTTAGGAAGACATACATATACAATCACATTATAGTCCTAATACACATTTATATAATTTTCCAGCTGTTCATATACATATATATATATATATATACACATATACACACACATATAATTACCTAAATAAGCAACCGCTTCACCAGAACAAAAGAAAATGTAAGTATTGGACTCTCTGGCACATAGCAAGTATTCAATAAATGTTACGTACTATCATTCTTATTATTAAGAGAGGAAATGTTGGATATTATCAAGTGTGGAGAATAATCATTCGGTCATCAACAACTCTGTACGGTTCTTCCTAATTCTTCCTGTATTTAAAAACAAAATTTGTGACAGAATTGTCCACCAAGTATCCAAATACTCTGTGTTTTCTTTTTCTTTTTAAAAAATTTAATATTTTTGATTGACAAATCATAATTATATACACTTATGGAGGACAATGTGATGTTTTGATATATGTACACAATGTTAAATGATTAAATTAAGCTAACTAACATATCTGTCACCTCGCTTTCCTATCTTTCTTTGTGGTGAGACATTTGAAATTCACTTTCTTGGTTGTTTTAAAATAAACAACACATTATTATTGATTACAGTTCCCCTGCTGTATACAGATCTCAAAAATTATTCTTCCTGTCTATCTGGAACTTTGTACCATTTGATTGACAACTCTCTATTCCCTCTCCTTCCCTCCCTCCCATCCCTGCTACCCTCTGGTAACCATCACTGTGCTCTCTACTTCTATAAGTTCAGTTTTATTAGATTCCACACATAAAGAAGATCATGAGGTATTTGTCTTTCCGTGCTTGGCTTATTTTGCTTAGCATAATGTCCTCCACATTCATCTATGTCGACATAAGTGACAGGATTCCCCCCCTTTTTTAAAGCTGAATAGTGTTTCATTTTGTATATATACCACATTTTCTTTATCCATTTTCTTTAGGTCTAGAATACTTTTGCTACATAAAAGCTATATAATGCATATACAACAAAAATCTTAAGACATCTAGTCAATAATGGATAGCAAAAATGGTTTTAAAGTGATTAAATGCTTTCTGCATTATTCTTATTATAAAGTAATTATTAAAATAGTCTGACGCAGAAACACGGAAGTCAGCAGAAACATGGAAAAATTAGAAATAGACCATAGTACATAGAAAAGCTTAACAAACGATAAAATGAATATCATAAATCAATAAAAAAGGAATGGAGTTATTGACCCTAGGAATATCAAGTAACTTCACAAAACAGTGGAAAAGAAAGTGAAAGCATCATCTTGTATCACATAAAACAATACACTCTAACAAGACTAAAAAGTGTGTTTCTTTCTCAGTACCCCTGTTGGGAGAAAAAAAAAATCAAACTCCAGGTCATTTCTACTTAGAACACAATCTTCTTATTTTGCTATATGAAGTATTTATAAATCACAACTATTTAATACAAGATGACAAAATAAAAAAAACCTTAGTATTAGGAGTTACAAAGAGATTATGTTACAGTGAAGATTAAATAAACTGAATAATACCAAACTTACAAAACTTAACATTTCAGCAGCATACTTACCATATTAAGCAGATATAAATGAAACTGCTTACCTTTACATATTCCAGCGTTAACAGGTCTTCCATTGTGTTATCCAGGGTTGTAACCAAATAAACTGGTTTCTTGTTTTCATCTAAAAATAATTTTTTAAAAATTATCTTTTCATCGGAAAGGTAACTGAAAATAAATGCAAGCAATCTTATTAATTATGTAATTGCAAAAGAAGGCTTTCCTATATGAGTTCTGGACCTTGGATTCTACCTCACCCAAGTCAAGTTACTTCTTTGTTCTTTAAACTCTAAAAATTTAATTTCTCCTCACAATTCCCTTACCTCCTCATGTGCCACAACACTGAAGTCTCATACCCTTCTAAACCTAGATAGGAGGTAAGGTAAGAAAAAACAGGAATCAACTAAAGAGAAACTAGAATGGTTTTTAGGAACAATGAAAGGGCAGGAAGAGAATTCTGGCCCTGGATCACTGAAATAACTAAAAAGGAAATCATCAGAGTCCTTGAAAACCCAGCTGTTCAGAAGACAGACCGGGAATGAGATGAAACATTAAGTTTTCTGTATATTAGTTTAGATTAAAATAAACCCTATTACCATGTAATCAGTCTTTATTAGTTATACTGATATGGACAGCAGACAGGGAAATACTGGGTAGAAGAGGGCAGTTCCCCAGCAAAGGCCCCACCCTCAAGCCTAAAAACTGGAGGCCCTAAACGAGAACAAGCATTTCTGTTTTTGCACCTGAAAAGTTGCCTTTTGGCCCACCATACCCACCATCCTGTGCCCATATAAGCCCAAGGCCTTAGTGGGCACAGATACAAGCAGCTGAGCATTGAGAAGAGCAGAGGAAAAGAGTGGTGGAGAGTGGCAGAGAGTGGCAGGGCAGCATGGCAGAAAAAGAGAGAAGAGGAAGGACGTGGACGTCCGGACGCTGGGGTAGTTCAACTAGGGGCTGTCAGTGAAGAGTCCATCTGCTGGGTGGCCCAACCTCAGGGGAAGACCACCTTCCCACTCCATCCCCCACTTCCGGCTCTCCATCCGTCTTGCTGAGAGCCACCTCCACCACTCAATAAAACCTTGCACTCATCCTTCCAGCCCACATGTCATCCAATTCTTCTGGTACACTGGGCAAGAACTCAGGCAGTCACAATGGCCCCCTGCCCTTGCGATAAGGAAGACGGTCTATCGAGGTGATTAACAAAAGCTGTCTGCAGATGGCAAAGTTGAAAGAGCATACTGTAACACATGCCCCTTGGGCTTCAGGGGTTGTAGACACCTACCCCTAGATGCTGTCCTGGGGCCGGAGCCCAAAAGCACTCCCCACAGCCTCTGCACCTGCCCATCTGCATGCTCCCTCTAGGGAAATACACACCCCTGTGGCATGTCCTGCGAGGGGAATAAAGGAACTCTCCCATTTTAATATTACTGCTTCTGCTCAAAATGTGCTATACTAAGAAAACCAGTGTAGAAGAGAATTTATAGAAAGCTTTTAAAACTCTCATCACCAAATGACTTACGGTTGCTAGAAAATTAGTATCTAAAGACTGGAAGAAAGGACTACAAACTAATCCTACAATTCCTGAGAAAAAAATGCCACAAATTGCACAGAGTTCTCCAAACCTAATGCTTAGCACATAAACCTGTTTTCTACTCCAAGTGCTAGCCACACTTGAAGCCTTAAAAAAGTTCCCACTTTGTTTACACATTTATTCATTCATTGAACCATTTACTGATCATTTACTTTGTGCAAGAAACTGCTATTCACTCCCTCTGAGAAAACAGAAACAAAAATATTACAGAAATAAGCGCAATAATAATTGTATACTCTTTTTTCTGTTTGCAAGGGTTTTTTAATCCTTTGTTCTTGGCAAAGCAAACATAAGAATAAACATAAAACTTAATAAGTGTGGCCAGGCGCGGTGGCTCACGCCTGTAATCCCAGCACTTTGGGAGGCCAAGGCGGGCGGATCACGAGGTCAGGAGATTGAGACTATGGTGAAACCCCGTCTCTACTAAAAATACAAAAAAAAAAAAAAAAAAAAATTAGCTGGGCGTGGTGGCGGGCGCCTGTAGTCCCAGCTACTCAGGAGGCTGAGGCAGGAGAATGGCATGAACCCAGGAGGTGGAGCTTGCAGTGAGCCGAGATCATGCCACTGCACTCCAGCCTGGGCAACAGAGCGAGACTCCATCTCAAAAAATAAAAATAAATAAAACTAATAATAATAAAAAAAACTTAGTAACTGCTATAAAGTTCCTGGGTTACTAGGGAACACTGTCACGTTGGTTTACTTTTCTTTCCAATTACTAGAGCAAACTGTTTCTTGATGATTTAGCAATCATGTTCCTTGGTATTTACCCAGTGAAACTGAAAATTTATGTCTACACAAAAACTTGCATTCAAATGTTCACAGCAGCTTTATTAACAATTGCCAAACCGTGGAAGCAACCAAGATATCCTTCAGTACATGAATGGATAAATAAACTGTGGTGCATCCAGACAAGAGAATATCATTCATTGCTAAAAAAGAAATGGGCTGCCCAGTTATGAAAAGACATGGAGGTAACTTCAGCATATATTACTAAGTGAAAGAAGCCAATCTGAAAAGGATATATATGATTCCAATTATGTGACATGCTGGTAAAACTATGGAGACACTAAAAGGATCACCAGTTGCCAGGGGTTAAGTGGGAGGGAGGGACAAATAGGTGGAGCACAGAGGATTTTTAGGGCAGTGAAACTACTCCACATGAGAAGGTAATGGTAGATGCATGTCATTATACATGTCCAAACAGAAGGTATAACAGCAACAGTGAACCTTAATGTAAATTGTGGACTCTTGGTAATTACGATGTGTCAGTGTAGGTTCATCAGTTGTAACAAATGTACCACTCTAGTGGAGGATGTTGATAATGAAAAAGGCTATGCAGGTGTGGGTACAAGGAGTATATGGGAAATCTCTGTACCTTCTGCTCAATTGTCCCATGATCTAAAACTGCTCTAAAAAATAGTCTATTTAAAAAATTTTATTTCCACCTCTGCTCATACATAATATTATTATGCTACAAAGGAGTTTAATAAAATGAAACTGGTGTCCTAATAATTGCCTCTACTATTCACAATTATCTTTCAAGGAAAAATCCAAAAAATGTAAATGAAGAAATATAAATACAACCCTCCTAATTACCTAACATAGGAAACAGAATAGTTTCTTAGGGATCATATATCCATTACGAACACAAAAGGTTTGCAGTAAGGAGAATACTGCCCTCTGCCCCCAACAAAGATACCTACGCTCTAATCCCCCGGAATCTGAGAATATGTTAACTCATATGGCAAAAGGGCCTTGGAAAATGGGATTAAGGTTAAGGTTAAAGGTATATTATCCTGAATTATAGAGGTGTGTCCAATCTAATCACTGGAGTTTTAAGAGTGGAAGCAAAACACAGAAGAGGAGGTTAGAGATATGGCAACATGAGGAGGATCTGATGCCTTATTGTGGTTAGCAGCTACGTGCAAAAAAGCAACTGAGGCCTAAGGGCAGCCATCCGCTAACAGGCAACAAGGAAACATAGACTTAAACCATGTGTAAATGAATTTTGTCAACACCTGACTGAACAATGAAATGGACCCTCCTCTAGAGCCTCCTAAAAGGAAGTCCTACTGACACCTTGAGTTTTGCCCAGTGAGACTTGTGTCAGACTTCTGTCATACAGAACTCTAAGATAATAAATTTGTGTTGTTTTTAAGCACTAAGTTTGTGGTAAATTGTTATAGCAACAATAGAAAACTAATTAAGTGTTCCAATACTCAGTTAAGTAGATTTAAAATTCAACCATTATCATCTGATTTTCCATAATGAATAAAATTATCTTCATTTTATCTCCGGTGTGCCCCCCACATTACCAACTATAAAAGTTAAAGATTAACTCAAAAAGGAATGGTTCTCTGAGAATATTTCAGCAAATGTACTGATTCAGAGCCTAAAGAATTGAAAACTCTCTAGCAGGTAGTCAAACAATGAAATTAATTTATTTATTTTAAAAAATAGAGATTCTTACCCAAGTATTCTGGGCATTTTAAGCAGAACTCTTTCAAAAAGGCATTTGCTTTCAAATCGTATGTTCTAATCTCAATTTCTGCACCCAATCCTAAAACAAGAATTTCTACCACAGATAGTTCACAATCTCCAACAAGGTGATAAAACTCGATCAAAACCTGGAGAAGAAAGAAAAAAGAAATTACCACTACATAAAACAAAAACATGTTTATGTGCATAGTGGTTACATGTGAATATATGAGGTATACATACAATTGATATATTATTATTTAAAATTTAGGAGAGATTTTATACCCACACAGACATACAATACACACACAACATAAATAATCGTTTTCACAAAAACATGTACTGAATAAATTTAAATCCTTCACTCTTGATTAAGGAAGTTAATCTTATTTAAAAAAAAAAGGGGGGGGCGGGGAGTGACCAAGAATCACACAGCAAGTCTGGAATTACTTTAATTAGGGTGAAAAAGATAGTGCTTCTTAACAATGAGACTATATAGTAAGCTGTAAATATAGAAACAGCAAACAAATTAAGCCATGTTAATTTTACCGTAGTACCTACCTTTGGTACTTCAAATCTTATTTTAAATGTAGTCATATTTACTGAACAATCCTGCTTTTGTAACTTTCTGGTTCGAATACTTTTAACTCCAGTTGGAAACTGAAGAGGTTCTTCCAAGGGACTACATGGTGCATCAAAAAATTCCTCCTCTGAATCTACATTTCACAGAACATTATTTAAGTCAATAATTAAAATGATCAATTTAACAGTATTTCAATAGAAATAAATATGAACACTAAAACACTAAGGCTCTCTTTTAAATATCAAATATTAACATGAGAACCGAAATAAACAGAAAATAATATAGACATTACTGTACTTTTTTATTGTCCATTTTAAACAAAGGGATACTCTACTTTTAAATAACATTCTTGGTTATAAAGAAGCATGGAACATTATTAAGATGTAATCTTTAGCTTAAGAAGCCCATCTTTTGAAATAGTCTATTTTAAAATTGCTTAAATTTTACAGGAAATGCCAATGCCGATGATTATACACACCATGAATACTCAAAGTAATATGTTAATATGCTCACTCTACCTGGATAGTGTAACAGGACTTAGGTATAAACTCTGCAATATTAGCAGCAGAGTCTGAATGAAGTAAACTGAGATCAAGCACTACTTTGTATACATATATATACACAAATATAGGTATATGTACATATACGTTGATATGTAATACACATCAGCATACACATATGCTGATATTAAAAAGGACTGAAAAAGCATTAGATAACTTAGTAAAACCATTAAAACTAGGTTTAAATGAAACAATCAGAAGTATATCCCTAATAAACTAAGACTGAAGTTAAAGTAGATGATCTCACAAACAACTTCTCTCTGGTGACTATAAATAAAGAAAAATTGTTCTCTAAGAAACCAAGAATCGACATGGCAGTTTCTGTTATTTAACATTTATCAATTTTTAAAGTCTTAAAAATATAGACATACACCTTTTCTAATACGGTCATTAAAAAGCACATATTTGGTATCAGAATAGTTATATATTTTTATATGTAAATGTAGATAATTATTGATGATTTTCCTTTAATAATTATATTTTTAAAAATGTTTTAAATATACTATAGCAAAATTTTCCAAATAACTAAAAAACACATTAGAAATTAAGACATCTGTGAAGTTTTGTGGTGTTTTTTAACTCACAGCCAAATAAAGATAATTAACTTATTAGTGGTCCCTGTCATTTTTTTTTTTTTTTTTTTTGATTCGGACTCTCGCTCTGTCACCAGGCTGGAGCACAGTGGCACGATCTCTGCTCACTGCAACCTCCGCCTCCTGGGTTCAGGCGATTCTCCTGCCTCAGCTTCCCGAGTCGCCGGGACTACAGGTGTGCAGCACCACTCCCAGCTAATTTTTGTACTTTTAGTAGAGGTGGGGTTTCACCATGTTGGCCAGAATGGTCTCGATCTCTTGACCTCATGATCCGCCCGCCTTGGCCTCCCAAAGTGCTGGGATTACAGGCATGAGCCACTGCGCCTGGCTGGTCCTTGTCATTTTCTGTTCAACTTTATACCAAAAAAATCCCATTGCAAAAGCAACTTTAAGGAATTGTGCTATTTAAAATAAATTTTAGTTAAAATTTCCTGAAAATATACAAATATCTGCTATTGCCTTAAATTTCTTATATGACTACAGAAGACCAAAATACGCCACTCGAAAACATGTCTTTTTGGCATAAGGATTACACTGAGTCAATTATTTTAAGAAACAGCAGACACAGGAAAAGCTCTGAAGACAGATCCTAAGTTTCCCTTTTCTAAGGGAAATTAACATTTATAAGAGAAATCTACCTTGTAAAGGTATCTTCCTTTCTGTACCAGGGAAGATGACTCTTACTCCCAAGACATTCTTATCAACGGAGAAAACACTGACATATCTGCGTAACAAACTTTACCCTTGTGTACCATACTTTTTCTGGTCGCCTTCCCATATACCTTGCCTCCCCAGCAACCCCTATCCCTGAAGCCCAAAACCTCTTTTCCTTTGTTTAAGCCCAAACTGGTATATAAACCCAAATTTTAATCACCACCTTGAGTTACTCATTCCTGAGCTTCTTGCATGTACCCATGAAATATGAATGCTAGTAAATCTGCTTGTTTTCTCATGTTAATCTGTCTTCCATTCATAGAGCCTCAGTCAAGAACCTAGATTTTAAAAGGAAAAGATATTTTCCTTCCTCTGTGTGGTCCTTTGAGAAAAATATGCCTCAAAACAGAAATTATTTTAATAAAATAAGAAAAATATCCTTAAGCAGTTTCATTTTACCATCTTCAGAAACAGATGGAAGTTCCAAGAGAGGAATTATTTTCTGTGAAATCTGTGATGTTCCCAAAGAAGTAGATGTTTGAATCTGAAAGAAAAGTAATTCAATGTTGATTAGCACAAAAATGTTTATTCACCGCTTATTCAAAAAATGTTTATTCAAAGTTCTACAACAGTTTTGACAAAAAGCTATCCAATTTGAATTAACTGAGAAGATAATCAGGTTTAAATTAGAAAAATACATTATAAAACGCAGATTTTAAAGAAGTAGTTTTACAATTTTAAGGCTAAATAAAAATTGTAGAACTGTTTTAATAATGTCCTTGATGACAGGCTTTGAGTAGAAACAGATCTTATATTTTAAGTCAACATAGTATTAAATCAGGACATCTGTGAGGAACACACAAGTCACAATACTTAAAGCCTCTAGAATTGAGGAACTTACTTTTATTTTTGATCTCTGAAAGGTATTTCAGGAAATTTACTTTTTTACAGTTTGGAGAAATACAGCATATATAAAAACAAATTTTGCAGTTTAAAAAAATAATAATAAAAGACACATCTGAATTTTCCAACCCAGCCAAGCAATAAAACATTACCACATCCTGACCTAGAAGCATCTTCTTATGTGTTCCTCCCGGATCTCATTCCTCCTTGTCACGTTCCCTACCTCTCATCATGATCTTGCTTTTATTTAGTTGTTTGTACTAAAGCACCTATGAATGATTATCTAAATAATGCATCGTTTACCCCTGCCTCTTTCCAAACTGTAGCATATATGACATACATTTTCCTGTGACTTCCTTTACAAAACAATGTTTAAATTTTAACCACACTGATAGTTAACTGAATTTTACTGTGATATTGTATTGCACTGATGAAGAAACCACTACTTATTTGTCCACTATACTGTTGGTGAGTATCTGTGTTGCTTATAGATTTTTGCTTTTGCTTGTAGCACTACTATAAACATCCTTGATATGCCCATAGGTGCTTGTGGATAAAACTTTCCCAAACAGTAAAATTATATATGTTCACCTTATTGAGCACTATCAAACCATTTTCAAAAGTGGTGATAAGACATTACACTAACACCAGCAGCACAGTTTCTATCTCTCCATATCCTCACAATGCTTAGGGTGTTCAAAGATTTCAAATTATATCAGTCTCATTGGCCATGTCATCCTAGTTTTAATTACAATTTCACAAATGCATAACGGTTACATATCATATCAAACACAAATAGCTTCCTTGGTTATTTGTGTTTGCCATTCTGTGAAATTCTGCTCATTTTGGAAGCAGCAGCAGCATTTTTTTTAAGCACATTATAATCTACTACACGAAGTACATAAACTCTAAAGTTCAATACATTTTCAGAAAGTAAACACACTCAACCTACCAACCACCCAGGTCCAGTATGAAACATTACAAGCAACTCATAAGCCTCCCTTAAGCTCCTTGCAATCATTAGGCATCCTCCCAAAAGTAACAACTATGTTACCTTAATTTCAACTTTTAATGTTTTGAAATTTTTGTATCTTACATTTATTAGTGAAACTGGGCTATTATTTTCCTCTTTTATAATGTAGTTGTTAGGTTTTAGAATACAAGTTTTGTTAAGTTCTTAAATGAATTGCCAAGTAATCCTGCGTTCTATTCCCTAAAATGCCCTGGAGTTTTGAGGGAAGCTCCCCCTACACTCAATCACTGCCCATCACTGCTACATGTATTAGTATTTTTTTTCCTGAGTAGTAGTCTACTGTATGAATATACTATTTTTCCTTATCCATTCACTTCTGGATAGACAATTGGGTTTTATGCAACTTTTTACTATTATGAATAACCCTACTGTGAGTATTCTAGTTCAAGTCTTTTGGTAGGCATGTGACTTCATTTCTCTTGGGTAAAAACCTAGGAGTAGAATTCCCAAGTCATATGGTAAGTATATACTTAACCTTATTTTTAAAAACTACCAAACTAAATTACAAAGGGTTATGCTATTTTCAAGTTTCACAAGTAACATATGAGAGTTTTAAATCCTTGTCATGGCAACACCTTGACATGGTATTGCCATTCTTCTTATTTTTAGCCATTCTAACCATTGTGTAGTAGTATTTCTATGTGGCTTTGATTTGCATTTTTCTGGTGAGTAATAAAGTCGAACATCTTTTCATGCTACCTGTTTAGTCATTTATTATTGAGCTGTTAGTCTTCTCATATATTCTAGATACAAGTCTGGACTTGTAAAAATATTTTTGCAACTATTTTTCCCAAGTGGATGGTTAGATGGTTTGCCTTTTCACCTTTTTTAACAATGTCTTCCAAACAGCAGAAAAATTTAATTTTTATAAAGTCCAATTTATTTATTTTTTTCTCCTGTTATATTTGCGCTTTTTATATCCTAAGGTATCTTTACCTACTGCAAGGATTCAAAATTTTAACCTACATTTTTTGTTCCAGAAATTACACTTGTGGACTTTATATTTAGGTCTATGCTTCAAGTTAAATTCCGCATATAAGATAAGGGTTGAAATTAATTTACTTTCCACATGGAAATCCGGTTGTTTCAGAACCATATGTTGAAAAGGTGATCCTTCCCCCACTTAGCTAGGCTGGCATCTTTGTAATAAATCAAACACATATTAACCACATATTGTACAATTTTTTTTTTGTTTTTGAGACAGATTCTCCTTCTGTCACCCAGGCTGGAGTGTAGTGGCACAATCTCGGCTCACTGCAACCTCCGCCTCCCAGGTTCAAGTGATTGTTGTGCCACAGCCTTCTGAGTAGCTGGGACTACAGGTGTGCACCACCACACCCAGCTAATTTTTATATTTTTAGTAGAGACGGGATTTCATCGTGTTGGCCAGGCTGGTCTTGAACTCCTGGCCTCAAGTGATTTGACCAGCTGCAATGAGAAATAAGACGATGCCTTCAACATTTTACTTAGAAATCTCCACAGCTAAATATCCAACTTCATCACTAGAACATAATTTAACCAAGATCTTTGCCACTTTATAACAAGGACCACATTCCCTTCAATGTCAAATAACATGTTCCTCATTTCCACTTGAGGTCTCAACAGAAACAGCTTGAACGTCCATATTTTATATCAATAATTTATTAAACGATAGAATCTAGGTTTTTTTCTAACATGTGCCTCAAAATTCTTCCAGTCTCTGCCCATTACCCAGTTCTAAAGCCACTTCAACATTTCTAAGTGCTTGTTAAGCAACAACTCACTGCTTGGTACCAAAACGTATATGAGATTGCCAGAGCTGCCATAACAAAATAGCATAGACTGGGTGACTTTAACAACAGAAATCTATGTTCTCACAGTTCTGGAGGCCACCTCTATCGTTAACTTGCAGATGACCTCCTTTCTGTGTCCTCACATGGGCTTTCCTCAGTGTGCATGCATCTCTGGTGTCTCTGTGAGACCAAATTTCCTTTTCTTATAAAGACACCAGTCAAACTGGATTAGCGCCCACCCTAGTGGTCTCATTTTAACTTAATCACTGCTGTAAAGAACCTATCTGTAAATACAGTCACAATGTGAAATAGCAGAATTAGGGTTCAATATATAAATTTTGAAGGGCACAATTCAGCCCATACACTATGTACAAATTTAACAACATATATTAGCAAACGGATGCTTAAGCTACAAATAACCAATTTTTAAAAACTTAAAAAGACCTAAGCAAATGGAGAGATATACCATGTTAATGAACTGAAAGACTCAATACTGCTAAAATGTTAATTCTCCCAAATTAATGATACAATTTCTATCCAAATCTCAGCCAGAATTTTTGTGGAAATTGATAAGTTGATTCTAAAAGGCAAAGGAATCAGTCGAAAACATTTTGGAAATACAAAAAGTTGGAGGACTAACCTTTCTGGATTTCAAGACATGAAGTTATAGTATAATTAAGACAGTATGATATCAACAAAAGGACAGAAACAGATGGAAATGATAGACACAGAAATCACTGGAAGAGTCTGAAATAGACTTACACATATATAGTCAACTCAATAGTAAAAGAATAGTCTTTTTAACAAACAAAATGGAAATAACTAAGTGCAGATGTAAAACTAGAAAGAGGATCCCATCACAAGCACCATATAGAAAAATTAAATGGATGAGAGACCTAAGTATAAAACCTAACTCTAAAAAATTTCTAGAAAAAAACATAGGGAAAAATCTTCTTGACCTTAAATTAGGCAAAAATTGCAGAGATGTGATACAAAAAGCTCAATATCTAGAGAAAATATTGCTAAAGTCAATTGTATCAAAATTAAACTTTTGCCCTCCAAAAGACAATTAAAGAAACAAAAAAACTCACCAACAGACTAGGAAAAGAATACAACAAAACACTAAAGTATTCAGGAGTAATGGGACATTAACTCACTTTCTTTTTTTTTTTTTTTGAGATGGAGTATCGCTCTGTCGCCCAGGCTGGAGTGCAGTGGCGCAATCTTGGCTCACTGCAACCTCCACCTCCAGAGTTCAAGTGATTCTCCTACCTCAGCCTCCTGAGCAGTTGGGATTACAGATGCCCACCACCATGCCTGGCTAATTTTTATATTTTTAGTACAGACGGGGTTCCACCATGTTGGCCAGGCTGGTCTCGAACTCCTAACCTCAAGTGATCTGCCTGCCTCGGGCTCCCTAAGTGCTGGGATTACAGATGTGAGCCACCACGCCCAGGTAGTAACATACTCTCTAACAGACTGGGGATAAAACTTCTCTACACTGGTGGCTGGCAAGATGGCTGAATATGAACAACTCCAACCTGCAGCTCCAGGCAATATCAATGCAGAAGGCCAGTGATTTCCGCATTTCCAACTGAGGTACCCGGCTCATCTCAGTGGGACTGGTTAGACAGTAGATGCAACCAACGGAGGGCGAGCTGAAGCAGAGTGGGGCTTTGCCTCACCCCGGAAGCACAAAGGGATCAGGGAACTCCCTCCCATAGCCAAAGGAAGCCCTGAAGGACTGTGCCATGAGGAACGGTGCACTCCAGCCCAGATACTACACTTTTCCCACAGTCTTCGCAACCGGCAGACCAGGAGATTCCCTCGGGTGCCTACACCAACAGGGCCCAGGGTTTCAAGAACAAAACTGGGCAACCATTTGGGCAAACATCAAGCTAGCTGAAGGAGCTTTCTTTCATACCCCAGTGGCACCTGGAATGCCAGCAAGATGAACCTTTCACTCCCTTGGAAAGGGGGCTGAAGCCAGTCTTGCTCAGCGGATCCCACTCCCATGGAGCCCAGCAAGCTAAGATCCACTGGCTTGAAATTCTTACTGCCAGCACAGCAGTCTGAAGTCAACCTGGGATGCTTGGTGGGGGGAGCGGGAATCACCACTGCTGAGGCTTGAAAAGGCAGCTTTTCCCTCACAGTGTAAACAAAGTTGCCTGGAAGTTCAAATTGGGCGGAGCCCACTGCAGCTCAGCAAAGCCACTGTAGCCAGACTGCCTCTCTAGACTCCTCCACTTTGGACAGGGCATCTCTGAAAGAAAGGTAGCAGCCCAGTCAGGGGCTTATAGATAAAACTCCCATCTCCCTGGGACGGAGCACCTGGGGGAAGGGGCGGCTGTGGGTGCAGCTTCAGCAGACTTAAACATTCCTGCTTGCTGGCTCTGAAGAGAGCAGTGGATCTCCCAGCAAAGCACTCAAACTCTGCTAAGAGACAGACTGCCTTCTCAAGTGGGGCCCTGACCCCCATGCCTCCTGACTGGGAGACACCTCCCAGCAGGGGTCGACAGACACCTCATACAGGAGAGCTCTGGCTGGCATCTGGCATGTGCCCCTCTGGGACGAAGCTTCCAGAGGAAGGAACAGGCAGCAATCTTTGCTGTTCTGCAGCCTCCGCTGGTGATACCCAGGGAAACAGGGTCTGCAGTGGACCTCCAACAAACTCCAGCAGACCTGCAGCAAAGGGGTCTGACTGTTAGAAGGAAAACTAACATACAGAAAGGAACAGCATGAACATCAACAAAAAGGACGTCCACACAGAAACCCCATCCGAAGGTCACCAACTTCAAAGACTCAAGGTAGATAAATCCACAAAGATTAGGGAAAAACCAGTGCAGAAAGGCTAAAATTCCAAAAACCAGAATGCCTCTTCTCCTCCAAAGGATCACAACTCCTTGCCAGCAAGGGAACAAAACTGGATGGAGAATGAGTTTGCAGAATTGACAGAAACAGGCTTCAGAAGGTGGGTAATAACAAACTCCTCTGAGCTAAAGCAGTATGTTCTAACCCAATGCAATGAACCTAAGAGTGTTGAAAAAAGGTTAGAGGAAATGCTAACTAGAATAACCAATTTAGAGAAGAACATAAATGACCTGATGGAGTGGGAAAACACAGCATGAGAACTTCGTGAAGCATATACAAGTATCAATAGCCAAATCGATCAAGCGGAAGAAAGGATATCAGAGATTGAAGATCAACTTAGTGAAATAAAGCATGAAGACAAGATTAGAGAAAAAAGAATGAAAACGAACAAACAAAGCTTCCAAGAAATATGGGACTATGTGCAAAGACCAAACCTACATTTGACTGGTGTACCTGAAAGTGACGGGGACAATAGAACCAAGTTGGAAAACACTCTTCAGGATATTATCCAGGAGAACTTCCCCAACCTAGCAAGATAGGCCAACATTCAAATTCAGGAAATACAGAGAACACTACTAAGACATTCCTCAATAAGAGCAACCCCAAGACACATAATCGTCAGATTCACCAAGGTTGAAATGAAAGAAAAAATGTTAAGGGCAGCCACAGAGAAACGTCAGGTTACCCACAAAGGGAAGACCATCAGACTAACAGCAGAGCTCTCTGCAGAAACCCTACAAGCCAGAAGAGAGTGGGCGCCAATATTCAACATTCTTAAAGAATAAAGCAAGTTCTTAAGAGACCTACAAAGAGACTTAGACTCCCACACAACAACAGCAGGAGACTTTAACACCCCACTGTCAATATTAGACAGATCAAGAAGACAGAAAACTAACAAGGATATTCAGAACTTGAACTCAGCTCTGGACCAAGTGGACCTAATAGACATCTACAGAACTCTCCACCCCCAAATCAACAGAATATACATTCTTCTCAGAACCACATCACATTTATTCTAAAATTGATCACATAATTGAAGGTAAAACAAGCTTCAGCAAATGCAAAAGAATGGCAGTCATAACAAACAGTCTCTCAGACCACAGTGCAATCCAGTTAGAACTCAGGATTAAGAAACTCACTCAAAACCGCACAACTACATGGAAACTGAACAACCTGCTCCTGAATGACTACTGGGTAAATAATGAAATTAAGGCAGAAGTAAGTTCTTTGAAACCAATGAGAACAAAGACACAACCAGAATCTCTGGGACACAGCTAAAGCAGTGTTTAGAGGAAAATTTATAGCACTAAAATCCCCACAGGAGAAAGCGGGAAAGATCTAAAATCAACACCCTAACATCACAATTAAAGAACCAGAGAAGCAAGAGCAAGAGGAAACAAATTCAAAAGGTAGCAGAAGACAAGAAATAACTAAGATCAGAGCAGAAATGAAGGAGATAGAGACACGAAAAACCCTTCAAAAATATCAGTGAATCCAGGTGCTGGTTTTTTGAAAAGATTAACAAAATACATAGACTGCTAGCCAGACTAATAAAGAAAAGAGAAGAATCAAACAGACACAATAAAAAATGCTAAAGAGGATATCACCACTGATTCCACAGAACTACAAACTACTATCAGAGAATACTATAAACACCTCTACACAAATAAACTACAAAAATCTAGAAGAAATGGATAAATTCCTGGACACATACACCCTCTCAAGACTAAATCAGGAAGAAGTCGAATCCCTGAATAGACCAATAACAAGTTCCGAAATTGAGGCAGTAATTAATAGCCTATCAACCAAAAAAAGCCCACGACCAGATAGATTCAAAGCCGAATTCTACCAGAGGCACAAAGAGGAGGTGGTACCAGTCCTTCTGAAACTATCCCAAACAATAGAAAAAGAGGGACTTCTCCCTAACTCATTTTATGAAGCCAGCCTCATCCTGCTACCAAAACATGGCAGAGACACACACAAAAAAGAGAATTTCAGGCTAATATCCCTGATGAACGTCAATGTGAAAATCCTCAATAAACTACTGGCAAACCAAATCCAGCAGCACATCAAAAAGCTTATCCATCACAATCAAGTTGGCTTCATCTCTGAGATGCAAGGCTGGTTCAACATATGCAAATCAATAAACGTAATCCATCACATAAACTGAACCAGTGACAAAAACCACACGATTACCTCAATAGATGCGGAAAAGGCCTTCGATAAAATTCAACACCCTTCATGCTAAAAACTCTCAATAAACTAGGTATTGATGGAATGTATCTCAAAATACTAACAGCTATTTATGACAAAGCAACAAACAATATCATACTGAATGGGCAAAAACTGGAAGCATTCCCTTTGAAAACTGGCACAAGACAAGAATGCCCTCTCTCACCACTCCTATTCAACATAGTATTGGAAGTTCTGGCCAGGGAAATCAGGCAAGAGAAAGAAATAAAGGGTATTCAAATAGGAAGAAAGGAAATCAAATCGTCTCTGTTTGCAGATGACATGACTGTATATTTAGAAAACCCCAATGCCTCAGCCCAAAATCTCCTTAAGCTCATAAGCAACTTCAGCAAGGTCTCAGGATACAAAATCAATCTGCAAAAATCACAAGCATTCCTATACACCAATAATAGACAAACAGAGAGCCAAATAATCAGTGAACTCCCATTCACAATTGCTTCAAAGAGAATAAAATAACCTAGGAATCCAACTTACAAGGGATGTGAAGGACCTCTTCAAGGAGAACTACAAAACACTGCTCAAAGAAATAAGAGAGGACACAAACAAATGGAAAGACATTCCATGCTCACTGATAGGAAGAATCAATATTGTGAAAATGGCCATACTGCCCAAGGTAATTTATAGATTCAAGGCTATCCCCATTAAGTTATCATTGACTTTCTTCACAGAATTCAAAAAAACTACTTTAAAGTTCATATGGAACCAAAAAAGAGCCCGTATAGCCAAGACAATCCTAAGCAAAAAGAACAAAGCTGGAGGCATCACGCTACCTGACTTCAAACTATACTACAAGCCTACGGTAACCAAAACAGCAATGGTACTGGTACCAAAACAGAGATATAGACCAATGGAACAGAACAGGGGCCTCAGAAATAACACCACACATCTAGAACCATCTGATCTTTGACAAATCTGACAAAAACAAGCAATGGGGGAAAGATTCCCTATTTAAAGACAAATCTGACAAAAACAAGCAATGGGGGAAAGATTCCCTATTTAATAAATGGTGTTGGGAAAACTGGCTAGCCATATGCAGAAAACTGAAACTGGACCACTTCCTTAGACCTTATGCAAAAATTAATTCAAGATGGATTAAAGACTTAAATGTAAGACCTAAAACCATAAAAACTCTAGAAGGAAACCTAGGCAATACCATTCAGGATACAGGAATGGGCAAAGACTAAATGACTAAAACACCAAAAGCAATGGCAACAAAAGCCAAAATTGACAAATGGGATCTAATTAAACTAATGAGCTTCTGCACAGCAAAAGAAATTATCATCAGAGTGAGCAGGCAACCTAAAGAATGGGAGAAAATTTTTGCAATCTATCCATCTGACAAAGGACTAAAATCCAGAATCTACAAAGAACTGAAAAAAATTTACAAGTAAGAAACCAACAACCCCATCAAAAAGTAGGCGAAGGATATGAACAGACACTTCTCAAAAGAAGACATTTATGCGGCCAACAAACATATGAAAAAAAGCTCATCATCACTGGTTATTAGAGAAATGCAAATCAAAACAACAATGAGATACCATCTCATGCCAGTTAGAATGTCGGTCATTAAAAAGTTGGGAAAAGGGGCCGGGCTCAGTGGCTCACACCTGTAATCCCAGCACTTTGGGAGGCAGAGGCAGGCAGATCACGAGGTCAGGAGATTGAGACCATCCTGGCTAAAATGGTGAAACCCCATCTCTACTAAAAATACAAAAAAATTAGCTGGGCGTGGTGGTGAGCACCTGTAGTCCCAGCTACTCGGGAGGCTGAGGCAGGAGAATGGCGTGAACCCAGGAGGTGGAGCTTGCAGTGAGCCAAGATCGCACCACTGCACTCCAGGCTGGGCGACAAAGCGAGACTCCGTCTCAAAAAAAAAAAAAAAAAGTTGGGAAACAACAGATGCTAGAGATGATGTTGCAAAACAGGAACACTTTTACACTGCTGGTGGGAGTGTAAATTAGTTCCAGCATTGTGGAAGACAGTGTGGCAATTCCTCAAGGATCTAGAACCAGAAATACCATTTGACCCAGCAATCCCATTACTGGGTACATACCCAAAGGATTATAAATCATCCTACTATAAAGACACATGCACATGTATGTTCAATGCAGCACTGTTCACAATAGCAAAGACTTAGAACCAACCCAAATGCCCATCAATGATAGACTGGATAAAGAAAATGCTGCACATATATACCATAGACTACTATGCAGCCATAAAAAAGGATGAGTTCATGTCCTTTGCAAGGACATGGATGAAGCTGGAAACCATCATTCTCAGCAAACTAACACAGGAACATAAAACCAAACACTGCATGTTCTCACTCATAAGTGGGAGTTGAACAAGGAGAACACATGAACACAGGGAGGGGAACATCACACACTGGGGCCTGTCGAGGGGTCGGGGGCTAGGGGAGGGATAGCTTTAGGAGAAATACCTAATGTAGATGACGGGTTGATGGGTGCAGCAAACCACCATGGCACGTGTATACCTATGTAACAAACCTGCATGTTCTGCACATGTATCCCAGAACTTAAAATATAATAATAAAAAAAAACCTTCTTTACACTATTTTTGGAATGTTTCAAGTTTGAAACTACTTCAAAAGAAAAGCATTTAAACATGAGTAAAGAACCCCCTGTTACCCCCGAAAATGGAGGGAAATGTGAATATATTTTTTTTCTTTCTGAAATTCTCTTGGAAAGGGAAAAGTCACATAATACAAAGTCCAGAAATCATGAAGGAAAAAAAAATTGACTATGTAAAAAATAAAACGCTTCTGCCTGGCAAAAATAAATTTACATATGAGATAAAAAACAACCAAACAATAAAATGAGGAAAAAACAGTAATTTTAAATGACAAGCAGGTTACTTCCTTAATTAGACAACCATAACCCAATAGAAAAAAGACATGAACAGCAGTTTCCAAAAACAGAAATTAAAATAGTAAACTTAGGAAAGTATGTTCTACTTATTTAAAAAAGCATATCAAAACCAGAAGACATTTTTTTCACTTCGAATAAAATTTTAACATTTGCTAATACTCAGTAATGAAAGCAGAGAAAGATATTCATTCACTGTTAGCAAACTATAAGTTAAGCAAATCTGGGCTGGGCACAGTGGCTCACGCCTGTAATCCCAGTACTTGGGAGCCCAGTGCAGGCAGATCACTTGAGGTCAGGATTTTAAGACCAGCCTGGCCAACATGGTGAAACTCCATCTCGGCTAAAAATACAAAAATCAGCTAAGTGTAGTGGCACGCACTTGTAGTCCCAGCTACTTGGGAGGCTGAGATGGGACAACCGCTTGAACCTGGGAGACGGAGGTTGCAGTGAGCCAAGGTTGTGCCACTGTACTCCAGCCCGAGCAAAAGAGGGAGACTTCGTCCCAAAAAAAAAAAAATTTTTTTTTTTTTGGCAAAATAATCAAAATTTAAAATTCACATCCTCTTTTACTCAACAATTCCATTTCTAGGAATTTATCCTATGAATAAAAGTATAAGCAAATATATATATACACACATATATATGTATATATATGAGGAAGTTCAAAGCAGTATTTTTCATAACTGTAAACACTCATAATGTGAATATCCATCAAAAGAAGATATATTAAGCAAAAGATGGTATATGCAGAAAATGAAATACTATATCACCATAAACAAATGAGGTAGATCTGTATGTGCTAACATAAAAATTTATCTAAGGCATATATGATAATAATGGTGAAAATAATACAGATTCAGAATAGTGTGTATAATGATTTCATTTAATTTTAAAAATAAAAGAATACAGGCCGGGCACGGTGGTTCACGCCTGTAATCCCAGCACTTTGGAAGGCCGAGGCGGGTGGATCACAAGGTCAGGAGTTCAAGACCAGCCTGGCCAAGATGGTGAAACCCTGTCTCTACTAAAAATGCAAAAAAAAATTAGCTGGCGTGGTGGCGGGCGCCTGTAATCCCAGCCACTCAGGAGGCTGAGGCAGAGAACTGCTTGAACCCAAGAGACAGAGGTTGCAGTGAGCCGAGATTGCGCCACTGCACTCCACCTTGGGTGACAGAGATAGGCTCTGTTTCAAAAAAAAAAAATGAATATATACATGTATGTATACACACACATACTACATACACACACACATGCATGTTCTTGTGCATGTGTGTACTAGTATATGCCACAAAAATTTTTTTAAAAACTAGAGAAGCAGTAGTTAACAGTGTTATTGCTCAGGAGAGGGATTGGAGGCTGCAGAAATTAGAAAAGTAGATTTATTATTTTATATCTTTCTTAACTATTTATACTTTTTACCATTTCAATTTCTCTCTCAACATGTAATTTTCTGGCTGGGCGTGGTGGCTCACGTCTGTAAGCCCAGCACTTTGGGAGGCCGAGGCGGGCAGATCACAAGACCAGGAGACCGAGACCATCCTGGCTAACACGGTGAAACCCCGTCTCTGCTAAAAATACAAAAAATTAGCCGGGCGTGGTGGCGGGCGCCTGTAGTCCCAGATACTCGGGAGGCTGAGGCAGGAGAATGGCGTGAGCCTGGGAGGCGGAGCTTGCAGTGAGCAGAGATCACGCCACTGCACTCCAGCCTGGTGACAGAGCGAGACTCCATCTCAAAAAAAAAAAAAAAAAAAAAAAGTAATTTTCTTAATGTCTATTCAAAACAAATTGCAAATTGTCTTATATAAAATTCCTGTGATTGTTTGAAATACTATTTGTGGACTTTCTTAATTCATGCTTATATTAATTTTGAAAGTAACATTACCTGGAATGATTTGACAGGGGCAGATACTTCAGTTACTGGTTCAGGTTTTGGAATGCTTTCAATCAATTCCATAATCCCTTGTAGTTTTTTATCTGAGATTCGTAAAGAAATAAGAGGTAACTTTCCATAAATCTTGAATCTGTTTTGAAAAGATAAAAATAAGTAATTATAAAGGAATTATTCTGATTTAAGTGCACTAATTAAAAAGACTGTTCTCAAATTATCTGAATCAAATGTGATTTTAAACACTAAAAATCTCTATTCCAATTTCCGTCTTACCGTATTAACCAGTTTCATTAGATGGGCTAAACTCATTATTTTTCAGAGGTTTATGTTCTTATTTCATGTAATGTCCTTCTACTGTTTGCTATATACAATTGACAATTACTACTAATCAAGTGTTTCTCATGTGACAGGCACTGAGGAAAGCACTTTACATGCATTATTGTAAACAGTCCTCACAATCTATGAGGCAGACAACCTATTTTTGCTCTCTATTTAAGTTCCTATATGTACATGCTTCCTATGAGAAAACTAAGGTTTGGCAGTGCAAATAGCCTGCTCATGAGACTATGTATCAAAGATCATTGAGCAAAACCACATCAGAGTGCTTTATTATTCTTTTAATTGCCTTGACAGTCTCCTTTGAGAGAGACAGAAAGTTAGTTTTCACTATCAGAGAGAGAGAGAGAAAGTTTTCACTCCCCATTTTTATCCCTGCATTTTCCCTAAAAATTACTTTTTCCACGTACGCACACTGATTACTTACGTTATCTTTCTAAAAATGTACTGGAGTCCTACAGAAAATTACAAGCTTTCTTTTATTTCCAATACCTTAAATATTTGTAATTAATCACAAGCGTAGTAGTAGTTTAACTTTGTTAAACATTATGAATCGGTTCTCTTAATGCACTTAAACTTTTTTTCACTTTCTTGAAAAATCTGCAAGTTGCGCAGTCTAAAGATGCTGGGTACCAAAACAGTATCTACCAAATAGCAAGCATCCTTTTATTTGCCTTCAACTTAACGCAGCTCAACTTTCAAGGGAATGTTCCTGACACCTGTGGAGTTTCAGGATTTGACATATCATATCCACTTTATACTGCTCACAATATTATAAAATAGAAACCAAATAACTTCTAAGATTTCATCTTTCTAAGTTAAGTCATTGTCATTTCTGCCCTGTACCCTTATAATCAGCTATTTTAATTCCTGCTATGCTGTACATATTCCCTGCATCACAAGACATAAATTCTTCCTAAGCATATACTGACAGAGCAAGTCCAAACCAAGATAAAAGCTGCCCTTTTCTTCCCTCAGAGAAATATCACCTACTTTTTCTGGTACCCTGTAACTTCCAAGATTATAGCATACTTACCAAGAAGAAAAGTACTTAAACTATGCTAAAAAAAATCAATTCTTAGTCATATGCTTACAACAAGAAATCGCACAGATCTTTAATCTTTATCACAGAATGAAAAACTTTACAAGAAACAGTAGAAAAGAGTAAACAAGCAGCAGACATAATTTGGGAGAAATGAAAAGAATTAAGCCTTTTCTCTTTAAATTGAACCATATCTAAAGCTGGATTTGAAAAAAAACAAGGGAATGCGTAGCATGGTTTTCTTTCCTTCTGTCTCTTAAACCAAATTCTAGCCATTCCTCTGCCTCAAGACTCTCAGTGCATGCTTTGATTTTCTAAGAAAAGAAAATCTAGGAGAGTAAGATTTAGGGCCCTGGACAATATTTGTTAGTAGATAGAGTCACTATGAGGTAAAGGTCAACAAAAAAGAGTGTGGGTCTCTCCCTTTTACATGTTAAGTATAATAAGTATTAAAAACAATGTCCACCCCATGTACCATATAGGAAAAGGCCAGAGTCTCTCTAATTCCCTCTATTCTTCCTAGTACACTTTAACTAGGCATGAAGCCTTCTCATGTTGCCTTGCTAGTAGCAACTCTCCTGGAAGTGTTTGGTAGATGTTAGATGAGAAAAGCCTTTGGTTAAATTTTAAAATAGATCTGTGCCTGAGGTCTGAATATTTGTAAGGGAGAAAAAAGGTGCTGTTACAAGGAAGAAGTTAAATGACTACCTACAGTCTAAAACTATTTAGAAATAAATAATCTAAATGGCCCAGTCTAGTTCAACAGACTTCTCTACTTAGGATCTCAGGCACATAGCTTCAGCTAACAATGAAATATAATAATCCCAGTAAATGTAAATACATGGATGAGTATAAAGCAAATGTTATTAGAATTTTGGTTTATAACTCTACTATTTATTTTCTACATAAGTTAAAAGACAAATGCATAAGAAATAATTACAATTCTTTGTTAATGGGTATAGAATACATAAAAATATAATCTGGGACATCAATAAGATAAACTGGAGGGGGCAAAACAGGAAACAAGTAGAGTTTTTGCATGCAATTGAAGCTAACTTGGTATCAGTTTTATTTTTCACTTTTTAAAATTTTTGTCACCCAAGCTGGAGTGCAGTGACATAATCATAACCCACCGTAGCCTCAACCTCCTGGGCTCAAGCTATCCTCCCACCTTAACTTCCCAAGTAGCTAGGACTATAGGCATGCACCATTATGCCCAGCTAATTTTATTTAATTATTTATTTACTTATTGTAGAGACAGGGTCTTACTACATTGGCCAGGCTGGTCTCAAACTCCTTGCCTCAAGCAATCCTACCACCTCGGCCTCTCAAAGTGCTGGGATTACAGGTATAAGACTATGCAACCTGCCTCAATCTTAAATAGGCTGTTATAGCCTGGGCAACATAGCAAGACCCATCTCTACAAAAAAATTTAAAAATTAGCTGAGTGTAGTGACGTGTGCCTGTAGTCCCAGCTACTCAGGAGGACAAGGCAGGAGGATCACTTGAGCACAGGAGTTCAATGCTGCAGTGAGCTACAACCACAACACTGTTCTCTAGCCTAGGTGACAGAACAAGACCCTGTCTAAAAAAATAAAGAAATAATAAATAAATAGACTGTTATAACTTGAGGATATTATACACAATCTCTATGGTAACCACAAAGAAAATACTTGTAGAATATACAAAACTGGAAATGAGAGAGGAATCAAAGCATGTCACACACAAAAATCCACTGAACACAAAGGGCACCATTAAAGGAGGAAATGAGGGATCAAAAAAGCTGTAAGACATACAGAAAGCAAATAACAATATGACAAAAGTAAGTCCTCCCCATCTGTATTTACTTTAAATGTAAATATATTTTTTCTCAATTAAAAACTTCAAGTGACAAAATGGATTAAAAAACAGGATGCAACTACATACTGTCTACAAGAGATCACGTTAACTCATAGAAAACACACAGGTTAAAAGTGAAAAAAAAAATGAAGAAAGACATTCCATGCAAATAATCACCAAAAGAGAGCAGGGATGCCTGTAACAAAAACAGCCAAAATAGACTGCAAATCAAAAACTGTTACAAGCAATAAAGAAGGACATTACATAATGATAATGAAAGTATAACTTCACCAAGAAGACATAACAATTATAAACATATATGTGCCAAACATCAGAGTTCAAAAATATATAAAGCAAGCACTGACACAATTAAGAAGAAGAAACAGACAGTTCCTTGATAATAATAGGAGACTTCAATATCTCACTGTCAATACTGAATAGAAACACCAGGCAGTAGATTAATAAGGAAACAGGGGACTGGACCAATAAAATTGACCAACTGGACTAAAATGACATATATAGAACACTCCATCCAGGAAAATAGACATTTTTCTCAAGTGCATATGAAACATTCTCCAGGACAGATTATACGTCAGGTAAAAAACCAAGCGTCAAAAAATGTTAAAAAAGTGAAATCATAAGAAGTATCTTTTCCAATAATGATGAAATGAGTCTAGAATGCAAGAGTAGAAGGAAAAAGTGTAGAAGTCACAAGTGTATAGAAATTTAAAAACAGATGGTTAAACAAGCAATGAGATCAAAGAAATCACAAGGGAAATTAGAAAATAACTCAAGACAAATGAAAATGAAAATACAACATACCAAAATTCATAGGATGCAGCAAAAGTCTGCCAAAAGCGGACTTTATAGCTGTAAACACCTACATTAATAAAGAAGAAAGACCTAAAATCAATAGCCTAACTTTACACCTTAAGGAACTAGAAAAAGAACAGCAAACTAAACCTAAAGCTACCCGAAATAAAAAAAATAACAAAGATGAAAGCAGAAATAAATAAAATATAGAAAAACAATAGAGAAAAAAATCAACAAAAATGTGAGTTGGTTCTTCAAAATGATCGAGATTGAAAACCTTTAGTTAGACTGAGAAAAAAACAGAAAAGACTCAATTTAAATCAGAAATGAAAGTGGTAACATTACTACTCATTTTACAAAACAAAAAGGGCTGTTAAGAGAGAGACAATTACAAACAATTTTACACCAACAAATGGATAACCTTAAATGAAACAAATTCCAAGAAACACAAATCTACCAACACTGAATTATGAAGAAACAAAATCTGGATAAACTACTATGGAGACTGAATCAGTAATCAAAAACCTCCCAATAAAGAAAACCTCCCACGATCTGATCGCTTCAATAGTGAATTCTACCAAACAATCAAAAACTGAAGAGGCAGGAATACTTTCTAATCCATTCTATAAAGACAGCATTACCCTGATACCAAAGCCAGACAAAGATACTAGAAGAAAAGAAATCTGTAGTCCAATATATCTGAAAAATATTAATGCAAAACCCAAAAGCACAAGCAAACCTAAATCAATAGCCCATTACATGGTTTATATATCATTTACTCTTGGAATTTATTCCTAGAATAAGAGGATTTATTCCTGGAATAAAAGGATTTTTTGCTGGACTCAAGAAATATGATTTAATATATAGAGAGCAATTAAGGTAACATACCCCATTAACAGAATGAAGGAAAAAAATCATCTTGATCATTTTTTACATGATCACATGATCATCTCAAAGCACAGAAAGGATTTGAAAAAATTCAACACGTTTTCATAATAAAAAGTTAGCAAACTAGGAACAGAAGGAAACTACCTCAACATAATAAAGGTCATCCATAAAAACCCCACAGCTGACATCATACTCAATGGTGAAATACTGAAAGCTTTTCCTCTGGGCTCAGGATTAAGGTGAGGATGCCAACCTAAACTACTTCTATTCAAGAGAGTGCTAAAAAATTCTAGACAGACCAATTAGGCAAGAAAGAGAAATAAAAGGCACCCATATCAGAAAGGGAAAAAAATTAACTCCATACACAGATGATAGGATCTTATATGTGGAAAATCTTAAATCTGTTAGAACTTTAGAATCCTAAAACTTAGAATTGTAAACAAATTCACAAGTTGCAGGATATAAAAATCAGTTAAGTTCCCACATACTAACAATAAACAATCCCCCCAAAATTTTTAAATTCATTTACAATAGCATCACAAAGAATAAACTTAAGAAATGAGGCAAGAGACTTTAGTACTGAGACCTAGAAAATGTTGCTGAAATCAAAGACACAAATAAATAGAAAGATATTCCATGTTCATGGACTATAACAGTCAATATTATTAAGATGTCAATACTATTCAAAGGGATCTACAGATTTGATACACTCTTTGTTAGAATCTCTATAACATTTTTTACAAGAAAAGAAAACATGCTAAGATTCATATGGAATACCAAAGGATCCCGAATAGCCAAGACAATCGAAAGAACAAAGTTAAATAACTCACATCTCCTGATTTCAAAACTTCCTATAAAGCTACAGTAATCTAAATAGTGTGGTACAGGAAAATAAAGACATAGAGACCAATGGAATAAAACAGAAAGCCCAAAAATAAGCTCTTGCATATATGGATAAATGATTTTCAACTAGGGTACCAAGGCCATTCAATGAGAAAAGGACAGTCTTTTCAACAAATTGTATAGAGGAAATGAGATATTTGCATGCAAAAGAATAAGGCCGGGAGCAGTGGCTCACGCCTGTAATCCCAGCACTTTGGGAGGCCGAGGCGGGCGGATCACGAGGTCAGGAGATCAAGACCATCCTGGCTGGCACGGTGAAACCCCATCTCTACTAAAAATACAAAAAATTAGCCAGGCGTGGTGGCGGGCGCCTGTAGTCCCAGCTACTCGGGAGGCTGAGGCAGGAGAATGGTGTGAACCCTGGGGGGCGGAGCCTGCAGTGAGCCGAGATCATGCCACTGCACTCCAGCCTGGGCGACAGCGAGACTCTGTCTCAAAAAAAAAAAAAAAAAAAAAAAAAAGAATAAAGGCCGGTCCTTATCCTATATGTCACATACAAAAATTAACTCAATGGATCAAAGATCTAAATAAAAGAAGCTAAAACTATAAAACTCTTTAAGGTAAACAAAGAAGAAAAGCTTTATGACATTGGATTTTGTAATAATTTCTTGGATATGACACCAAAAGCATAGGCAACTAAGATAAACTGGACAATAAAAATTTTAAACTTTTAGACATCAAAGGCCACAATCAACAGAGTGATAAGGAAACACAGAGTGAGAAAAAATATTTGCAAATCATATATCTGATAAAGAGTTAATATCCAAAATATATTTTAAAACTCTCACAACTCAGCCGGGTGCGGCAGCTCATGCCTGTAATCCCAGCACTTTGGGAGGCTGAGGCGGGTGGATCACAAGGTCAGGAGATCAAGCCCACCCTGGCTAACACGGTGAAATCCCATCCCTACCAAAAACCCAAAAAATTAGCTGGGCGTGGTGGCATGCGCTTGTAGTCCCAGCTACTCAGGAGGCTGAGGCAGGAGAATCACTTGAACCCAGGAGGTGGAGGTAGCAGTGAGCCAAGATCATGCCACTGCACTCCAGCCTGGGTGACAGAGGGAGACTCCATCTCGAAAAACAGAAAAAAATAAATAACCAGATTAAAAGATGGGCAAAGATCTTGAATATGTATTTCTCCAAATAAATACATGAATGGTCAACAAACACAAGAACAGATGTTCAACATCACTAAGCATTAGAAAAATGACATCACTTCACACCTATTAGGATGACTATTAAAATAAAAAAACAGAAAATACCAAGTGTTGTAGAGGCAGTGAAGAAATTGAAACTCTTGTGCTGGTAGGAAAGTAAAATGGTGTAACTGCTATAAAAAACAGCACAGCACTCCTCTAAAACTTAAACACTGAACTATAATATGATCCAGCAATTCTACTTCTGAGTATACACCCAAAAATACTGAAATCAGGGACTTAAGCAGATATTTGTACACAGCAGCATTATTACAACAGCCAAACAGCATTAACAACACAAATGTTCATTGAAGGATGAATAAATAAAAACATAGTATATACAACATATAAGGAATATTAATCAGCCTTAAAAATACATGAAATTCTGACATATGCTCCAACATGGATGAATCTTGAAGACATTATGCTAAGTGAAGAAACCCAGGCACACAAAATCTGATTTTCTATGATTCCACTTATATGAGGCACCTAAAATAGTCAAATTCATAAAGACAGAAGATATAATGGTTGTTGTCAGGGGCTGGGTGCAGGGTGAAATGGGGTGTTATTGTTTAATTGAGTACAGAGTTTCAGTTTGGAAGAGAAACAGTTCTGGAAATGAATGGTGGTGATGGTTGCATAACAACATGCGTGAACCTAATGACAATGAACTATACTCTTAAAAATTATCAAAATGGTAAATTTTATATACATTTTACCACACACACAAGGAAGAGTCAGTTATATACATTTCACCACACACACAAGGAAGAGTCAGTTAAGTATGGTATTTCCCTAGCTACAGAATTACCCAGAAAATCCATATTCACATGAAACAAACAGTACATACTTGGGCATCCTTACATCCATGAAAACCATGGCCTTAGACAGTTCCAAATTGAAGTGCATGGGTACCAAAATATGCTGGGTAGATACACTGAGTTTTCGTGCTTCTCTCCAATTATCACCTAAGTACAGAAAATAGTTCATATTTAACGTAACTATAACACACAAAACCTAAAATAACTATTAATACTTCATAGTCACACATTCCATTATATGAGGAAATTTCCCCACATCTAGGTAATCTTAATGTCACATTCTCAGGTACATACAATCAGTAGGTTATCAAATCTACTGCGCATCCACTGACAATCACTACACCAACCACATACCTTACCCAAAAAAGTAACATGGCAGTAAAGCAATAATGCAAAAGGTAGTAAAAAGTGAGGTTCTTTAACAGTAACTAATAAAAGCTACCATTTATTCAAGATTTATAATTTCTACTCTTCTAGGTAATGTTTAAATGTTAATTCTCAAAATTCTGTATAATAATCCCACTTTAGAAAACTGAGACTCAAAAGAATTTATAATTTGCCTATGATCAATCTGCTAGTGATAAAACTGAAATTCACATCCAAGTCTACTTGGATGTTGTTGATTGGCAACAATCACTGCAGAGTTACGAGCCTAAATGTTCCATAAGGGAATGGTTAAATAACTGAGACCATAGCCATATAGCATAATATAGACAATAAAAACCATGAGTTCAAGTGACCAAAATATTACTGGTAAAAGAAAAAATACCTGGATATAAAACTATATAAATCATGTAAAAAAAATACATTCACAAATACCTCCAATATAAACACCAAACAAGCACATCCCATATATTCACAGGTACACACACTGAAAAACATACTAAAAGGATGTGCAACAAAATATCAATAGTGTTCCTGCCTAAGCAGTAACATAAAGGTTTATCTTTTTGGTTTCTCAGTTGTTCAGATTTTCTGAAATAGGTATAATCAGAAAGAAATAACTTTAAAAATTCATAACAAGATTAATGGGATCTCAGTCATATAATGCATTTTCATATATACTATCTCATTTGAACATAATAATTCTATGAGTCAGATAAAATCCCAGTCAAGGAAAACCAAACCCAGTAATTTATTCCCTGAAAAAGAATTTGTGGAATTCTGAAAATAACGTACTTCTGCCACCCACTATACCTTTGGGTTTCCTCCACCACAATTAGAATATGATAAAAATACAAACTACATTCACTATCCTGAAGCAAATATAATTGAAGAAATAAAATGTTTCAGTCCTATACAAATTAACAATTTTGATAACAACTACTTTGGATTCTCATTGTTTCTCCTTTTATTGGTTAGCTCAGGTAATTAAAATCTGACTGCATACAAACACTTAGATCTCTACATATGGATCTCTTCAACAGATCAAATTTTACTGAATTATCTGCATGTTCACTAACACTCTAGGGATTCAAAAGCAGTATGACAGAACGAAAAGAAAGCTGAACGAGTCTGGGGTCTCTCCCTAACTACTTAAATGGCTCTTGGCAAGTGAATTTCTGGCTTTGACTTCATCTTCAAAACTAGCTCTAAATCAGACTCCTGACTGGTATACCACAGTGAATGAGATACAAGTATGTCTAGGAGAGTGACCCTCGTCTTTGTATGGCTGTCCATGACTGTCAGAGCCCCTAGGCTGCTTACTTCTGGCCCTGAGCAATGTCTTCTGGTTATCCAACTGTGTAGTAATACCAATATCATTTTCAATATGGGCCAACTTTGGTCAAAGGCTGGAAAACATTGGTACAGATCAGGATTTCTCGACCTCAGCACTACTGATATTTATTATGAGGGACTGGCCTGAACATCGTAGGATGCTTAGTAGTATCCCTCACCTTTACCCACTAGATGCTAGGAGTGCCACTCATGCTCTACCTGTGACAACCAAAGATGTCTCCAGATATTGACAAATGTCTCTTGGGGGGGCAAGACTGCTCCTGGTAAGAACAGCTAGACAATATTTACTATCATTTCTAATTCAAAAATATAGACGTTCTAACACATTTAAGAGGAAGGTCTTCAAAGTGTCTAAAAACCTAATTAATCACTTCAACAAAATCAATCAACAAATAATGCATTTTATACTCACCAACTCTACTGTAAAGCAGCTGTACACTTGTAAGTTGAATATCAAATGAATCATAAGCTCTATCCATTATCTCTTTAAGATTGGCCTCACCTTGTTTCACATCTGGTAATTCAGAACGACTTTTACTCGTCACCTTCAAGTTAATTTTAATAGTTTAGACTATGCAAAATACTTCAAAATGTAAGTATAAAGTGTTTAATTTTTAGACTTATAAAATGTTAATAGGAGAGGATAAATTCACAAGTAAGCATACATAATAAGGCTATTAGAAAGGTCCTCATCGATGAGATATATAATAATAAGGAGAGCGATAAAGTAAATTTTTACATATTAGGATATATTTCCCATTTACTTGCATTAAAAGAAACCAAGATGGTCCTGAAGAATAATATGTCTACAAATTTTTTAAATGTGATAAGAGGCCTTCTGATTAAGAGCAAGATCAAGAGACAAATTTAGCTTATAAAATGTTTCTATGGCATGATGACAAATACTGACATGGCTGTACAATAAGAAGTAAAAGAGTCCAGAATTAAATAGGATAGCTGAATTTTAGTTCCAACTCTGCCATTTATGCAACTCCAGGCAAGTTATATTTGTATCTCTCCTTTATTGGCATACTGTGCGCATTACTTTTTTCACTTAAACATCCTGGAGATGACTCCACAATAGTACATAAAGATCTTACTCATAAAAATACATGTGTGTACACATACATTTTTTAACTTTTTTTCCCTCTATATAGCTCATGTGAAGTAAACACTCAAAAAAAGATTATCTCTGTTTGAAAAGTAATAAATTTTAGGTAACAGGTTAAGCAAATTGCCTAAAGTCACAAAATTAGATATCCTTACTCCTAACCTTATGCTCTATTATACCACACTGCCCTTGAAACAACTGAATAAAATTCAAATATGAATAATAAGCTGTATAAATTTTATTATAAATATATACCCAGTGGGCGTTTACACAATTAACAAATGCAGAATTTTTAAAAATAGGATAAGGGAAGATGTCAGTATCAAGGACAGGCACGTATTTTTGTTAAGTGGCCAGAAAAAGCATTCTAATATTATCCACCTCTCTTGGTTCTTTAAATTGTGATAGATATTCCTCTACATTTAATGATTTACAGCAACGCTGTCCAGTAGAACTTCTACAATAATGGAAATGTTCTATATCAATGCTGTCAAATACAGGCCAGGCGCGGTGGCTCACACCTGTAATCCCAACACTTTGGGAGGTCAATGCCAGCAGATAACTTGAGGTCAGGGGCTCAAGACCAGCCTGACCAGCATGGTGAAACCCCATCTCTACTAAAAATACAAAAACTGTCTGGGCTTGATGGCACACGCCTGAAATCCCAGCTACTTGGGAGGCTGAGGCAGAAGAATCACTTGAACTCGGGAGGCAGAGGTTGCAGTGAGCTGAAATCACGCCACCGCACTCCAGCCTGGACAATAGAGTGAGACTATGTCTCAAAAACAAAAACAAAAAATACAGTAGCCACTAGCCACTTCTGACTATTAAACTCTTAAATGTGGCTAATATGACTAAGAAACTGAATTAATTTTAATTCTAATTAATTTAAATAACCCCATGTGGCTGGGAAGTGGGTACTATAGTGAAGAGCACAGATCTAGAATACCGCCAAAAAAATGTATTCTCTACTGAAAATTTGGAAAGAAAAAAGTATATAATTAGAAAAAAAGGGTCAGGCATGGTGGCTCACGCCTGTAATCCCAGCACTTTGGGAGGCCGAGGTGGGCAGATCACTAGGTCAGGAGATCGAGACCATCCTGGCTAACATGGTGAAACCCAGTCTCTACTAAAAATCACAAAAAAAATTAGCCGGGCGTGGTGGCGGGGGCCTGGAGTCCCAGCTACTCGGGAGGCTGGGGCAGGAGAATGGCATGAACCCAGGAGGCGGAGCTTGCAGTGAGCCGAGATCGTGCCACTGCACTCCAGCCTGGGCCACAGAGCCAGACTCTGTCTCAAAAAAAAAAAAGAAAGAAAAAAAGGGAAATGACTTAGGTAAACAGAAGAAGGCCATTTCTCAATTTAGAATTATTAAATACAAATATTAAAATGTCAATATATATATAGTTTTATGCACAAAAAATTTCAGAAAGATGAAGACGTATTTGATTGTTTCCACAATTCTCTATCATTCTATATACTTTAAGTAATCAAGTAATAGGTCTAAATTGAGAAAGAAATAAGCTTCTCAAGCACAACTCTCAAATACTACAAATATAAATCTTAGATTCGGGCCAGGCGCGGTGGCTCACGCCAGTAATCCCAGCACTTAGGGAAGCCAATGCAAGTGGATCACTTCAGTACAGGCATTCGAGACCAGTCTGCAACATAGTGAAATTCCGTCTCTACTAAAAATACAAAAATTAGGTGGGCGTGGTGGCGGGCACATGTAATCCCAGATACTCAGGAGGCTGAGGCCTGAGAATCACTTGAACCTAGGAGGCAGAGGTTGCAGTGAGCCAAGGTCGCAGTACTGTATTCCAGCCTGGGCGACAGAGTGAGACTCTGTCTCAAATCAATCAGTCAATCAATCAATCAATCAATCAGTCAATCAAGCTTAGATTCAAACCTGCCCTGCAGAGTTTAATTGGTCATTTTGCTTTCATAAGTGTAGGAAAACTACCTAATTGAGACTTCACTTTATTTAACAGAAAGGGAGATTTCTCAAATCTTACTTATCTACCACAAATCTAGGAAAAAAAGCAATAAATCAAACTGTTTAAAAAACAAAATACATTTAAAACAAAGAAACACCCCAAATGCTGTATCATAAATCAAATATTATTAGTATATACCTTTAGATGACCAAGGTCCAAAAGAAGCAGATTTGATGTAGGACTAAAAATTCCATCTTGTGGGACAATAATATATGAAGCCTTCAAATTAATTTTGAGATCAAGAACTTTCTGTGTTTCAATAATATACAGTAGACCTGGAAAAATGTAAATCTTTTCTATGAATACTTTTCACAAATTACTCGAGAAATACAGAATCACTAAATATATGAACTGATAAAACAATCTTAATGTAAAATTAGTATTAATTTTAAAATGACCTCAGCAAAATACTTCCAATATAAAATTTAAAATACCTGCCAATGCATGTACTCCTATTTAAATATAGCTGAGTACAAAATTGGAGTGATTCTTCCAAAAAAAATTTTTAACCTATAAACTCAATTTGGGTAAAATTGGGAAGATACAGACCAAAAAAAAAGTTTCAGTGGCATAAAATATTTACTCACAACAACTCTTAGAATCTACATAGATACTTCTCAATTCATAAACTTCATAAGCTACATTTACCATACTGAACAATAACACTTGATCTTAATATTATTCTGAGAATATAAAAAATCCTGGATTATCAAATCATCTTCAATAAAATCATATGCAAACCAGAAAAGGCAACAAACCAGAGTTTTCCATTCCCTAGGTCCTTCATTCACTTGGAGTTTTTTAGTCTAATAAATTTAATTCATTCACTTGCATGTGATTAGTATACCAAATTCATCTATTTTATGTCCCTAAGTCCAGTATCAGCATCAGCTTTTAAATCTAAACAAATTATTTTCTATGAGATGTGAACCCTTTCTTAAAGAAAAAATTATATGAGCAGCCATCAAATCAGTTAGAGTAAATGAAAGATATTTGACTTAAAAAGTTTAAAAAGATCTGACACTCAAACAAAAAGGCACATTTTTTCACACACACACACACACACAAAATGTAGGCAGGTCAGTATATTTGAATATAACCTTTAAAGTTAAGAATTTATTATTAAAGAATACATGTTCAAATTAAAGAATATGTCAACAATTTTAATGTACTTAAAATTACAAATAAAATACATATACAATTATAAAGCTTAAAAGCAGACATTGAGCAAGTGTCAAGTGCCAACACATAATCAGCTTGATATACAAGCCAACAGAAAGAAAATGAATAAATTAAAAGTAATTAAAATACCTTCTGTTTTAAATATCTATTTAAATTAAAATAGAAAATAAATAACCTAAGCCTGTGCTACAGTTTGGGATTTTAGCCCTCCAAAACTCATGCTGACACCTGATTTTTAATGCTGGAGGTGGGACCCTAATAAGACCTGTCTGGGTCATGGGGGCAGAGTCCTCACAAATGGCTTGATGTTGTCCTCATGGTAATGAGTGAGTTCTCGCTCTTTTAGTTAGAGCTTGTTGTTTAAAAGAGCCTGGCACCTCCTTCCTTTCTCTTGCCATGTAATCTCTGCACATGTGGGCTCCCCAACTCTTTCTGCCATGAGTGGAAGCATTCTGAAACCCTCACCAAAAGCAGATGCTGGAGTCATGCTTCTTGTACAGCCTGTAGAACCATGAAACAAATAAACCTCTTTTCTTCACAAATTACGCTGCCTCCAGTAGTCTTTATAAAAATAACACTAATAAATTACATCTGGGACAGCTCTTCCTTGAAATATGAGAAACTGTTATCAAAACTGTGTCATCTTTAAGGGATTCCAACGGCCTTGCACAGGTAGCCCAAGCAAGACTCTAGTAGAGAGAGGAAGAAAAAACCCTGGCATTTCCCATAGCCTGTAAGAAGCAAATTCAAGTGAAATCTCTTAAAATGAGGATGGAAGGTGAGGTGAGATAGAGGTTTGAAAACAGACTGACAGATCATCAAAAATTCTGAAGACCATCCAATTAGCCTGAAACTTAAGAGCAGAATTGACTCAAACAGTTATTCATTCTTTTTCCCCAAATGATTTGGATTCAAACACAGATGGCATGATTTTACTAAAGTAACAAGAAGCATCCAGAAGGGTCAATCTGACATTCAAGATTCTCCAGAGACTATCTGTTAAGCATTTCTCTATCTTCATTTCCATCTCTAGTCTAAGGATTCCTCAAGTATTCTGGCTTCTACAAATCTAAGTTCTGGTACTCCCTGGAAGTCCTACCACAAGCCTTAGTTTCAACAAAGCCTTTCTTGATACCAGGACACAATGATTTCTCTAAGTTGTTTTTAATGGAAGGGAGTGGGGAGTATTTTATTTTGACCTTAGGTTGATTGGGTCTCTCCCCTATTTTCCATTGCACTTACAACAAAATCCTAACTGCTTAATATGACTTTCATATTTGCATAATCAAGAGTATGCATCTTTAACATCCCTCCACTCTCCCCTCACTCATTACATTAGAACCAATTCAGCTTTCTACAACTTCCAAATTCACCCAATTGTTTGCTAAGTTAAGCTCTTCACAGTGGACCATCACCTTGAAGGCTCTTTCTTATACCCTTTAGCAGTGTGGATCCTACATATATATCTGATCTTAATGTTGAATTTTCAGAGATCTTCTCTGACACTACCACCAAGACTAAATTGGGGCATCTATCCATTCTCATTTCTTTCACAGCATTTGGGCTGATTATAGAATTGTTTCCTCACTCAGCTCCAAATTCACCCACTTGTCTGCTCTGTGAAAGTAGATCTGAGTTGCTTAAATGATTTTCCTTTGCCAACTAGCACTGAAATAGATAAAGAACACAGGAGAGACACTGCAGGAGAAAAGAGCTGGCTTCCTGGTTCCAGTACACTCATTTAGCAATATCCTGTAACACTGTGCCTTTCTCCAACACAATGCATAATGTGCACATAACAGCACTCAAAAGCCAGTATTCTGCCCCTAGAACCCTCCTCAGGTGGTTTCACAGCAGAACGAGGGCAGTGAGACATTGCCCCATGAATATTTTTCCTTTTTACCTCAGAGGATGGATTTCCAGAAAGTTTTAGAGAGCAGATTACCAGAAAGACACAAGAATGGCTTTTCTACCATTCAATGACTCACAGAGGTTCCTTCTCCCAACAAAGTGTGGATTTCAATTCTCAGGGAAGAGAGAGACCTCTTCCTAGGGAACGCTGTCTCAGTTCTATATTCCTCATAACTACTCTTCTTAAATATATGTATTTTTGGAGACAGCATCTCACTCTGTCACTTAGGCTGGAATGTAGGAGTTGCTATCATAGCTCACTGCAGCCCTGACCTCCCGGGCTCAAGCAATCCTCCAGTCTCAGCCTGCCAAGTAGCTGGGACGATAGGTACACGTCACCAAACCTGACTAATTTTGTAATTTTTTGTAGAGACAAGGTCTCACTATGTTGTCCAGGCTGGTCTCCAACTCCTGACCTCAAGTGTTCCTCCCCGCTCGGCCACCAAAACCTCTGGGATTACAACTATGAGCCATGGCGCTTGGCCTCTTGTTACATTCTTTAAAGTTACTCTTTGGAGTAACAAAACAGTCCCTCATTACAGTTAATAATTCATTACATTAAACATACCTATCAAAATTACTGTGTGGTTTTTCTTTCCTGATTGGACCCATACAGCATTAATCAAAAATTTCCAGTATATTGCTCTTAGTTTTATATTTGTCCTATCCATAAGAGTATAACATCTATCAATAGGCAAGAACTACATCCATTCTGATCATTGCTATGTTCCCTAAAACCTAGCATAGTGTCTGACATATAGATTAGGCTCTTGATATATATTTAAATGAGTAAATAAATGAAATAACTGAAAGAAAATGATTCACTATGATCCTATCAGAGAACCTTGTACTCTGAAAGAAGAGTTTTAGCAAACGACCACATCTGTTTTCCTGCCAGAGACAAAGGATAACTAGTTGAGCAGGCTCTGTAAGCTCATGCCATAGTTGACAACAAAAAGACCTGAAAGACCTTGAGTTCTTAGAAAGGAAGGGGAAAATAACAAGCTGAGCATCCCTAATCTGAAAATCCAAAATCAAAACGCTCCAGGATCTAAAACTTTTTCAGCACCACAATAACATGATCCTCAAAGATCATATTCACAGAAAATGCTGCTTAGAATACTCTGAATTTCCTATTTCCCAATTAAGGATGTTCAACAAGTAAGTAAAATGCAAATATTCCAATATCCGAAGAAATCTGAAATCTGAAACATTTCTGATCCCAAACATTTCTGCTAAGGGATACTCAACCTATAATACAAGAAAGAAACCAGGATGTTAATAGAGGAGAATGTAACAAAATAAAAGGAAGAAAGGAGGAATATGAGGGAAGGAAAGAACCTAAGTAACCAGAATCATTATAATATATATGAGTCTCTTCACAAATAGGTAAATTTTAACTTTCTAGAAAAAATCCAAAATATATTAAATTTTAAAAATTAAGTGCAAAAACCTATCATAGAAGCTTTCCATTTTTTTTCATAGAATTAGCATTTTTATACTATTGGTATAGAAAAGAAAACAAAGTTGGAAGAACAGACTTCAAATTTTAAAGGTTATTATGTACAGAAGGTAAAATACTGAAGACTTCCACTTTCTAAAACATATTTCTGTAACATGTGAACTTTATATTGTGGATATTTACTGTTTGGTAATTTTTTTAAGTAATAAAAGTTGAGGTAAATAAATCTTAGAGATAAAAAATCTCAAAATCTGAATGTCTATAGTGGATTTCCAATATGATTAATTTGTATTTAACTATGAGTTTCTATCAATCAAGAAAAACTGACTAGAAGTAGCCTGATCTTATGCTTTGGTTTCTACTCAGTATATAATATACCAATATACAGAATGTAAACTAGGAATGGAATTCCCAGATTTTAACAAAGAATACAGGAATAAATGCAAACCCTACAGTTTCTAGAGGTAAGGTATTCATGTACAATCTAATTTAAAACTATTCAGATATAAAAATAGTAGAGAAAAATGAGCAAAAGCCAGAGAAGACACATATATTTTGAAGAATATAACACACACTTTTCTGTGAAAAAAGAAAAATTAATAATGAATCAAGATGCCTATTATAATATTGCCTAACAAAAGACAACTAGTTAGACATTTCCTGAAGGTCTTATCAAAATGTGATTTCTTGACTCATCTAAATTATTTTATCTTAGGAAAGAGAACAAAGGAAAATGACAGATAGTATATCTCATATCTACCAATAAGGATAAAGTGAATATAATAAAAATGGCAAGAGAAAAATCATAATTTCATGCCAGGTTTTATAGCCACCAAAATGGGACAAATTCTGAGTTCAATTAGAAGTGTACTCCCAGGCTTAACAAAACCAGAATTTTAAAACTTTGACAATGAAATTGGATCTTACTCCAAAGATAATTTCAGCCTCTCAGAACACAGGAAACAGAAGACAAAGATGGAGAGTCTTGCAAGAGTTCTCCTCACAAATCTGAAATCTTAAAGGACACTCACTCAAAGAAAGAATAATTGTGAAGTAAAACCTTCCTCTCCCTAAAACACTCTCACAGGGGGATGCAAACAAAGGCTGTGAGAAAAATTAGGAGAAAAAGGTAATACCTCTGTGAATGATAAGTATGATATATTCCTCAAGGAGGTATGTAGCCCAAGAATTCTTTGGCAGTCCAGAACATCTTAAGCAATTAATTTAGCTATGCCACCAACATACCCAAGGTACCTGGCAGAAGAAATATAAATCTTCCCGAAATGAAGGCCCACTTATCTCAGGCTTCAGAGAATTCTCCCAAATAATATTCTAAGGAAAATGAGCAGATTACAATTAAAAATTACCAAGCATAAAAAGACACACGTTACCATAAGTAAGTACCAACAAAAACAAAAGACAGAAGATAGGAAAAACAGAACCACAAAAGTCTTCATATAACGGACTATCTGAAGAGAGAGAATTAACTGGTGAGACAGAATATAAAATACTGTACTTATGATCTCTGAAAAAAAAAAAAAAGACAAGTGTAAAGATATCCGTGGGAAATACAAAACCAAAAAAGAATGACAACACAGATTTTAAATTTAACAAAACAGAATTCCTAAAGGGAAAAATATAATCACTGAAATTAAACTTAATGAAGAGATTTGATACCACATTGGGCATGGCTACAGAAGGACTCAGTAAATGAGAAGATAAATTAGAAGAAATTACCCAGCATGTAACACAGAGAAGAAACAGATGGAAAGAAAGCAGGATACAGAAGTTAAGGAGAATGGAAGATGGAGTAAGAAAGGCTAAAATTCATTTAGCCAGAATTCCAGAAGAGAATATATGTAAAGAGTTAGTGGCTAAGAATTTTCCAGATAGATTTTCTAGAACTCATTAAAAATCCCAGTACTCAGATTCATGAAATCCAGTGAATCCCAAAAAGGATATATAAAGCAAATCTATAGCTGGATACACCAAATTGCGACAACAGAATACAAAAGATAAAAAGTTCTTATATGTAAAAGAAAAGGGTAGATAATGTACAAAAAAAAACAGCAGACACACTGACACCTGAATTCTCAACATCAGTAATGAAAACCTAAAGACAGAATGCCCTCTTCAATGTGTTAAGGAGAAAATGAACATCAACCTTTAATTCTACATACAGTAGTATCATGTCAAGCTAATATGCAACGGGCATGGTGGCTCATGCCTGTAATCCCAGCACTTTGGGAGGCTGAGATGGATCACCTGAGGACAGAAGTTCGAGACCAGCCTGGCCAACATGGTGAAACCCCATCTCTAGTAAAAATACAAAAATTAGCTGGGTGTGGTGGCATACCCCTGTAATCCAAGCTACTCAGAAGGCTGAGGCAAAAAAATTGCTTGAACCTGGGAGGCAGAGGTTGCAGCGAGCCGAGATTATGCCACCGCACCCCCAGCCTGGCTGACAGAACAAGACACTGTCAAAAAAAAAAAAAAAAAACAAAAACATAACAAAAACAAACCACAGATTTGCCACCAGCAGATTCTTACAAGAGAAAATATTTACAAGGGAAGTTTACAAATGAACTTCCAGGCCAGGTCCGATGGCTCACACCTGTAATCCCAGCACTTTGGGAGGTCGAGGAGGATAGATCATCTGAGGTCAGGAGTTTGAGACCAGCCTGGCCAACACAGTGAAACCCCATCTCTATTAAAAATTTTTTTAAAAATTAGCCAGGCGTTGTGGTGGGTGCCTGTAATCCCAGCTACTCGGGAGGCTGAGGCAGGAGAATCGCTTGAACCCAGGAGGCAGAGGTTGAAAAAAAAAAAAAATGAACTTCCAACAGAAAGAAAATAAAATCAAATAAAAAGTGTAAGCTATAAGAGAAATGAAGAGCAAAGAAGGTAGTAAATGCACAAGTAATTGTAAACTACCATGAACTATATACATACAGTACAATAAAGTATTTTTAAGTAAAAAAAATAGTATATGGGGATGGTATATAAAGTTCAAGAGTACTAAAGTCCATATAATGACTAGGAGAATATAAAATTTTTCATTAAATTTATATTTTTACAAAAATGTATACTGTAATTTATAAAATAAAAAGAGATAGAGAATATTTAACTTCCCAATAGTAGATTGTAGGGAAGGGGGAAGAAAGGTATCCTAGAATTTATCCAAAGGAAGGCAAGAAAAATAAAACAAGGAAAACCAAATTCAAAAGCACAAAATAGGATGTTAGACATAAGCCTAAATAAATTAATTAAATGCAAAAAGTAGATATAAATAAAAAATAAGGACCATAAATCTAGATTGGAAAAAATCCTATTACATGTTGTTGACATGACACATCTGAAAACACAGGGAAAAAGTAAAAATATAAGAAAAAATATATACCAGGTAAATTCTAACGAAAAGAAACTTTGTACTTCATACTGACATCAGATCAAAAATAAAATAAAATAAAAAAGTACAAAGGGAAAAAAATTAAAGCATTAAAGATGTGGTTTATAGGAGGAAAAATAATTTACTCCTGCATGTACTTAATGACAGTCTTAAAATTTATTTTTTTTTTAATTTTTATTATTATTACTTTTGGTGTGTGTGGCAGGGTGTTGCTCTGTCGCCAGGCTGGTGAAACCTGGTCTCTATTAAAACCCCGTCTCTATTATGATTTTGCCATGTTGGCCAGGCTGGTCTCAAACTCTGACCTCAGGTGATCCACCCGCCTCGGCTTCCCAAAGTGCTGGGATCAAAGGTGTGAGCCACCGCGCCCAGCCAAATTTATTTTTTTAAACAAACTGACAGATCTATTAGAAATAGAAAAATCTACATTGATAATGAGGCATTTTTCATGTATTTCTCTTAATAACTGTTAGAACAAGGTGACAAAAGGGGAAAAAAAAAATCCAGTAAGGATACAAAAAATTTGAAGTAAAGGATTAACAATCCATACCTAATGAATAGGTATAGATATGAAAAGACAGCCTTTTCAGCATATGAGGAACATTTTTTTTAATATCATACATTGAGCTAGAAAACAAGTCCCAACCAATTACAAAGCATTAAAATCATACAGATAATCTCTATGGTCAACTATTTAATTAAAAAGTTCAATCTGTAATCTTAAACTTTCCCACAAAGAAATCTCCAAAACCAAGTGGTTTTACCATTAAGCTCTGCCAAATATTTAAGGAAGAAATCGTACCCGACCTTATTCAAACTCTCCTAGAGAATAAAAAAGGATAGAACTTTTTTCCCTGAGGCTGATATATCAAAATCTGGAACGCATTCTAAGAAAGGAAAACGAGAGGCCAGTTTTTGTCATAAATAGAGGTCCAAGTATCCTAAGCAAAATTTTGCAACTAACTTAAATGTGGTTACTAGGTATGAACTTTCTGAGTGTAAAAAATGATTATGGTTTTATCTGCCTTTAAACATAAAAGTACTAAATTAGTTTCTGTTAAACTAAAACCAGTCTAGAAATATAATAAATTTAAAATAAACTTTACTAAAAACATTCTACCATAAATAAAAGTTTAATATAGGATACAGTATTTAATTCACCAACATTAATATTGGCATTTACCTGTTGCTGTCTTACTGCGAAATTCTTCCAGTTTTGTCAAAGTTGCTGCAGTGAGCTGTGCTAGATGTACCTCTTTTGGAGGTCTGAAGAATTCCACTATACTATTCACTGTCCTCTGTTAAAATAAACATCATTAACACAAACTCAAAGCAAACTAAATTATATTAAAACTTAGTAATTTAAAAAAATGCTTACTGCATCATATATGATTTCTAAAGGTTCAGCTTCTATGATACACCTCTGAGAAACAGTTTCATCTAATGGATTTATCTCAAATGTAATTTGGAAAAGTGACATTGCATCATCCAATGAAGACAGGAGGCGGGGTTTTTCTGAATTATCTGGTAAGCCAGTAATATGAAATGAATCTATTTTAGTTTCAAATCTGCATTAAAAAAAAAAGAAAAAAGTCAGCGATCAGTAAAATTGTGAAGGATTTTAAAAATTGAAAATGATTTAAAAAATTAATGAAGACAACTTCACTTTGCATTTCTGACTCCAGTCCATTCCCATCAAAGAAGACATACAATGATTCCTCTAAATTGACATAGATTAATTCACAAAGAATCCTATTTGTGTTGACTTATATGTAAAAAAGTTATGATAAGCTAAAATTAAAATGACAGTAAATCTACAATGCTTAATGTAAAACTGAAAAGTTTTGCATATTTAACACAAGTCTATAAACATGTTTTCTTCTAAAAATAAAAATAAACATTTAAAGGCCAGACATGTGGCTCACACCCGTAATCCCAGCATTTTGGGAGGTCAAGACAGGTGGATAACTTGAGGTCAAGAGTTCGAGACCAAACTGGCCAACGTGGTGAAACCCTGTCTCAACTAAAAATACAAAAGTTAGCCAGGTGTGGGGGCATGAGCCTGTAGTCCCAGCTACTCGGGAGGCTGAGGCAGGAAAATCGCTTGAACCAGGGAGGTGGAGGTTGCAGTGAGCCGAGATCATGCCACTGCCCTCCAGCTTGGGTGACAGAGTGAGACTCTGTCTCAAAAAAATAAAACAATTTAATAAACATTTAAAAACCAAGGATGAGGCAGGACTTCGAGAATGACTATGTGAGGAGCTCAGCAACTCTTCTCCCCAGCAAACCAAACAGGGAAAGAACTGGTGAAAATTATAAAATCTCTGGAAATCAATCTAAGGGCATACAGCAAACAGAAAAACTTTTATTCAAAAAAATCTAGGCTGGGCTCGGTGGCTCACGCCTGTAATCCCAGCACTTTGGGAGGCTGAGGCAGGCGGATCACGAGGTCAAGAGATCGAGACCATCCTGGCCAACATGGTGAAACTCTGTCTTTACTAAAAATACAAAAATTAGCTGGGTGTGGTGGTACATGCCTGTAATCCCAGCTACTCGGGAGCCTGAGGCAGGAGAATCTCTGGAACTCAGGAGGTGGAGTGAGCTGAGATTGTGCCACTGCACTCCAGCCTGGCGACAGAGTGGCATTCCATCTCAAAACAAACAAAAAAATCTACTAAAACTTGATAAGAACAGGGAGAGCCTGTGGCATCTGAGCTATGATCATTTCCCACCTCTAATCCCCACACCACGTTACAGAAAATCTACATTAATATGGGCGCAGCTAAGAAGATATCGTCACATGGCATTCTCCTCTTTATGTCTGTCTGCAAATTGTCTTCTCTAGTCTGTCTTATTTTCTGAGTCTGTGTTCAAATTTCTCTTTCCTTTGAAGAGCACACATCATTCAATTAGAGCAAACACTAATACAGCATGAACTCATTTTAACTTGATTACATCTGCAAAGGCTATTTCCAAATAAGGCTATATTTGCAGGTACTGGGAATTAGAAATTGACAATGTTTTGGATGATACAATTCTACCCACTACAGTAGGTAAACAAATGGAAAACTACATCCTTCAACAATCAACAACAACTAACCATGGAGAGGGGGGACATCTAATTTCCACAGTTACCACATTATACCACTCAAAACATCAAGTTTTAAACAAAAATGTACAAAGCTTACACAGAAAAGGGAAGACTAGCATTATGTTCACTAAGCCATCATGTTAAATAAGCTTACACTCAAAGACTAAAGAAAACCAGGAAAATAACATTTGAGCACAGAATATAAATCGACAGAAATTATTAAAAAGAACCAAACAGAAATTTTGAAGGTGAAAAGTACAACAGCCAATATGAAAACTTCACTACAGATGTTCCTTGACTTATAATGGGGTTATGTCCCAATAAAATCATTGTAAGTTGAATATGTCATAAGTTTAAAATGCATTTGACACACCTAGCCTACCAAGCATCATAGCCTAGCCTAGCCTACCCTAAATGTACTCAGAATAGTTATATTAGTCTACGTTGGGAAAAATCATCTAACACAAGGCCTATTTTACAATAAAATGTTAAATAGCTTATGTAATTTATTCAGTACTGTACTGAAAAGTGAAAAACAAAGGTTGTATGGATACTCAAAGTAAGATTTCTACTAAATATGGATCACTTTCGCACCATTCTAAAATCAAAAAAATCATAAGCTGAACAATCATGATTTGGGAACCATCTGCAGAGAGGTTTCACAGAGGATCTAAGCAGCCCAAAGAAAGAATCATCAAACTTGAATACAGGACAACTGAAATTATTGAGTCTGTGGAGCATAAAGAATAATGAAGAACAATGAACAGTGCCTAAAGTGGGAGACCATCAAGTGGAACAACATATGCACTACGGGACTCTCCGAAGGACATGAGAAAAAGAAAAAGACATTAAAAATACTGGGAGAAATAATGGCCAAAAACTTCTCAAATTTGATAAAGAACACAAATTTATACATCCAAGAAGCTCAAAGACCTCCAATTAGGATAAACTCAGAGACTCACACAGCAACATATTATAATCCAACTGTCAAAAGCTAAAACAAGGAAAATCTTGAAAGCAGCAAGAGAGAAGCAACTCATCACATAACAAGATATGTAATAGATTAACAGCTAATTTCTCCTCAGAAACCATGCAGTCCAAAAGGCAGCAAGATCATGTACTTAAAGCACTAAATGAAAAAAAATGTCAACCAAGAAATCTATATATGACAAAACTATCCTTCTAAAATGAAGGAAAAATGAACACATTTCCAGATGAACAAAAACTGAGTCTGTCTGTCATTAGTAGACCTGCCCTACAAGAAAGGTTAAAGGAAGTCCTAAAGACTGCAATGACAGGATATTAGATAGTAATTTGCAGCCATACAAATAAATAAAGAACTGTTGTAATTGTAACTACATAAGCAAATAAGAAAGCCAGTAATATTGCATTTTTGGTTTTTAACTCCTCTTTTTAATTCCTCTATGATTTAAAGACAAACACATAAAAACAAATATAAACCTAGACTAATGAACACAAGTATGTAAAGCAGTAATTTGTGAAAATGATAACGTAAAGATGAAGAATGGAGCTGCATAAGAGTAGAGTTTTTATACACTATTAAAGTTAAGTTAGTGTCAATTCAAATTTGACTGTCTTAAATTTGGACTGTTAATTGTAATCCCTATATAGTAGCCCTCAACAAAATGACTAAAATATGTTTGGAAAAAGAAATGAGGAAGAAATAAAAATATATCCCCCAAAAAATTAACAAACACTAAGAAGACAGTACTGAGGAACTGAGGGTACAGAAGGTATAAGACATACAATAAACAAATAGCAAAATGGCAGAACTTCTTGCCTACCAGTAAACATGTTAAATGTAAATGAAATTAAACTCATCAAAGGAAAGATAGAGACTGGCAGAATGGATGAAAAAAACATGATACAACAATACAGATGCTCCTCAACTTATGACTAATTATTTCCCAATAAACCCATCGAAAATATTCCAAGTCAAAAATGTATTTAATATACTTAGCCTAAGTCAGGGACCATAGGCATACTGCCTAAAAGAGACTCATTTTACATCCAAAGACACATATGGGTTGAAAGTGAAAGGATGAAAAAATATACTGCATGCAACTCATAACCAAGAGAGAGCTGGGTGGTTATACTAACATATAAAATAATCTTTAGCCAGGTATGGTGGCTCACACCTTTAATTCCAGCTACTCAGGAGGCTGTGGTGGGAAGATCACTTGAGCCCAGGAGTTCAAGGCTGCAGTGAGGCTATAACTACACCACTGCACTCAAGCCTGGGTGGCAAAGCAAGACCCTGTATCTAAATTAATAATTAATTAATTAACTTAAATATCTTTCAATAGAAAACTGTGACAAGAAGAAAAGGTCATTATAGTTTGATTAAAAGGCTCAATTCATCAAAGATACAACAATTATAAACATTTATACACCAAAGTCCTCAAAATATATGAATCACACCTTGACAGAATTAAAGGGAGAAATAGCTCACAATAACACTTAGAAATTTCAATCTCCCACTTCCATTAAATGAGGAATATTTAGGCAGAGGAACAATAAAGTAACAGAGAACCTAAACAACATTATAAACCAACTACATGTAACAGACAAATATGGACTACTCTACCCAACAACAGCAAAATACATTCTTCTCAAGTGCAAGCACATGGAACATTCTCCAGGATAGACCAAATGTTAGGTCACAAAGCAAATCTCAACAAGTTTAATAATACACCAAGCATCTTCTCCAACCACAATGGAATCAAATTAGAACTCAATAGAAGAAAAACTGAAAAATTCACAATTATGTGGAAATTAAACACTCTTAAACAAGCAACAGGTTAAAAAAAAAACCACAAGAGAAATCAGAAAATACGTTGAAATGGATGCGAATCAAACACAATATTACAAAACATACAGGATGTATCCAAAGCAGTTCTCACAGGGAAATTTTTGTTTGCAAATGCCTACATTAAAAAAGAAAGATTATCAAATCAATAACCTCACTTTACACTTTAAAGAACTAAAAAGAGAAGAGCAAATTAAACCCAAAGCTCACAGTATGAATAAAATAATACATGTCAGAGTGGAGACAAATGAAATACAGAAAACAAAAACACCAGAGAGAATGAAAAAAAATCAAAGTTGCCACTTTGAAAAGGTTAACATATTTAACAAACCTTTACCTAAAATAAGAAAAAAAACACTAAAGATGCAAATATCTATAACTAGAAATCAAAGTGGAGGCATTATGACACACCATAGAGGAATAAAAAGTACTACAAAAGAGTACTGCAAAAAACAGTACCAACAAAATAGATAAATGAACAAATTCCTAGAAATATATAAATTACAAAAACTGCCTCGAGAAGAAATAGAAAATCAGATAACTAATAGGAAGTAAAACTTTTCTATAACCTTAAAAACCTATAGTAAACTTTACTGTAACCTACAGATCCTACTTATAAACCTATAAACTATCAGTAAAACTTTACTATAAACTTTAGTATAGTAAAACTTACTATAACCTTTTAAACTTACTTATAGTAAAACCTATAACTAGTAAGGAGTAAATCAGTAACCAAAAACTCTCAACAAAGAAGAATTCAGCTGATATGGTTTGGCTGTGTCCCCACCCAAATCTCATCTTGAATTGTAGCTCCCATAATTCCCCCATGTCGTGGGAGAGACCTGATGGGAGGTAACTGGATCAAGAGGGTAGGTTTTTCCAGTGCTGTTCTCATGATAGTGAATAAGTCTCATGAGGTCTGATGGTTTTATAAAGGGAGCTCCCCTGCACAAGCTCTCTCTTGCCTGCCTCCATATAAGATATGACTTTGCTCCTCATTTGCTTTCTGCCATGATTGTGAGGCCACCCCAGCCATACCGAACTATGAGTCAATTAAACCTCTCTCCTTTATAAATTACCCAGTCTCAGGTATCTCTTTATTAGGAGCATAAGAACAGACTAATACAAGGACCAAATGGCTTCACTAGTGAATTCTACAAAATATTTAAAGAAGGATTAATAACAATCCTTCTGAAACTCTTCATAAAAACAGAAAAAGCATCTATTTAGCATTTATTTAAATGGAAAGATATCCCATGTTCACAGAAGACTTAATATTGTTATTATGGCAATACTACCAAAAGCAATCTACATACTGAATGCAATCCCTATCAAATTTCAAAGAGACACTTTCCAGAAATGGAAAAGTGAATCCTCAAATTCATAAGGTCTTGTAAGCAACCCTTGAACAGCTAAAACATTCTTGAAAGAGCAGAACAAAATAGGGAAGACACTTCCCAATTTCAAAACTTACTAAAAATCTGCAGTAATCAAAACAGTACGATATTGGTATAATGATAATCACAGTGAAAGTCTAGAATAAAAATGAGATAGAATTGAGAGTCCAAAAATAAAGCCATACATACATCTATGGCTAATTGATTTTCAACAATGGTACCAGGAGTGTTCATTGAGGAAAGAATAGTGTCTTCAACAAGTGTGAGGGGACACCGGGATATCCACATGCAAATGAAATGAGCTGTACCAATTCCTTATGCCATTTACAAAAATTAACTCAATACAGGTCATAAACGTATATGTAAGCGACAGAAGTATAAAACTCTTAGAAGAAAATACTGGAGTAGACGTTCACAACCTTGGCTTAGGTGAACCTTCTGAGATAAGACATCAAAAGCATGAACAACAAAATATAAGACCGGATGAAGTGAGCTTCAAAATTAAAAACTTCCGTACACCAAAGGACAGTATCAATGAAGTGAAATCACAAAATAAAGAATAGAAGGAAATATTTGCAAATCATGTACCGGTGACAGTTTAGTATCCAGAATACAAAAGAATTCTTACACCTCAACAACAAATGAAAAATAACTCAATTAAAAAAAAGACCCAATGAACTTATACAAAGGGCCAATATCCACATGAAAAGATGCTGAACATCATTAGTCATTAAGGGAATTCAAATCAAAACCACAATATGATACTAAACACCCATAAGGATGGCTATAATTTAAAATAAAAAAACAAAATAACAAGTGTTGGGAATGATATGGAAAAAATATGAATCCACGTACATTGCTGGTGGGATTGTAAAATGATGCAGACCACACCTAACTCACATCTAACATCATAATGGTGAAAGGATGAACACTTCCTTCGAAGAACAGAAACAAGAAGAGAAGCCCACTCTCATAATCTCTATTTAAAATACTACTGGAGGTTCTAGCCGGGGCAATTAGGCAAGAAAACAAAAGAAAGGGCATCCACATCGGAATGGAAGAAGTAAAACTATATTTGCAGATTATATGATCATGTATATAAAAAATCCTAAGGAATCAACTAAAAAAACTCATTGAACTAATGAAACAAGTTCATCAAGGTTGCAGGGTACAAGTGCAGTATACAAAACTCAATTGTATTTCTATACACATAATAATCCAAAATGAAATTAAGAAAACAATTCCATTTATATCATCAAAAACAATAAAATACTTGCAAATAAATTTAACCTAAGAGGTGTACTGTATCTGAAAACTGTAAAACGTTGTTCAAATTTTAAAAATCTAAATAAATGAAAAGATATCCAATGTGCATGGATTGGAAGACTTAATATTGTTTAGATAAGTAGCTGAATAATTTGTGCTGAATAATTTGTTCAGTACACCCAAAATTGATCCACAAAATTCAACACAATCTTTATCAAATCTGAGCTTATTTTTTTGCATAAATGGACAACATAATCTTAAAATTTATACAGAAGTTTAAGGAAATCAGGACAGCTAAAACAAAAAAACAAAACTGGAAGAGTCATACTTCCTGATTACAAGTTCTACTATAAAGCCACCATAATTAAGACAGTAGGGTACTGGCATAAGGCTAGACATATAGAACAATGGGATTAGAATTAAGAGTCTAGAAATCCTTACATTTATGATCAACTTATAAATTTTGACAAGCCTGCCAAGATCATTCAATGGGAAAAAATAGTTTTTTCAACAAATGGTGCTAGGACAACTGAATAATCTCATGAAAAAGAATGAAGCTGAATCCCCCACCTCACACCACACACTAACATTAACTCAAAATGGATTCTAACCCTACATATAAGAGGAAATAGCATAAAATTCTTATAAGAATATATAGGAGTATATATTTGTACCACTGGAGTAGGCAAAGATTTCTGAGTTATAATGAAAAGCATGTGTAGCAAAAAAAATATAAATTTGACTTCACCATTAAGAAAAATAAAAAGAAAACACAGTGAGAGAAAATAACTGAAAATTGTTTATCTAATAAGAGATTTGTATCAAGAATATATAAAGAACTCTTGCAAATCGATAATAAAAAGACAACCCAACATAAAATAGGAAAAAAAATCTAATAGACATTTCTCCAAAGAAGATATGCACGTGAAATGGCCAATAAGCACAAAGAAAAAAAGCTCAAAATCCTTAGCCATCAGGAAAATGCAAATCAAAACCACAGTGAGATACCATTTCATACTCACTAGAATGGCTGTAATCAAAAGAACAGATAATAACAAGTGTTGATGAAGATATGAAGAAATTGGAAACATCATATACTGTTCATGGAAATGTAAAATGGTGAGGCTGCTTTGGGAAACAGTCTGGTAGTTCCTCAAAAGGTTAAATAGTATTAGCATATGAGACAGCAATTCCACCCCAGGTGTCTACCCAAGAAAATTAAAACCCACCTCCAAACAAAATATTACTCATGAATACTCATAGCTGCAATACTCAGAAGAGCCAAAAAGAAGGAACAACCTAAATATCCTCAACAGTTAAATGGATAAACAAAACGTGATGCGTCCATAATAGAGATTACTAGGCAATAAAAAGGAATGTACTAATTCATGCTACAACAGGATGAACCTTGAAAACATCATGCTAAGTGAAAAATGCCAAACAGAAAAGACCAGATATTGTATGACTACATTCATATGAACTGTCCAAAATGGACAAATCCTTTCAAATAGAAAGTAAATTAGTTGTTGCCAGGGGCTGGGTAAGGGGGCACTTGGGAGTGACTGCTAATGATTACAGGGTTTCTTTGGGAGTTGTTAACATATTCTCGAATGAGCCAGGCTCACACCTGTAATTCCAGCACTTCGGGAGGCTGAGGCTGGCGAACTGCTTTGAGCCAACAAGCTCCAGACCAGCCTGGGCAACATGGTGAAACCCCATCTCTACAAAAATTCTAAAAATTAGCAAGGTGTTGGTGGCTCGCGCCTGTAGTCACGGCTACTCAGGAGGCTGAAGCTGGAGGTTAGCCTGAGCCCAGGAAGCAGAGACTGCAGTGAGCCAAGACCCTACCACCATACTCCAGCCTGGGCAACAGAGTGAAACCCTGTCTCAAAAAAAATAAATAAAATAAAATAAAGTTCTAGAATTAGATAGTAGTTGATAAGGTTTGGCTCTGTGTCCCGACCCAAATCTCATCTTGAATTGTACTCCCATAATTCCCACGTGTTGTGGGAGGGACCTGGTGGGAGATAATTTGAATCATGGGGGTGGCTTCCCCATACTGTTCTCATGGTAGTGAATAAGTCTCATGAGATCTGATGGTTTTTAGCAGGGGTTTCCGCTTTTGTATCTTCCTCATTTTCTCTTGCTGCCACCAGGGAAGAGGTGCCTTTCGCCTCCCCTGACAATTCTGAGGCCTCCCCAGCCATGTGGAGCTGTTGGTCCAATTAAACCTCTTTTTCTTCCCAGTCTTGGGTAAGTCTTCATTAACAGCATGAAAATGGACTAATACAGTGCTGGTGGTTGTACAGCTTCGTAAATATACCAATGTGAAATTACTATATAATATAGTTGTGAAAAATCAATGAACCACACACTTTAAATGAATTGTAGGGTATGTGAATTACATCTCAAAGCTACTTTAAAAAAAATAAAACTAAAAACTCTCAGATAAAAACCACATTGTTAATGCTGTTTCTTTTTGTGTAGTGTAGTTGCTGATCATTTTTGTATTATTCTTTAATGCCCTATGTTTCACTGGAATGTGGTTTTCTATTGAACATGTATTATCTTAACAATTAAAAAAAAAACCTTTTTCCTGAAACCACAAAAGGATATATGAAACTATAGTGCTCTTTACAAAAGACTAAGATTGTGACCTAATGTCTAAGAACACAGTGAAGTTTTTTCATATATGATAAAAAAAGATAAATTAATACTTACTTTATTGCTTGTGCTCCTGGTCTTTGCACAATTAAGGTGCTAAATTCTTCTATTACAATATCTACCAGCTCAGGTTTTTGATGATTTTCTCTTAGAACAATAGACATACTTTTCAAGTGGACAAAAAACTTCAAGGCTTCAAACTAAGGTATATTCAGAAGAATAAAATGAAAACATATATATATATATAAGCATAACAAATATTCTTATAGTACATTCATTTCAAAAACCACCAAATATTTTAAGGACATTTTATTTCTTCAAGAATCATCACATTGACCCCAAAAAAAGAGACAATATTTATCCCTACCTTAGAAATTAAAATAAATGCAATTACAGACCCAGAAAAAAGATCACAGAACAAGTCAGTAACATATATTTTTGAAAGGATTAAAAATGGACATATGTAACATTAAATTCCAAAGCATAAGGTCAGGAGCAGTGGTTCATGCCTATAATCCCAGCACTTTGGGAAGTCGAGGCAGGCGGATTGCTTGAGCTCAGAAGTTCAAAACCAGCCTGAGCAACATGGCGAAACCCCATCTCTATCAAAAAAAAAAAACAAAAAAAAAACCACAAAAATTAGCTAGCATGAGGGTGCATGCCTGTGGCTCCAGCTATTCGAGAGGCTGAGGTGGGAGGATTGCTTGAGGCCAGGTTAAGGCTGGCAGCAGAGATCACACCACTGCAGTCCAGCCTGGGCAACAGAGTGAGACCCTGTCTCTAAACAAATAAATAAATAAATATATTCTAAGGTATAAGGCAAGAAAACATCTTACTGTTTTTAGTAAAGTTGGATCAACTGCTGTTTCACTATAGCCAATTGCTTCATAGAGTAAAGCTTTTTCTTCAGGTGTCAACATTTCTTCAAGAGCTACAAATCAGAAAGAAGTGCTTTATGTTCTTAAATAAAAACAATAAAATTAACACAATGTATCTGCCTTTAATAAACAGAATGTGAAATTTACTTTCTTGAACGCTCTTAAGAAATTATAAACACTGAATGTTTGAATGGGGCTGGCAATTTTACAAGTAATTATCCAAAATATAAATTGCTAAATATGTAAGTTTAGCAACATTAATTTATAATATTTGTATTAAGCAAGAGCTCAAAAACGGCTAACTATATTAGACAATAGCACTGTGCTAATCAACACATTTAGTATAAAAAGTAGGTAGTATTAACATTGTAATTTCCTCCCATGTTATAGATGATAAAACTGAAGTTTAGTGCACTTAAATAACTTGCCAGAGACACACTGCTAATAAGTGATAGATCTAAAACATATACCTAAGTCTCTAAACCTCCAAAGCTATACTCTTAAGCTGTTAGTTAAAAATCAAAAATCTTTCCAAGAAACAACTTCAATAAAAATTTACAATGGAGAACACTTTGGAATTTTTATTTATTTATTACTGTGCTATATGCATTCACTAAATCTCTGGGCATAAAGCTCTTTTTGTAAGCACTAGCATGATTTTTAAATTATTTTTTATTTTTAAACTAATACACATTTTCAATGTTTTAATAGTTTTATTTGTAATAACTTTATATATAATTAAATAAATATATTTCAATGTCTATTTACTTTAATTAGGCAAAAAATGGCAAAACTTTATTTTGACACCCAGTGATTAACTATGCTGTAAAATGAAATGGACATACTTTCAGGTTGAACATCTGGTTGCTGTTCATTAGTATTTTGTTCTGACCAAGACCATAGCCAGCTAAACCACCCTTTATTATCCTCTGGATCTTTTACTCCTTCTTTGTAAATTTTGTATCCAGCTTTCTTTACCTAAAATGAATAAATTTTCAAATAAATGACACATTATCCTTTATTTAGCAACTGAAACAAATATAAGCAAGACATTCTGAGAACTTATCCTCTTGAGCAAAATGAATGTAAACAATATACACATTAATAACAGAACACAGAAACTGCAACATTAGTCGAACATAAGAATTTAGGAGTACCACATAGTTTTTCCACCATCTTATAAGAAATGATGATTGAAAAAAAATAAATTGGCTTTTACCTTCATAACTGAATATTTGAAAAGCCCAAATATTTAGAAAGATTTTTTCCCATAGAAATCTGTCTGATTTAAATGGATGTGCCAAAAAATATTAAATAATTTTCTTATAATACTAAAAAGCAAATTGAACCACTTTTTGGAAACAATATGTTACAGTATAAGATTAATAATATCACATCTGTCATATCTATATGGAATTCAGAATTATTTTTACTAATTGAAAAGCCAAGAATTACCTCAACTTCTGCCGTCTGTCTAGCTATAGTTATATTAAAGACATCCAAGGTTTTTTCCAACTCCTGAAAAATATAAACAAAAATGTGTTAACTTTACAAAAATAACTTTACATAATTAACTTAAGCACATAATCTATCAAATGGCTGCACTAAAGAAAAGATATAATAGGAAGCAAACAACAGAACATTCATCAATATAATACATATGTTAAATTCTGGGAAGCAATGCTTGAACATATATCAGCATGGAAATTAGTAAATTAGAGAGTAATTTTTTGAAAAATGAAATAATACATATTCTGCATAAAGAGTTCCAAACTCTTCAAGTTATAAACACATATTAAAATATGTACATGCATTGTTTAAAATGATTTTATTTGGGTTTAAACTACAGATAAGGGTAAACATATTAGTTACATTTTCAACTAAAAATATAATTACAAGGCCAAGCACAGTGGCTCATGCCTGTAACCCCAACACTCTGGGAGGCTGAGGCAGGCGAATCACTTGAACTCAGGAGTTCCAGACCAGCCTGGGCAACACTGCAAAACCTCTACAAAACATATACAAATTAGCTAGGCATGGTGGCACATGCCTGTAGTCCGAGCTACTTAAGAGGCTGAGATGAGAGGACAGCTTAAGTCTGAGGGGTCATGGTGCCACTGCACTCCAACCTGAGTGACAAAGCAAGACTCTGTCTCAAAAAAAATCTATACAAAGATATATAATCGTAAATCCTTCATATTATGTGTACAGCCTGTATGTTATCATTAAGATACAGGCATACCTCAGAGATACTGCAGATTCAGTTCCAGATCACCACAGTATGGCAAGTGTCAGACAAATGTTTTGGTTTTCCAGTGCATATAAAAGTTATGTTCCTACTACATTATAGTCTATTAAGGGTGCAATGGCATTGTCTTAAGAAAACAACATAAATACCTTAATTTTAAAATACTTCATTGCTAAAAAATGCTAACAATCATCTGAGCCATCAACGAGTTGTAATATTTTGCTGATGGAGGATCTTGCCTCGATGTTGATAGCTGCTGACTCATCAGGGTGGTGATTGCTGAAGGTTGGGGTGGCTATTGCAATCTCTTAACTGAAGTTTGCCACATCAATTGACTCTTCTTTTCACAACTGATTTATCTGTAGCGTACAACGCTGTTTGATAGCATTTTACTTACAGAATTTCCTTCAAAATTGAAGTCAATCCTCTCAAACAGCAGTGCTGCTTTATCAACTAATTTTATGTAAATTTCTAATTGTCATTTCAACAATGTTCTCATCTTCACCAGGAGTATATTTCATCTCAAGAAACCACTTTCTTTGCTCTTCTATAAGAAGCAGCTCCTCATTGGTTAAAGTTTTATCATGAGATTGTAGCAATTTAGTCACATGTTCAGGCTCCACTTCTAGTTCTCTTCGTATTTCCACCACATCTGCAGTGACTTTCTCCACTGAAATCTTGAACCTCTCAAGGTCTTCCATGAGGGTTGGAATCAACTTCCAAACACCTGTCAATGTTCATATTTTGACCTCCACCCATGATTCACAAATATTCTTAATGGCATATAGAATGGCAAATCCTTTCCAGAGGGTTTTCAATTTACTTTGCCCAGATCCATCAGAGGAATGATAGCTGCCTACTTCATAAGGCAGCTATCATCTTACAAAATGTACTTCTTAAATAATAAGACTTGAAAGTTAAAATTACTCTTCAATCCATGGGTGGCAGAACAGATGTGGTGTTAGCAGGCATGAAAACAACATTCATCTCTTTGTATATCTCTATCAGAGCTTTTGGTGACTAGGTGCATTGTCTATTAGCAATAATATTTTGAAAAAAATCTTTTTTTACTGAGCAGTAGGTCTGAGCTTGGGTTTAAAATGTTGTAAACAGATATGTTGTCATCCAGGCTTTGCTGTTCCGTGTATAGAGCATAGCCAGAGTAGAGTTAGCATATTCTTAAGGGCCCTAAGAGTTTCAGAATGGCAAAGAATCACTGGCTTCAACCTGAAATCACTAGCTACGTCAGCATCTAGCAAGAGAGTCAGCCTGTCCTTTGAAGCTTTGAGGCCAGATATTAACTTTTTCACTCTAGCTAGGAGAGTTCAGATGGCATCCTCTCTCAGTAAAAGGCTGTTACATCTACACTGAAAATCTGTTTAGTATAGCCACCTTCATCAATGATCTTAGCTAGATCTTCAGGATCACTTGCTGCAGCTTCTCCATCAGCACTTTCTTCTTTGCCTTATACTTTTGTTATAGAGACAGCTTCTTCCCTTAAACTTCAAGAACCAATCTCTGCTATCTTCAAACTTTTCTTCTGCAGCTTCCTCACCTCTCTCAGTCTTTATAGTATTGAAGAGAATATGTTTAGGGCCTTGCACTGGATAAGGCTTAGAGGAATGCTGTAGCTGATTTCATCTATCTAGACCACTAGAACACTCTCCACATCAGTAATCAGGCTGTTTTACTTTCTTATCATTCATGTGTTCCCTGGAATAGCACTTTCAATTTCCTTCAGGACTCAGCTAACCATTGGGCACAAGCAGCCTAGCTTTTGGCCTATCTCTGCTTTCAACATGCCTTTCTCACTAAGCTTAATTATTTCCAACTTTCAATTTAAAGTGAGAGACGTATGATTCTTCCTTATATTTGAACACTTAGAGGCCTTTGTAGGGCTATTAATCGGCCTAATTTCAATATTTTATCTCATGGAATAAGGAGGCCCAAGCAGAGGGAGTCAGGAAAACAGCCAGTCAGCAGAACAGTCAGAACACGCACAACATTTATTAAGTTTGCTGTGTTAGAATAAAAACTTCAGCCGAAGTACATTTAAAAGATTTAATTAAGCAATGAACAATTTGCAAATTGGGCAGCCTCCAGAGCCAGAAGAGGCTCAGAGACTCTGGTGTAGCCACACGGTGGAAGATTTATGGACAGAAAAAGGAAACTGACATAGAGAAAATGGAAGTGAGGTACAGAAACAGCTGGTTTGGTTATAGCTTAGTGTTCACCTTATTTGAACACGGTTTGAACAACTGGCCACATGTGATTGGCCAAAACTTGGTGATTGGCACAAGAGTAGACTAGAGTCTGTTTATACTTCCATTTAAGCTATAGTTTATGGCGTACAAAGAAACCTTTTGGCCAAACTTAAAATATGTAAGGAGGCAGCTTTAGTCTAAACTTAATTTAACAGCTGTCTTATATGGATGCAGTTTGTGGCACCCCAAAACAGTTACAACAGTAACAGCAAAGATCACTGATCATAGATCATCATAACAGATATAATAATAATGAAACAGTTTCAAATATTGTGGGAATTACCAAAATGTGACACATAGACAGGAATAAATGCTATTGGAAAAATGGTGCCGACAGATTTGCTAGACACAGTGTTGCCACAAACCTTCAATTTGTAAAAAACACAATGTCTGCAAAGCACAATAAAGTGAAGTATGCCTGTATTTCAAGTAGACCCAGATACACTTAAAACTTGTTTTTAATACTTAACACTTTTCATAGTTGTCATAGCTATTGAAATAAGCTGAGATTAGCTAAATCTTTCATCACAGCTATCTTGACATACCCATAATTACTTTTGAGAATTTCATGATCAAACTATGTTTCCCCCAAGAGAAGTAACTACAACCCATTATTATTTCAGAATAACTTATTCAGGGTTCTCCTATCCAGACTTGGAGGACTCAGGTTATGATTCAAGACTAAGACAACCTGAACCCATCCCCCAAAGACTCTAAGCCCAGGCATTCCTAACAGCCCTAGGTCTTCAGAAAGTCTCCCACATTGAAAATAAAAGTAAAAGTCAATCTAATCTATAAATTAGAAATTCATTCTGGATTCAGAATGTTTACATTAACTTCAAGAGACTAACTCCCCTTAATCTCTCTAAGCTATAGTTCATCAATTTGTAAAAGAGTCCCTCTTGAAATATGTCATAATGCTAAAAGACAAGATTAATACAAAAATAATATCTCAAGATAGATAATTAAATGTAAAACTACTGGTAGAGACTAGAGATACCACAAAAATTAAGAGAAAAAGGGCTCTGTATAAGCAGAAAATTCAGAGACATTCATGCAAGCACTAAGACTTAAGTAGAACTTCAGGGATGAGTAGAATTGAGTAGGTAGAGAGATAAAGGCAGGTAGCATTTATGAGCATAGGCGTGGCTAAAAGAATGAGCATTAAATATACAGAGTACAGGAAACATTAAATTAGTGCATGGTCAGATTGTAACATAGGGAAAATGTAGTGGTGACACATAAAAGGCTTTGAAACCAACACAGAGAAGTTGGAATCAATGTAGCAAACACTATTTAGACTTTTGAGGTTAAAAATGACATAATCATACTATTTGCATGAACCCAAATTCCTTCCGATTGAGAATAATCTCGAATTTCAAAAGCTCACTGGAGAATTTCAACAAATCTTGTATTATTCAGCTGAAGTTAAGAACAGAAGCACAAAAAAGTCTAAGTAAAAGAGATGAAAAGGTCAATAAAAATTGGAATGAAAGGTAGGGAGTATCAGTCACTGAAGACCAATAAGGAGCTATGTAGTATAAAACACTCAACAATTTCATTTTAAATGCTAACCTCCAAAGACACGAGAAGTTCACCAGGTGGCTTCTTACTTGTTAACTTTTTTTTATACAGTTCTTTATATTGCTTCACTTTTTGCCTATGTTTTCTAATATGCTTCCATGACCACATCCATAACCTGGGGCAAACATTTACTTCAAGAACGCCATGTATAGCATAAGCCCACCTAGTTAAAAAAAGAAAAACATTTAACACCCTCAAATCAACAGTATGAAACATTACTGACATTGCTTCTACTCTAACAACATACATAACTATAATACAAAGATTAGGAAAATGATATATTATCTGAGTACTTCCTTTTTACCCAACTCCATTTGCATTAATAATCCATTCAATATTAATCTTTCCTCTTTCTTAAGTGAAAATAAGCAAAATCACTCCATTTTGTTAAATATAGTTCTACACAAGAACTGTTAAGGCATTAATTGGCAAATAACATTTAGTCATCTGAATAATAACTGAAATAGTCAACTGAAAGAGTAATTGTAACTTCTAGAAACTAGGGAATAGCTTAAAAACTGGAATAACAAGACTTTTGAGTTTTAAAATGGGATTATCCTGCATAGACTCCGTAACATTTTTAGCTTTTAAAATACAGGTTTAATAATATTGGTTCAGTGTATCTGATAGGGAAGCTGAGGTGGGGGTTGGGGAGAGACAATGCAAGAAAACAAACCAGGATTTGTTTTTGTAATAATTCTAAATATACTGACCCGTCCATAGTAAATGAAAACTATGGTATTCGAGCATCTCGAGTTGTAAACTGTGTTAGCAAGAATCCCTTAAATCAGTTTCATTAACTCAATAAGCTAAAGCAGCTACATATATTTCTAGCTATAAATCAATTATGGTTTGTATCAGACCTTAAAAATGGTATATCTTAAAGATTATTCTTGAAGTCGAGAAATTTATTTTTATGTTGTATTTTTAAAATCTAAAAAAAAAAAAAAATCAAGGCATTTACCATTCTCTGGCATGGTGGTGAAGAGGCACATCAGGTTTGAACTTCCTATATGGCAGATTTTGTGCCATCATATCAACTGATTCAAGAAGCTCCATAATACTGAAATACTAAAGAATGGAAAATTAAAGCTCTTAAATGTATCACATTTTTTTGTTCAATTGCTGAAGATAAAAGTTACATTACTGACTTTTTAGGGAAATGCTACCATATAACATCATGAATTTTAGTGAAACATTTAAAATCTTAGTTTTGCTTTTATCAAACAATAATTCACAATTGAAAATTATATTAAAGAAAATCACCTGTGGTTTATTAAATTCAATTGCTATGTTATGTAACTCAATTTCCAAGTTTATTTTGGGGGCAGAAAAGTCAAAATCAGATCGGCGATTCATCACAAGTTTGGCATTAGCAGATATGGGACGAAATACTGAAAAATAATAAAAATGGAAAAAAAACTGAGTTATATTTCCAAAGTCTCAAGGCAATAAAGTGATGAAGTTGAAAACACTGATTTCCATTTATTTTATACCCCTTCTACAGTTCCCAGATGTTCACACTGCCATGGTTCAGTCAGATGAACCATGTGTGGAGAAGATTCTTTATCTTTTTCCTACTTAAAATTCACTGTCTTCCATAAATACAATAAAGGCAAATTGAACTCCCCCTCAAAATACCAATATGATACTTAAAAGCAGAAACATTTTAAGAAAAAAAAAATCAAAAAAATAGTTTTAATACAAGTACACAGTTTTACAGAATGAATGAACATTAGAAATGCTAAGAGGATTAACACTGGTTTCCATTATATAATTATAATTTCTGAATTTCTGATCAATTTCTCTAGATCCATCTGTGTTCTTCCTTTTAATTGGTAAAAGGAGAGAGATGAAGAGTGAAAGTTTGCTCTGGATTACCTGCTTGGCTGAACCCATAATCTAAGATAAATTCCTCTCAACTCTTTGTGTTTGGTGCCAAAAAGAATAAGAACAATTCAGAGGAAGACCAGTAATAGCAGAATCTAGACAAAGATCCATCATTAAATTATAAGCTAATCTGTATATAAAGATGATATATTCCTTTTATTTTAATCATTGATATGGACTAACATTTAATTTCTTAAACATTAAACATTCAAGAATATGTTCATTTGAATATAAATAAATGCTTAAAGATCTTGTTCTTTCTTCTGTATTTCTTCTTACATTGAAAAAAAAAAGCAGAAGAAATAAATAAATTTAGTGGCTGGTGACAGAAGCTACCCTGGACCTACAATTCACTGATCCTCCAACCTTTCTCTGCCCTTCACCTCTGCTTCACATCCTCAGTCCATCCCCACCTTACTGAAGTTCCACCATCAGTTATTTTAATCATTCCTTTGCATAGACTCCTTAACTTCTCACTTCGTCAGTGTGGAGTAACCAACTTAACTCCACAGTGCCCCTAAGGAGCTGAACACGGCCGGGGGTAAAAACATACTGCTGGGTCTCACTTTAGTGTCATAAATCTCAAGTGCATCCTTAATGCTGCTGAGCAATTACACAACAGTCCTTCAGTCCAGGAATCATCCAAATCCATGCTACAGCCTATTTTTGTATAGCCAGTGAGCCAAAGATGATTCATACACTTTTAGAGTTGTTTAAAAGAAACAAAGAGGAATGTGTCAGGAACTGTATATGGCCTGCAAAATGTAAAATATTTAACTTACTACATGTCCCTTTCCAAAAAAAAAAAAAAAAGGCAATGTTCTCAAAGTATGAGAACCTTATTGAACCCTAGTCTATCTGAGTGGTTCTCAAACTTTAGTATTCATTAGAATCACCTGGAGAGATTATTAAAATATCAAACTGTAGAATGGGAGAAAATATCTGCAAACTATCCATCAATCATACAGGGGACTAATATCCAGAGTTTACAAGAAACTCAAACAGCAACAACAAAAAACTCAACTCCATTAAAAAGTGGGCAAAGGGCTGGGTGCAGTGGCTCACGCCTGTAATCCCAGCACTTTGGGAGGCCGAGGCAGGCAGATCATGAGGTCAGAAGATTGAGACCATCCTGGCTAACACAGTGAAACCCCATCTGTATTTAAAGTACAAAAAATTAGCTGGGCATGGTGGCAGGTGCCTGTAGTCCCAGCTACTCGGGAGTCTGAGACAGGAGAATGGCATGAACCCGTGAGGTGGAGCTTACAGTGAGCCAAGATTGCGCCACTGCACTCCAGCCCGGGAGACAGAGCAAGACTCTGTCTCCAAAAAAAAAAAAAAAAAAGTGGGCAAAGAACATAAATATTTTTCAAAAGAAGATATGCAAATGGCCAACATGTGTATGAAAAACTGCTCAACATCACTCATCATCCGAGAAATGAAAATTAAAACTATAATGTCTTTTTTATTAAAAAGACAAAAAATGACACATGTTGGTGAGGATGTGGAGAAAAGGGATTACTGTTGGTGGGAATGTAAATCAGTACAACCTCTGTGGAAAACAGTATGGATACTTCACAAAGAACTAAAAACAGAACTACTATTCAATCCAGCAATTCCATTACTGGGTATCTACCCGAAAGAAAAGAAACCATTCTATCCAAAAAAAAAAAAGAAAAAAAAAGCGCTTGTATGTTTACCACAGCACTATTCACAATAGCAAAGATATGGTATCAACCAAAGTGTCCATCAACAGGTAACCGGACAATGTGGTACATGAACATCATGGAATACTTTTCAGCCAAAAAAAGAAGAAAATCACATTTTTTGCAGCAACATGGATGGAACTGGAGGCCATTATCTTAAGTGAAACAATGCAGAAACAGAACAACAAATACTGCATGTTCTCACTTGTAAGTGGGAGCTAAATAATGTGTATATATGGACATAGAGCATGGAATGACAGTCACTGGAGACTCAGAAAGGTAGAGAAATGGGAGAGGGGTGGATGATAAGAAATTACTTAATGGGGACAATGTACATTATTCAGGTGATGGAAACACTGAAAGCCTAGACTTCACTACTATGCAATATATCCATGTAAGGATTGTACTCCACAATTTTATACAAATAAAAAATTAAATACAAAAACATCAAATGCTGAGCTTCACCTCCAGAGGTTCTTATTCAGGAGGTCTGGGAAAGGCCCTAGAAATCTGCATTTCTAAATGATGTTGCTAGTTTGAACCATACTTTGAGAATACTGCCCTCGTCATTTCACTCTCTCACTCCCCTAGCATTCCTATTTCATACCCTCTTTTCCCTCCAAAAACCTCCAACATCTCATGTAATGGTTAATATTGACTGTCAACTCAATTGTATTGAAAGATGCAACTTCTGTTCCTGGGTGTGTCTGATGGTGTTGCCAAAGAAGATTAACATTTGAGTCAGTGGACTGGGAAGGGCAGACCCACCCTCAATCTGGGTGGGCACAATCTAATCAGCTGCCAGCATGGCCAGAATAAAAGCAGGCAGATGAACATGGAAAGACCAGAGTGGCTTAGCCTCTGAGCCTACATCTTTCTCCTGTGCTGGATGCTTCCTGCCCTCAAACATTCAAATTCTTCTTCTCAAACTCCAAATTCTTCAGCTTTGGGACTCAGACTGGCTTCCTTGCTCCTCAGCTTGCAGATGGCCTATTTAAGGGATCTCACCTTGTGATCATGTGAGTCAATACTCCTTAATAAACTCATCTTTAAATATACACCTGTCCTATTAGTTCTGTCCCTCTAGAGAACCCTAACATACCTCAGATACATATTTTTTAATTGAAGAGCTCAGAAGAGAATTTACATCAACTCTTATCACCATATCTACTCATCTACTCAGTATAAGGACTTCTCTCACAACTAAACTCTATCATATAAATTAACTATGCTCCTATATGCAGCAAAGCTCTTCACTTGCGTACTAGACACCATTCTCTTTCACCTACATCAATCCAGAAACTGTCCCCCGTTTCTCCTGCATCGTCAATTTGTCATGTTCTACTGGATCATTCCCATCTCAGCCTAAAAACAAGCTGTCATCTCCCTGATTAAATATAAACACAAACAAAAAGAAACCCTTCATTCCCCCTTCGCTCTCCAACAGGTATGCCAGTTATCAATTTTTTACTTCTGAGCTCCAAACTTCTCCTTCATAGCCTGCTCTGAAAAATGATTTGGGGATCTTTAAATATGTTTCCTTTGAAGGCAGAGAATGTAGAGAAAAAAAATTTTTTTTTCTTTTTCCAGCTGGCGTAATGTTAAGCTTTATCAGTAGAGGACACTGGAGAGACACTGCAGGAGGAAAGAGTTATGCTGCCTGGTTCCAGTATGTTCATTCAATAGACTCCTGCAAGAACACGGCTTCTCCCACACCCAGCTCCTACAGAACCGGTAGCTTCTGCAGTGTCTGGTTCCTCCAGCACGGAGTTCTTCAGCACCGGCCTTATGCAGTACATGGCAGCTAGATGCAGCCAGATGCCAGCAACTTCCCCCAGCACCTTGCTAAGGCAGTTTTGTACTGGAGTGCATTCAGAGAGACACCCCTCCATGAGGCTCCCTAAAAGTAATTTCCAGAAAGTTCCAGAGAGTGAAGTACCAACAGGTTTTGCTGGCACAGCACCACAGATAATTTCCTGCCATTCAATAAGCCACGCTATGTCCTCCAACAAGGTCTACAACTCAGTCCTGAAGGAGGGGGACCCTCTCTTTTGGGCACCCCGTCTTAGCCCTAGGGTAGGGGATGTTTCTTCTGTCTATATCTTTAGCATTTTTATGAGACAGTCCCTTGTTACTCCAGTCTCCTCTTATAGTTGGTAATTCTTTATATTAAATTTGTCCTCTTCAAATTACTCAGTACTTTCTCTCTCCTCACTGAACTCTGATACAACAAAAATGACTTCAGGGCAAAGGAGAAATAAGTCGAATTTACGATTATGGATTTGAAAATCATAAACACATATGACAGATAACTCATCTGTTCTGAATATTTCCTATGAGAAGAGAATCAAGAAAATGAAACTAAATTCAAACCAATAAAAATAATTATTTTAAGAGTGGGCACAAAAAGAAGAATCACTTGAGTAGTCATGAAGGTGTATAATATAGACAGAAAAGTATCACTGAGCCAAGAAAGGAAATACTTTCAGGAAGGATATTCTATGGTTAATGACATCAGGCATGCAAATTCAATAATTAAGTTATCCATCACCAACTTTTATTAAGTGCCCTTATCATAGAAAAAACAGCACTTTTTTTTGTTTGTTTTTGTAGAGACGGAGTCTCACTCTGTCACCCAGGCTGGAGTGCAGTGGCGTGATCTTGGCTCATTGCAACCTCTACCTCCCAGGTTCCCAGGTGGCTCATGCCTGTAATCCTAGCATTTTGGAAGGCCGAGGCGGGCAGATTGCCTGAACTCAGGAGTTGGAGACCAGCCTGGGCAACATGGTGAAACCCCGTCTCTACTAAAATACGAAAGAGATTAGCCAGGTGTGGCAGTGTGTGCCCATAGTCCCAGCTACTTGGGAAACTGAGAAACAGCACTGATTTTTTTCTTTCTGTTTTAGTAATTCATTTCCGATTGTAAAAGTAATGGATGCTCATTTTGGAAAATTAGGAAAACATAGAAAAGTATAAATTAAAAAAATTTTAAATGCAGCGTGATCTTACTATTTCGAAAAAGGCTGTACTAGCTAGCCTTATTAAATTTTACTTGCCATTTTGAAATGTCTTCATAAATATTACCCTAATTGTTACTGAATAATCCTTAGAGGTTTATCATAATTTATTAACATCTTTTGTTGGACATTTTCCCCTATAGTTTTGAAATATAGTCAAAAGCTTCATAACAATAAAATACGTTACTAAAAAATATAATATTATTTGCTTTTGTATATACATTATAAATACATTTAACTATATAGAAGGAAATTTAACAGGAACTAGCACAGTGATAGCAACAATGCTAATTTAAAATTTATACCAATTACTTTAACTACTTTTTTTATCTTATAAAATGTACTTACCAAAATCATAACCTTCTGGAACAATATTTTCATTGACAATGCCATTCTTCAAGTCGTCCTATTAAAAGACAAATTGCTTTTATTTATATTCATGCCAATATGTCTTTTTTTGAGATGGAGTCTCCCCCTGTCACCCAGGCTGGAGGGCAGTGGTGCAATCTCAGCTCACTGCAACCCCTGTCTCATGGACTCATGCGATTCTCCTGCCTCAGCCTCCCGAGTGGCTGGGATTACAGACGTGCCCCACCGTGCCTGGCTAATTTTTGTATTTTTAGTAGAGACAGGGTTTTAACATGTTGGCTATGCTGGTCTTGAACTCTTGACCTCAAGTGATCCACCCGCCTCGGCCTCCCAAAGTGCTGGGATTACAGGTGTGAGCCACCACGCCTAGCCATATTCATGCCAATATGTCTTTATCCTAAAAAATCCTATTATCTGCAAAAGAAAAATGTTTAAAAGCAATTTTAAAAACCAATTCAAACTTAGAACTTAGCTATGGCAAAATATTAAAGTAGTTAAACAACATCTCACCAAACTAATCTTATAAAAGAATGTTCTAGGAGCTATTTAGATTTGCAGGTATCATTGGGTGCAGTGGCTCACACCTGTAATCCCAACACTTTGGAAGGCTGAGTTGGGAGGATTGCTTGAGGCCAGGAGTTTGAGACAAATTTGGGCAACAAAAAGTGAGACCTTGTCTCTACAAAAAAATTTAAAAATTAGCTGGGCATGGTGGCGTGTGCCTATAGTCCTCGCTACTCAAGAGGCTGAGGCAGGAAGGATGATTGCTTGAGCCCAAGAGTTAGAAGCTGCAGTGAGCTATAATCGTGCCACTGCATTTCAGCCTGGGCAACAGAGCAAGACCTTGTCTCAAAAAAAAAAAAAAAAAGATATGGGGGTATGTATTCATGTTTGTGTATAGTTACACACATCTTCACCTGTATCTGTAAATTCTGCTAATAGATTGTGCCTAGGAAAAAATACTGACTACAGTATATTAGATAAATGACAATGAATTAAACCTCATGCAAAATATGATACCAACAAATACATACAGAAAAAATTTACTTACCAAGGAGTTATCATAATCACTAAGATAAAACATCTGAGACTTCACATTCCAATAGGCAAACAGGTTATCCAATCGGATTAACTGAAAATAAAATTTATTAGATGTCTCATTTTCTTTGAAGAATTTTTATCATACACTATTTTCAGAAGTCTCAAATAATTAAGTGAGCCATATCACAGAGTTAAACAAATAAGCAAAATTCACATACATCCTTATCTATATATTATCATTTGGCTTTCCAAAATTCTCTTAAGTCCATGAGTTGACAAACACAGTATTTATTTACCTTACGAACCAGTTTCTCAGTTTCATCATGTAAACATGGAACCCAGTATTGATCAGTTGTCTGAAAAGGAAAAAAAACAATGGCAGTAAAAAGGTCATTCCATTTGAAACAGCAGAGTAATAAATCATTATCTACCATACCCTAGACCAATGTCCCTTTCATGAAAATGCCTTTAAAGACATATCACTCCATCAAAAAATACTAACTGACCACAGTAAAGTGTCTGCTTTCAAGGAAGGAGCTCATTGCGGGTCAGAAAAGCAAACAAAGAAACAGGCAACTTCCAACAGGTAAGTGCCACAGCAGAAGTTAAATACTCATTTAACTTCTAAAACTCATAACTCATTTAACTTATAAAAGAATGTTCTAGGAGCTATTTAGATTTGCAGGTATCATTGGGTGCAGTGGCTCACACCTGTAATCCCAACACTTTGGAAGGCTGAGTTGGGAGGATTGCTTGAGGCCAGGAGTTTGAGACAAATTTGGGCAACAAAAAGTGAGACCTTGTCTCTACAAAAAAAATGCCCTCTCATTTCATTGAGAGGGCATGGCAGGAGCATCCAATTCAGGGGTGTGATGGATAAAGAGATGTTATATATAACCTAATATATAACATGTAACTAAAAATTATTGATTCTAAGGTCGACAGGGAATATGATTCACAACAGGCAGAGCCCAAAAGTACACAAATATATGGCACATTCAGGCAACTGAAGTAGCTCAGTATGCAGGAGAATATAATGCAAAACAGACAGAGAAAAAAAGTAAAACCAGGTATATTGCCTGGGGTCGGTTTAAAAAGGGTTTATAAGTTGTTTAAGGATAAAACTAAGAGCAATGAAAAGCCACTGAGAGGAATAAAGTGATCAGATCTTTATTTCAGAAAGATGGTTTTCGTTTCTATGTGGAGACGAACTGAATGGATAATTAGAATAGTAGCTCTCAAAGTTTAGCATGCATTAGGATCACCTAGAGCAGTGGTCCCCAACCTTTTTGGCACCAACGACCAGTTTCATAGGAGATAACTTTTCCATCAGGGGCACAACCTAGATCCCTGAGATGCGCAGTTCACAATAAGGTTCGCTAGGATCCTACGAGAATCGAATGCCACCTCTGATCTGACAGAGCTCAGGCGGTAATGCTCACTCCCAGGCCTTACCTCCTGTTCTGTGGCCCAGGAACCCTGACCTAGAGGGCTTTGTAAAACACAGATTGCTGCAACCAAATCCTAGAGTTTCTAACTGAACAGGTCTAGGCTGGCAGACAAGTTTCCAAAGGTGATGATTAGTAACTACTGTTATCACGGTTACCAAAGATCTTCACATTGCCCAATCCAATGGCTAATTCTCCATTCTTATTTTTCAACTTAATGAGAGTATTTGAGTAACTTTTTGGAGGGCATTTTTTCTTTTTTCGTTGCAGTGGGGCCACATTTTAAAAAGAAACTGTGGAGTCTCTCTGAGCCTGCTCTGGCTTGGGAGGCTGCCCAATTTAAAAATAATAATAAAATTAAAAAGAAATCTTACACAAAACCCAATAGATACAACAAATAAAATCATGCAATGAAATACACAGCAGTTAAACTGAATGAATTTTGTTACATGTGGTAACACAGATAAATGTCAACAACACTGGAAAGTGCAAAAAGGAACTCATAAAAGAGTCATATAAAACGCGTAAACTTTTATAATCCTACATTTTTAATAGATATATTATATAAAAGTTTTAAAATTTAGGATACTTATCTCTGGGGAAGGACGGGTGGGTGGAAGTAGAAAACAAAAGGGATTCAAACTTTATCCAAAACAGCTTATTCCTATAAAAATATTTAAGACTTTAAGCAAATAGGCTATTTTAATAGGCTCTTAATTTAACAGCCATCCATTCTGGAGGCAAGCATATGTTTCAAAATTCTCTACATGTTCTTATATTTTTAAAATTCCTCAATTTCAAAAATTAAACAGGAAAACACTATGCTACAATATTAATAATGATATTGAGAAAAACTGAAGATTTTTGTTTTTCAAGGCTTATCGAAGTTTCAGATATGAACATTTATTACTTGTATTTGGTACTTACTCATTACAAACTTGGAAATGGATTTCTTAAAGTAAGCAAAAGCATCTAACATCATAATTACCAATAATAATAGGACCTCATATTTCTGAATTTGATTTTCAACCATTTTTTGAAATGTGAATCTACATACCCTCGATTCCAATCCAATGAAGACCCTTTGTGCACCCGTTCTACATAGACACCTATTTCTGATGCTGGCATATACAAATAGTAGCAGTTTAATAGACTATATTGCACATTAAATATGGTTAAGATTCTTTTATAAACAAAATACCTGCATGCTCAGATTTTGAAGGGAAATACCAAATGACAGCGGTTTGTCCCGATTTGTGATCTAAAGAGGAAAGAAAGTAAAATTTATTCAGATTTTTAGTAGTTGGATAAAATCCACTTTATAGAAAAAACTGTCAATGTGCAGCGGCTCCCATCTGTAATCCCAGCACTCTGGAAGGCCAAGGCAGGAGGACTGCTTGAGCTCTGGAGACCAGCCTGGGTAACACAGTGAGATCCTGCCTCTACAAAAAAAAATGTTAAGAAAATTAGCCAGGCCTGGTGGGGTGCAACTGTAGTCCCAGCTACTGCAGGGTGGGTGGGTGGGGGTGAGGTGGGAGGATCACTTGAGCAAGGAATGTCAAGGTTGCAATGAGTCATGATCGGGCAACTGCACTCCAGCCTGGCGACAGTGTGAGGCCTTGTCTTGGGAAGGGGAGGCAAGGGGAGGGGAGGGGAGAGAAGAGGAGAAGAGAAAGAAAGAGAGAAAGAGAAAGAGAGAGAGAGAGAGAGAGAGAGGGAGGTGGGGGGAGGAAGGGAGGGAGGGATAACTTTTTGGGAAGTAACTTATTTCAAACATTCAGAAACATTTTATTACTTTCCAGAAAAACTTTCATTCCTATATTTTTCCTAAAACAAATTAGAATACTAATTATTAATGTATTCGTGTTACACAGGAATATTATACTGCATGTTTTCCAGTTTACAAAAAAAATTATTAAAAAAGACTAACAAAATAGGATTATAAAGCAAATAATTATCTGGTTAAGAGAAAACAAATGACCTATTCAGGATCAAGGAATTATTTAAGGCTAGCTCCACTAATTGCTAGACCAGTACTCCATCCAGGAGGTAAATATAGCATACTTTAAAGTATTTTAAAAATACATAACTGCTAAATTCATAATTCCCAAGGCATTTCCTTCATGATCTAATGTCTGAACATTTTGGGAAAGTGTAAAATCAAGCACTCAACACTAAGGACTGCAAATTACAACTATAATTATAGAAAAGAAGGATCACATCATCTTTAGCTCTGTAACCTTTTGGGATTTAACAGATTGGCCATTAAAAAGTAGGTGTCATTAAATAGTAAAATAACTTACATATAAATATAAAAACAAATATCACATATTAAAATACTTACATCATCTTCATAACGAATATGGATACTGGAAATTTTCACCTGAAGATTTTTTATGATCTGTGTAACTAATTTTTCTGCAAAAGTGTCCTGTTTTTCCGGCAGATGTTGTTCTACAATTGCAAATATTCCTTTTTTAAAATTGAATGAAAAATATACTCTATAAATATCCACATACTGAAGTAACATGCTTACGTTGCCTTGCTGAAATATACATATATATGTAAATAGAACACTAATAGCTTGCTTTCCAAAAGTCTTTCAAAAGCAAGTAAACATTTTTCAAAAGCTAGTTTATTGTGCCATGAGACTAAAGCAGACCATGTAGAATTTACTGGCATTAAATTTTATAATTTCTGTTAACCTATGCCTGAGTACAAAAATATATTTAAAAATGAAGATTATTGGGTAAGAATTACAATAGACTTAAATGAGAAAATCCACTAACAGCAGCAAAGCAGAAATCTCTCTCAAAATTAGTGATACCACCATTAAGTTGCCTGTGTATAGATGTGTAAAACAGTTGAATATCCTCCTCCCCCAGTAAATACAAAATAGGAAATAAGATCTTCTTTCTTCTTTTGAACAAGGATGAAAGAAGTTCATCAACTATTTCATGTTCAGAAAACAGCATTAACTATCTCAAGTTCCATTACTTTCCAAAGAAATAGAAAGAATCAAGAATTGGAGGGGCAAGGTGGCTCACACCTGTAATCCCAGCACTCTGGGAGGCCAAGGTGGGCAGATCATCTGAGGTCAGGAGTTTTAGACCAACCTGGCCACTATGGCGAAACCCCGTCTCTATTAAAAATATAAAAATTAGGCAGGTATGGTGGTCCATGCCTGTAGTCCCAGCTACTTGGGAGGCTGAGGCAGGAGAATCGTTTGAACCAGAGAGGTGGAGGCTGCAGTGAGCCGAGATCACACCACTGCATTCCATCCTGGGAGACAAAGTGAGACTTTGTCTCAAAAAAAAAGAAAAACCAAGAATAAAGAAGAATAAAGAATTGAGGTTCCTAATTTTTTTGAAATATGCCTTTGATAATCATAGTTATTATCCTTTTTCTCCCCTTAAAAATGCCAATGAAAGCTATATTCTTTATTTCTAATTCTGTTCCTCTTTTCATATTTCTACTCCTATATAGAAATAATACATATAAATCTATCTTTTCCTCTAATTGCCTATTACTCTCAAATTCAGCTGGCCCAGGAGGCCTTAGATAAAGGAAAGCTGAAGATACTAATCATATGTACCTCAAATACACCAGAGTTAAATGAATATATATACATATAAATAGATTATAGAATTAAGTAGACAACAGAATACAAGCTCTTTAAAGACAGAGGATCATATTTTAATCTTTGACTCTCACCACTACCTAATAAAATCTTTTCTTTTATAAATTCATTTAGTCATTCGATTAAATGTTGTCTTTCTTTCTCTACCCACTACTTCCTCCTGACTTCCTTATGCAGCTCAGATTCCATGATATGTTATTTTACCAACACCTTAAATCCCTTTGCTCTTTTTTTGCATATTACTGTCAATAAAGTACCAATCCTGAATAAAACCAACTATCCATTTTACATGAAAAGCATATCAATGCCTATATCTTGCAGGGTAATGAAACAAAACACAAGATGAGTTTAAAACAAACAACAACAACAACAAAAATCCAAGTCACAGAACCCTGGAAAGACACAGGAACTGGAAACCCCACCAAACAAAAAATAGCAAACATGGAACACAGTGGAGAGAGAGGAAGATAACACAAGAACTGATTTAAATCTGTATAAGGAGCAGTTAAGTTAGGTCCCCTTCTCTCCCAGCCCAATATCCAAGCAACATCCCTTTCCCACCCTAGTGAGAACACAAGGGTTTATTTTAGAGAAAATGGCCCTAATAGGATCCAAATTTTGTACATGGGAGAACAGGGAGGTTAACTAAAAGCCTACAAAATAAACAGTCATACTTAAAGCCACTTTATTTATATATAAATAAAACATTTATATATAGCCATGATACTATTAACAATGAATTCTGATTTAACCAAAAATGTGACAGAACTATATAGAGAAGATGAAAAAATAGGGTCAATCTTCATAGTACATCATAAAAGGATGTGTGTGTAATATATATATTACACGTTATATATTATATATGTCATATATATGCCAATGAAACACGAGATGAGTTTAAAATATGTAATGTCATTAATTATATGTTATAAAATATGTTATGTTATAGATAATATGCATGTTATGTTACATATAACACGTTTTATATATATATATATATATATATATATATATATATATATAATATCTAAATAAATCAAGACACAGAGGTTTGAGCACCATATTTAGTAATATAGGTGCGGGCCTGGGCCAGGAACAGTTGGTTTTTTTTTTTAATCCGGACACTATAATACTGCTTAACTTTTAAAGCTATGTATATATATTATCTTGATAAAATAAAAATAATTTTTAAAAAGAAAAGGCCTAAGAGACTTAGGAAAGAGGACTGGAGGTAAGGATAAATGACTACACATAATATAAAGTAACTGTTACAGAGAAAAAACAGAATTACAAGAGATATTGCCAAGAATTACATGTTAAATCTCTATTAATGTTTGCCAACAAGTAAAACATTATTGAAGCTTATTATTTTTTATTAAAAGAAAATCAATGCATTTCAGAGACAGTGAAGTCAGTAAACTTTTTAATTTTAAGATGTTTAACTATTAAATGAATGACAGAGGAGAAGAACATAAACAGATGACTAGGTTAAGAAAATGACTTCATGTTTCAAGATAAAGAACAGCGTATTTACATGCCAAGGCAAAAAACCCACTAGGTGAGAGTTTAAAAAGTAGCTGGCAGTAAGGATCAGAGAACAGGTGAAAAGGAATTAGATTTCTTCAGGACACCGCTTCCAATAATGAAAAAGAGGTTGCAGTAATGGAACATATTGTCTAAGTTTAATTGGAAAATATGTGAAGCCAGAGGGTAAATAAACAGATAGAGGCAAATAGAAATATGTCAAGAAACTAAGTATCTCCAAAAGGGTGAAGAATTGATATAAAAGGAATACAAAAGCAAAGGCTAGAAAATTAAGAAAATATGCTTGATAAAATTAATTGCTATCATTAAAAACTGACCTTACCTAGTATGTATATGTGTGTGTGTGTATATATATATATATAAAAAATATGTAAACCTAATAATAATAATAAGCTAGACATATTATTTGCCTTAAGATAAATTTCCATAAGGTAAAATTCCTGTACACATAACAAAGCATACAAACCACATTAAAATTCCCCATGCAATGAGATTCTATCATATTTCTGAAATAATCTCAGCATCTCCAGAGAAAAATAATATTCAATTATGATAAATATTTAGGTCTTTTCTACTTCTCTTATTAGCATTGTTATTTACTGTTTTCTTTACCTTGATCAACTACTTTTTGTTTTGCTTCTTCTATTCTTTTCAGTTCCTGTTGCTTTGCTTCCATGAGTTGTTTCTCTTCTTTTAAAGGATCATATTTTATTCCTATAGGAAGATTAAAAAGGAAGAATCATAACTACCTTAAATTTAAATATAGTCATTCCAAAAAAATCCTTACAAATAATCATTAATTGGCCGGGCGCGGTGGCTCATGCCTGTAATCCCAGCACTTTGGGAGGCCAAGCTGGGCGAATCATGAGGTCAGGAGTTCGAAACCAGCCTGGCCAACACGGTGAAACCCCATCTCTACTAAAGATACAAAAGCTAGCTGGGCGTGGTGGCAGGCGCCTATAATCCCAGCTACTCAGGAGGCTGAGGCAGGAGAATCGCTTGAACCCAGGAGGCAGAGGTTGCAGTGAGCTGAGATGGTGCCACTGCACTCCAGCCCAGGTGACAGTGCGAGACTCCATCTTAAAAAAAAATAATAATAAATAAATAATAAATAATTCAAAGTTGCCAAAAATGTAGAGTAAAAACCAATTTAATTTGAATTAACAAATATCAAATTTAAATATTAAAATCTCAAAAAAATTCCAAAAGTATTTTGAATATAAATATTTTTCCATCCATAAAAAAGAATAACTTAAATTATAATTTTTTTAAATTTAACTTACTAGAAGAAGGCACTATAAGTAAATAAATTTCTTCCAATACGGCTTCAACAGGTTGAGTATAAAGGTTTTTCCATGGAATTATAAGTTTAAGATTACCTACATTTTTTTGGGAAAAAAAAAAAGGACAAAAAATATTACTCCTTCAACCTGCATTTATGGTTAGTCTATTTTCTGTCAGGCATTGAAGAGATAATAAAGTGGCCTTTGTCCTTAAGCGTTTAATCACTTTATTGAAAGCTATTTTACAACTACAAACAACAAGTGTTTGTTGTAATGATTTGAAATTATTGTATTTATATCAGTACTGTTGGAAAACCTAGATTATATTCGAAATATACAAGTTTCTATTTACAGTTCTCTGTACCATAAACAAAACAATGTTCTTCTTCCCTTAATCAACAATCCTTAATATCATAACTTTGAATTTCCCCAGTTCTTACTCTAAACCTATATTTTTTAATGCTTTAAGATGGTAGATTAGGCCAGGCGCAGTGGCTAACACCTGGAATCCTAGCACTTTGGGAAGCTAAGGCAGGTGGATCGCTTGAACCCAGGAGTTCAAGACCAGCCTAGGCAACATGGCAAAACCCTGTCTCTATGAATAAAAACTAAAAAAATTAGCCAGGCGTGACAGTATGTGCCTGTAGTCCCAGCTACCTGGGAGGCTGAGGTGGGAGGATCTTGAGCCCAGGAGGTCAGGACTACAGTGAGCCATGATCATGCTACTGCCCTCCAGCCTGGGTGACAGAGTGAGACCTTTACCTCCCCGCAATGAAAGGTAGATTGTATACTTTAAATAAGTGTGTGTATGTATATTTTTCATTATGTATATGTGTGTTACATACGTATGTATGTATGTATAGTAATTCACATATACACATATGGTAATAATCATACATATAAACTATATATATGAAAACTACACATAAAGTAATAATAAAATATTCTGGGTAATATTTGAAAATTATGCAAACTAATGAAAACATCCTAAGAAAATCAAACAGCAAAGAATTTTTTTTTTAAGCGTAAGGGTTCTTGAACTACAAAAACACTATGTATGGGGTTTCTTATACTACTCACTCTAGTTTTGTATCTTGAGAATATTTTCGTAATAGAGAGTTTTAAAATATTTTAGAATTGTTTAAATGGTATGAGTGTCTAGATTTATACAGCTGCCATAATTGTGTAAGGAATAGATTATTAAATATACTATGTTGCTAAAACTGGTTAGTGATTGGGAAATTTTTTTAAATCCACTTAGATCCATCTCATGATATTTTATAAACTCCATGTGTAGAAAACTTCAAACTGAGAAAAAGATTTCATCATATAATATCACTTCAGAGAAAAATGAACTATCTGATTTCTTTTTTATATTTTTTGTAGAGTCACAGTCTCACTATTTTGCCCAGGCTGGTCTCAAACTCCTGGCCTCAAGCAATCCTCTTGCCTCTGCCTCCCAAAGTACCGGGATTACAGGTATCAGCTACCCTGCCCGGCCTCTAAACTATCTGATTTCTAAAAGAGGAATAACTTTCTAAGTTTTTAAACCAGAGAACATGGGGATCATTTCAAATTTCTGTACAGACCAAAAATATAACCAAAATGAAATAATAAGATTGTGAAAAAACTGTAACAAATTTGACACGGTTAATTTATTTATAAATGTACCAACAGACTGCTTAAAATACATACAGTAATACTTCAAAAAAAGTAAATGAACAAAAGGACAAAGAGCAATTACAAAACTGTAAAAATAATAAACACATATTAACAGTGTGCCATTTTCACCACAAATGTTTTTTTAAAAAATCCAAACTTGACCAGGCGCAGTGGCTCACATCTGTAACCCCAGCATTTTGGGTGGCTGTGGTAGGAGGATCCCTTGAGTCCAGGAGTTCAAGACAAGCCTGGGCAACATGGCAAAACCCTGTCTCTACAAAAACTACAAAAATTAGCCAGGCATGGCGGCGTACACCTGTAGTCCCAGCTACTCGGGGACTGAGGTGGGAGGGTTACTTGAGCCAGGAAGGCATAGGTTGCAATGAGCCAAGATCGCACCACTGTACTCCAGCCTGGGCAACAGAGCAAGATGCTGTCTCAAAAACCAAACAAACAAACAAACCTTTTCTTCCTTCCCTTATAAAATGTAGACTCCTAGTAGAAAATTTGGCAAATTTCAAAAAAATACACAGATGTAATTCCAAAAACCTTCCACAGAAGACAACCTCTTTTATAATATGTACATGTGTATTTATATTTGATATATCTATAATTCTGCATTCTAAACGAGGGAAATTTTGAAAGATCAATACCCAATAATAGCAAGGGGACATACATTCCTATAAAACTGATTGTACTACTGTATCATTCATTTGGAAACATGTATTACTTTCATACAATAAATTGTGCCCCTACTATATATACCAAGTAATGTGCTAAGTGGTGAGGATACATTAAAAATTAAACCCACTTCTTCTCAAGAAACTCGATGTCTACTAGAAGGGGGAAAAAACAGTGATATTTTTAAAAGACAGGTGCTACGACAGAGGTACACAACACCTTAAATGACTCTCAAAATTATCTTGGGTTTAGTTCAGTGTACTTTCTACTATCTTATATTATCACTAAAAATTACCTTATCATTTTTAAACAAGATTAGGCAAGAAAAGAGAAGGCGGGCAGATTCTAAAGAAAATAGTCTATCTACTCTCCTGATATATTTTTTGACTGTTCTTGAATTGAGGTTAAATTTACATACACTGAAATACGACAATCATCACTGTAAAATTCAATGACCTTTGGTAAAAGTTTAAAAGTTATATAAAAATATGTATTGTAATACTTCTGTACCAATGGAAAAATAAAATTATTCTACAATATCCAAATATGCATTCACTGGATTATTATGGTACAGAATAAATGAGATCAAATCAACTCAGATTATGAGAAATCCTTTTTATACGCTAATGAAAAAATATAAAACTGTAAAAATAGCATAATTACAAGTATTTCAATACATATAAACTTGTAAGTATTTAAAATGTACACATGTAAATAATCAGAAATATGAAAAAATTAAAATGTTAGGTAGATAAAAATGGGTGACATTCTCCCCCTCTTACAGTAAACAGTCTTTAAAAGGTAGGAGTGGGGAGGATAGAATTCTACTGTCAGTAACATATGATGATGAAAGTTTTCTATGGTATGTGGTCTAATACCAACCATAAGTACACATAATTATGAAGACCTTTATCATGTAATCTAGGTAACCTTTCAGAATACTTTGTTCCCCAAGTGACAACAGTATAGCTTCAATAACAATGTATACATCCTACCACAAAACTATCTATATAACAAAAATATCTCCAAGTCCCAACTAAAGACACTATTATCTTGCACAATATTTAAACCAGTAAAACTGTAACACAAGAAACATGACAGATAAGTTTTTATTAAAGATGTTAAAACCTCAAATTCCAATCATTTACTGCTCAACCAATATATTTAAGATATAAACAGTAAACACTGGTAAAAATAATACCAAACAAGAAAAAGCACAGTATTTTCTGAAACCATACAAAAACTTGCAGAGCAGAAATTAGTTTTCAAATCGGCCCCTAGTCACAGGGCCTGGATGATGCAGAACCTATTCTTTACACAATATATCCAATGTTAATCAAAATATAGCAGTGGTAACTAGACAGAAACCTAGGAAACTGAAACAGTTAAGCTCTCCCTTAGAGGTAATCCTTTGAATTAACTCAATTTACCACCTAAAGAGATATGTAATGTATTAGGATATCAAATACTAGGCAAGGGATATATGTATCGGACAATATTTTTAAGTTGCACAACAAAGCTCTACTGAGACAAAAACACATGATTATTTTTAATTGATGCTCAGAAACATGAAAAATATCACATAATAGATATATTAGGCAAATTATTCTGGCTGCATGTCCAGGAAGGAGGATATCCCAATAATGAATATGGCTTACCTATGTGACCAACTTTAACTTTAAATGGTACATCCAGTTGACTCTACAGAAAAAATTTATATATACACAAAACATTAGTAGATATAGAGTTTAACAACATAAATGAATACTCTTTACTTCCAAAAATTATTTCAAGGGATTTTTTAATAAACTTACACATTTCCTTATCATCAACATTTATTTAAATATATAAACATATAACTGCAATATTACTATCAAATCCATAAAATCCAGGGAAGCTGCTCTTTTAATAATAATTGGGGATAAAGGTCTACAGTAAAAATGACCAGAAAATCTACTCATATCAAATCATTACCAATTTTATATTATTTTAAGAAAAAGAAGTGGCAATTACAATGTCATTTTATGCTTTTAGGGAGATTAAAACTCTATTTTGCAAAATACGCGTTTTGTAAAAAATAAACTTTCAAAACGTTCTCCCCATTCAAAGAATAGCCTTTTAAATAAATGGTGCTAGGAAAACTAGATATCCACTCGCAAAAACATGAAACTGAACCCTTATCCTATACCATATACAAAAATTACCTCAAAATGGATCTAAGATCTAAACCTAAGAGCTAAAACTATACAACTCTTAGAAGAAAACATAAGGGAAAATCTTCACGACATTAGATTCGGTAAAGACTTCTTGAATATGACAATAAAAGCACAAGCAATTAAAAAAATGAACTAGTCTTTATCAGATTAAAAACTTTTCAGCTGCTCAGGAGGCTGAAAGGGGAAGACAGCTTGAGCCTAGGAGCTGAGGCCTACAGTAAGCTATGATCACACCACTGCACTGCAGCCTGGGGTGACACAGCATGAGCCTGTCTTAAAAAAAAAATCAGAAAACAAGTTAAAAATTTGAAATAAAAACATCTGTATTTTTTGTATGTTTGTTTTTGTTTTGTTTTGTTTTGAGACAGAGTCTCACTCTGTCACCCAGGCTGGAGTGCAGTAGCACGATCTCCATTTACTACAGCCTCCACCTCCTGGGTTCAAGCGATTCTCCTGCCTCATCCTCCCTGGCAGCTGGGATTACTGGCGTCCACCACCATGCCTGGCGAAGCTTTTTGCATTTTTAGTAGAGATGGGGTTTCACCATGTTGGCCAGGCTAGTCTCGAACTACTGACCTCAAATAATCCACCTGCCTTGACCTCCCAAAGTGCTGGGATTACAGGCATGAGCCACCATGCCCAGCCTAAAACAATATGTATTTTTAAATAGAAAAAAAATCACACTGTCCATTTGTGCTTTCAGGGAGATTAAAACTCCATTTAGCAAAATTTACATTTTGCAAAAATTATTTACAAAAAACTTTCTCAAATTTAAATAATTTAAGGTGACAAACTGAATCAGGAAGAATTATACATAATTAAATGCAATAACTTTACAAATTTTTCATAGTCAAAACCTACCAGGGCATTTTCTTTAATTTGAAGATTCTTGAGGGCCACAGCTCCTAAAAAAGATTAAAAAAAAGATTCAAACAATCAAATATTTTTCATTTTAAAAAGTTAATATGTATGCTTCATTCCTGTCATAATCAGGAAAAATATATAAATAATGTGCATAACAGATAATATAATCTGCCTATAATCTTATTATCTCACCTTCATTCTTCTACATAGTCTAACAGAGTATGCTTGACCAAATCTTCACTAATTGTATCTTTTGACCTCTGCAATTGTAGCTCAATGTTAATATATACAAACATTTTAATCAGAATTATACAAATGAGTCTAACAAAGTAGCATGATACAAGATCAACATGCAAAAAGTAAACTACATTTAAATATACTTGCAATAAACCATTGAGAAAAAATTATTTAATGCAAAATCAGTAAGCCCCAAGATACGTAAATAAAAACTTCCCAATTCAAAGCCAATAAAAAAAGAAAATGAGAAAAATAATAGAACAGAATGTCTAAGAACTATAGGACAATTGCAAAAGCTGTAACATACAGGTAATGGGATTAATGAAAGTTTAAAATACACTGCTATAACATTAGGATGTTACATGTAACCCCATCGTAACCACAAAGAAAATACCTTTAGAACATACACAAAAGTCATCCAGGCATGGTGGCAGGCACCCGTAGTCCCAGCTACTTGAGGAGGCTGAGGTGGGAGGATCACACAAGCCTAGAAGTCCAGCCTGGGCAACACAGCGAGACCTCATTGCTATCTTGATGTTAATATTAATTATGTTATTAGTTAATTAAACACAAAATGAATCAAAGTTGCTATAAAAAATTAACTAAACCAAAGGAAAGGCACTAAGGGGTAAAACAGAAAGAAGAAATGCTGTAAGACACATAGAAAGTAATTAGCAAAATGGCAATATTAAGTCCTTCCCTATCTGTAACTACTTCAAATATAAATGGCTTAACTCTCCTACAAAAAGACAGATTGGCAGAATGGATTAAAATAAACAGGATCCCAGCCGGGAGCGGTGGTTCACGCCTGTAATCCTGGCACTTCGAGAGGCTGAGGCAGGTGGATCACCTGAAGTCAGCAGTTCGAGACCAGCCTGACCAAAATGGTGAAATCCCATCTCTACTAAAAGTACAAAATTAGCCGGTCGTGATGGTGCATGCCTGTAATCCCAGCTACTTGGGAGACTAAGGCAGGAGAATTGCTTGAACCCAGGAGGCGGAGGTTGCAGTGAGCCGACATCACGCCACTGCACTCCAGCCTGGGCAACAGAGTGAGACTCCATCTCAAAATAAATAAATAGAGAGAAAGAGAGAGAGACAAAAAAAATAAAAGTACGTGGTCTACAAGAAACTCACTTTGGCTCTAAGGACACTCATAGGTCAAAAGCAAAAAGATTTAAAAAAAAGTAAGCCCATGCAAAAATAACCAAAAGAGCAAAGATACCTGGGCATCACTAATCCAAAACTCCAAAATCGGAAACTTTCTGAGTGCAGACATAATACCACAAGTGGATGATGAAGATAAAGATGATGATGTTACCAATGCAAAAAGGTACCTATAGACCACATGGTACATGGTGAAAATGTGTGATGGGCTTATTAAAGGACTGGAGCAGCAGGCATTCATAACAGAACAATAAATTATGACAGTTTATAAAATCAGAGACTTCTCAGACAAAAAAGAGTTAGTGAGGCAGATGGTTCTGGAGGAAACATTTTTAAAAGCCATCTAGCAAAATGCCTCCTCATCCCCTGAGGATCCAATTCCGGGCCCCTCAACTGCTTCTAATGTTTCTTCTCACTTGAAAAAAAAAATAAATAAATACAGTACATTCTACAGTTACCTTTTAATCAAAACACAGCATTGTAGGTGGAGACTGAGAGCCTGCCTGCCACTGTTTGTTGCTGCTGCTGTTTAACAGTGGATACATATATTCCCAGTGATGCTACTGTGCTGCTTACTCACCCTGAACACACTGTATTTTCACTGAATTAATGGTACCTCATATGTCTTACTGTTAACAACTTACGTGTGAATAAATGTGAGAAAATTATTGCTGATCAGCATATAAATTCAGTCAAGAATAACGATGATGCCAAACAACCACAGATTGTCCACATGGGCAGCTGAGACAGTGACGCCTTTCCTTTCTGATGGTTGAAGGTACACAAGCTTTGTTTCATGCAGAAAATTATTTAAAATATTGTATAAAATTATCTTTGGGCTATGTGTACAAGGTATATTTGAAACATAAATGAATTTTGTGTTAGACTTGGGTCTCATCTCCAAGATATCTCATTATGTATATGTACGTATTCTAAAATCTGAAGAAAAAAAAAATCCAAAATCCATATCACTTCTGATTCCAAGCATTTCAGATAAGGCATATTCAACCTATACTAATATTAGACATATAAACTTTAAGTCAAAATCTGTTACAAAAAACAAAGAAGGGCATTATATAATGATAAAACCGACACTTCACTAAAAAGATGTAACAATTATAAACATGTATGCACCAAACATGAGACCAGCAAAACATATGAAGCAAACACTGACAGAATTGAGGAGAGAAACAGATAGCACTACATTAGCAGTAGAAGGCTTCAATACCCCACTTTCAGTAATGGACAGAACAACCACACAGAAGATTAATAAGGAAATATAGGACTTAATACTATTGACCAACTGGACCAAAAGACACATACAGAACACTCCACCCACCAACAGCAGAATACACATTTTTCTCAGGTGCACATGGGACATTCTCCAGGATATATGTGAGGTCATAAAACAAGTGTCAAAATTTTTGTAAAGAGAAAAGAAAACATACAAATGGTCAACAGGTATATATATGAGAAAAGGCTCAGCATCACCCATCATCAGATAAATAAAAATCAAAACCACAAGAAGATATTACCTCAACCTATTAGACTGGCTATCATCAAAAAGACAAAAAAATAAATGCTGGTGTGACTGTGGAGAAAGGGAAACTCTTACACACTGTTTTTGGGAGTATAAATTAGTACAGCCATTATAAAACACACTATGGAAGTTCTTCAAAAAATTTAAAAATAAAATTACCATATGATCCATCATTCCCACTAATGTATAAATATCCCAAAGAAATGAAATCAGTTTGTTGAAGAGAAACCTGGACTTTATGTTTATTGCAGCACTTTTCACAAAAGCCAAGATATGAAATCAAGTGTCTACAAACAGATGCACTGCTAAAGAAAATGTGGTATATATATACACAGTGAAATACTATTCCCCATTTAAAAAAAAAAACAAAACAAAACAATATAATCTTGTCCTTTGCAGCAACACAGACGCACCTGGAAGGCATAATGCTAAGGGAAATAAGCCAGGCACAGAAAGACAAATACTGCATGATTTCACGTGTGAAATCTAAAAAAGTTGACATCTCATAGAAGTAGTGTATAGAATAGTGGTTGCCAGAGGCTGGGGAATACTGGCGAGAGGGGAAATAGGTAAAGATTGGTCAATGAGAATAAAGTTACAGTAAGATGGGAAGAATAAGTTCTGGTGTTCTATTGCACAGCAGAGTGACTATGGTTAACAATACTGTATTGCATGTTTTAACATAGCTAGAAGAAAGATTTTGAATGTCCTCACCACAAGGAAATGATGAATGTATAAGGTGATGGATATTCTAAATACCAATTTGATTTTTATACAATGTATACATGTATTGAAACATCACCCTGTACCTAATAAATATGCACAATACATGTCAATTAAAAACAAAATTGTAAAATTATAAAAGATTGACGTTATGCAAGGTATCTTTTCTAGTAACAATAAATAAATAAAATAAATAAGGAAATAACAGATGGAAACAGAACAATGAACAAATATATGAAAATTAAGCACTCTTAAATAAGAAACGGGTCAAAAAGGTAACCCCAAGAAAAATTAGAAAATATCGAGATGAAAATAAAAAGACTGTACCATCATAATTAGTATGATACAGCAAAAGCAGCGCTAGAAGGAACATAAAGCTGTAACTGTTTATGTTTAAAAAGAAGAAACATCCCAAATCACCACCTAAATTTATTCCTTAAGGAAATAGGGAAAAAAACAAAACAAAATGCAAACCTAGCAGAAGGGAGAAAATAATAAAGATCAGAGCAAAGATAAGTGAAAGAGAATGGAAAAAAAATAAAAATAAAAATAAAGCATTCGTTTTCTTTTTTTTTCTTTTTTGAGACGGAGTCTCGCTGTGTCGCCCAGGCTGGAGCGCAGTGGCACGATCTCAGCTCACTGCAACCTCCGCCTCCTGGGATCAAGTGATTCTCCTGCCTCAGCCTCCTGAGTAGCTGGGATTACAGGGGCCCACCACCATGCCCAGCTAATTTTTGTATTTTTAGTAGAGACGGGGTTTTGTCATGTTGGCCAAGCTGGTCTCGAACTGCTGACCTCAAGTGATCCACCCGCCTCAGCCTCCCAGAACGCTGGGATTACAGGCGTGAGCCACTGCACCGGGACACCGACTGTTAGTTTTCTAAAAAGATCAATAGGTTGGGCAAGGTGGCTCACGCCTGTAATCCCAGCACTTTGGGAGGCCGAAGCAGGCAGATCACGAGGTCAGGAGATGGAGACCATCCTGGCTAACATGGTGAAACTCGGTCTCTACTAAAAATACAAAAAAATTAGCCAGGTGTTGTGGCGGGCACCTGCAGTACCAGCTACTCGGGAGGCTGAGGCAGCAGAATGGCGTGAACCCGGGAAGCGGAGTTTCCAGTGAGCCGAGATTGCGCCACTGCACTCCAGCCTGTGTGACAGGCTTATACCATATTCAAAAATTAACTCAAAATGGATCCAAGAGCTAAATGTAAAACTGAAAACTATAAAACTTAGAATAAAGCATAGGGAGAAAGTTCTGTGACACTGCATTTTGCAATGATTTCTTGGATATAACACCAAAAGCATAGGCAACAAAAGAAAAAAAATAGGTGAATTGGACTTCGTCAAATGTTAAAACTTTTATTCCTCACATGACACTATATACAGTGAACAGACAACAGAGAGGAGTCAGGGTGGCCAAGTAGACACAGAGTCAGGAAGAGCTTCCACCACCAAGAGACCAGGCCATCAAGAAGACCAGCACACTCTGAGCAGATCTTTGGAAGGAAGGCACTGAGAGTGAACAGAAGGAGGATGCGGATCCTGGGCTGAAGGAGGAGAAAGCTGGGAACCTTACAGGGAGCTCCCCTAGCACCATGACTCATTCTGACCCCAAATGCTCCTGGGGAAAGGATGAGTTAAACAGGCATGGAGTAGCCTGTTCTTGTCATGGACCTCTAGAATCCTAGCTGAAGGAGGCTCCATGACCCCTACAGACATTTGAGGTTGCAAAGACAGCTGCTTGGGAAGTTGGCAGAAACAGGACTCCAGTCTGCACGGAGCCCAGAAGGCCTGGTGTGGGAATGGCTGCAGTGGAGCATGGCCAGGTATGTCCATCTCCCAAAGCTCACCACACACCTCTAGGTAGCTTTGGTCTTTGCTGACTATTGGACCTAGACAGAACAGAACTATCTTGCCCATGGCACAGGGCTTGTCAGATTTGAGCGCCCCCCCCAACCCCCATCCCTGGTTGCCTGTTCCACAGTCCCTGCCTGGCCACATCCAATTGCAATGGACGCTGATGCCCAACCGCAGCACTTCCCGACAGCCACCACTATAGCTCCTTTGCTGGCAAGCCCCAGGTAACCACCAGAGAGCACCTGCACATGGGCCTCCACCAGCATCCACCCACGCACAGCTTCCCCGCACTGTTTTGCCAGGACACCGTCACCCACAGCCTCCCCCGACGGCTTTTCCAATGTATATGCAGGCCTTACCACCCTACTGTCACCACCCCAACCAAGCACTTTTGCCGGCCCCACCATCAGAGTGTTGTTGCCCAGCAGACCGGGAACACCTTGGCCCCACCAGTGCAATGGGTGCTTAACCTCGAGGAGACAGAGAACAAAGTCATGTGCCTAGTCCTAACACCCCAGGGTTATAGCATGCATGCCAGGAGTGCTGAGCTGAGCCTTGGTACCCAGAAATCATCAAGAAACTATGCCAGTCGACTAAACTCAACTTATATCAAGGTCAAACCCTTGGGGCATCCAAGAATATAAAAGCAAAAAGCCTCATTCAAAGGATAGCAACTGGAGAGATTAAAGGAACATCAGCCCACAAAGATGAGAAAGAATCAGGGCAAGAATTCTAGCAACTCTATAAGCCTGAGTGTCTTCTTACCTTAAAATGACTGCAGTAGCTCCCCAGCAATGGTTCTTATTTTATATATTTATTTTTTTGAAGAGAGAGTTTTGCCCTGTCGCCCAGGCTGGAGTGCAGTGGCATGATCTCGGCTCACTGCAACCTCCACCTTCCGGGTTCAAGTGATTCTCCTGCCTCAGCTTCCTGGGTAACTAGGATTACAGGTGCCCACCACCACACCCAGCTAATTTCTATATTTTAATTAGAGACAGGGTTTCACCATGTTGGCCAGGCTGGTCTTGAACACCTGACCTCAAGTGATCCGCCCGCCTCAGCCTCCCAAAGTGCTGGGATTACAGGTGTGAGCCACTGTACCCAGCCTAGTGATGGTTCTTAATCACACTGAAATGATGGGCATAAAACTCAGAAGATACCGAAATTCGGGAGAAAGTTGAAACCCAATCCACGGAATTTAAGGACTCCAGTAAAATGAGTCAAGAGCTGAAAAATGAAATAGTCATTTTAAGAAACAACCAAACTGATCTGACAGAGCTAAAAAACTCACTACAAGAACTTCACAATATCACTGGAAGTATTAACAGCAGAACAGATTAAGCTGAGGAGGGAATCTCAAGAACTTGAAGACTGGTTCTTCAGTATCAACTCAGACAAAAATAAAGGAAAAATAACTTTTCAATGGAAAAAAATCTCCCAAAAACATGAGATTATGTGAAGAGATCAAATCTACAACTCACTGTTGTCCCTGAAAGAGAGGGAGAGAAAACAAGCAACTTGGAAACATATTTGAGGATACTGTCCACAAAAATTTCCCCATCCTAGCTAGAGAGGTTGACATGCAAATTCAGGAAATTCATAGAACCCCTGCAAGATACTATACAAGATGACCATCCCCAAGACACATAATCATCAGATTCTCCAAGGTCAATGTGAAAGAAAAAAATAATAAAGGGAGCTAGAGAGAAGGGGTAGGTCTACTACAAAGGGAATCCCATCAGGCTAGCACCAGACCTTTCAGCAGAAATCCTACAAGCCAGAAGAAATTGGGGGCCTAATTCAGCATCCTTAAAGAAAAGAAATTCCAACCAAGAATTTCATATCTAACCAAACTAAACTTCATAAGTGAATCAGAAATAAAATATTTTCAGACAAGTAAATGCTAAGGGAACTCATTACCACCAGACTTGCCTTTTAAGAGGTCCTTAAGGGAGTACTAACCATGGAAATGAAAGACCATTACCGGCTACCACAGAAACACACTTAAGTACAGAGACCACTAACTCTATAAAGCAACTATACAATCAAGTCTGCATACCAACCAGCTAACAACACGATAACAGGATGAAATCAGCACATAACAATATTCATCTTGAATGTAAACAGGCTAAACATCCCACTTCAAAGGCACAGAATGGCAATTCATATGAAGAACCAAGAACCAATTGTATGTTGTCTTTATGAGACCCATTTCATATGCAATGCCACCCATAGGCTCAAAGTAAAGGAATGGAGAAAGATCTATCAAGCAAGTAAAACAAAAAAGGGCAGGCATGGGTAACTTATTTCAGACAAAACAGACTTGAAACCAACAACAATCAAAAAGGACAAAGAAGGGCATTACAAAACAATAAAAGGTTGAATTCAACAAGAAGACTTAACTATCCTAAATACGTATATACCCAACACTGGAGCACCTAGATTCAAAAAAGAAGCTCTCAGAGACCTACAGAGACTTGCACAACCACACAATAATAGTGGGAGACTTCAAAAACCCACTGACAGTATTAGACAGACCTAAAGTCAACACTTCACCAAATGGACCTAACAGAGTTCTACAGAACACCTCACCCAACAAAAACAGAATATACGTTATTCTCATATGCACATGGCACGTATCTAAAACCAACCACATGCTCAACCATAAAGCAATTCTCAACAAATTAAAAATCCCACAATCATACCAACCATGTTCTCAAGATGACAGTGCAATAAAAATAGGTAACAATACCAAGAAGATCTCTCAAAACCATACAATTCCATGGAAATTAAACCACTCCTGAATGACTTTTGGGTAAACAACGAAATCTTAATTTCACTGAAATCCAGAAATTCTTTGGGCCAGGCACGGTGGCTCATGCCTGTAATCCCAGTACTTTGCAAGGCTTAGGTGGGGGGATCACTTGAGCCCAGGAGTTCAAGACCAGCCTGGCCAACATGGTGAAACATTGTCTTTACAAAAAATACAAAAAAAATTAGCCAGGTGTAGGAGTGCACACCTGCAGTCCCAGCTACTCAGGAGGCTGAGAGGTGGGAGGACTGCTTGAGCCTGGAAGGTGGAGGCTGCAGTGAGCCGTGTTCATGCCACTCCACTTCAGCCTCGGCAACAGGGCAAGAACCTGTCTCAAAAAAAAAAAAAAAAGAAGAAGAAAAAGAAAAGAAAAGAAAGGAATTATTTGAAACTAATGAAAACAAAGATACAATATACCAGAATCTCTGGGACATAGCTAATGTAGTCTTAAGAGGAAAGTTTATAGTGCTAAATGCCCACATCAAAATGTTAGAAAGATATAAAGTTAACAACTAACATCATGCCTAGAGGAACTAGAAAAATGAGCAAATCAACCCCAAAGCTAGCCACAGAAAAGAAATAACCAAAATTAGAGTTGAACTGAACAAAAAAAATACAAAAGATGGTTCCTTGAAAGAATAAATAAGATAGATTGCCAGCCAGACTAACAAAGAAAAAAAAAGAGAGAGAGGAGATCCAAATAAACACAATTAGAAATGGCAAAGGGGACATTACCACCGACCCAGAGAAATACAAAAAATCCTTAGAGGCTATTATGAACATCTCTATGCACACTAACTAGAAAATCTACAAGAAATGGATGAATTCCTGGAAACATACAACCTCCCAAGATTGAACCTGGAAGAAACTGAATACCTCAACAGAGCAATAATGAGTTCTGAAATTGTATAAAAAGTCTACCAACCAGAAAAAGCCCTGGACCAGATGGATTCATAACCAAATTCTACCGGACATATAAAGAAGAGCTGGTACCAATCCTATTGAAACTATTCCAAAAAATTGAGAAGGAGGGACTCCTCCCTAACTCATTTTATTTTATGAAGCCAGCATCATTCTGATAACAAAACCTGGCAGAGACATAACAAAAACAGGAAACTTCAGGCCTATATCCCTGATTAACATAAATGCAAAAATCTTCAACAAAATGGTAAACCAAATCCAGCAGCACATCTACCATGATCAAGTAGACTTTATTCCTGGTATGCAAAGTTGGTTCAATATACACAAATCAATAAGTGTGATTCATTACTAAACAGAACTAAAAACAAAAACCACATGATCATCTTTTCAGATTCAGGACTTTTGATAAAATTCAACATCCCTTCATGTTAAAAACCCTCAAAAGACTAAGCATCAAAGGAATATACCTGGAAATAATAAGAGCCATCTATGAAAAACCCACAGCTAACATCACACTGAATGAGCAAAATCTGGAAGTATTCCCCTTGAGAACCAGGACAACACAAGGATACCCACTTACTCCTATTCAACATAGTTCTGGAAGTCTTAGCCAGAGCAATCAGGAAAGAGAAAGAAATAAAAGACATCCAAATAGGAAGAGAGGAAGTCAAATCATCCCTGTTTGCAGACGGTATGATTCTATACCTAGAAAACTCCATAGTCTCTGCCCAAAGGTTCCTAGAACTAATAACTTCAACCAACTTTCAGGATACAAAATCAATGTACAAAAATCAGTAGTATTTCTATATACCAATAACATCCAAGCTGAGAGCCAAATCAAGAATTCAATCCCATTCACAATCGCCACAAAAAGAATAAAATGCCTAGGAATAGAGCTAATCAGAGAGGTAAAAGATCTCTACAATGAGAATTGCAAAACACTGCTCAAAGAAATCAGAGACAACACAAACAAATGGAAAAACATTCCATGCTCATAGACAGGAAGAATCAAAATTGTTAAAATGTCCATACTGCCCAAAGCAATCTACAGCTTCAATGCTATTCCTATCAAACTGCCAATGTTATTTCTCACAGAATTAGAAAAAACTATTTTAAAATTCATACTGGCCCAAAAAAGTAGCCTGAATAGCCAAAGCAACCCTAAACCAAAAGAATAAAGCCTGAGGCATCACACTACCTGACTTCAACCTATACTAAAAGGCTACAATAACCAAAACAACATGGCACTGATACAAAAACAGACATGTAGACCAATGGAACAGGTCAAGAGCCCAGAAATAAAGCCAGACACCTACAACCATCTGATTTTAACAAAACTGACAAGCAATGGGAAAAGGACTCCCTATTCAATAAATGGTGTGGAGATAACGGCCAGCCACATGCAGAAGACTGAAACTGGATCCTACCTTTCACCATATACAACAATCAACTCAAGATAGATTAAAGACTTAAATGTAAAACCTAAAACTATAAAAACCCTAGAAGAAAACTTAGGGAATACCATGCTGGACATAAGCCCTGACAAAGATTTCATGATGAAAATTCCAGAACTACAAAAAAAAAAAAAAAAAAGGCAAGTGGGACCTAATTAAACTAAAGAGCTCTTGCACAGCAAATGAAACTGTCCACAGAGTAAACAGACAATCTACAAAATGGGAGAAAACATTTGCAAGCTATACATCCAACAAAGATCTAATTATCCAGAATCGATAAGGAACTTAAACAAACAAGCAGAAAACTAACAACCCCATTTAAAAAATGGGCAATGGACATGAGCAGACACCTCTCAAAAGACACATGCGGCCAAGAAACATGGAAAAAAAAAACTCAACATCACTAATCATTAGAGGATTAATGATTAGTGAGATACGATCCTACACCAGTCAGAATGGCTATTATTAAAAAGTCAAAAATAACAGATGCTGGTGAGGCTGCAGAGAAAAGGGAACACTTACACACTGCTGGTGGGAATGTAAATTAGTTCAGCCACTTTGGAATGCAGTCTGGAGATTTAAGAACTAAGAACTACCAAAGAATTAAGAACTACCATTAGAACCAGCAATCCCATTACTGGGTATATACCCAAAGGACCATAAACTGTCCTACCATAAGGACACATGCATGCGTATGTGCATCACAGCACCACTTCACAATAGCAAAGACATGGAATCAACATAGATGTCTGTCAACAGTGGACTGGATAAAGAAAATGCAGTATATGTTCACCATGGACTACCACACAGCCATGAAAAGGAGCAAAATCATGCCCTTTGCAGCAACATGGATGCCACTGGAGAGCATTATCCTAAGCGAGTTATCACAGAAAAAGAAAACCAAATACTGCATATTCTCACAAGACGGAGTTAAAACTTGAGTACTGTGTTAGTCCATTGTTGTGTTGCTATAAAGAAATACCTGAGCCTGGGTAATTTACAAAGAAAAGAGGTTTAATTGGCTCATGGTTCTGCAAGCTGTACAGGAAGCATGGCACCAGCATCTATCTGCCCAGCTGCTGGGGAGGACGCAGGAAGCTTTCAATCATGGCAGAAGGCAAAAGCGGAGCCAGAACATCACATGGTCACAGCAGGAGCAAGAGGGGGAGTGCATAGGGAGGTGCCACACACTTAACCAGATCTTGCAAGAACTATTGCAAGGACAGCACCAAGCCATGAAAGATCCACCCCTATGACCCAACTGCCTCCCACCAGTCCCCACCTCCAACAATGGGGATTACAATTAAATATGAGACTTGGTGGGGACATGTATTCAAACTCTATCCAGTACACATGGACACAAAGAAGGAAACAACAAACACCAAGGCCTACTTGAGGGTGGAGGGTGTGGGGAGGGTGAGGATCAAAAAACTATCTATCGGGTACTATGCTCTCTACCTGGGTGACAAAATAATTTATACATCAAACCCCAGTGACACACAATTAACCCACACAACAAACCCACACATGTACCCCATGAACCTAAAATAAAAGTTAGCAGGGAAAAAAAGGAAGAAAAGGTAACACACAAAATGGGAAATATTTGCAAATCATATATCTGATAAGCAGCTAACATTGTGTGTGTGTGTGTGTGTGTGTGTGTATGTTTGTATGTAAACTCTTACAACTCAAAAAACAAACAACCTGATTAAAAGATGGACAAAGGACTTAAATAGATGTTTCTCCAATTAAGATATACAAATGGTCAATAAGCCCATGAAAAGATGTTCAACATTACTAATTAGAGAAATGTAAATGAAAACTACAAGATACCACCTCATATCCATTAGGATAACTACTATCAAAAAAAGAGAAAATAAATGTTGGTGAGGATGTGGAGAAATGGTGACCTTTGTACACTGTTGGTAGGAATGTAAAATGGTGCAGTCACTATAGAAAGTAGTATGATAATTCCTCAAAAAAATTGATAATGGAATTACTATATGATCCAGTAATTCTGCTTCTGGGTATGTAACCCAAAAATCTGACAGCACAGACTGAACTTCAAAGAAAAATATCCACATTCATAACACCATTATTCACAACAGCCAAAAGGTGGAAGCTGCCCAACTATTCATCAACAGATGAATGGAGAAACAAAATGCAGTATATACATACAATGGGATACTATTTAGCTTGAAAAATTATTGAAATGCTGACATTTCCTACAACACGGATGCACCTTGAGGACATTATGCCAAGTAAAAGAAACCAATAACAAATGGCAAATACTGTATAATTCCACTTATACTTCAAGTATTCGAATTTACAGACATCAAAAGTAGAATAACGGTTACTGGGGTCTGGGAAGACGGTGGAATGGGTAGTCATTGCTTAACGGGTAAGTGGTTCAGTTTTGCAAGATGAAGAATTCAGGAGATGAATAATGGTGAAGTCAGGAGATGAATGGTGGTGATGGTTGCACAATGTAAGTGTACTTAATGACATGAAGTGTACACTTAAAATGGTTAAGATAGGCCGGGTGTGGTGGGTCACACCTGTAATCCCAGCACTTTGGGAGGCCGAGGCGGGCAGATTACTAGGTCAAGAGATCAAGACCATTCTGGTCAACATAGTGAAACCCCATTTCTACTAAAAATACAAAAATTAGCTGGGCATGGTGGCATGCATCTGTAGTCCCAGCTACTTAGGAGGCTGAGGCAGGAGAATCGCTTGAACCCAGGAGGCAGAGGTTGCAGTAAGCAGAGACTGCGCCACTGCACTCCAGGCTGGGCAACACAGCAGGACTCCATCTCAAAAATTAAAAAAAACAAATAAATAAAGGAGTTCTTCAGAAAGAAGGAAAATGATTTAAACCAAAAACTCAGATTCACAGGAGCATTAGAGAATTAAGAGATGAAGGTAAATTAAGTCTTTTCTTCCTTATTCTTAAATTAATAGAAAAATGTCTAAAATACTAATAGCAGCAATGCATTGGATTATTACAGCTTATAGGTAAGTGAAATTAATGACAACAATGTTACAATGGGCAGAAGGGAGGAATCTGTATACTGTATTGTAAGATAGAGTATTACATATACTACCTCCATTTTCCATGAAGTAGTATAGTGGGATTTTTGTTTTTGTGTTTTTTGAGACAGAGTTTCGCACTGTCGCCCAGGCTAGAGTGAAGTGGCACAATCTCGGCTCACTGCCTCCCAGTTCAAGAGATTCTCATACCTCAGCCTCCTGAGTAGCTGAGACTACAGGCGCACATTACCATGCTCAGCAAATTTTTTGTATTTCTAGTAGAGATGGGGTTTCACCATGTTGACCAGGCAGGTCTCGTACTCTTAACCTTAAATGATCCGCCAGCCTCAGTCCCCCAAAATGCTGGAATTACAGGCGTGAGCCACTATACCTGACCTATAATGTTATTTGGACGTGGACTTGGACTAGTTTTAAGTGAACAGCACAAACTGTAATACAACCACTTAAATAAATTGTTTAAGAAGCATAATTGGTATGCTAAGACAGGAGAAAAAAATTAAATCATATCACATGATCAATTAAAACCAGAGAGGGCAAAAGAGGAGGGGAAGACTGTTTAAAAAGGAAACAAGTATAACAAAACAGAAAACAGCTATAAATATGATAAGACACTGTCAAAGGAAAATAAAGGTTTTTCTCTCTACTCTCATATTCGACACAGAACCCTTAGATAACCAGATATGTGAAGTTTTTCCCCCAATCCCTAAACAATTCTCCAACAGACACTAACTATAATTCAATTAAATAATGACACTATCTACCTAGAAAGGGTGTCATATCGAGCCGGGCGCAGTAGCTCACGCCTGTAATCCCAGCACTTTGGGAGGCCAAGGCAGGTGGATCACAAGGTCAAGAGATCAAGACCATCCTGGTCAACATGGTGAAACTCCGTCTCTACTAAAAATACAAAAAGTAGCCTGGTGTGGTGACAGGCGCCTGTAGTCCCAGCTACTCGGGAGGCTGAGGCAGGAGAATCACTTGAACCCGGGAGGCGGAGGTTGCAGTGAGCCAAAATTGCGCCACCGCACTCCAGCCTGGCGACAGAGCGAGACTCTGTCTCAAAAAAAAAAAAAGAGATAATGTCATATCCCACATGGTAAGGGCTCAGTTCCATAAGACTGCCCCTCACTTCAGATGTCAGTCACAAGTCGCAGGCTGTGATCTGTGCTTCTGATTGACCAGCTATAAATCAGGGTTCGCACCTGATTTTATTTGGTTTGATAATTTGCTGGGATAACTCACAAAACTCAGGGAAATACTTATATTTAACAGTTTATCATAAAGGATATTACAAAGGATACAGATAAAGAGATGGACAGAGCAAAGTAAGGTGGTGGGGAGCTTCCATGCCCTCCCTGTTGTGGACTTTGGTATCTGCACAGGTCTTGGAACTAAACCCCTGGAGATACTGAGTGCTAAACATACACGTCATGACCAAATGGGATTTATTCTAGGTATGCAAGGCTAGTTCAACATTCAAAGATCAATTAATGTAATGTATCACACCAACAGATTAAAAAAGAAAAAAATCCTGTGATAATAGTAATAGATGCAGAAAAAAACATTTGACAAAATCCAGCATTCTTTTGTTTTTGTTTTTTTGAGACGGAGTCTTGCTCTGTCACCTAGGCTGGAGTGCAGTAGCACGATCTCGGCTCACTGCAACCTCCGCCTCCCATGTTCAAGCGATTCTCGTGTCTCAGCCTCCCAAGTAGCTGGGACTACAGGTGCCCGCCACCACACCCAGCTAATTTTTGTATTTTTAGTAGAGACAGGGTCTCACCATGTTGGCCAGGCTGGGCTCGAACTCCTGGCCTCAACTGATCTGGCCACCTCAGCTTCCCAAAGTGCTAAAATTACAGGCATGAGCCATCATGCCTGGCTCCAACATTCTTGAAGGAAAAGAAAACACTCTCAGCAAAGCAGAATAGATGTGTATGTATGACAGAAAGAAAAAAATTAGAGTATTTGTTGCCTCTGAAGATGAGGGTAGGAATAAATTAGGAAAGGTCAGGAAAAAGACTTTCTGGGGTGATGGTCATGTTCTATATCTTGACTGGGTTTGAGTTACATGTGTGTATGTATTTGTCAAAACTCAGTCAATGTACACTTAAGATTTGTATATTTTCTTCTACATAAATTTTACCTCAAAAGGAAAAAAACTAAGCAAATATTGCACTCTAATGATACACATGCTGAAGTATTTAGGAGGAAATGAGCTCATCTCTACAACTTATTCTGAAATACATTTAATAATATGAATTGCTGCATGGATAGAGAGATGGACAGATGGACAGGTATGTGACAAAACATGTGTGGTTAAATATTAATGGTATTCCATTATATGGATATGCCAGTTTGTTTATCCATTCACCTGTTGGTGGATACTTGGACTGTTTCCCATTTGGGGCTATTAAAAATAAAGCTGCTATGCACATCTGTGTGCAAATCTTTGTATGAACATATGCTTTCATTTCTCTTGGGTAAACATGTAGAAGCACAATGGCTTGATAACATGGTTGATGTATGTTTAACTTTTTAAGAAATTGCCAAACTGTTTTCCCAAGTTGTTTAACATTTTACATCCCCAGGAGACATATTAACAGAGTTCCAGTTTTTGCACATCCTCACCACCACTTGCTATGGTCAGCAATAAAAAGGAATAAATTATTGATTGTACTACCACATGGATGAATCTCAAAATAATTATGCTGAAATAAGCCAGACTGAAAGAATACAAACTGTACAATCCCATTTATCCAAGTCTAGAAAACTCAAGCTAATATGCAGTAACAGAAAGCAAATCAGCAAAAACCTGGGGACAAGAAGGGTATAAGGGACAAGGAGGGTTAGAAGATACGGTTTACAAAAAGGCACAAGGAAACTTCTAGGTATGACAGATATGTTCATTATCATGTGATGATTGTTACCTGCATGCACATATATGCTAAAACTTATCAAATTGTAGACTTTAACGTGTATTTTACTGCATGTTAATTATACGTCAATAAAGCTGTTAATACATAATATTAATGACAGAATCTAGATAATGGGTATATGGAGAGGCACTGTAAAATCTCCTAACACTTTTTATAATAAAATGTTTCATAGTCTTTAAAGTTTTATTAAAGTATCTTAGAACATAAATATAAAAATAATACATAAGGAATTAGAATTGGTCATTAACACCAGACTGTAAGAATCATTTGTTTGGCTCCCTAGTGTATTCTGGGCACAGAAGAATGACTCCTTAAAAATCGAAAACTGTATCCTAACTGAATCTTCATCTTTTGTACTGCTTCTGGTATCATGGCGGTATCCAGCTAAGTGGCCACTAAACACATGATTCTATTATAAAGGGAAAACTGGGAGATTAACATTTCAAAAACAGAATACGTATGTTAGTTAATAGACAAGAAATCTGAACTTCTAATGTTACATAAAGATGTCAGGCATTATCAAAAAAAAATTACAAATTTGTCCAAGTATTGTGATTTCGGAGAAAACAAAATAGAGACAAAGGAGGCTAACTTAAGAAGGGGCTATGAAGTACAGGTACTTCCTGTGTTACAAATGATAATTCTATCACACAAGCCACTTTTACTACTGCTTTTGTCTATTTAAAATTCTAATACTTTTCCCCTTAATGTTCTCTTAAAATGTACCCAACTGTGCATCAAGTCCCCAGTGTCATTTGTTTAAAAAAATATTTTCATGTCCTACTCCAGATAAATAATTTATAATCTCTGGGGGCAGGTTCTGTATTCATAATAAGCACCTATGGCTGATTCTGATGCAGCCTAGCTCTTAAAGAAAATATGTGAAATGGCCGGACGCAGTGGCTCACACCTGTAATCCCAGCACTTTGGGAGGCCAAGGCAGGTGGATCACTTGAGGTCAGGCGTTCGAGACCAGCCTGGTTGACGTGGTGAAATGCCGTCCCTACTAAAAATACAAAAATTAGCCATGCATGATGGTGGGCACCTTTAATCCCAGCTACTCGGGAGGCTGAGGCAGGAGACTCACTTGAGGCCGTGAGACAGAGGTTGCAGTGAGCCGAGATCGCGTCACTGCACTCCCACCCGGGTGACAGAACGAGACTCCGTCTCAAAAAGAAAAGAAAAAGAAAAAGAAAATTGCTGGAGAAAGTTGGGAAGATAAATTTCAGATGAGTCTATGAAATATTACCACCTCTCTAACTAGATGATATATGGGAAGGGAGAATTATAAATAGAAGTGTATAAAAAGTATACCTTACCAACATCAAAATTTGCCAAGAGTCAGTCCTGGAATGAAGCTCAATTCCTTTTTCATCCCCTGTAAGACAGAGTCTTCTAGCAGTGAGTCTACTTACTGTATTGAACCCAGTACAGTAGCACTCTTCTGCTGCATTATAGTTAAACAGGTTTTTGGAAAAGTCCTCATTCATATATAAGAATGCTTCCATGGGAAAAATGCATTCTGATTTCCAAAGAATCCATCTCAGCAACAAATTTTCAGAGCACCATCCATTATTAGCAATGACTGAATACTAATTGATACTATTATAGTAACATGCTAATATTGAAATTTGCTGGATTATTTCAGAAGCCTAGCAAAAGCACACATTTACAACTACCAATAGGTCCTTCACGTTAGACCATAAAATATTATCTTAAAATTTTCCTATGCAGCATCCAGTTTCTTTTTTTTTTTTTTTTTTTTTGAGGCAGGGTCTCGCTCTGTTGGCCAGGCTAGAGGGCAATGGTGTGATCTCAGCTCACTGCAACCTATGCCTCCCAGCTTCAAGTGATTCTCCTGCCTCAGTCTCCTGAGTAGCTGGGATTACAGGCGAGCGCCACAGTACCCAGCTAATTTTTGTATCTTATTTTTTTCGTAGAGATGAGGTTTCACCACATTGGCCAGGCTGGTCTGAAGTGATCCACCCTCCCCAGTCTCCCAAAGTGCTGGGATTACAGGCATGAGCCACTATGCCTGGCCACCTAGTTTCTATTACAGAAATTTTCAAACAATGTTTTTAAAAAATCCTCCAAATTTATCAAATTACTACTTTTGAAATTCTCAAAGAATATTTTAAAAAAATACTCCAGCTATTATTTAAAGTTTCATTTATCAAAACATAACCAATTTCTATAAATAAAACACTGACATGTTATTTTATTTTATTTTGAGACAGAGTCTCGCTGTCTGTTGCCTAGGTTGGAATGCAGTGGCATGATCAGAGCTCACTGTAATCTCAAACTCCTATGCTCAAGCAATCTTCCCGCCTCAGCCTTCCAAAGTGCTGGGATTACAGGAATGAGCACCACACCTGGACAATGACTTGTTATTTTTTAAATTATTTGTTAAAGACTAAAGTTAGAGGGATCACATTACCTGATTTCTAGACTAACTACAAAGACACAGTTATCAAGACAGTGTAGTATTGGTGAAATGATAGACACACAGATTGAGACAGACTAAAGCCACACAATATTAAGTCTACTGATTTTTTTTTTACGAAATGCAAAGATAATTCAATAGAGAAAGGATCCTCTTTCTTAGCAAGTGGTGCTAAACAATTGGATATTTGCATCCACATGCAAACAAATGAACCTCAACCTTCAACACATATCACACACCTTATACAAAAAGAAATCCAAAACCTAAAACTACAAAACTTCCTTAAGAAAACACAGGAGAACATCTTTGACTTTGGGTTGGGAAAAGATTTCTTAGATATGAATACCAAAAGCCATGATTCATAAAAGAAATGTTTTATAAACTGGGCTTTTCCCAAAATCAAAAATGTATGCTCTGCAAAAGACAAAATGGGAAAAGACTGAGAAAGTATTTTCAAATTACATATCTGATGAAGAAATTGTATCCTTAATATTTAAAGAACTCTCAAAACTCAACCATAAGAAAACAAACACTCTGGAAAAAGAGTTTGGCTGTTCCTCAAAAGGTTACACAAAGTCAGCATATGACCCAGCAATTCCACTTCTAGGTATATATCCAAGAGAATTTAAAACATACATCCACAAAAAAACTTGTACATGAATGTTCAGTGGCATTATTCATAATATCCAAAAGGTGGATGTTTAGGAATAATCTAAACATCCAGCAACTGGTGAGTATAGATAAATAAATTGTGGTCTATGAATATAATGGAATATTATTCAACCCTAAGAGCAAATGAAATAGTCATACATCCTTCAACATGGAGGAACCTTGAAAATACATTAGGTTAAAGAAGCCAGAAACAAAAGGCCACATATCATATAATTCCATTTAAATGAAATGTCCAGAATTACCAAATCCATAAAGACAGAAAGATTAGTGGTTGCCAGAGGTGGAGTAGTGAGAAGGGAGGAAATTGGGAGTCACTCCTAATGGACATACGATTTAATTTTGGGGTGCTGAAATATTCCGGAATGAGAGAGTGGTGATGGTTGTACAATTTTGTGACTATACTAAAAAACACTGAATTGTACATTTTAAAAGAGTGAAATTTATGGTATATGAAATAAATCTCAAAAAAAAAAAAAAAACGTACAACCCAATTTAAAACCACTCTTAGGTATTTATCCAAGAGAAATAACAATTATGTTCACACAAACACCCGTACGTGAATGTTTATGACGGCTTTATTTATAACCTCCAAAAACTGAAATATTCTTCAACCAGCAAACAGATAAATACTTACAGTCAGGCGGGCGCAGTGGCTCACGCCTGTAATCCCAGCACTTTGGGAGGCAGAGGCAGGCGGATTACTTGAGGTCAGGAGTTTGAGACCAGCCTGGCCAACATTGCAAAACCCCCTCTCTACTAAAAATTAGCCGGGCGTGGTGGCGGGGTGAGATCAACTGCAAAGGAGCAGCTGAGAGAATTCGGGAGGCTTGATGAACCTTTTATGTGCCATTATTGTGGTGGTGCATACATGCCTCTTAGCATTTGTCAAGACAGAACTGTATCACAAGAGTGAATTTTACTGCATGTAAATTTTAAACAAATAAATAAGTTGATTAATCACACTCTAGACAAACCTCCACCCTGAATGTGGAAGCAAGACTCCACTACAGATCAAAGTTCACCTCAAGTATTCTTAAGGCTTCCTTCTGAGGTACATGGGAGACAAATTTTATTTTCACTTTGCAACTAAGAAGCAGCATAAACAGACTGCAAGTTTCTTGTACTAATCAAACAGGCTGAGCAGCTATCACTATATCCCTAGCTTTTGTAGTCCACTCACTCTCCATCATGATACTAGGTCCCCACGGTAGTAACATTCTTTAAAATCAAACTAAACTACCTGTTTACATTATCTCATAAACGAGAAGAGTCAAGGTAAGTATTTTAGAAGAAGACTGGAAGTGTGTGCACAGACAAGAATAAATTACTTTAAATATATATTTAAACACACACACTTCACACACAAAATTAACCCTCACTTTGGCCTGGGAAATTCATTTCACAAAGGAGTCTAATTTCTAGCGGGTGTTTAAAATAAACAAGCGCATAATGCAAAAACAGATGGAAACACTAAAAATGAGGCTCTCACTAAGGCAGAATACCACACTAAACGGACACAAGGAAAGCTCGGTCCTTCACCACCTAGGCAGCGTAGGGCCCTGTTCAGCCCGGTCTTTTGCAGGTCTGAGACGTTGCACCGCACGCCCTGGTTTTTCTTTAAAATTCGGCAATTCACTCTGACCCACATATCCTAAAGTCTTGAAAATGTTACACATTCCTAGGTCAGGCTGTTAACTGCAACCACACAAGCAACTGTTTGAGTTACTTTGCACTTGAGTTTCCTTTTTGTTATCCGCCGAACCCAGGCGAGAGAGAGCCGGCGTCCGGGTCCTAGGGCCGGAAGGGGGAGAGCAGAAAGCACCACGGGTGAAGCCAGGAATTGAGGCTGGGGAAGCAAGGAAGCGGGCGTCCCCGGTCACAGCGCCCTGCCTTCACGTGCGAGGCAGCATGCAACACGCGGGGGATTTCTGGGGCCTTCGTCATAAACCCAGGGGGGCAAAGGACAGGGATGGGACCCAGCCCAGGAAGGCGTCGTCTCGCCTCCTCGCCCCGCGCGGCTAAAGCCGGACCGTGCGGGGCCAGGGGTAGAGAACGGCCCCTCGCCGGGACTTGAACGCCAGACCCACGGAGCCCACGGCAAGTCCGCTCCGCTCGGAAAATATAGACCTTTTCATCCCGCACTCATGACCCTCTCCTTTCCCCCAAAATATAAACAACTCGAGGGCGGAGGCCAGGGAACTGCCGCCCGGCTTTACGTAACTTGACCCACAGGCGGGCGGCGGCAGGTGGCTGCACCCGGCGAGCAAGGTGCTCGAAGCCCCGAGAACGCAGGACGCCGCTCGGGCAGCGAGACGGCCGGGAAGCACGAGAGGCCGGGGAGCGGCGGCGGCGGCCTCCTTACCTTTCCAGATGCCCAGAGAGAGCTGGGACGTGTCCAAGTCCACCACATAGTCCCCCAAGAACCGGTTCAACACGTCCACGACCACCGACTCGAAAACCATGTTCCTCAGCCGTGGTGGGCACGGCAGCCGGCCCGTGCGCTCCTCCTCCCGCCGCCTTCCCCACGCCCCTCCCTCGAGGTAATTCGGTTCACCGGCTCCGGGGCGGCTTCAGCTGCGGCGCCCCCGCTGGCCCAACGCGCAGCCCTAGCGAGCCCAGCGAGAGACGGAGGCGGTCGCTCTCACGACGCGTGCGCAAGTCTGCGCGCGGCTGGAGGCGGAGCGCGGCGCAGACCTGGGCGCGCAGCCCTGAGAGGGAGGAAAGGCGGCTGCGCGGCCGCGGCTCTGGAGGGTGCCCTTTTCGCGCCGAGCCCGGCTCCTCTTTCCTGTCGGCCCCGCCTCCTCCCCATCGCCTGGCAACGGGACACCGGTCTGGAGCTACCGGATTTTTTCCGACCCCGCCCCCTCCTGCAGATCAGCGTCCCCAGCGGCCCCCCAGGGCGGGGCGGTTACGCCCGACGGGAACGCCCCTCCCCCTAGAAGGTGGTGGCCGCTTCCACGCGTATGACAGGGCTCGCCCCTGAGTAAGGGTGGGCGGATCCCAGCCCCGTCGCCAGAAGCTTCAAGGGGGCTGTCCCAGGGAGCATCTCCCCTCATCATTACAGGGTGGGAGGGTCCAGCCAGCCTGGGTGTCTTGGTGCCTGTAACCTCCCCGCCTGGTCCTCCGACCGCCTGGCTCTCAGGAGGAGTTAACTTCCTGCTGCGAGTCGAGGATGGAGTTACATAGTCCCTGCCCTGCATCTGAGATGAGCACCCATTTTTGGTCAAGTCATTTATACGGAGCTGTCTTTCATTCCAAAGAGTAACACGCTTCCCTGCAGATAAGAGTTGGAGTCAGCCGGTCTGGAAACTGCTGAACACCCTCCAAGAAATACTGGGAGTGCTGGACCCTTGACCCCTATGCCTCCACCGAACCACTGACCTAAAATAAATTACAATTACAGATCTTTCGACCTGTTTGGTCTTACTTAGAAGTAATCCCAAAGGCCTGAGGTCACAGAGATGCTAAATGTGAGGTTTAGAGAACTGTAATTAATCATCTGCAGGACCGAAAAAGTGTACATTGAGCGTTTTCTCTTTACACGTTAAATGAATAATGATGGATTTCTATTAATTCCTGTGTCATTTTACTACTTTTTGTGCATAGTCACCGACTTTTCAAAATTAAATGTTTAGGGTGTGCCTTTGCAAGTAGAATGCCTGACAAAAACTGTAAGTTTTTACCTGAGTTTATGAATGTTTTTCATATAATTTTATATTTGAAGGACCTTTATGAGGTCTCCAACCTCCTAGTCTTAAATATAATGAAGCTGAAGTGTTAGGGATGTGTGCAAGGTCATACAACCAATGTTCTGTGGAAGAACTGGAACTTGGCCCTTCTGATTGGCTACCACCCCACCTGCTTCTCTCTCATTCAGCTAACAGTCTGCTTCAGAATACCTGCACGGAGAAACGAATAGAGGCTAAAATGCCTAGGAAGGGGAAGAGCTCTACATAATGAGGCATTTTGCCATTGCACTATTAATAAGAAGCCAGATACACAGTAGCTGCAAAATTCCGCTGTTATATCTAGCGCTGCAAATTCAAAGTTACAAGAATTTCCAGAACTCCAAAAATCCATCTTAAGTATCTTGCAAACGTTTTCATATTAGTTTTCTACGATCTAGGAAAATTTTGTGGAAGTGAGGAAGGGGAAGGGATGTTGCTGAAAAGTTAGAGGTATAAGCATAAAGCAATGAAAAAAAATTCTGCTGAGGAAGAGTTAGAAATAAGTGGATGCATATTGTAACCGAATTCTTATCTAGTGTTAGATGTATATGAACATGCTTTGTAAATACTAAAAGACAACATTTTGCATTCAGTCTTTGCATTGCTTAATCCATCTAAGGAAGTTTGTAAGCAAAAATATATTAACATCATCATGTAAAAGGTATGCTCATTAAACCATTAAACCAAATTTCTGTTGTACCTTGAAAAATAAGCCCAATGACTACCATAAAAACTCGAGTTTCAAATTAGGAAGTATGTCAGTGTATGTTATTCTTTCTCTAGATCACAATTAAAATGCTATACTTCATTGTTTGATCAAATGGAAAAACAAAAGAGGGGGAGAGCATCTGAATGACCCCAAACTGCAATATCATCTAACTTTACAATAAATCTCTAACTTTGCAAGTAGGACTTGCAGTTTTATGTATACCTTCCATGCCACAGCTCTTCGTCTTTAAAGTTTTGGTGTACTGGTAGTAATCTTGGAATTTTTTTTTCTCCTAATCTTAATTCTTTTGTCCACAAGTAAATGTCATTGGTGGGCTGCTTGTCCTTATCATTCCCCATGGGCATTGTGGTAGCAGGCTAGATGGCCAGATAACAAAGCTGTTGAAGCAGACCACAAAGCTGTTGAAGCAGAAGATGTCCTGGAGGAACAAGTGTAGAAGATGGCCGTTTTATAGGTATGGGACTTTTACTGATCTAACTTCACAGAGCCCTGTGCTCCATCTGTTTATGCTTTAAAAATTTTAAACAATAAAAAGTTATTTGGAGCCTGGCATGGTAGCACATGCCTGTAGTCCCAGCTACTCCAAGGGTGAGAGGATCCCTTGAGCCCAGGAGTTTGGGGCTGCAGTAAACTATGATGGTGCCACTGCATTCCAGCCTGGGTGACACAGTGAAAAAAAAAAAAAAATTCTTTAGACCATGTGTTCCAATCCTTAATAAAAAGAGAAAAATTCACTGGAAGGGGAATACAAGCAAAAAGGTAAAAACCTTATAAGAATCTTACTTAAGGCCAGGCACAGTGGCTCATGCCTGTAATCCCAGCACTTTGGGAGACCGAGGCAGGTGGATCACCTGAAGTCAGGAGTTCGAGACCAACCTGGTCAACATGGCGAAACCCCGTCTCTACTAAAAATACAAAAAAAAAAAAAAATTAGCCAGGCATGGTGGCACACACCTGTAATCCCAGCTAGTCAGGAGGCTGAGGCAGGAGAATCGCTTGAACCCAGGAGGCAGAGGTTGCAGTGAGCCAAGATCACACCATTGCACTCCAGCCTGGGCAACAAGAGCAAAACTCCATCTCAGAAAAAAAAAAAAAAAGAATCTTACTTAAGCAGGGCAGGGGAAAATGTAAATTGTCACAATATTTCTAAAAGGCAGTTCCTAAACATTTACAAACTGACATAGTACATATGTGTATATATATCAGCGTACATACATATATATACGTACATGTGTATATGACGAACTCAGCAATCCCACTTCCACAGATTTACTCTAAGAAAATAATTATAAAAATCCAAAAAATTATTCCCACAAGAACTTTTTTTTTTTTTTTTTTTTTTTTTTTTTTTTTCAGAAAGAGTCTCGCTCTTGTCACCCAGGCTGGAGTGCAATGGTGCGATCTTGGCTCACTGCACCCTCCGCTCCCAGGAGGGTTTAAGCGATTCTCCTGCCTCAGCCTCCAAGTAGCTGGCATTACAGTCGGGTGCCACCACACCCGGCTAATTTTTGTATTTTTCAGTAGAGACAGGGTTTCGCCATGTTGGCCAGGCTGGTCTCCAGCTCCTGACCTCAAGTGATCCACCCATCTCGGCCTCCCAAAGTGCTGGGATTACAGGCTTGAGCCACCAAGCCCAGCCAAGAACACTATTTAAAGCATTGTTTATAATAGCAAAAAGAAATGGAAACGACCGAAATATCCATTAACAGGGAAGCTGGTTAAGTAAACATACACACGTAGTGGGTTACTATACAGGCATTAAGATGATAATGAAAGTCTATACTAGTGTGGAAGGATGTCGATAATATATGCTCATGAGAAACAAGGTGCAGAATAGTATCCCACTAATTATACAAATTGGTGAGTTTTTAAGTGTGCAGAGCATTTACATACAGAAAGAAATCTAGAAGTATGCTCACCAAATATTAACAGTGGTTATCTCTATATGGTGAGACTTTTGGCAATGTGTATTTTTTCTGTTCTTTCAAGTTTAATTTTTTTGTAGTGAGCATGTATTATTTTGCCCTTCTAAACTGGTGAAGAAGATGTATCAGAAATGCTATTATGTTGTATGTTATCTTATAACTCTCTGGGAAAACTATGTATGCACATTGATGAATTGCTGTGAGCGGGTTCTGAACCTTATCGGATAATTGATAGACATGGATGTGAACTCTCAAAAGCCTACCAAAAGACATGAGCAGACATTTCCTGAAGAGTATATACAGATGGAAACAAGCGCATGAAAACATGTGCAACATCATTAGCCATTGGGGAAATGAAAAGTAAAACCACAATGAGATATCAGAATATCTTATCATATTATATCTATCAGAATGGTTGGAAAAAATAGTGACAATACCAAGGCTGGTTAGGATACTGAGAAACTGGATCATTTATTCACTGGAGGTGGGGTTGTGAAATAGTTAAGCGCTCTGGAGAACAATTTGGCAGTTGCCACAAGAACTAAACATGCACTTACTATATGACCCAGCAATTGCACTCCTGGACATTTATCCCAGAAAAATGAAACCTTATAGATCACACAAAAACCTGTACATGAATAGCCAAAACTTGGAAACAGCCCACATTTTTTTCAACTGGTGAATGTTTAAACAAACTGTGGTACATCCACACTGTGGAATACTCAGCAATAAAAAAAGGTGAACTATGGATACATGCAACAACTTGGATGGATCTCAGGGGAATTATGCGAGTGAAAACATGTATTATTATATTTGTGAAACACTCTTGAAGTAACAAATTTATAGAGATGGAAAACAAATTAGTTGTTGCCAAAGGTTAAGTATAAGTAGGATGGATAGGTGCGGCTACATATGGATAGCAGGAAGGAGCCTTATGTTTATGACACACTTCTGTATCTCGATTGTGGCAGTGGTTATATAAAATTGCATTAAACTACACACACACGTAAGTGCATATAAAAGTGGAGAAATCTGAATAATCTCCATGGATAGTACCAATATCTTTATTTTCTTATTGTGATATTGCATTATAGTTATATAAGATGTCACCATTGGGGAAAACTGGGGTGAAGGGTATATGGGACCCCCCCTATAGATTTTTTTGCAACAACTCTCTATCAAAGTATAATTATTTTTAAAATAATTTTTGAAGGGTTTGCTGAGTCAAAGTCAACTAGGAGATGCCCCAGAGAATGAGATAAGCCTGAGAGTTAACAGCTCCTACATAATAATTTAATATCCCTGCACGGGGTGCCTGGTAAAAATATTCAAGAAAGAAAAGTATCTGAATGTGGTGACTTACCAGCATGTATTGAAATATCAATTATGCTGTGATCCCGGTAAAATACTTGAAAGAGGGATGTACAATAAGGGACTCTCAAGCAACTTCCTCTGACTCTAAATACTTAAAACACCTGAGCTCTTCCCAGAAAAAGAGGGTACCAAATACTGATGTCCACCAGTGCTTTTGATCTCAGATTTTAACATGGCTGATATTAAAAGCTGATTCCTTGTGATTCAGCTCTGTGCTCAGATATCACCTAATCATAGAGGTGATGTCTTCCCTGACCTCTCAGTCTCTAGTGGCCAGCAGTTATGCTCTGCCATATCACTTTAGCAGCACCTTAATCTAGCTGGCATTTTTTCCAACACTTGCAGAATCAGCATTACCTCACTATCTCAAAACAGTCAGAACCAACTTCATTGTTCCCCATCCTTAGAAGTTTGCTTCTCAGAACTCAGAGGCACAAGGGCCAGTCAAGCATCCCCTCGCCTCAGAAGTCTGAGTTTCAGTTTGAGGGCCCCTCTTCTAAATTTCCAAGTCTGTCCCTTTGCTCACTGAACCCTTGGGGTTGTATCTGGTTTTTGCAGTAACTGCCTCCTCAGTACCTTAGAATTCTCTCTTTACCTTTTCACTACTTAATTACTTATCTAGTTAACAATTCTGTACGTACCTATATCTATAGAAAGGGGAGTTGGGGCCTGCAGCTGAGTCTGTGCAAGGGAGATGTTTGGCTGAGAGAGGGAAGCCATGTAATCAAAGGGAGTAAATACAAATTATGACTGAGGAGGGAAGCCAGGCTCAGGGCCAGAGAGCTGCTTAAGTGTCAGGACAGGCAGCAACTGCTAGTCTATAAATAGGTAATGAGCCCAAGGGTCAAAGGTTTGGATAATCAAGAACAGGTCAATCAGTGCAGTATGAAGTAGGTCCAGGAGAAGGATGGAGAGGTGGGGCTGTGCATGTGGCGTGCTGAGAGTTTGTTCTTAATTGCCCTGTGGCACAGGGGCAGTGGGCTTAGATAGCTCACTCTGAACTGAATCCACTGATACCACTGCCCCTCCTTGTTTGTTCAGCCCAACCTCTCCATTTGTGAGCCAATATTGATTTAGACAGGATGTGAAAGACCTCCCAGAATGAACTCTCTTCCTCTCTGGACTTCCAAATATTGACCATGATCTTGATTTCCTGCCTCTGATTTCTTTCCCTCCTTTGTGAACCATTGACTGAACTAGAAGCTCTGTGTTCCATGTGTGTGTTGCTATTTCTGTTAAGCCCTTCCCCAGAGCCTGGACCACATGTCAATGTGCAGTTCTAAGGACAGCCACTGTCACTCTGCCTCACCTACCCTCCCCTACTTATCTGTTAATGCAAGTAAAATAAAACATACAGGTAGGAAGCACTGACCAGGATGGAGTGGGGTGGGAAAGTCCCGGAGTTAAAGAGCAGTGAAAGTCCATTATGGAGATTTAGGCAGGAGGTAATTATAGATCTCAACTAGGCCAATGCAATTCAAATGAATAGAAATACATTGATGTGATGGAGGTCATAAACGTGGAATTTATAGCCTTCGAAATTGATTAACTGTGGTAAATGAGGTAAATATAATAATTCCAAGATTGTGTCATTTATAGCAACTGAAACATGAAAACAAGACATTGGTTTTATAGGAGATGATAAAGAATTTTAGTTTTAGGTTCCATGAGATTTGAAATCTAGGGGAAAATATTTGGGACAGAGTGTAAATAGTAATTCAGGAGGAAATGTCTAGTGTTAGTTAGAAATTAAGGAATGGGGTTCCAGTGAGAGTCTAGAATAAGAGATGAAGGCTTGGGACTCCCTACACAGAAGCAACCGTTGATACTCAATGGATGGATGACACTTTGGAGTAAAGAATTATAAAGAAAAGCAGAAGAATGAGGACTGAACTGTGAAGAAACCATCTCATTTAGGGAGGAACAAAATGAACTTGAGAAAAGAGACCTACAACAAAAGCCAGTATACCTGGAGTGGGCTGACATAGAAATCCAAGAGGACTTATAGGAAGAAAGGGAGGTCAGCAGTAACAAAAGTGTAGGGATGTCAAGAAAGATAGAAACTCAGAAAATGGCCGGGCACGGTGGCTCACACCTGTAATCCCAACACTTTGGGAGGCCAAGGCAGGCAGATCACCTGAGGTCAGGAGTTGGAGACCAGCCTGACCAACATGGAGAAACCTCATCTCTACTAAAAATACAAAATTAGCCGGACATGGTGGCACAAGCCTATAATCTTAGCTACTCGGGAGGCTGAGGCAGGAGAATCGCTTGAACCTGGGAGGCAGAGGGTGCAGTGAGCCAAGATTGCGCCATTGTACTCCAGCCTGGACAACAAGAGCGAAACTCTGTCTCAAAAAAAAAAAAAAAAAAAAAAACCCTCAGGAAAAAAAAAGTGAATTTAGCTATTACTGAGTGTAAGCAAGTTCTTTTGATTCACCTAAGAGATGTCTACCCAGGGTCATTTAAAAAGTCACAAATAGAGAATATATTTCAATAACAAAAAAGGTTACTACCAAATTTGAACCTCATGTTTACACTTTTATTTAGAAAATTAAGTTGACATCAACACTTACCAAGTACTTAAATGCACACTGTTCCTTCAATATTAGTAGAGAGATTCACTGTCAATGGAGATGCATTAGCTTGATAAATGTACACAGTATTTTTTGTATTTCTATGATATCTAAACTATTCTTGTTCTAGTATATGCTTTTATCATCACAATATAACATAATTCCCAGTAAGAATCTTAACTAATTCATAAGTAAACAAAGCACTCACTTTCAAATATCCTATTTTCTGACTGTTTTAATCACATTTTAGCATTCTTTTTTTTTTTTTTTTTTTTTTTTTTGAGATGGAGTCTCGCCCTGTCGCCCAGGCTGGAGTGGAGTGGCACGGTCTCAGCTCACAGCAGCCTCCACCTCACAGGTTCCAGCAATTCTTCTGCCTCAGCCTCCTGGGTAGATGGGATTACAGGCATATGCCACCATGCCCAGGTACTTTTTGTATTTTTAATAGAGACGGGGTTTCACCATGTTAGCCATGCTGGTCTTGAACTCCTGACCTCAGTTGATCTGCCTGCCTCAGCCTCCCAAATTGTTAGGATTACAGGCGTGAGCCACTGTGCCCGGCCAGCATTTTTTTTTCTTTTTTTGGAGACGGAGTCTTGCTCTGTTGCCCAGGTTGGAGTGCAGTGGTGTGATCTCGACTCACTGCAACTTCCACCTCCCAGGTTCAAGCGATTCTCCTGCCTTGGCCTCCTGAGTAGCTGGTATTACAGATGTGCACCACCACACCTGGCTACTTTTTGTATTTTTAGTAGAGACGGGGTTTCACCATGTTGGTCAGGATGGTCTTGAACTCCTGAGGTCATGATCTGCTTGCCTCGGCCTCCCAAAGTGCTGGGATTACAGGCATGAGCCACTGTGCCCGGCCAGCATTCTTTATTTAATAACTATTTGCCTGGAAATATGCTAGTCTATAAAGAGCTGTTTTATGAACTATATATAAAACTGTTTTCTAAGTTTATGCACTTATATAAATCCTGGTAAGACATACCATTGCTGACCTAATAAACATATATGTGAGGTTGTAAGAAAACAACAAATCCCTTGTTCCCTAGTATATATACACGTGCACACACAGACATGTGCTGTAGAAGTTGTAATATGATCCAGCACTTATCAATAAATAATATTTTCTACATCATGGAGAGCTAGCTTAAGTACTTTATATAGAGAGAATTTACATACAGTATCACAGATAGAGGACAGATATGTAATTACAGAAAAGGCTATTGGTACAATTAAGCCTCATGTATAACACTAGTACGTTTCTTTTTCTTTTTTTTTTGAGACGAAGTCTTGCTCTGTCGCCCAGGCTGGAGTGCAGTGGCGCGATCTCGGCTCACTGCAAGCTGCGCCTCCCAGGTTCACACCATTCTCCTGCCTCAGCCTCCCGAGTGGCTGGAACTACAGGCGCCTGCCACCATGCCTGGCTAATTTTTTGTATTTTTTAGTAGAGACGGGGTTTCACCATGTTAGCCAGGATGGTCTCTATCTCCTGACCTTGTGACTCACCCACCTCAGCCTCCCAAAGTGCTGGGATTACAGGCGTGAGCCACCGCACCCGGCCCTAACAGCAGTATGTTTCTAATTAAATTATTTAGTTCAATTCAACAATTACTTACTAAGTTAAACCTGATAATGTCTAAAGTTTTCCGATGCTCATATTTTATAAAACCTTACTTCCCAAAGAGCATGGACATAATGTTCCCAGAATCTCTTCTTTGAAAGAAGTCATGGTGTTTTTCCACTGCTAAGAAGACTAGGCCAGGTGTGGTGGCTCACACCTGTATCCTAGCACTTTGGGAGGCCTAGGCAGGCGGATCAGCTGGAGGTCAGGAGTTTGAGACCAGCCTAGTCAACATGGTGAAACCCCCGTCTCTACTAAAAACGCAAAAATTAGCCATACGGGGTGGCGGGCGCCTGTAATCCCAGCTACTCGGGAGGCTGAGGCAGGAGAAGGGTGTTAACCCGGGAGGCGGAGCTTGCAGTGAGCCGAGATCGCGCCACTGCACTCCAGCCTGGGCGACAGACCGAGACTCCGTCTTAAAAAAAAAAAAAAAAAAAAAAAAAAAAAAAAGATGGAAAAAAAGAAGAAGAGTAGTCTCTGTCAATTATCACATTTATATTCTTCGTAGATTATACACTCTGCTTTTTATATCCAAGGAAATTCTGAGTCAGATGCACCAGTTCGGTTTCATTAATGTTAAATTAGCTGATTCCAGCATCAGTCAGAGATTGAAATGTCTTCAACTTTCCCTTCCAGAAGGTTAAAAGAGCGCCATCTAGTGGATTTTTAAATATAAAATCCTTCCAAATCTGTATTCAAATTGAACTACTGTAATCATCGGTTTTAAAAGAAAACTTTCATTTTAAATGACAGTGATTATAAATCAATTATATATTTTATAAAATGAATCCTAAACATCCTTTCAACTAAACTTCAGATTTGAAAATCAAACTTAGTAATGTTAGCTTATGACATTTTTAACCACATATTTTTACTACTGAATTGGTTTCTCTTCTATTTGAATGTTAATTATGGCATACTAAAGATTTTCTTGCTTTTCATATCCTTTTAAGAAAGACTCAGTTGATTGCAGCTTTGTGGTATTGAAAACAAGTTTGGCTTTGTTTTTTTCTCAACATTATACTGTTAATGGACCAATTCTTAAACAAAGAAGGTTTAATTCTACTCACTGGCTATGTCAGACATTTGAGCTGGTCTATGAGGAAGTATAGAATTTGAATTTGTCCTTTAGTGTCCGTGGTCAATACAAACTGTTTGATTTTTTCTCTAATTGCATAAAATTCATCAATGCATTTGGAATGAAAAGAACAACATGAGGACTGCCTCAGCCTTAACTACTGACACCTCATCATCAGACTAGCGGGCCTGTAGACAATGTGAGTAGTAAAATTAAGTCGGCGTCTCTATGCAATCCTGCAAATGCATTTAAAAAATGGATAGCAATGGTCAGGCAACCATATGGGTTGATGGGAATACAAGTTCATAACTTCCAGCTAGATTGTCTTTTCACTCTTGTTTATTCTCTTCATTATTTTTCTATTTTGTTCCTTTTAGCTTGTATTCCTCAAATTCCCCCAAATGATCCCTCTTCACATTGAGATCGCTCTTCAAATACCTCCTAATTGAAGCAGCTTTCCTTAACTATATTCTCAAAAATAACACTATCCCTGTATCCCTCCTCTACTCCTTAGTATTCTTTTTCTACTCTGCTTATTTCTTACAGTACTTATCACTACTTATTTGCTTGTTTTCTGTCTCCCTCTGTAATAATTTCACCATTGATTCCATTATTTTACCTCTCTCTGTATCTGGTCATTTAACTTTGCAGCATTCCCCTATTGTGAGGGGGGCATTCCGCCTCATTCTTTGATTCTGCGTTCGTTCATGTGACTTGCTTAGGCCAATAACACATTAGCTGCTGTGATGCAAACAGAGCTTGGAAAGCACCTGCACAGTTAGTCTTTCTGTCTCCCTCTGGGCCATTGCAATGGAAACATGCCTGGCCTAGGCTGCTAGGCAATGAATGATACGTGGAGCAGTGCCAAGTCACCAAGATTGCCCCAGTCTCTTTGATTGGCCTAACCTGCCCCTTATGTTTTTCTTTTCTTTTCTTTTCTTTTTTTTTTTTTTGAGACGGAGTCTCACTCTGTCGCCCAGGCTGGAGTGCAGTGGCACAATCTCGGCTCACTGCAAGCTCCGCCTCCCGGGTTCACGCCATTCTCCTGCCTCAGCCTCCCAAGTAGCTGGGACTACAGGTGCCCGCCACCACGCCTGGCTAATTTTTTATATTTTTAGTAGAGACGGGGTTCCACTGTGGTCTCGATCTCCTGACCTCATGATCCGCCCGCCTCGGCCTCCCAAAGTGCCCTTATGTTTTAAGAATTCTAATAATGAGGTTTGTTTTTTTTTTAAAGGACACTGCATTTGGAGGTGGTTTGTTATATAGCAATAACTAGTTAGTACACCCTCTCATAGAATACAAACTCCCTGAGTGCCAGGAGTTTGTATTTTCTTTATTGCTACATCCCTAGCACCAAGCACCGTGCCTGAAGTAGATATATGTTGAATAAACAAATCGGATGAGGCAGGTAAGCCATATATTAGAGCTTAAGTAATAACTTTTCTGACCATCTGTCTTTTTATAGGGATAGATTCTTTAACATGGAGAGAAATGGGTAGGCTACTTATCCAACAGGCAATTCTCCAAAAATATTTTTTTTATCTCATTCAAGCTTTTGATAAGTATTAAGGAGTAGTGAGTTCAAGGTTACATATTTTACCAAGTGTTTTAAGTGTAACTATTTAAAGTGTGCAGCAAATTGCTGTAATGATCAACTCTAATGAGATGGCATTACAACTGGCTTCCTTTTTAGGATCACTGAGTAGCTCAACAATGAAATATATGAAAGCCAGTTCACCTCCATATAGAGGTGGGCTCAGGTATACCTTGTGACCAACAGGTCAGTTTGAGGTAGTTCTGAATTCAAGATGATGAGTAAGTTAGACATCAAAGTTCTGTGTCAAAGAGCATGGCTACAATATTTTTTAGATTGAAATTAAGAGAAAAAAATGTTGCCTTAGTCAATTTTCTGCAGCTATAACAGAATACCACAGATTGGGTAATTTATAAAGAACAGAAGATTATTTGGCTCACAGTTCTAGAGGCTGAGAAGTCCAAGAGCAAGGCACCAATGTCTGATGAAGGTCAACCCATGGCAGAAAGCATCACGTAGCGAGTCCACCAGACAGAAAGATAAAATAAAGATAAATAAAATAAAAAATAAAATAAACTAAAATAGGGTCCGCATTTAATCCTTTTGTCTGGAGCCCTCTCTCAAGGTAACCTACCCACTCTCTCAATAATAGCATTAATCCATTCATGAGAGCTCTGCCCTCATGACCCAGTCACCACTCAAAGGTCTCACCTCTCAGTCTGTCACAAATGGCAATTAAATTTCAACATGAGTTTCAAACGGGATATTCAAACCATAGCAGAGGTATTACCAAATTGTCACACAAGTTGTTTTTTTAAAATGTAGTAAAAAGTACTGACTAGGCACAGTAGCTCACGGATGTAATCCCAGCACTTTAGGAGGCCAAGGCAGATGGATGGCTTGAGGCCAGGAGTTCGAGGACAGCCTGGCCAACCTGGCAAGACCCTGTCTTTACTACTAAAAATACAAAAATTAGCCAGGTGTGGTGGCACATACCTGTAATCCCAGATACTTGGGAGGATGAGGCACAAGAATCACTTGAGTCTGGGAGGTGAAGGTTGCAGTGAGCCGAGGTCACGCCACTGCACTCCATCCTGGGCGATTGACTGAGACTCTGTCTCAAAAAAAAAAAAAAAAAAAAAGAAAAGAAAAGAAAAGAAATTTAATTGTCATTGTAACAGCGTTAGGAGGTGGGGCTGCCTTTAAGAGGTTATTAGGCCATGAAGGCTCCACCTTCATGAGTAGGTTTAATGCTTTAATAAAAAGTCTTTCAGTTGGGCTCTCTCTCTCTCATATGCCCTCTCACCTTCCACCATAAGTTGACACAAGAAGCAGACCCTCACCAGATGCTAGTACCTTGATATTGGACTTTCCAGCCTTCAAAACTGTGAGCCAATAAATTTGTGTTCATTATAAATTACCCAGTCTGTGGTATTCTGTTATTGCAGCATGAAATGAACTAAGGCACCACCCAACGATGATTAGCTTAGAGAAGTGTTGCTCAACTAGGAGTGATTTTGCTCCTCATGGGACATTTGCCAATGTCTTCAGACATTCGACGGAGGCCAGACATGCTGTTAAACATTCCACAATGCACAGGAAATCCTCCTACAACAAATAATTAACCAGCTCCAAATGTTAATAGATTGAGGTCGAGAAGCCCTGGCTTAAAATCTAATAATTATGTAAAACAAGGGAATACATTTTACTTAACTTGAATTAGGGGACAACAATTCTTAAAATTGGATATTTAGTCTCTCTCAGTAGCTGGGATTACAGGCCCATGCCACCATGCCTGGCTAATTTTTGTATTTTTAGTAGAGACGGCGTTTCGCCATGTTGGCCAGGCTGGTCTCAAACTCCTGGCCTCAAATGATCTGCCTACCTCAGCTTCCCAAAGTGCTGGGATTACAGGCATGAGCCACAGCTCCGGGCCTGAAAACAAGATTTCAAAGTTGTGATGTTATTAAAATACAGGATACCCTTAAAGTTTACTCTTTCAAATTTTTAAAAGAACTCAGCAGAAAGATGTGCAATTGATTTGAATAGACAATTCGTGAGAGAAATAAATACCTAATAAATGTATAAGAATATGTCGTTTCCAGCTAATAAAATATATCCAAATAAAAAACAAGAAAGTGCTTCTCACCTATAAAATTGACAAAGATTTAAAAAATTGGTAGCACCCAGAGTTCTGAAGGAAATGGTAAATGGGAAACTTCCAACCCTACTGATAGCAGAAGAAATTGGTATAATTTTTCTGGATGTCCATTCGACAGTATTTGTAAATAGCTTTTGGATTGTGCTTAACCTTGAGCCAAGTAGTCTATTTTTAGTAAATTATTTTAAAGAAAAATAATCATTTATTGAATTCTACTTCTGAGCCAGGCTCTGTAGTGCCACTTTATAGACATAAGTATTTAATCCTTACAACAACTTTGCAAGCAGATATTATTACCAACTGTTACAATTGAGGAAACTAATGCACAGAAAGTTTTAGCAATAAGCCAGAGATCAAACTACTGGAATAGTTTATACACAAGTCTGCCTTATTTTTAGGAAAAATGGACATATGTGCAAATCTGTAGGAATGAGGATGTTTACTGCATAGTGTATAATAAAGAAAAGTAGAAAATAAAGCTCATTATCCATTAATAGAGGAATTATTATGCAAATTGCATTCATTCAAATGATCATATACATTTTGAAAGAAAATGTATTTAGAATATCTTAAGTTCAAAAGGTTGGTTAAAAATAAAAGAGTGTTAACAGCCAATTTTTTTTTTTTTTTTCGAGACGGAATTTAGCTCTGTTCCCCAGGCTGGAGTGCAATGGTGTGATCTCGGCTCACTGCAACCTCTGCCTCCTGGGTTCAAGTGATTCTCGTTCCTCAGCCTCCTAAGTAGCTGGGCTACAGGCATGTGCCACCATGCACAACTATCTTTTGTATTTTTAGTAGAGACAGGGTTTCACCATGTCGGCCAGGCTGATCTCAAACTCCTGACCTCAAGTGATCTGTCTCCCTTGGCCTCCCGAAGTGCTGGGATTACAGGAGTAAGCCAATACATCCAGCCAACAGCCAACTTTTTTTGAGTCCTTGCTATGTGCTGAGAGTTCCAGATATTTGTTCAACTTGGTGGGCATTTGCATAGAAAATAGTCTGGAAGAACTTACACTAGGATGTAATAGTATTGTCTTCAGGTGGTGAAATCAGGGATAAGTTCTGAGTTTCTTTTATGTTTTGATGATCACTGAATTTATTTCACTGGGTATGTATTCCTTTTGTATTCAGAAAAAAACACCCTTTAAAACTAAGAGGGAGGGAGAGAGGGAGATGGGAGGAGACAGAAAAAAGTGGAGAAATCTTGCAAGTTGTACATGAAGAAACAAGTGAGTGGAGCTTATTCATATTGTTTTGATACACACATGAGCCAGGAGAGTGTGCTATGCTTCCATCTTTCTAAATCTTCTCCTTTTAAAGTAGTTTACTACAATTTCAAACCTGATAATCATATCTTTATTGTAGATTATTTGTACATAAAATAAAATATTTATGGTCAAGATTTAGTTTTCAAAATGTTAAAAATATTTCAGAAAACCACGAAATGAAATAAAAGCAGTCAGACAGGAGGTTTCTGGTTTTCCTAGTAGATTTCCACATTTAATCCATGAATCTTCATTTTTCTCCTTCCTGGAGTATGAATATAACTCAAAGTATAATGACAATGACAGTAGTCTTTCTCTCTCTCTTTTTTTTTTTTTTTTTTTTTTTTTTTTGAGACAGAGTCTCTCTCTGTTGCCCAGGCTAGAGTGCAGTGGCATGATCTCGGCTCACTGCAACCTCTGCCTCCCCGGCTCAAGCAATACTCCTGCTGCAGTCTCCCAAGTAGCTGGAATTACAGGCATGCGCCACCACATCCAGCCAATTTTTGTATTTTTAGTAGAGATGGGGTTTCATGATGTTGGCCAGGCTGGTCTCAAACTCCTGGCCTCAAGTGATCTGCCTGCCTCGGCCTCCCAAAGTGCTGGAATTACAGGTGTGAACCACCATGCCTGGCTGACAGTCGTCTCTTTTGAACCCACTCTTGTTAAATCTCTATATCCCAACACTTCTGTACCTCTGTAACCCAACATGATCCTGGATGGTCAAGCTTGCTCCTCAACAATGCTGACGTCTCTGGCACTGAGCCTATCTCCTGCCCCTTGTTTGCCTGCCACTGTCTGCAGGGTGTAGACTCTGGTGACAGAAATGTCTGAGATTCATGAGTGAGCCATGCTTGACTTTGCCACCATGACTTGGTCACTTCAAGGAGATCAGTGGAATTGTTGACAGTTTTCTTTCAAGGTGTCATAGCAGCTGCTTTGCTCCATTAAACACAAGTAGAGGATTAATTCTTTTTAAATAAGGAGATCTTGTTTCTTTTTCTTCTTTTTCTCCTTGTCATCGCCCCCCTTTTTCTTCCTCTTCCTAGTTTTCTTCCTTTTTCCTTCCTTCCTTTTCTTTGCTAGTAAAGTTTGTTGTAAACCAAATTATAATTGCCACAACTAATAAAATAGAAAATTGAAATATATATACACACCTACATATGCAGACATGTTTTGCATTTTTTTTACAATGTCCTTAATGTCACAACATTAATTCTTATTTTTTCTCACCTTTGTTCTTTAGAATAGAAACAGAAGGCAGCCCTCTGACATCACCTATTTCCCTAGCAAAACACGTCCACCAAATGATAATCTGCATTTCTCTTTGTTTCAGGATATTTTACCTTTACCTTTGTAATCATGGTAATTTACTGCTATTTTGCATGTAGGAGGAAACCCTAGGGATATTTTTGTTGCAAAGATGCCAAGGAAAACTGAGTTATGTGGCAATTTTATAGTTCTAAGGAGAAGGTGTCAAAAGCTTACAAGAAAATTAGATGATACCCCTGGAGGTGTTAGATGCATTGACAAGTTCACATCTCCCATCTTCCTTGACATTTTTAGGTTAAGCCATATGATATTGCTGAGTGTCCTAGTCTAAAATAGTTGATTATCATCAGTTTCACATGGGTCAACCTAAAGTAATGAACTGTGGATTGTTATGGCAAAATGAGGAAAGATGACTTGGAACAGAATAGCTGAAGTGTTGCAATTAAGAAAAAAAGTTTTATTGACTTCTTTTAGTCTTGGTTAACATATATCCCCTTAACCCATTTCCCATTTGCCCTGAGAATACTGCACTGGCAGTGAGCTGCACATTTGTTTTCTAAACGGGGAATGGGTTAAGGATGGGTTGGACATATCCAGACTTCTCTCAAAATACTGACAGGCATATTAAGGTTCATAAATCCTCCTTGTAGCTAGTAAGTCAGACCAATCTCTACCTTAATGAATATTTACTAAGCACCAGTTGTGTCAGGTTATAATAGATATGGAGACACAGTCTTTCTTCAAGGAACATTGCATCTATGGGAAGGAAAGCACATGACCAATTGTGATGGTTAATATTCAGTGTGGACTTGATTGGATTGAAGGATGCAAAGTATTGTTGCTGGGTGTATCTGGGTGTTGCCAGAATAGATTAACATTTGAGTCAGTGGACTGGGAGAGGAAGACCCACCCTCAGAAAGACCCACCCACAATGTGGGTGGGCATCATCCAATCAGATGCCAGCACAGCTAGAAAAATCAGGTAGAAGCTGGAGGGTGCTGACTTGCTGTGTCTTCCAGCCTCCATCTTTCTCCTGTGCTGATGCTTCCTGTCCTTGAACATCAGACTCCAGGTTCTTCAATTTTTTAACTCTTGGACTTACCAGTGGGTTTGCCAAGGGCTTTCAGGACTTTGGCCACAAACTGAAGACTGCACTTTCAGCCTCCCTACTTTTTTTTTTTAAATGGATTCTCGCTCTTGATGCCCAGGGTGGAGTGCAGAGGAGCCATCTCAGCTCACTACCACCTCCGCCTCCTGAGTTCAAGCGATTCTCCTGCCTCAGCCTCCCGAGTAGCTGGGATTACAGGTGCATGCCACCACCCCCAGCTAATTTCTGTAGAGACGGGGTTTCACCTTGTTGGCCAGGCTGGTCTCGAACTCCTGACCTCAGGTGATCAGCCCATCTGAGCCTCCCAAAATGCTGGGATTACAGGCGTGAGCCACTGCGCCTGGCCAGCTTTCCTACTTTTGAGGTTCTGAGACTCGTACTGGCTTCCTGGCTCCTCAGCTTGCATACAGCCTATCGTGGGATTTCACCTTGTGCTTTTGTGAGTCAATACTCCTTAATAAACTCCCTTTCATATAGACGTCTATCCTATTAATTCTGTTCCTCTAGAGAACCCTGACTAATACACCAATTATGCTACAATATACTAATTGTCATGAAGGATGCATGTTCAATATACAACAGAAACCTGGAAGAAGAACCCACAACTGCTTGGGAGAAACAGGAAGCCTTCACGAAAGTGGATCAAAGTTGATTCAAATTATGGAAACACAAATAAATAAGGATCATTTCTATAGCATTTTCTCACAACATACTTGGCCAGAATTGGGTATTTTTCAAGATGACAGGAATCATAAATAGCTGATATTGCTGAAAGTTGTATCATGAGTGGGTAGAATGGCAAGAAGGAACTTGATCCCTGCCAAAGGAAACACTAAAGGACATTGCTGGGATTCCAATCATGAGATTGCAGCAGTGAGATATCCTGCCTAGACATGAGAGAAACCTGCCCTCAACCTTAAGAAATCACATTGGATGTAAAAGACAGGACCTTAAAAAAATAATAATAAAGCAAGCTCTATCTACAGGATTAAATTAACTGAGGGGACTCAAGCATCTCTTGATTAAAGGACTTCTTTTGCCCTTGTTTGAATATATCTTTCTTTCAGAAATATTTAAGGAACATTCCTGTGAGGGTAGGGCTTTTAGTCTTAAAAAAAATCTTCGTGATGCTCATTTCAGTTCCTTGTACTCAGTATGTTCCTCAGCTATCTCATTAGCCTTCCTTGCTTCAGGCTTCCACAGCCTCTCCTACGATCTCCTATGAGACATTTCAAAGTATAGCTGATTTCACTATCCATCTGTTTATTAGTTGAATAAATAATTATTTCTTTTCTTTTCTTTTCTTTTTCGAGGTGGAGTCTCGCTCAGCCACCCAGGTTGGAGTGCAGTGGTGTGATCTCAGCTCACCGCAACCACCATCTCCCGGGTTCAAGTGATTCTCCCATCTCAGCCTCCCGAGTAGCTGGGATTACAGGCACCTGCCATCATGCCTGGCTAATTTTTGTATTTTAGTAGAGACAGGGTTTCACCATGTTGGTCAGGCTGGTCTTGAACTCCTGACCTCAGGAGATCTGCCCGCCTCGGCTTCCCAAAGTGCTGAGATTACAGGTGTGAGCCACTGCGTCCAGCCATAAATAATTATTTCTATTTACTACTATGTGCCAGAAACTGTTCTAGGGGCTGAGGACACAAGTCAAAGTGCCTGCTCTCAGGGAGCATTTTCATTCAATTCTATGAGGTGCAATATCCTGACTTTGATTAGTCAGGTGAGATATGCAATTGACTTATTATAAAATCAATAATCGTTGCACACATCTCTTTCATCCAGTTCTATATGTTTATTAATACATAAGGGAACCAATAAGGATAAAACATGCTGTCAGAATTATGATGATTTTAATACATCTCCACCAATCTGGACATTTTTTTCCACAAGAATTTCAGTCAACACCATGCAAATCTGAGAAAGTGTTTATACCCAGTTGATATAAAGAAATGATTTAGCTGGGTTTATTTTTGTCTTACTAGAGCCCAATCCTTTTAAAGAATTAAGTAGTACGTGTTTAGTTTGGATACATATGGTTTAATACATGGATAATTTTGAAATTTCCCTTTTCAATATTATTTAAGACACTGAGTAATCACAAGTGCAACCATAATTTCCTATCGACCTCTACATTTCTATTTTCCCAAGTGAGCTACTTTAAAGGTTTATTTTCAGCTTTACAGAAGACATTAGACAAGTCTACTCAGGCACAGAAAGAGCATTGGGTGGGACCAGCAGAAAATATGGATATATTCAAATGCCATTGTTTTAAGTCAATGAAATAACATGGATCTGTAGTTAACATCCATATGGTGGACAAGCTTACCTTGGTTAAAAAAACAAGCTACTTCTGTTAACTCTGGCCTCAAAACTAATGAAAGTCCATAGCAATTTTTATCTCGATACCAGAATCATGAGGGCAGCAGGATGGCAGAGCAGCTGAGAGCCACTGCAAGGAATGCCAGGGCAGCTCTGTGCCAGTCATCACTGATAGGAGGTGAGAGACATGTTAAGGATCAGGAAGGTCTTATGGGAACTGCAGGAGGCAATAGGGAGGCACCTGCCTTGAAAGAAAAGACCTGCTTCCTTTTCCCTAGTTACTGAATATTACTGGCATCTGTCTGCCTGTAACACCTGCCCAGCCAAATATAATACTTGGAATGATCTTTGTTTACTCACTCCTGTAGTTATTACTCCTTTCACCTAAAGGGACAGAACACATTGAACTTATTACTTAGTTTGATTGTTCACAGACACTAATCCTGGTAATGGTGTAAATCTGTTCTGTCTTTGATCCAAGAACACACAACAAAGAGCCAGGAATATTTTTAGTTCTGACTCATTGAGATATGAAAGTAGCTATAATAAGAGCAATATGTAAAAGTTTAAATACATTAATTGTAACTTTATATCTATATAGCTAGGGTATAAGCAGGAGGAGGAGGAGGAGTCTGTAGGGCCCTATCCAGCTTCCTTTCAGGACCAAAACTCACCGCCCTCCCCTCGCCTTCCCCAGCTTCTGAAAGCTGCTGGTGGTTTACAACTGAGTTCCTCTCTGTTGCCCTGGGCAGAAAAGAGTTGACTCCCCCAAGCCAAATGCCCCCTCCCCAGGAGCAGCCCACATCTAATGACTGGTTAATGAAGGGGTAGAGGACTAGGCTCCTTTGTCTAGATATAGGACAACTTTTGAAAGGCTGTCCCAACTCCAGAAATTTTCTCTTTTTTTTCTTTTTATTATACTTAAAGTTCTAGGGTACATGTGCACGATGTGCAGGTTTGTTACATATGTATACATGTGCCATGTTGGTTTGCTGCACCCATCAACTCATCATTTACATTAGGTATCTCTCCTAATGTTATCCCTTCCCCAGTCCCCTACCCCCCGACAGGCCCTTGTGTGTGATGTTCCCTGCCCTGTGTCCAAGTGTTCTCATTGTTCAATTCCCACCTATGGGTGAGAACATGCAGTGTTTGGTTTTTCGTCCTTGCGATAGTTTGCTCAGAATGATGGTTTCCAGATTCATCCATGTCCCTACAAAGGACACGAACTCATCCTTTTTTATGGCTGCATAGTATTCCATGGTGTATATGGGCCACATTTTCTTAATCCAGTCTATCATTGATGGACATTTGGGTTGGTTCCAAGTGTTTGCTATTGTGAATAGTGCCGCAATAAACATACGTGTGCATGTGTCTTTATAGCAGCATGATTTATAATCCTTTGGGTATATACCCAGTAATGGGATGGCTGGGTCAAATGGTATTTTTAGTTCTAGATCCTTGAGGAATCACCACACTGTCTTCCACAATGGTTGAACTAGTTTACACTCCCACAACAGTGTAAAAGCGTTCCTATTTCTCCACATCCTCTCCAGCACCTGTTGTTTCCTGACTTTTTAAAAGTCAGAAATTTTCTTAGGCTCAGCTGAGGCCTCTGTTGCAACTTCTCTGCCACTTGAATTCTCCCTCTGCCCAGCCCTGTTTCCCTCATTCCCCTACAGGGGTTATTCCCAAGAGCACTCCCTGCAAATTTCCTGTATGCAAATCTCCATCCCAAACTGTTTTCCAAGGCAACTGACCTAAGACCACCTGTCCCAAAGGTGCAAAAATCAGTCATGAAGGAGAATTTTATTAAGCTGATTTTCACGCCCCTTCTGTTAATTGTGTAGTAAACCCTGCTAATCAGAAAACGGACATACCTAATTTTAAAAGAATTAGTATCACAGAGTTGTGGTGAACTAGGAAGTTCTTACAATATAGGTGAATAATCAGGAACTTAATATCATCCTGTGGAAATAGCATCTGAAATATATAGGTAACTAAAGTGGAGAAATTACCTTTCTGAGCCGTTTTGTAAAATTACCAACTATCTTGGGTTTCTTTGTATGTAAAAGGGTAATTTAGACTGTTTTGGTTTTAATGGCCTTTCTTTCTTTCTTTCTTTCTTTCTTTCTTTCTTTCTTTCTTTCTTTCTTTCTTTCTTTCTTTCTTTCTTTCTTTCTTTTATGACAGAGTCTCACTCTATTGTCCAGGCTGGATTGCGGTGTCATGATCTTGGATCACTGCAACCTCCACCTCCCAGGTTCAAGGGCTTCTCGTGCCTCAGCCTCCCAAGTAGCTGGGATTACAGGCATGCGTCACCATGCCCAGCTAGTTTTTGTAGTTTTAGTAGAGACGGGGTTTCACCATGTTGGCCAGGCTGGTCTCAAACTCCTGACCTCAAGTGATCCACCTGCCTTGGCCTCCCAAAGCCTGGGATTACAGGCATGAGCCACCCACTGTGCCCAGGTAATGGCCTTTATTTATTTATTTATTTATTTTTGAAATGGAGTCTCGCACTGTGGCCCAGGCTGGAGTGCAGTGGTGCAATCTCAGCTCACTGCAACCTCTGCCTCCCAGGTTCAGGCAATTCTCATGCCTCAGCCTCCCGAGTAGCTGGCATGTGCACCATGCCCAGCTAATTTTTGTATTTTTAGTAGAGATGGGGTTTCACCATGTTAGCCAGGCTGGTCTTGAACTCCTGGCCTCAACTGATCCACCTGCCTGAGCTTAATGGCTTATTTTTTATTTGCACTAGTAAATACCAGAAATTTTGTGCTTTTCAACATATAAAAATTCAGTAGATTCATTCAAAAACTGAATTAATAGGCTCTATGATGAATCTTAGGGAAATGTAACATATTGCCTCCCTTGTATTTGAAACTGTAATTTAAAAAAACCTTTTCACTTTTCCTCAAAGCAAGTCCTTGGTACATTGTAGACAGTTCATTATGGTATAAATGAATGAATGAGACTTTAACCTGCAAAGAAGAACATTAGGCTAATGCAAATAGAACTACATTGTATGTCTCCTGTTCTTTGTTCTGCATCCGACCCCATCCACACTGCTGAATCTGGTATGTTGCTTGCATTGTTGGATTTTCCTATCTTATTTCTACTGTTAGTTGGTTCTTATTTAATGTTTGAGTGTTTAGAACAGTCAGTGAAGTGAAGAATGGTATTTAATTATTGGAATAGGAATACTCTGTTTCCTCCATCTTCTTTTTCTTTTTCTTTTCTTTTTTTTTTTTTTTTTTGAGATGGAGCCTCACTCTGTCACCCAGGCTGGAGTGCAGTGGTGCTATCTCGGCTCACTGCAACCTCCGCCTCCAGGGTTCAAATTATTTTCCTGCCTCAGCCTCCTGAGTAGCTGGGATTACACGTGACCGCCATCACGCCCAGCTAATTTTTGTATTTTTAGTAGAGACATGATTTTGCCATGTTGGCCAGGCTGGTCTCGAACTCCTGACCTCAGGTGATCAACTTGCCTTGGCCTCCCAAAGTGTTGGGATTACTGGTGTGAGCCACTGCTCCTGGCCTCCTCAATCTTCAATCTCTCTTTCTACTTACCAGTTTTCCTAAAAGAATCTTCAGAAGTGAAAAGGTTTCCTAATTAGAGGTACCTTATCCTTGATCTTCCTCCTCCTCTGTTTCTGTGGTTATCTAGATTCTTTCATAACCTGATTATCTCCACGTAAGCCCGGCTACTTCCATATGAAGAGCTAATTAGGCTCTTGAATTCATCCACCCATCTATCATCCGTTCATTCAAAAAATACTTATAGAGCACCTACGATGTGCCGGGCTCTGAGAATAAATGGTGAACAGCATAGCTCTCGTGAAGCCTACAATTTACTGAGAAATGTCATCTAATCAAGCAATGATCATCCCTAATGTTGCATGACATGTGGAGGAATAGAGAGAGCAAAGGGAGTAAAAGGGAAGATGAACCAACTCACACTTGTTGTGTCAGGAAGGACTTCCTGGAGGAGGTGACATAAACCAATCCCAGACAATACATTAGCTGTTACCCAGGCAAAGAGAGCGAGGAAGAAAATTCTAGACATGGTGTTTTATCAGGCCTGGGGTCCCTAAGTAATTAGACTTAAATTTTAGAAAAATCACCCAGAAGAAAGGAACGATAACAGGTTGTATGGAGACGAGGCTGGAGACAGGGAGACTAATAAGCAAATTGATCCAGAAACTATGTTTTAGGGCTGGGCCCAGTGGCTCACGCCTGTAATCTCAGCACTTTGGGAGGCTGAGGGCGGCAGATCACGAGGTCAAGAGATCGAGACTATCCTGGCCAACATGGTGAAACCTCGTCTCTACTAAAAACACAAAAATTAGCCGGGTGTGGTGGCACCTGCATGTAATCCCAGCTACTCAGGAGGCTGAGGCAGGAGAATTGCTTGAACCCAGGAGGCAGAGGTTGCAGTGAGCTGATATCAAGCCATTGCACTCCAGCCTGGGCGATAAGTGAGACTTCATCAAAAAAAAAAAAAAAAAAAAAAAGAGAAATAGACTTCATGCTTATACAAAGTCATACATTTTTATAAGAAGACACAGGCTTCCCAGTCTGCCTCTCTTTGTCCCAGTCTTGTTAAAGTTGTGATTTATCAGGCAAGATTGAATTTAGCTGTTTTTAACAGAAAACCCAAATATATGGCTTAAATAAGATAAGGATTGATTTTTTTCCCTCTCAAAGAAGAAGAAAGAAGGAGGAGAAGGAGGAGGAGGAGGAGGAAGAAAAGAAGAAGGAGTTCTATTGGAGACAGTCCAGAGCTGGTATATTAGCTCCATGGTTATCAGAGATTTGGGTTTGTTCTATCTTCTTCACCATGTTGAGCCCTTGACCTCCATCCTTAGGTCAGTGTAGGATCCAAAATAGCTACTAAAGCCCCTGCTATCATGTCTGCTCTTTATTTAGGAAGTAATGGAAGGAAGGGGGAATAAAAGAATGCTTGCAGCTGAGTCAGCCATTTTAAAAGAATCTTTCCTGATGTCCTGCCCATAAACTTCCACATATATGTCGTTGGTCATTACTATCTACAAGGGATAAAGGAAAATATAAGTTTTAACTGGGTCCATGCCATCCCCTGATAAAAGATATGTCAGTCACTAAAAAGAAAAGAGGGGTGTGCCAGAGCAGGCTCTGTCTCACATAGGTTAAAAGAAAAGTCTCTACATATATGTGTGTGTGTGTGTGTGTGTGTATATATATACACAAATATGTGTGTGTATATATGTGTATATAGAGTTTTCTCTACATATATATGCATATATATGTATATATATGCATATATATACATATACATATATACACGCACACACACACACACATATATATATGGCAAAGATGGTTAATGACAACTGACCCTCTGGCTTTGTGTGGGGAGATAACAGGAAGTGATGGGAACGGCGCTGAGCAGGGAAGCTCATGTCTCACCTAATAGGCTCAGCCATATTCTGCCCCAGCAATGTGGGAATGGAGCCCACTGTGTTCTGATGTTCCCATTTTCCAAGAGAAGCAATGACCTGCTCTACATTGGCTCACTCTGCTTCAGCCACACTATCCTACAGCTATCCTTTGAACATGCGCCAGTCCTTCCACTACAGGGCTTTTGTACTATCTGTTCCATCTGCTGAGAATGCTCCTCTTCCATGTATCAGCATGAACCCTTCAAATCTTTGGTCAAACTGTAAGAAGCATATCTGAGGCATAATTCAGATTTTTGTGCCAACTCTTGTATTATTTTATTTCCTTTATTTTTATTTTGAGACAGAATCTCTGTCTGTCGCCCAGGCTGGAGTGCAGTGGTGCAATCTCGGCTCATTGCAACCTCCACCTCCTGGGTTCAAGCAATTCTCCTGCCTCAGCCTCCCAGGTAGCTCGGATAACAGGCATGCATCACCACGCCAAGCTAATTTTTGTATTTTTAGTAGAGACAGGGTTTCTCCATGTTGGCCAGGCTGGTCTTGAACTCCTGGTCTCAAGCGATCCACCTGCCTTGGCCTCCGAAAGTGCTGAGATTACAGGTGTGAGCCACCGCGCCCGGCCTTTCCTTATTTTAGAATCAACACCCACATATTTCAAAATTCTGTGTCTGAATGTTGCAATTTGTACCTAACCTTCAACCACTGACCAAGGAGAGAGAGTTTTCCTTGAGACAACATTTTAGGAAATGTTATGCCACACAATAAGAAATGCACTCTATTGCTTTGCAAACCAGCGTAAGGAAGGTGGAGCTTGAAATAAAGGTGCCCATCACCAGACTCTTAGACCACGGCAAATACTTATTACTCTGGGGACAGATAGCCATCAACCATCTACCCTCTTCTTCTCTTTGCCAGTCAGAAAGTGCTGGCTCTGAAGCTGGGGTGGACAGTATTTCTAAAAGGACAATTCTGGGTAATTAACTCCTCCCTGCCCTATGTAAATGCTCTGGCACAAACCTGATCCAACTCCCTCTACACAGCTGTCCATTCCTTGCAGCTTTCCGTTTAGGCCAGCAGATGGCAGCAAGTATTGGCTGAAATAGGAAACCAACTTACTCCTTCAGAGTTGATGTTCTTTTTGATGCATTTTCTTTGACTTGTGCCAATAAAAACAATAAAAGTAATTTACATTTGCCTCACTCATTACTTCTCACACTGAGAAACAGGAAGGTTAATCCATTTTAGACCTGACTTATCATTTTGAAAGGGTGATCATGAAAGTCTGAATATGTGAAATGGGGCAAAAGTCTTAAACTGTTCCTTAGTAACAAAACATAAAATTTAATATATATTACCAAACAAAAATTATTTATTTAATCTTGATTCCAATGGCTGTTCTTAATAAAAAAACTACAAATATTTGTTATATTTCTAAGTAAAGGTACAATAACTTGAGGATGTGCACAAAATGATAAACAATTATATTATTATTTTCTGAATAACGTCCACATTTGTCCAAATCTATCCTTTAAAATGTACTGCATCCTTTTAATCACTTGGAGATGCAAATAATGAAATATATATGGGGAAAAGTTACTAGGAAGAACTTCTACATATCATGAAAGTGAACTCTTGTTTTATTACTATCTTTTGGAGAGTAGCAATATAAATATTTTTGAAAGTTTTTGTTATGTCAACAGCAATTATGGAATAACTAAATGTCTTTGAGGGGAAAAGGAAAATGGACCCAATAAAGGGTCAATTTATTAGAGGCAATTAAGTCTACAGAACAATTATTTCTGTACTTCATGCTTCAAAGTTTTGTTCAATGTAAACTAAAATCTAGATAACCTAGGAAGCAAGAAAAGTGATAAATGAACAGTCAGGCTACACAACAGGTAAGGAGGAGAGCTGATGTGAGAAGCAGGAATTGCCAGTGCCTGTAGATGTCAACAGAATTTACATGTGAGTTGTTTGCTAAGAAATGCAAAGAAACCTACAGATGATTGTTAGTGGTTAGTACCTGGAAAGGTAAAGGAAACAGACTGAGAAAGATGCGATGCCCTGATACTTCTGAAAGGATCAAACTCTTTGTAAAGATTAAAAAAAAAAAAAAAAGGCCAGGTGCAGTGGCTCACGCCTGTAATCCCAGCACTTTGGGAGGCTAAGGTGGGCGGATCACGAGGTCAAGAGATTGAGACCACCCTGGCTAACGTGGTGAAACCCTGTCTCTACTAAAAATACAAAAATTAGCTAGGTGTGGTGGCGGGCACCTGTAGTCCCAGCTACTCAGGAGGCTGAGGCAGCAGAATTGCTTGAACCCGGGAGGCAGAGGTTGGAGTGAGCCAAGATCGCGCCACCGCACTCCAGCTTGGTGACAGAGCAAAACTCCATTTCAAAAAAAAAAAGAAGAAGAAGAAGGAGAAAAGACAAATTTGTTATGGATTGCATCTTAGAATTACAGACTGACAGAGATTGATGGAATGTGGATATTATTTTAGCCTAGTCTTCAGCCCTTCTAAATTCTGTGGAAATTCCTTCCTTTGTATCTCTGAGTATGTTTTTCTGGCCTCTGCTTGAATGCATCCACCAATTCAGAGCTTTCAATATTTTGTTGTAAAGATTTTATTTTATTTTATTATTGTATTTTTTTGAGACAGGGTATTGCTCTGCTGCCCAGGCTGGAGTGCAATGATGTAATCATGGCTCACTGCTACCTCAATCTCATGGGCTCAGGTGATCTTCTCACCTCAGCCTCTCGAGTAGCTGGGGGTACAGGTGTACACCACCATGCCCAGCTAATTTTTAAGTTTTTTGTTATTTGTGTGTTTTTGTGTGTGGGTTTTTTGTTGTTTGTTTGTTTGTTTTTGGAAAGACAGTGTCTCCCTGTATCACCCAGGCTGGTCTCAAACTCCTGGGCCTAAGCAGTCCTCTCACCTTGACTTCCCAAAGTGCTGGGATTCCAGGCATGAGTCACCACAACCAGCCAAGGTTTCTACACATTTTTATTTTGGATCACGGATAGCTTTGTGAGACTTGTGAAAGTATGTACTCTCATCCTAGAAAGATGCATTCCCTAAACTCATTCATGGAGTTCAGGTGAAGCGTCCCTACTCTAAGGAAAATAAAGCCTTTCTACACAACAATTCTTCAAGTATTTTTTAAAAGCATCATGTTCTTAAAACCACCTCACTCATTTCGTTGACTCCTTTCCTTTCTCTGTTCCTTCATCCACTTTATGAAAACAAGCATATACTAAGCACCCTTTCTGTGTCACACACTCTAGACACTTGAGACACAAAGATGAATAAGATGCCATTCCTGTCCTTGGGGAGTTCACAGCTTATCTGGAGGGAAAAATCTGTAAACACCTACATTAGGTCAGGGAAGTGACATTTGAATTGAGTATGGTCTTCATTTGGATTTAGTCTAGGTTCAAATCCCAGCTTCACCTTTGGAAAGATATTTAACCTTTTTGGTCCTCAGTTTGCTCATATGTGAAATAGGCATTTGTATGCTATTGCTATTATTATCATCATTTGCCAAATAAGAAATCTGGACTTTATTGTGTAGGCTTTCATAATCCACCAGCCCTTTAAGAAGGGGAGTGGCAGACATGACTTGATTTTTTTCTTTTTTTACTAATTTGATTTTAAGCACATCATTCTACATTGGAAGATTGTGAAATGTATTTTCCATCCTTCCAGAGATGGAAAGGAGGGAGACCAGATTGGAGACCTGCAATTGTAGAGGGAAGAATGGTGAGAACTTGAGCTAAGGCAGGGGTAACAGGGATGGAGAGTTGTTAAGAGATATTTTTGAGGTATAAATTATAGGACTTGGTGGTCGGTTGACAAGGAGAAGACCAAGTTAAGTTGGTCTTACATGTTTCTACCTTGGAAAACTGGTTGGATAGTGATTTCATTAACTTGCATTGTAATTACAGTAGAAAAAGCATTGAGAGAAGATAATAAATGTAAGATGCCTTTCAGATACCTTCAGCTTTGGAAATATGAATTCAGAATTTGGGACAAAATCCTCCACTAGAAAGAAAAGACTTAGGGTTTCTTTTTGTCTTTGGTGGTCAGTCATGAGAATGGATAAGATCACCCAGGAGAGCAGGTAGAGTGTGAAGAAAATGGAAGACAACCAAGAAAAGAATCAAGGCAGGCCGGGCGCGGTGGCTCACGACTGTAATCCCAGCACTTTGGGAGACCGAGGTGGGTGGATCACGAGGTCAGGAGATCGAGACCATCCTGGCCAACATGGTGGAAACTCGTGTCTATTAAAAATACAAAATTAGCTGGGCATGGTGGCAAGTGTCTGTAGTCCCAGCTACTTGGGAGGCTGAGGCAGGAGAATTGCTTGAACCCGGGAGGCAGAGGTTGCAGTGAGCCAAGATCACACCACTGCACTCCAGCCTGGTGACAGAGTGAGACTCCATCTCAAAAAAAAAGAAAAAGAAAAGAAAGAATCAAGGCAAACACAAACATTTAACGAAAGGTGAAGGAGGAGGAAGAGGAAGAGAAGGCCCAGTTAATGAAGGCACCTGACCGTAGAAAGTTAGAAAAGTAGAACTCAAGGGACTGTTTTTTTTAAGCAGTTGCTCTCTTAAACCAAAAATCTGAATGCCCAATAAGTATCAGGCACTCTGCTAACTGTTCATCTTATTTCCCCCTCAATATAGGTAGCCCATTGCACAATGCCATCCTGCCCATTGATCTATGGCCAACCCTAGGATAAACCAAAGTTTCACCTATGCTTGGATCTGTTTCTGTGCTCTTTACTATGATCTGTCAGTCTAGATATCTATCTCTGCACCAATGCCAGAATGTTTTAATTACTCAGTTATACAACCTTACAAACACCCTTCCTCCCTCCATTCCAAGGTAAATATAAATTATTGCCATATTTCACATGAACAAAGTTGTAGGCATGTTTTCAGTAATATTACGTATACTGATGATATAGAAACTCTTTCTCTGACACTACCTTTAAAATGAAATTAAAGAGTTAACATACCATATGGTGCAATCTCTCTCTTTCTTCTTTTGATCCACATAAATCACATTCCCTTAGACAGTGATTCCCAAACCTGATTGAGTATCAGAATCACCTGGGAAGCTTTTTAAAAATGTAAATTCTTGAGCTCCATTCTAAATGTACTGAACTGAGTAGGATGGGGCATTTGGGGCCAAGGAATAGGTGTGTGCAATAAAATATACCACACGTTCATGGACTGGCATTTGGGAATCTTTGCATTCAGAAGTTCTTAGAACATTGATTAAAGACATATCAGTCACTTTATTTTTATTTATTTATTTATTTATTTATTTATTTATTTATTTATTTTTATTTGAGACAGAGTCTCGCTCTGTTGCCCAGGCTGGAGTGCAGTGGCACGATCTTGGCTCACTGCAACCTCCGCCTCCCAGGTTCAAGCAATTCTCTTGCCTCAGCCTCCCAAGTAGCTGGGATTACAGGTGCCTGCCACCACGCCCAGCTAATTTTTTGTATTTTTGTAGAGACGGGGTTCCACCATGGTGGCCAGGCTGGTCTCGAACTCTTGACTTCAGGTGATCCACCCACCTCAGCCTCCCAAAATGCTGGGATTACAGGCATGAGCCACTGCGCTGGGCCTATATCAGTCACATTAGAATGCTACTTTGCTATCAACTTTCAGAAATTAAGCACTCTATTGGGAGGCTGAGGCAGGCGGATCACAAGGTCAAAAGATCAAGACCATCCTGGCCAACATGGTGAAATCTCATCTCTACTAAAAATACAAAAATTAGCTGGGCGTGGTGGTGTGCGCCTGTAGTCCCAGTTACTCGGAAGGCTGAGGCAGGAGAATTGCCTGAACCCGGGAGGCGGTGGTTGCAGTGTGCCGAGATGGCACCACTGCACTCCAGGCTGGGGACAGAGCGAGACTCTGTCTCAAAAAAAGAAAAAAAAATTATGCATTTTGTTAAACTTATTGGTTTTTGTTCTTTTTATAGAGAAGTAAGTGCTGTTATAAAAAATTACAAACCTTGCAGAAATGAACAGAATGTAATACAATCCAACAGTTTCTCCTTAATAAAGGATGTTAACAGTTTGGCCAACACTCTGTATTTTTTCCTATGCATTTAGTAAGATAATTCTTCTAAAACTGGATTGTTTATACTTTGGGAATCTGGACTTTGAGAATCTACACAAGACCTGGTCTTGGGAGCCCAGTAAGTCCCATGCCCCATGTGGAAAGCCTGGATGTGGGAGCCAGGAGCATCTGCTTTTCAGACACAGCTCTGTCTCTTATGAGCATCTTTGGGCAGTTTATTTAACCTCTGTAAGTCTCAGATTTCCTCATCTGCAGATAAAAATACTACCTATGTAATAAAATTCTTGTGAGAATTAAATGAGATAATGCTATAAACGGATTAGCACGACATGAAAAATAAGTTCTTGGCAGGATGTGGTGGCTTACACCTGTAATCCCAGCACTTTGGGAGGCTGAGGTGAGTGGATCTCTTCAGTATAGGATTTTGAGAGCAGCCTGGGCAACATAGAGAGATCCTGTCTCCAAAAAAAAATAAAAAATTAGCTGGGCATGATAGTGCACACCTGTAGTCCCAGCTACTCTGGAGGCTGAGGTGGGAGGATTGCTTGAGCCAGAGAAGTTGAGGCTGCAGTGAGCTGTGATCATACCACTGGATAAATATTAATTTTTAAAAATTTTCAGTAAACCTTATTTTTTTAGATCAGTTTTAGGTTCACAGCAAAATTGAGTGGAAAGTACAGAGAGTTCCCATGTTCCTTCCCCTACAGCCTTCCCCACTATCAACATCCCCCACCAGAGTGGTACATTGTTACAGTCCATGATTCTACATTGATATATCCTTCTCACCCCAAATCCATATACACATTAGGGTTCATTCTTGATGTCGTAGGTTCTATGGGTTTTAACAAGTGTATAATGACAAGTATCCACCATTGCAGATCCAGCTCTGTACACTGAGATACAGGATACAATGCAGATACAAGATGCATTGTATCTTATATCTTCTAGATATATCAAGATACAATGTAGAATGTACTTGTATCCAAGTATCCATAGTGGATAATTTCATTGCCCTAAAAATCCTCTGTTCTCTGCCTATTCACCTCTCCCTTTCCCCTAACCTCTGGCAACCACTGATTTATTGTTTTACTGTCTTCATAGTTTTGCCATTTCCAGAATGTCATATAGTTGGAATCATACAATATTAACTTTTTATTATGCTCATTATTAGTATTACTACTACTACTGTAGGCACTTTCACTTAATATATATTGGACATTCTATTAACATATGATTTTATTAATTATTTCTAGCTTATGTATAGCATTTCACTGTATGGATGAACTTAAATGTCATATGCTTATTTTGGTTGTTTTTCAATTTTTCTTGACCATAAACCATTCTGCAGAGAATATCCTTGTATACATATATTTTCATACTTATATGTGTCTCTCCTATAAGGATTTTTGTTTTATTTTGTTTTGTTTGTTTCTTTGTTTTTTAGACAGGGTCTTGCTCTGTTGCAATCCACCTCAGCCTCCCAAGTAACTAGGACCACAGGCATGTGCCACTGCAACCACCTATTTTTTAATTTTTTAATTTTTGGAGAGGCAGATCTCCCTATGTTGCCCAGGCTGGTCTCAAACTCCTGGGCTCAAACAGTCCTCCTCCCTCAGCCTCCCAAAGTACTGGGATTACAGGCGTGAGCTGCCATGCACAGCCAAGGGGAATTGTTGAGTCAATGGGTATGAATATTTTAATAAAGTTTTACCCATTAGTTCCACACACAGTTTATTTATTTATATTTCCACTAGCAGTGTACAAGACTGTTTTTCCACATACTTGCCCAAACTGGATATTAAATTTCTTTTTAATCTTTGCTAATGGGTGACCCCAAAATTTTGTATCCTTGTTATATTATTTTACATTTAACTACTAGAGAAAACAAGCGTTTAAAGTAATCTACTGATGCTACAGTTTTTTATTTAGGTTTCTATTTTCCCAAATTCTCCTGGTCTATTTTCTTTTTATAAGGATTACTTCCTCTCTTACTTTATTTCTTTCATTCCTTTTTCCTCCATTCATCTTTCAGTTTTTTTCTCTCTCCTTTATTTACCAACGGAAGGACATTTTATGAGTCAATGCCATTTTTCCTTAATATTAAGTGGTCTCTGGGTCCTTTTAATTAATACTCTCTTTATTTTATTTGCCTTCTCTAAACAGAAGACCCCAAATGATTTCATCCTTTATTTCCCAAGTCAATATTTTCTCTTTTCTTCACTTCTCACATTTTATAGAAGAAAGTAGAATGACAGGTACTGTAGCTTCCTCACTACCTCTTTGAAATGGAAAAGGGCTGGTTTCTTTAATACTGCATTTCCTCTTTTTCCACTTCAGGCTCTCATCTGCAGCATGTAATTGTTTCTTTGGCATTCCAAATACTACCCTGTTGCTGATAGAAAATGTCACAGCTTGTGTGAGTGCCAGCTGCAGCCAATTATATATTAAATGACCTGCATTGGCATGAACAGGTTTGGCAGAATGCATTACGCTTTTGTGAGATGAAATTTTGCTTCGATAAATCGTGCTTGCATGGGATTTGACCTCAGGATGAAATCACACTCTTGTCTGAGCTGAAACAGCGGCAGCAGTCAAAGTACCAAACAACCATGATAGCATGAATATCCAAATGGTATTTTTTGATTGTGAAAATTATATCATACATAATAACACAATGGCCGTGAATAGGGCTTTACTTTTTTATTCCAAACTCATTATATTCTAGTTTTCCAAAGTTGGAATCTTTTCCTTATTGTCCACAGAAATAATGTATAGACAGACATATTCCCTACAAAAGCATGTAACATATTGATTTAAATTTTATGTTAAGCAAATCAAAATCATTTGGTATTTATTGTGAAAGTAATTTGTACCTTCAAGGAACATTTTCACATTTTCCAAGATAAATTAAGTTAGTTCACACCTTAGAATTACAAGACTTTCAGGAGCCTAAATCATCAAAATAATAACTCATTGAAAAAAAAAGTAATATTTTAATGGCTTGTATCATATAAACTCAAACGTGAGTTTACCAAAAGCATTATTACCATTACATTTAATCTTAAAGTGGTAATGTCATAGTTAAAATCAAATCTATATCCATTAGCATAGTATGCAGTCACTGAAATCTGATTAGACAAACTGTGTAGAGACAAGGAAAGATATTTATAGCTATCTAAACTGAATAAAGCATACTATTAAAATATAATTGCAGGCCTACATATACCATCAGATTAAGATAGCTATCTTTTATTCTGGGGATTAAGTTGTCTACATCCTGCTATTACATTGTCTTTCCCATAAAAAATTACTCTATACTAAGTCCAAACAATGGCTAATGTCCAATGTTTATTCAGTTATTCAACAGTTATAGCTTTCATTAAGCACATGTCAGTAAGTCACTTGACTAATGTTCATATTATGCCATCAATCTTCAGAATGGATTTAATCCCCGTGACTACCTTTAGCAATCTTGAAAATCTGGTACTGAATAGGTTTGTATTGATCAAGGGTGATATTCAAATTATTAAGAATCAGTCAGGGCTGGGCGCAGTGGCTCATGCCTGTAATCCCAGCACTTTGGGAGGCCAAAGCGGGTGGATCACCTGAGGTCAGGAGTTTGAGAGCAGTCTGGCCAACATGGTGAAACCCTGTCTCTACTAAAAATTCAAAAAATTAGCTGGGTGTGGTGGTGGGTGCCTGTAATCCCAGCTAGTTGGGAGGCTGAGGCAGGAGAATTGCTTGAACCCCGGAGACAGAGGTTGCAGTGGGCCAAGATCGTGCCACTGCGCTACAGTGTGGACGACAGTGCGAGACTCCGTCTCAAAAAAAAAAAAGAAATCAATCAGAACAGACACTTTAGCAAGCACCAGACACAGCCATCATGAATGTAGGGACTGAAGATCCATTCCGGATAGAAGTGGAAGGGTGCTTCTAGAAACAGGCAGGGTGGAGCCCTGATTTTCCGGATATTGGCATAGTTTGATGAATAACACACTACTTGGTTTACAAAGAGAAGGCATAGGTGCTAGTTCCAATTTTGCCAATTTTCCTTTAAGCCTCAGATTCTATATCTGTAAAATAAACTATTCAAAGAATAAGATCATATATTTTGGCAAACACTATACATTTTATAGTGAGTACAATAGAACCCATGAGAACTTAGCAGTCATTAATGAAATATTAACATTTTATTCATTTACTTGTAGACACAATTCAAAATCTTGTTCTCAGTTATATCCCTTAATGAGTCCCATGACAGAACTTCGACTAGGTAATGCAGATTTGAGATAATACATACTGATTCAATCTAAAATCTGTCCCTGTGAATTATAAATGATGCTTGGAAATGTCAACTGTGTAGGAAGTTACCTTCTTCTGATTATAAAAGCCATATTTGTGTCCAGTGAAAAGAGAAGTACATGCCACATGTGAATATAGGGTTCAGAGTTAAGACACGTTTTCTACAACAAACTCCTCCAGGGTTGATTGCAATTTGCTGAACATTTATAGTACAAACAATGCTGATAATTTATTAATCCTATAGAGTTTTACTATTATTTTTCTCAGTTCCAATTCATTTTCTTCCTTCAATGTTCTCTTGCCTTACATAGTGGAGTTTCGGGTGGTTTCCTAGTTTATTTGACCTCATTTGTGACATTTCATTGGCATCAACTATAGATTTTTTTTTTATCCACAGATAAAGCAGTTTTATACTTATAAAACTGCTAAAACTTTAAAATGTTTGATTGACTTTGCAAATGCTTTGAAGGTTATGTTGTTCGCTAAGTAAGTGGTCAGAAGTTCAGGCAGTCTTCATAAAGGCTTTTTGCAGTCTATTCAGCTTTATATGTTACAAAAATTCTGAGCTTAATTTTAGAATGCTTACTAAAACAAATGCTCAGAAACTCATACAATTCTTACCTCACTATATATGCCACCTATCAGTGTCAACATTTAAAAAATATGACTTGATAGTCATCTGTGGCTGGAGTGATAAAGTGCTACATATATATATTTTTTTCCTTTTTCTTTTTTTTTGAGACAGAGTCTTGCTCTTTTGCCCAGGCTGTGGTGCAGTGGTGCGATCTCAGCTCACTACAACCTATGCCTCCTGGATTCAAGCAATTCTCCTGCCTCAGCCTCCCGAGTAGCTGGGATTATAGGCATGTGCCACCATGCCCAGCTAATTTTTGTATTTTTAGTAGAGACGGGTTTCCCTATGTTGGCCAGGCTGGTCTCGAACTCCTGACCTCAGGTGATCCACCTGTCTTGGCCTCCCAAAGTGCTGGGATTACAGGGGTGAGCCAACACGCTCGGCCTACATAGATATATATTTCTAGTAATAGATAATGGGGACAGAAATAGTAGTTGTAGTAGTAAGGACAATTTTGAATACCCTGTAGAAACTGAGGACCAAGACATTGTTTATTTGTCCCAAAACGTTACATCAAATCTCACCCTAGGCATTTTATCACCAAAAAACAATATTCTCCTAAAACATCTACAATTGAAGAATTATTTATGTCAATTACAAACCTCATTTATTACTTAGGGCAAATACATGTTTTGTATCCTCAAGGGACTCTTCTCATAAAAATTTATTTTATTTTTTAGCATTTAAACAACATTACATTGACAGGCCACCCATCTTAATACCAGTGGACGTACAGCTCATATTTTTATGTTTTATTTAAAAAGTACTAACTAATTTTACACACACATACACCAACAGAGACACACCATAATAAAATAACATAATATTAAGTGATTTCTTTTCAAGGAAATGACGGAAATCCCTACATAAACAACATGAGGTGATTCTCTACCCTCTCTACCTTCTCTCCTCAGGGGTTCATCTCTGTCAGAGACTATTATCAGCACTGCCTATATTACAAATAATTTTGTGTGTGTGTGTATATATATATACACACACACACATATATGTATATATATACACACACACATATACATATACATATATATATATATATATATATATATATATATATTTTTTTTTTTTTTTTTTTTTTTTTTTTTTTTGAGACAGGGTCTCACTCTGCCACCCAGGCTGGATTGCAGTGGCATGACCTCAGTTCACTACAACCTCCGCCTCTCAGGCTCAAGTGATCCTCCCACCTCTGCCTCCTGAGTAGCTGGAACTACAGGTGTGTGCCACCGTGCCCAGATAGTATTTGTATTTTTTGTAAAGATGGGGTTTCACCATGTTGCTCAAACTGGTCTCCTGAGCTCAAGTGATCCACCTGCCTTGGCCTCCCAACGTGCTGGGATTGTAGGCATGAACCACTGCGCCCAGCCAATTATATATACTTTTTTTTTTTTTTTTTTTTTGAGATGGAGCCTTCTTGCTCTGTCGCCAGGCTGGAGTGCAATGGTGAGATCTCGGCTCACTGCAACCTCCGCCTCCCAGGTTCAAGAGATTCTCTGGCCTCAGCCTCCCAAGTAGTTGGGACTACAGGTGTGCGTCACCACACCCAGCTAAGTTTTGCATTTTTAGTAGAGACGGGGTTTCAGCATGTTGGCCAGAATGGCCTCGAACTCTTGACCTTGTCATCCGCCCACCTCGGCCTCCCAAAGTACTGGGATTACAGGCGTGAGCCACTGCGCCCATCCCAATTATATATAAATTGAAAACACACACAAGCATACATCTACAATGCAACATGATGTCAGCATCTTCCTGTTTGTTCTTATGCACATTTTTATCTTCTGGGCTTGAAGTAATTCATATTTTCTTAAAACACCATATCTATGCTCTCTACCATCTTTCATGATTCCAGTATCAGGAACCATTCTACTTCTATTTTCCTATACATACTCTCAGTTGTAGTTAAACTAATTTTCTTAATGTTAAACAAACAAATCCCAAAGAACAAAAACCCAATCATTTTATCTCCATTTTTACTTTGCATACTTAACAGCTATGAGTTACATGATATTGGGCAAGCCAGTCTCTCTGGACATCAGCTTCTCGTCTGTAAAGCAATTGGACATTGCTAAAAAGAAAAAAAAAATTGAACATTGCTGAAACATCTCATCTGATTGGGAAATGTTATGTTTTCCTCCATATATCCCCTAAACCTTGGGAGCCTGTCCTGGGGCACTACATAAAATAGGGTTACTACACCCTCAGATTTTCATGGTTTCTATTTGAACTTTTTATCTTAAACTGACTTCCATTTCAGTTCTCAACCTCTTACTGCTAATGCCTTTGCTGTCTGACCATTAGGTTTGTTTTATTGATGGCTTTGTTCTGCTCCTCTAGCTCTAACTCTGATTTCCCTTGAAGTGATCATCACCCCTGTGTTATTTTGTTGTGGCCTCTATGAGGAAGAGCTTTAGCTTGGCCACCAGTTGGTATTTGGACCTTGTATCTTTGGCAGAGGCATTTGAGGCTGATGTTCTTCCCTGGTTCCTCCTGCCGTGAGTGGGACCTTGGCACTACAATTCTGTTTCTCATGTGCTATGGTTCGAGAAACCACAGCACAAAACTCATGTTGAGACTTGTCCTCAGTATAAGTGTGTTGGCAAGTGGTGCCTTTAAGAAGTGATTGGGGCCGGGCGTGGTGGCTCACGCCTGTAATCCCAGCATTTTGGGAGGCCCAGGTGGGCAGATCACGAGGTCAGGAGTTGGAGACCAGCCTAGCCAACATGGTGAAACCCCATCTCTACTAAACATACAAAAATTGGCAGAGCACAGCGGTGCGCGCCTGTAATCCCAGTTACTCAGGAGGCTGAGGCAGGAGATTGAACCCAAGAGGCGGAAGTTGCAGTGAACTGAGATCGCACCACTGCACTCCAGCCTGGGTGACAAAGCAAGACTCTGTCTCAAAAAGAAAAAAAAAAAAGTGATTAGGTCATTAAGATGATTAAGATGGGTTAATGTCTTCCTCAAAAGACTGGGTAGTTCTTGTGGAAATGAATAGTTCCTGCAGGGGCATGTTGTTATAAAGCAAGGTTGCCTCTCCGATTTTCCTTTTGTGTACATACCCAGTGCCCATTTCATTTCTCCACCGTGTGTCTGTGTGTGTGGTTTTTGTTGTTGTTGTTGTTGTTGTTGTTGTTGTTGTTTTTGAGATGGCATCTCACTCTGTCACGCAGGCTGGAGTGCAGTGGCACAATCTCGGCTTACTTCAACCTCAGCTTCTTGAGCAGCTGGGACTAGAGGCGCACACCACCATGCCCAACTAATTTTTGTATTTTTAGTAGAGACAGGGTTTTACTGTGTTGGCCAGGCTCATCTTGAACTCCTGACCTCAGGTGATCAGCCCACCTCAGCCTCCCAAAGTGCTAGTATTACAGGCATGAGCCATAGTGCCTGGCCTCTCTACCATGTTTTGATGCAGCACAAAACCCTTACCAGCAGCTTTCAGGTAAGGTTGCCCAATCTTGAATTTCCCAGCCTGTAGAACTGTGAGCTGAATAAACCTCTTTTCTTTATAAATTACCCCTTCTCAGGTATTCTGTTGTAACAACAGAAAATGAACTAAGACATCTTGCCTACAATTTTTTTGCTTCTTATACAAGTGTCGTCCATTCCTCAAGGCTCAGCTCAAGTCCTAATGATTCTATGAAAATTCTGCCCTAGACTGGGCGTGGTGGCTCACGCCTGTAATCCCAGCACTTTGTGAGGTCATGGTGGGCAGATCGCTTGAGGCCAGGAGTTAATACCAGTCTGGCCAATATGGTGAAACCGTGTCTGTACTAAAAATACAAAAATTAGCTGGGTGTAGTGGCATACACCTGAAATCCCAGCTACTCAAGAGGCTGAGGCACGAGAATCTCATGAACCTGGGAGGCAGAGGTTACAGTGAGCCAAGATCACGCACTGCTCTCCGGCCTGAGTGAGACTCCATCTCACAAAAAAGAGAAAAGAAAATTCCATTCTTAATCAGCTATTATTGAGCTTTCTCATTTTGGACTCTTACAGTGCCCACCTGCATTATATCTGGCACTAGATTACAATATAAAATATTTTGAGTAATCTGGCCAGGCACAGTGGCTCACACCTGTAATCCCAGCACTTTGGGAGGCTGAGACAGGCAGATCAAGAGGTCAGGGAGTTCGAGACCAGCCTGGCCAATACGGTAAAACCCTGTCTCTACTAAAAATACAAAAATTAGCCAGGCATGGTGGCACATGCCTGTAATTCTAGCTACTCTGGAGGCTGAGGCATAAGAATCGCTTGAACTTGGGAGCTGGAGGTTGTAGTGAGCTGAGATCGCGCCACTGCACTCCAGCCTGGGTGACAGAGCAAGACTCCATCTCACAAAAAAAAAAAAAAAAAGAAAAAAGAAAAAAAACTGTGAGTAATCTTAGAGGTCATTTAATAAAATTATACCATGCAAGATTCCACTCTCTCCTATTCCTCACAAAGCTTTAGTGTAGATAATTCTGCTACTTAGAAAAATAGACATTCTGCACCGAGCACAGTGGCTTATGTCTGTAATCCCAGCACTTTGGGAGGCCAAGTTGGGTGGATCAGCTTAGGTTAAGAGTTCGAGATCAGCCTGGCCAACATGGTGAAACCCCGTCTCTACCAAAAATACAAAAATTAGCCAGATGTGGTGGCGTATGCCTGTAATCCCAGCTATTCTGGAGGCTGAGGGTAGAGAATCACTTGAACCCGGGAAGCAGAGGTTGCAGTGAGCTGAGATCGTGCCACTGCACTCCAGACCAGGTGACAGAGCGAGATTCTGTCTCAAAAAAAAAAAAAAAAAAAAGAAAGAAGAAAAAAGAAAAATAGACATTCTGTTTGTGGATCAACCAATATATCTCAGATATTATTTTCTTTTCAGGACATATTGACTCTGGGATATTACCAATGAATGTATATTAACACATTTTGAGAAAATGTAAAATGAGTTCCCAGGAGAGATAAAAAAAAAAATCCTGATATTCAGTACACACAAGCTTGTCAGCCTTAGGTAAAGGCCATGGTGTAGAGGATTCAGAGGAAGGGGTGGGGGTGGTCTGTGGTCTCCCTGTGGAGGAGAGTAGAAGTGAAAATGCCTGATACCTTATTTTTCGGAGAGTGAAACTTCTACCTGGACAGATCTCTGTTTTCCTATTAAATAGTTGATGATGACAATAATGATCTTGATAATGATAATGATGCTGTTATATAAATGGGTTAAAAATGGTTCCTTATATTGGCCCCTATGTTGTTTATTTCTTCACAGCAGAGTAGGACTGTTAGCTCAAAGGCCACTGATGCCGAACTCAAAATTTTACACATCTATTTGCTTTAGATATAGGCCAAATAAGCATATTTGTAGCCATTCAGTCTACTTGCTTTGCATACCCCCACACAACTGCACCCCACGACCTAGCCAAACAGAAGATAAATCCCATAGTTATAAATGACCCTGAACTACTGTTGCCCTTCAGAGCTCTCTGACCCAATTTCCCAACTTGTTGCTGAATGACATTGCTTAGACACACGAAACCCCTCTATAATTCCTCTCTCCCTTGAGAGTTCCCTTGCCCTCTTCTCCTTCTGAGTGGTGGCCCCATGCCATTGTCTCTGGAAGGTCTACTCCATGGGCACTTCCTCTCTCATGCAACCCTGTTCCAGCAGGGCGCAATAAAACTACTACAGTCTCATGGTCCCGAGTTTTCCTTGATCAGCGCAGACATCCTCAAACTCACCATAGATGTATATGGCAAAAGTTAAACACGGGGTGTGGTGGTCCATGCCTGTAATCCCAGTACTTTAGGAGGTTGACAGTGGGTGGATCGCTTGAGCCCGGGAGTTCAAGACCAGCCTGGGCAACATGGCAAAACCCTGTCTCTAGGAAAAGTACAAAAAAATTAGCCAGATATGGTAGTTCCAGCTACTTAGGAGGCTGACATGGAGTAGGCTTGAGCCCGTGAGGCAGAGGTTGCAGTAAACCGAGATCACAGCACTGCACTCCAGCCTGCGTGACACAGCAAGCCCTTGTCTCATAAATAAATAAATAAGTACAAAATAGAGTGTGTGACTGAGATTTCACCTCAGACCCCTAGTCACACTGTCTTGAGATAAATATCATCAGCTGTTTCTTGAGTATACATCCAAAAATATTCTACATACATATATGCATATATACATATTGTATTAGGTTGCTGTTGCTGCCATAACAACATACCATAGTCTGGGAGGTTTAAACAAAACAATATATATATTTTTTCACAGTTCTGGAAGGTACAAGTCCAAGATCAAGGTTTGGCAGGTTTGGCTTCTCCTGCATCGTCTCTCCTTGGCTTGCAGATGGCCACTTTCTCGCTGTGCTCTCACACCGCCTTTCCTCTGAATGTGTGTGTCCCTGATGTCTCTCCATGTGTCCTAGTCTCTTATAAGGACACCAGTTAGATTAGATAGGTCCTACCCTAATGGCCTCATTGTAACTTAGTCACCTCTTTAAAGGTCCTGTTTCCAAATACAATCTATTCTGAGTTACTGGGGGTTAGGAACTCAACACACAGCTTTGAGTGACACAGTTCAGCCAATAACACATGTGTTATATATTTCATTTAGAAAATGACTAGTGAATCTTACTAGGCACACTATCCTTTGCTTTTTTCATTCACTATATCTTGTGGTTGCTGTGGTTTGAATGCTTGTTCCCTCCAAAGCTCAAGTTGAAACTTAATCCTCAGTGTGGCAATATTGACAGGTTGGGGTAGGGGGTGGGAATGGTGGCTCATGCCTACAATCCCAGCACTATAGGAGACTGAGGCAGGAGGATCACTTGAGCTCAGGAGTTCAAGACTAGCCTGGGAAACATGGCGAAACACCGTCTTTACAAAAAGTACAAAAATTAGCTGGGCAAGGTGGCATGCAACTGTAGTCCTCATCTACTAGGGAGGCTGAGGTGGGAGGATCTCCTGAGCCCAGGTCAAGGCTGCAGGGAGCCGTGATCATGCTGCTGCACTCCAGCCTGGGTGAGAGAGTGAGATCCTGTCTAAAAAAAAAAAAAAAAAAGAAACCTGGAGAGAGATGCAGTTGTCTTGGAGGTTATTTGATCATGAGACTCTGGTGCCCATGAATGGACTAGTCCATTCATGGATTAATGGATTATCATGGGAGGGGAACTGGTGATATAAGAAGCAGAAGCAGGAAAGAAACTAAGATATCACACTAGCATGCCCAACCCCTCACCATGAGATACGCTATGCCATTATGGGACTCTTCAGAGGGTCCCCACCAGCACAAAGGCCCTCACCAGATGTAGCCCCTCACCTTTGGACTTCTCAGCTTCTGTAACTATAAGAAATAAATTATTTTTTAAAATAAATTACCCATTTTCAGGTATTCATCTATAAGCAACAGAAGATAGACTAAGACAATGGCTTTTCATATCAATAAATGGCTTTTCATATATCTACCTCATTCTTTTAATTGCTGTGTAGTATTTTGTTATCTGGATATTCTGAATTTTATTTGTCAATAATCCAATTATTGAACAATTTGGCTATTTCCACTTTTTATTTATTTTACAAACAGTACTATGATAAGTATTTTCATAATTATACTTTCTTGCATAGGTGGAGAAGTAGCTGTAAGATACATTTTTAGAATGGAAACTGCTCAGTCAAGAGGTATGTTGGTATTTCTTCTGATTTGCCTGTTTAAGTTATTTGTCCATATTTTCCCCATTGGATCATTGTTATTCCCTTAGTGATATATTTGTCAGAGATTTACATAGAAGAAAGGAATGAGTCTCTTGTCATGTGTGGTTTTATAGGATAAAATGTTGTAACATTGGCCTGGAACTCTTGGGTCGGTCTTCTTGAGGCTTTTACAAAGCAAATGGTTTCTAGGACCAAGTCATCTTAAGTCATGGTAATGCAGCCACAGATAGGAAGCAGGTTTCCATCCCCATACTTTGTAATCTCTTGTAATGATGATGATAATACCAAAAAGCTGAGAAAATGTAGATATTGAATACATTTAGTTGATTCCATGTCAGATTATATCAGTTTGTTTCCACACTGCTATAAAGAAATACCTGAGACTGGGTAATTTATAAAGAAAAGAAGTTTGATTGACTCACAGTTCCACATGGCTGGGAAAGCCTCAGGAAACTTACAATTATGGTGGAAGGTGAAAGGGAAGCAGACACCTTCTTCACAAAGTGGCAGGAGAGAGAGAGAGCGAGGGAGGAAGTGTTACACTTTTAAACCATCAGATCTCATGAGAACCCACTCACTATCATGAGAACAGCATGTGGAAACTGCCCCATGATCCAATCACTTCCCACCAGGTCCCTCTTTAACATGTGGGGATTACAATTCAAGATGAGATTTGGGTGGGGACACAGAGCCAAACCATATCACAGACATTTTCCAGAACTTTAATTTTCCTACTAACCATATGATTTAGTAAACAATGCGTGTTACGGATTAAATAATTGAGCTCTTAACACATTTCTTTCCACCAAACAAAAATCTCAATTTCAATCAGTAAATCTGCCAGGCAGGTGGAAAAATCTTGTTATTCATGTTGATGGGATCAACACTTATGGAATATATCTCCAAACCTCAGTGGCCTATTCACTCACTTGAAAGGACCACACACCACTGGCCATTGGTCATAGAACATTTTTCCTGCCTGGCATATTTTCTTCCTTTCACAACTCAGCTTAAATGTCCTTCCCTCAGAGAAACCTTGCCTGACCTTTACCTATTCCCAAGCCTAACATACATTGTTCCTGCTAGACTCTGTCAAAGTACTTTGCTCTTTCCTTAATAGCATTGAACGTAACTGGTAATCATACACGTATCTGTTTAGCACAATGTCTGAAACGTGTTAGACACACAATAAAGACGTGAATGTATAAAACATGAATTTTTTTGGGTTCTAACATTGTACAATTTTATGAAATGTGAAATTTCAAGGAAGCTATAGATATTTTCATATCTCATAATTCATGATGTTTCTATAAACACTGCAACAAAAACATACCTGTCTGGACAAAACTCGGCTTTCCTTATTCATTTCCACCTATGTTCTTGGGAAAACAAAATATCTTCTACATCCCGGACTCTTATCCTACTGACTCCACAGCAAGTTTTCTCCATTTTGAACTTTCCATAAGTCTTACCTTATTACTCAGATTGAAGAAAGAGTAAGAGAAACCAATTAATATATCCAGAGCTCTGCTCCAGTGTGTAGGTACACGTTAGATGTCTTTTTTATTTTTATCATTACAACAGACTTTATGACTGCAATAAAAATGTGAGTAGATTCTTCAAAGATAAACATCTGAAAGAGAGAGGGGGGTTACATTCTAATAGCCTGTGGCTGCTGTCAGAAATAATTTAATGCTTAGTGCTTCGTCGGCTGACCCAAGTCCTTTGAAGAAGTGAAGCATGCTACTTACACCATCGTGGCTGCCCAGAATCCACTTATTTATGTGAGGTGCTCTGTAGTGCTGCTCAATGAAGGCAAGAAGCCTGAACTTGGTAATTGAGAATGAATGTCAAGTAGTGTCAAGACGCCTCAATTCATCAGGCTGATAACTCCTTCTGTGATTGCATTTCCATTTTTACAGCTGCTTCAGTGGCCAAGTTTGCCAGTCTTGTTTGGGAAAGTATATATATTACAGAACTCTTGGCACTGCCTGAGAAGAAGTTAGTATTTTTGATTCATTTCTAAGAGTTGTGGAATTTTCCAACTATTATAGAGGAAAATTTTATACAATTTATAAAGAGGTAGAAAGAAAGGAAGGGACATCTTTTAAAAGACAAGAAATAAGAGGAAGACAGCACTTAACTTATCTTTGCACTATTATTCTAGTAATGACAAATTTTAAGTTATTCACATTGGTGATATGTTTCTTTGGGAGGAAGAAACTTTTTTAAATGATGTGAAAATATACAAAGGACTAAACAATGGTGAGGAATAAATTAAATTACTAAAATGTTTTGCAACTATAGCTGCTTAAATTTAATAACATATACATTGTCCTTAGCACAGAGTCGAACCCAGGGATCAGTAACTTTTTCTGTAAAGAGCCAGATAGTAAATTATTTAAGGCTTTGCAGCCCAGATGGTTTCTGTTAAAAGTACTTTACTTACTCTACTCTGGCATTGTGCAAAAGAAGCCATAGACTATGTATAATTGAATGAGTGTGGCTGTGTCCCAGCAAAGCTTTATATATGGATACTGAAATTTGAATTTTTAAATATTTTATGTGTCATGAGTATTACTTTTCTTTTGATTCATTTAACTATTTAAAACTGGAAAAATCTGATACAATTTGGATATTTGTCCCCACCCAAATCTCATGTTGAAATGTAGTCCCCAGTGTTGGAGGTGAAGCCTGGTGGGAGGTGATTGGATCATGGGGGCAGAACCTTCATGAATGGTGTAGCACCATTTCCCTAGTGCTGTTCTCATGATAGTGAGTGAAATCTTGAAAGATCTGGTTGTTTAAAAGTGTGTGGCATCTCTTCCTTTACTGTCTCTCTCTTGCTCCTTCTTCTGCCATGTGACATGCCTGCTCCCCTTTGCCTTCTGCCATTTTTATAAGCTTCTTGAGGCCTCCCGAGAAGCTGAACAGATGTCAGCCTCATGCTTCCTGTAAAACTTGCAGAACAATGAGCCAATTAAACCTCTTTTTAAAAATAAACTACCTGGTCTCAGGTATGTCTTTATAGCAATGCAGGAACAGCCTAATACAGAAAATTGATACTGAGAGTGGGGTATTGCCATAAAGATACCTGAAAATTTGGAAGCAGCTTTGGAACTGGGTAATGGGTAGAGGTTGGAAGTGTTTGAGGGCTCAGAAGAAGACAGGAAGATGAGGGAAAGTTTGGAACTTCCTAGAGACTGGTTAAATGATTGTGACCAAAATGCTGATAGTAATATGGATAGTGAAGTTCAGGCTGAGGAGGTCTCGGATGAAAATGAGAAACTTGCTGGGTGTGGTGGCTCATACCTGTAATCCCAGCACTTTGGGAGGCCAAGGTGAGTGGATCACCTGAGGTCAGGAGTTCGCGACCAGCCTAGCCAACATAGGGAAACCCCATCTATACTAAAAATACAAAATTAGCTGAGTGTCATGGCTTGTGCCTGTAATCCCAGCTACTCGGGAGGCTGAGACAGGAGATTCGTTGCAGTAAGCTGAGATTGTGCCACTGCACTCCAGCCTGGGCGAGACAGAGTGAGACTCCGTCTCAGAAAAAAGAAAATGAGAAACTTCCTGGGAACTCGAACAAAGGTCACATGTGTTATACCTTAGCAAAGAAACTGGCTGCATTGTGCCCCTGCTCTAGGGATCCGTGGAAATTTCAACTTGAGAGTGATGACGTAGGGTATCTGGCAAAAGAAATTTCTAAGCAGCAAAGTGTTCAAGAAGTGACCTAGCTGTTTCTAACAGCATACACTCAGATGCAGGAGCAAAGAAATGACTTAAAGATAGAACTTATATTTAAAAGAAAGCAGGCCAGGTGCAGTGGCTCGTGCCTGTAATCCCAGCACTTTACGGGGCTGAGGCAGGCCAATCACCTGAGGTTGGGAGTTTGAGACCAGCCTTACCAACATGGATAAACCCTGCCTCTACTAAAAATACAAAAGTAGCCAGGCATGGTGGTGCATGCCTGTAATCCCAGCTACTCAGGAGGCTGAGGCAGGAGAATTGCTTGAACCTGGGAGGCAGAGGTTGCAGTGAACCGAGATCGTACCATTGCACTCCAGCCTGGGCAACAAGAGCAAAAATCAGTCTCAAAAAAAAAAAGGGAAGCAGAGGAGGCCAGATGCAGTGGCTCTCGCCTGTAATCCCAGGACTTTGGGAGGCAGAGGCAGGCAGATCACCTGAGGTCAGGAGTTTGAGACTAGCCTGACCAAAATGGTGAAACCCCAACTCTACTAAAAATACAAAAAATTAGCCAGGCATAGTAGTGCATGTCTGTAGTCCCAGCTACTTGGGAGGCTGAGGCAGGAGAATTGCCTGAACCCAGGAGGCAGAGGTTGCAGTGAGCTGAGATTGTGCTATTGCACTCTAGCCTGGACAAGGAGAGCAAAACTCTGTTATCGAAAAAATACATAAATAATAATAATAAAAGGGAAGCAAAGCACAAATGTTTGGAAAGTTTGCAGCCTGGCCATGTGGTAAAAAAGAAAAGCCCGTTTTCAGAATAATTCAAGCAGGCTGTGGAGCAACCACTTGCTAGAGAGATTTGTATAACTAAAAAGGAGCCAAGTACTAATAGCCAAGACAATGGGAAAAAGGCCTTGAAAGCATTTCAGAGACCTTCACAGCAGGCCCTCCCAGCATGGGCCCAGATGCCAAGGAGGGAAGAACGGTTTTGTGGGCCAAGCTCAGGGCCCTGCTGCCTTGTGCAGCCTTGGGACACTGCTCCCCACATCCCAGCTGCTCTAGCTCCAGCTCCTGCTGTGGCTCAAAGGGGCCCAGGTACAGCTCAAGCTTCTGCTCCAGCTCCAAAATGTGCAAGCCATAAGCCTTGGCAGCTTCCATGTGGTATTAAGCCTGCAGGCACACAGAATCTAAGAATGAAGAAGGCTTGGGAACCTCTGAATAGATTTCAGAGGATGTATGAGAAAGCCTGGGTGCCCAGGCAGAAGCCTGCTATAGGGACTGAGCCCTCACAGAGAAACTTTACCTGGGCCATGTCAAAGGGAAATGTGAGGTTGGAGCACACAGAGGGCACTGCCTAGTGGAGCTGTGGAAAGGGGGCCACCATTCTCCAGACCCCAGTCCCCAAAAACACTCTAGTTTTTTCTTATTGTTATACAAATTGTCTTGATTAGCAGACAATGTGGAAATCAGCTCCCAAAATATAGTAAAATATATCAAATAATTATATTTTCCTCCCTGAGACTTTATACTAGTAGTGGTAAAATTAAAAATACAAAAAAGGCTGGGTGTAGTGGCACACCTGTGGTCCCAGCTACTCAGGACTATTTGAGCCCAGGAGTTCAAGGCTAGCCTAGACAACACAGTGGGACCCCCATCTCGAAAAATAAAAATAAAAATTAAAATTAAAAAATTGAAGTCATGTTCCCAAAGTCAATTTGAGTACCTGTTTTGTGAGACTGAAGCTGCTTTAAACATGCACCATCTTAAACATTTTGTTTTGTGCTGATTGCATACAAAATAAGTGGTAATGATGAAAATCAAATTTACTGCATTGTAAGATAGACCGTCTATTAATGTACAAAGCACGTGCAAAATTGGATCTGATATTCAAGGGCAAATGCTACATTTGCAAACAGAATTTTAATAGTTTAAGGAAGCAGCTTCAGATTTGATATGGGTAATAATACAGAATATAATTTTGAGAGGCAGTATATAGCTGTTACAATTTTCTTAGACATTTGTCCTGCATCTTGGAAAGCAAGTGACAAAGGCCATATTTGTCTTCACAGCATTTAATGTGCTTTGGGAGGTCCAGCTAAAACTATATTAAGGATTTAGATAAAAGTTTCAGGCACTTATTTACATATTTCCAATCACAGATTCAGTTAATTATCTAGATTTTTCCCAGTAACAAATATTCTGATAGTTGAGGAGGTCTTTGGTTTTTACTTGGATGTCAAGCATTGTCCAGGTGCCTGAGACTATTTAGCATTTCTATGACACTTTAGAGATGCTTTCAGCCTTTGGGTGGCTAACAAGCTGTGTTTTGTACAAGACCAAGGATCTTAATCTGATCAAATGGTGGTGCTGAAAAGCTCCCTTGGTTTTTAATATGATGATCTAATGCTAGGAAATTGCAGTCCCTTGTTATTATACATGGATCAAGACATTCCATTCTGGCCATGGACTGTAACCTCTGTGGACCTTATTTTCTTACTAAAGGTCAGAGGGTCTTGGGGCCACCGGAGCAAATTTAAATGACTTAATTTTGTCCACAAGTATTTCTTCTTCCCAACTCTCACCCTCTACACATTTTAGTCCAAAGCAAAGCCTTCCTAGAAAAATGAATGGCTCATGTAGTATATAGTTACAAATCACATTATCACTGGATAACCACGCCATTCCTTATGATCAACATGAGCTAGATCTATCTTTAAATGCTGTTTTCCATTTACCTCAGCTTTTAAAATATTCTTTACCTTAAGATGTTGGGATCAGAACTGATCACAGTGGGTCTCCATAGTCTAGATTAGAAAAATTTCATTAGTCCTCTGAATGTCACGTAATTTAGATGAAACAGTCAGCATTTGATAAGTCCTTGAAGTGCCTCCATGAGCTTCTTTGTGGGTTTAATGCTTCCTTGCCCATTCCTTCCAGCCACTGTTAGCAGTTCTTGTCATCAGGTACTTTTATTTTCAAATAGGTTCCTGCTTCTGGTTATTGGAAAAACTATTTTACACTATCCATCATCTGGTTGATAAATACAATACCATACTTTATTTTACCTCAATAGCATTAGGTTAGTTAGATTAAGGGGAGTACTATTAAGTCTCATCATAGTCATAAACATTGTCAGCCTTTCTGAAAAACAACATACCTGAGGGAACAGCTAAGTTTGTCCTAATTTCAACAAATGAAATGCAAAGGTTTTGGCCTGGGTGGGGCTAATAAACTGGCTCCTCCCTTTCTTCAAAGCTTATTTTCTTTTTCAATCATGTAGTAGATTTTTTGGTGATTTTTTAAAAACTTTATTGGTTTGCCAGATACAAAAGGAAATTTTTCCCTAAAAAGAGCTTAAACTTAGTATCTCCAAGAAATTAAATGTGTTTTGCCTTTTCATTGTCTTTTAGATGGTTTGGAATATTTTTTTAAATCCTCATATTCTTAGTATTTAAATGTAAGCTTTCTCTTTTGGGCCCCCAAATACTACAGTTAATATAGAATAAATACACAAGTTTAGTTATAATATGGGCTCAATTACTCAGGTAGCACTTGGGTGTTAAAGACAAGTCTTCTTTCTCTTCCTTTTTTCTTTTCTGTTGTGTGTGTGTGTGTGTGTGTGTGTGTAACAAAGAGAAAGAGAACTTAAGTAAAAATTGGAGGATGCTGCAGCTGTTAAAAGCTCTCTGAAGCCCATTGAGCAAGAACAGAGCTGTTGAATAATGCAGACAAGATAATGAACAGCAGACAAATGATCCCAGGAGGCTCCCTGCTGGGTAAAGGGAGTATATACTTAGAGGGTAGATTTATTATCCTAACATCTTTTGTGGTGACCTCCAATTTATTGGAAATACCTGAGACATTTATAAATTCCAAGTTCTTCTCCTTCAACCAAAGCCTAACTTGCTTATCATCCCTACCTCAGCTTCTTGAAGCCATATGGCAAAGTTGCAAAACCCAAAATTTCCTCTTCAAAAGAAGATACTGAGAATTAACTAACCATGTAAAGAGAAAAGAACCAAGAAAGCAACCTTGTGGTTGATTTATTAGTTGAAGTACAAATGTTGTTCCCTAGGCTATAGGAAAGCATTCTAGATACAAAGCTTTCTTGTTTACTAGAAATAGCCAGTAAAGTTTAAACCTTAAGTGACTAGATTTAATCATGCAGCGCTTTAGAGGCACAATGTATTCCCAGATAAAACTGGGCCATTTTGTAACAAATGCAAAATGGCAGGATACATAGTATTGTGGAATTATAAATTGCCTTTGTTTTAAAATGAGCTTTCTTATAAGACAGCTTATAAGCTTTTGATGCAAGACTTATTGTTTGAATGTAATTAATTAGACATTATCTTACACAACCTCACAGTCAAATTCAGTGAGTACTTCAATTTGGGGTTGAAGAAATTACTCCATAAAGGAAGAGAAGCTTCCAAAGCCATGAGTGAAACAGTTTTGGAAAACTTTGAAATATCTCATGCACTTCCAAGATAGCTGGTCTATTTTTTTTTATTTAATTCCACATGTCCAACATGGTGAAACCCTGTCTCTACTGAAAATACAAAAATTAGCTGGGCATGATGGCACATACCTGTAATACCAGCTACTTGGGAGGCTGAGGCAAGAGAATTGCTTGAACCCAGGAGATGGAGGTTGCAGTGAGCTGAGACTGCACCACCGCGCTCCAGCCTGGGTTACAGAGTGAGACACTGTCTCAAAAAACAAACAATCCCCCACCAAAACAAACAAACAAACAAACAAGCAAACAAAAAAACAGGCTTATATATAATTTGTTTGATAGGGGATAAAAGTATACGCATGTGAATATGACAGTGGAATAAAAGAGAGTCAAAATTTTATCTTTCATTATAGGATGCCAGTGGATAATATCCAAAGTCTGAAATATTAGAAGAAAGAGCTAAAGAAATGTATAACTTGGTTATCACTGGGAAAGGCCACCCATTGCTGTGATCCATACAAGTCTATTCCTGGGGCCCAGTTAGTAGAGCAGAGAAGGGCAGGGAGTGAGTCTGGAAGGGCAAAGAGAAGAAGGCATTCAGTTTAGGAAGTTCCAGAGAAAATGATAAAGCTCATAATGAAGTGGATCATAAAGAAAAAAAGTTAAAATAGTTATAATTCTTTTTTATTTTTTATAATCATAATTCTTAATCCTAGATGATAAAATGATTGAAACAATTGAACAAAATAATTCCAGAACACAAAGCTTATAGACTAGAAAATAGCTATTTGATGTGAGTTTTAAAAAGTATCCTGGAATATAACGAAACGGACTCTAACTGTAGATTAGATAGCATGACAGTCTATATGCCAGCAGGACACATTAAACACTTGAATAATTCCTAGGAAAGGTTTTGGGACTTTTTCTCATGATATTGATAGACTTCTCTGCATTACAGAAATCTTTCCCTTTTTAAAGGCAAGAGGGATGAACCTCTTGCCTTTGAGTCATTTGTGATATTATTAGAAGTTGTATTAGTGTTCTATTATTGTGTAATAAATAACTGCAAACTCAGTGGCTTCAAACAACACATATTTATTAAGAGACAGTTTCCATTTGTCAGGAGTCTGGGGATAGCATAGTTGGGTTTTCAGTGAAGGGCCTCGTAAGCCTGCAGTCAAGGTGTCAGATGGGCTGTGTTCTCATCTAGAAGCTCAACTGGGGAAGAATGTGCTTCCAAGCTCATTCAGGTGTTGCCAGAATTTATTTCCTTGTGGCTGTCTGCTGAGGGCCCCAGCGTTTTGTTTGCTTTTTACTTGAAGTTTGCTCTCAAACCCTAGGAGCTGACTGAAGTTTCTTGCCATGGGAACGTCCTCAAAATGCCTGCTTAATTTCATCAAGCTAGCAAGGAAACTCACTCACTTTAGTCTGCTGCGACAGAGTCAAGTATATAACACCAAATAATCACACGGGTGATAGTCTATGACCTTTGGCATAACCCACTTGTTAGAAGTCAGAGATCCTGCCTGCTCTCAAGGGGAGGAGGTTACACAAAGGCATGGAAACAAAGGTGGGAAATCATTGGGGGTCACCCTACATCTATCGGCCACATGAGTGTATGAAAAATATAGAAATAGCTAAGATTTGCTAAAGTTGGTGTACAAACATAGTGTTTAACATAATAGTTTCTCTACTGTTACACATATTTCAAAATTTAAAAAAATTTTAAAGTTTAAAAGCAGTTTTTTGATAAAACAACTTGTAACTCCACTTTGCTATCTTCATCATCTATTTGAGTTACAGTGCAAAGAAACTCAATTCAATGGTTGTGCATGGTATTCATCTTATTTCCCATGCCTAGCACAGCGCCTGACTCATAGAAGCTGATTCATGAATGATGGATGATCAAATGAACTGCCTAAAATGATTCAAAAATTCAAAAATCAGTTATACATCCAAAAATTGTACTCCAGCTTTACTGGAATCAGGACCTGCCATATAGTTCATCATTGTTACTGTCACTCAGCTACAGAATAACAATGAAAACTAAAATTCATTGAGCACTTACCCTATCCCAGGCATTGGTCAAAGTGCTGTACACGTATTAACTATTTAATTCTCCTAGCACCCCTGAGAAGGTAATTCTATATTTTAAGAACAGTGAACCCCTCTAAAAATCCTACAGTGATAAAGTTTTTTTGCTTTGTTTTTGTTTCTTTTCTTTTGTTTTCTTTTTTTTAAAGATGGGGTCTCACTCTGTCACCTAGGCTGGAGTGCAGTGGCACCATCACAGCTCATTGCAGCCTCAAACTCCTGGGCTAAAGCGATCCTCCCGCCTCAGGCTCTTAAGATGCTGGGATTACAGGTGTGAGCCACTGTGCCTGGCCAGTGACAAATTTCATAGTCAGTAGTGATGAGATTTAAACCTAACATTTATCCTCTTACAACTTCATTACGGTAGACTACTTAATCACTTTTTTTTCTTTGTAAGACAACGGTTGCCTAAGCACATTCTAACGTTCACATTAAAATGTCTTTTTTCTTTGACCTCAAGGTGTTCAACAGGTCTTTGCTCTTTGCACAAAAGTAGCCTTTCATATTTAAACCAGGAATGATTCTTTATGCAGCTCTTAAAATGTATTTATAAATAATCATGCATTCAAACATAATAAGTCATTTAGGACTGTAATTAGTCATTGTCAAGTCCTGGCAAACAGCAGGATTCTAATTGGAAAGCAGTGTTTGCCCTACTTGTGCCTCAATGAAACTTTCAGAGAAGGGCAGCATGTTCTTCTTAATCTGTTTTTCTAACAGCTAGTAGCAAATCAATGAAGATGAGGCTGGTGGCTATGATAAATTAATATGCACACTGACAACTTATAACCATGCAATTGCTTAGGGAATTACTATGCGACTATATCCAAGTAATTATATGTTTTAAATGATTTATCTCAATTTGTTAACAATACACTCCTAAAATGGAAATAAAAAGAGAGAAAATGCAAATAGCATGTTATACCAACTTTATGTTGAACTTATTAAGAGGTTGCCCTTTTAATGAAGAATTTAATGAATTAAGAGGTTTGTTATGAATAAGCATTCTTACTACTTGTTAAGTATTTGTCACCACAGACCTGTCATAGTCATTCTAATTATGATTAATACCTTATCTTGAATTCCATCTTCATTCACATTTCAGTAACAAATGTAACTTCTATTATATGATCAAGGTTCATGAAAACAGGATGATTTGCCTATGACCTTATATTTTATTCATTTTTACATTCATATTTAACAGATTTCTCTGAAATGAAAGTTAACCTTATGAATCTTTTAATTTTTAAAGTGCATTTTATCCTTGACATGCCTTGCAACCCTTTATACTGTTTCAAATCATGGTTGTGTATTCAAGATAAATGAAAATCCTAACATTTTGATTACCCTCTTATATAACTAGAAGCTGCTACTTTGAGACATTCTTTAAAAATATTTTTTGTCTACTATGGAAAGAACTAGTTTGATTTTCTCAAGCACTGCTAATACCCTCAATATGAAAAACACAGGTTTATAAATTTCAAAAAATTATGCAAGAGTGCGGGGTCAGATTTTCAATGCAGTCTGTACATAAATTGTGGTAAATATGGAGGTTTTTGTTGTTTTTTTAAGTGGTATAATGCACACTCCATATCACAGTATCTTATGTTACATATCCCTTCCTTTGTAGTTCTATCTTTTCTAAGGAAAAATCCATTTACCTCTTCGACTTACTTTTTCTCTCTTTTCTTCTGCTTTACCTTTCTGTTCCCACTTTATTCCCCCCTCTGCTAATCTTTGCTCCATCTTTATTTTATTGCCTTCTCCTCTGCAGTTCTCCTTTGTCCCCATTCTCTATGGATACACTTTATATTCTGACCATTTCCATGCACCTCTGTCCTGTTCCTCTCTCACACTTTCTCCTCTACCTCATTCATCTCCCCCAAGGGAATTTGTATTCTTCACCTGCATAAAAAGCAGGCTGTAAGCATTTGATTTTGTGGTTTAAGAGTCCTTGATTATTTATATTACCAAGTGTTAAAAGCTCTGAAAGGAAATAAAAATAATATTACTTCTTTTTTTCTGCCCTTTTTATTAGACTGTCTAAGAGAGACTCTCTATGAGAGCTGAAAGAACTGTATTAACTAATAAGCTCACCAAGAAAATTAAGCCAATTAATTTTGCGCAATAATAATAATAGTAATAGTAACAAGAAAACCAGATCATTTATCAAACATGAAGTCTGCTCTCTGAAGGGCTGGATATCAATGAAGGGCGGCTTCTTTAAGGGAAGAAGCTCTCTGGTCCCCAGAGCCACTGGATCCTTCTCAATCTCTGGTGTTGATGAGGAACACTCCACATGCAACATCATCGAGGCGTTTGTGGTAAGCCAGGTAGCAAGAGCGAAGTGTATGCAAATCAGAGAAATGAACCCTCTCCTGAGGTCTTCCAAATCACTCAATTCTTGAAGCAATTAGCAGGTAGTCTATTTCCCCTTAAACTAGATACATTTACATTTTCTTCATCATTTGAAGCATGTCTTCACACATTTCAGGTTCTCCATTATACGCAGAGATAAGTACTATGCACTTATTTTCAAATCCAGTGGAATAAAGTCAAACACTTGTGGTATGCAATATTCTAATGTTGTAAAGATTTGATGAGTTTTTCCTTAAAAAAACACCACAAAACAGACTACATTTTAATTACATTTTCTCAGAAGTATCTGGGGGAAGACGGGTCATGTGTTTAAGAGTGTTTAATGTACTTAAAAATTATATCTTCTAGCAGTCTCCAGTACTGATTTAATAGGTCTGATCTTTTGAAATGAATCCTATATCATATTTATGATGATGTCTTATTCGAGAATGAAACTAAATCTAATGAGAGGCAATTCCTTTGATGAGAGTGACAATTACATCACTTGAACCAACACATGCACAGATATCTCTCCTATTGACAATAAACTAGTAGCTTTGGAAATAAATTTAATGTTTAATCTCAGGCTTTCGGTTATCATTTGAGAAGAACCCAGAACTAACTTAGGTTAGTTCTGCAAATCATGCAAATCATGCATAACAAAGAGGAAACAGAAAATCAAAAGCCAGAGATAAACTAGAATTTTTCAATAATCATCATTTCCAACTTCTCTAAACACCAAATCTTTCCTCTAAATTCAAGGAAGTGAACAGAAGTAGTAAATATGGAGCCTGTGGTACATGGCAGACTATCTTACAACTTACTTCCTTTTTATCCACCTTCAGTCCCATGCATGATCTCCGTTTTTAAAATCTTCTTGATACTTCTATAAATCCTTTGTAGTAAGAGCTAATAAGTACTGAAATGGCTGATGTTCCAAAGGCAAGAAGATATGGCAAAGTCTTAAATAAATTAACATGGATAACTGGGAATAGATTATGTACAATATTAATAAATGTGAATATATAACAAGTAAAAAGCCTACAGTGGAATAAATTAATTCCGGCTTGAGTTACAAGAATGACTCAGGTTAACATAAGCATTAATTTTTTAAAATATTGCTCATTATATGGCAAAACTTTCTTTCTTAGTTGATTTCTTCTTTTTACCTATTAGAATAAAAACTAGAATTTCATTAATTTTCATTCTTCTTTCAGGATAAAACCGGATTTAATGCTGTGTAGCCTAGATCTTTGAATGCTTAATAATTTAAAAACTTAAAAGAGACACTCTTTTTTTGAGGAAAAGGTAATGGGAAACACAATTCACAGCTCCAGCTTTGCTAAGCCGACACAGTACAACTCCATCAGAGTTGGTAAAATATGTATTGGCCAATAAATAATGTTAAGACCATTGGCCTAGCAAATGTTAAAAGAAATCTAAATCCTTATCTAATTTCTAATATTACTATAAATTCTAGATGAGTATGTTGACTCATGACAGCAAAAATATGCTCCCCCTAGCTCTTAAGTACTTTTGTTTGGAAAGGGAGTTTCAAATAATCTTTTAAAAAAATTCTATAAAGATTTTAATAAAAATGCAGAAAACATTAAATAAGAGATGGCTTATATCTTATCCAAATACAAACTAGACTTTGCTCATTCATCTACATATACAATAGACAGTGCAGATATATATTTTGGCAAATTCTATTCAGCCCATAAACTTCTTAGCAGAGGAAACAAAAAGCTCTTACCTATTAAATGACCTGCATACCTTGACATGACTCGCTAAAAGGGAGTGTGATTTGCTTACTTCTGATATTGAGGCCTTCATCGTGAAAGATTTTGGTTCTTTGCCATTTTTCTCAAAACCCATGGAAGCCCTTAATAAGATTTCGACTTTATAGAATGGGAGGGGCCAGCCTCCTGAGACTAGAACATACAAGATGGTTACCATTGTTGCTGACTATTTAAAAGATGCTAAAATGTTGGCCTGCCAAAATATCAGATTTTCAAAGTGTGGAACAAAAAGAATGTCCTTCTCTAGTTTGAAAATATGTTGAAGATGAACGTTGAGTATAGGATTATAGTATAACAAAAATTTACTTGCTGTTTCTCCAAAACTGGTTGAATTATCTTTGAAGAGGTCATAGGAAACCTAGAAAAGAATGAACTGATCATTTGATCACCTGATTGTTGATATTATGTGTAGGTTGTAACAAAAACTCATATAGTAAGAAAAAAAACCTCATTTTTTGGGACAAGACTGTTTTAGAACTCAAAAAATTGCCACCAGAAAAAACAGAATCTTTTACATTTCTTTACTAAAACTTCAAGTTGCTCGGCATCTACTTTCTTTTTTTATTTAAAAATATTTAATTGAAAAATATTATAGCTATATTTAAGGTTTATAACATGATAACTTGATATGTGTATACATTTTTGTAATTATTATCACAATCAAATTAATTAACACACCCTCACCCATGCTGTATATTAGGTTCCCAGAACCTGTTCATCTTATAACTGAAAGTTTGTACCCTTTGATCAACATCTTCCCATTTCCCCCACCACCTACTGCCTGGCAACCACTGTTGTACCCTCTGTTTCTGTGTTTGGTTTTTTTAGATTCAACATATAAGTGAGATCACACAGTATTTATCTTTCTGTGTCTGGCTTATTTCACTTAGCATAATGTCCTCTAGGTTTATCCCTGTTGTCACAAAAGGCAAGGCTTTCTTCTTTTTTTTGGCTAAATAATATTCCATTGTGTGTATATGCCACGTTTTCTTCATCCATTCATCCACTGATGAGTGCTTATGTTGTCTCCATATGCTGGCTACTATGAGTAATGTTGCAATGAACATGAGGATGCAGATGTCTCCTTGAGGTACTGACTTCCTTTCCTTTGGATATATACCCAGAAGTGGGGTTGCTGGATCATAAGGTAGTTCTATTTTTAATTTTTTGAGAAACTGCCATACCGTTTTCTATAATGGCTGTACCAATTTACATTCCTGCCAATAGTGTATAAGGGCTCTTTTTCTCTCCAGACCCTCTCCAACACTTATCTCTTTTATATTTGATACTAGCCATCCTAACAGGTGTGAGGTGATAACCTGTTATGGTTTTGATTTGCATTTCCCTGATGATTAGTGATGTCGAGTACCCTTTCATATACCTGTTGGCCGTTTGTATATCTTCTGTGGAAAAATGTCTATTCAAGTCATTTGACCATTTTTAAATTGTGTTATTTGGGTTTTTTTGCTATTGAATTGTGTGCTATCCTGATATATTTATTTTATTTTATTTTATTTTATTTTATTTTATTTTATTTAGATGGAGTTTTGCTCTTGTTGCCCAGGCTGGAATGCAATGGCATGATTTTGGCTCGCTGCATCCTCTGCCTCCTGGGTTCAAGTGATTCTCCTGCCTCAACCTCCCAAGTAGCTGGGATTACAGGCGCCCGCCACCACGACTGGTTAATTTTTGTATTTTTAGTAGAGACGGGGTTTCACCTTGTTGGTCAGGCTGGTCTGGAAGTCCTGACCTCAGGTGATCTGCCCGCCTTGGCCTCCCAAGTGTTGGGATTACAGGCATTAGCCACTGCACCCGGCCTCCTGATATATTTTTTTACATTAACCCCTTGTCAGATATATGGTTTTCAAATATTTTCTCCCATTTGGCAGGTTACCTTTTCATTTTGTTGATTGTTTCCTTTGCCGTGTAAACGCTTTTTAGGTTGATGTCAAATCTACTTTCAATTTTACAAGTTCAAAAATTTTCCCTGAGAGAGACTTAATTAATCATGACATTTAATGTGAGTGTTTGAAAATCATGGACATTTTAGACATGGATAGCCTATAACGATGAAGTTATAGATGCAAAGCACCTGCTTAATGATGAGCTGGTGTACCAGAACAAGCCTGTGGATACAGAACAGACGGGCATTTTTAGAGCACCACAGGTCCAAATTCTGCTGTTGCCAGTAAGTAATATCCTGAGTATTTCATGTGCAAAGGAACATAGGCATTTTTGTTGAGAGGATAGCTAGCTTAATTGACATCACATTGACCTGACACCAGGAATCAGTGTAATATGGGTTTGATAAAAGCAGAACTGCAAGTCAAACTGAATCTTACTTTTGCCTGTATTCAGTTTTAGTACTACATAAAAGAAAAAAAAAGGACCAGGCGTGGTGGCTCACTCCTGTAATCCCAGCACTTTGGGAGGCTGAGGCAGGCGGATCACCTGAGGTCAGGAATTTGAGACCAACCTGGCCAACATGGGGAAACCCTATTTCTACTAAAAATACAAAAATTAGCTAGGCATGGTGACTCAAGCATGTAATCCCAGCTACGTGGGAGGCTGAGGCAGGAGACTCGCTTGAACCCAGAAGGTGGAGGTTGCAGTGAGCAGAGACCATGCCACTGCACTCCAGCCTGAGAGACAGAGCAAGATTCCATCTCAAAAAAAAAAAAAAAAAAGAATTTATAAAAATATAACCTGAAATATTAAAAAGTCCAATAAAGCATTTAAAAAGAGTTCAAATAAATTGCTGTATCAGAAGACAGAAACATCAAAAAATATTGCTATATTTTCTCACACATATTGCTTATTTAATCCTGCTATTAATCACTTCTAACCGCCACTGCTATCTAGGCTTATTGTTGTTTTGTTTAAATAATAGCATTTATTTAACATAAAAGTAAGTAGTACAGAACATATAATTTCAAATAAATACCATTTTTCATATTTTATGTTAAAGTAATAACACATTTGAGTATACTTATTCATTACATATTAGATTATTACATTTGGGTTTTTTTTTTAAATTCAGTATAGTTGTGTCCACGTTGGCCCTCAAAAAAGTTGGCCACTCTAGTAGCCAGGGTTCTTAGCTGTCAGTTCAGGGCTCCCAAAGTGCATGTCCCAACAGACAAGGATTCAGGGGGAAGCTGGACCTCGTTTTAGGATCTCACCTTGCAAATCACACATCATCACTCCCACCGTATCCTATTCATTAGAAGCTACTAAGTGTGGCCCACAATGAATGGAAGAAGAATTAGACTCCACTTTTTGATGAGGGATATGTCACAGTATAGGTATACTTTAAAACTATTTCGAATAATGAAGAACACAGTGACTCCCATGCACTTTTGCTAGGCAAACTGGTATATACTTTTTGGAGAGGAACTCGGAACTATCAAAATAAAAAACAATTAGGAGTTTAGGGTACGGATATACTTGCAAAACAATGCCAAACACACTAATTAAAACTTCCCCCACCCCTCATTCTGAAAACGTTCAAAACTATAGAAACCTATTGTGGTGGAGTAGAGATGGTCATAAGTTATTTTACACTCTTCTCATTGAGATGTGGGGTCCCTTTTTTTTCTTGGATCTGAACTACTGTGACTTCTTGAGCAATCTAAAATGGCAGAAGATTTTAGATTGCTCTGAAATCTAACTCAGAACTCTGTGACAGTTCTGGACCTAGCTCTCAAGAAGACTGGCTTTTTTAGGGGGTTTCCTGAAGCCCTGAGCCTCCATGTTAAGTTCCACTACCCTGGTGAAGAGGCTGATGAGAGACCCCAAGACTACCCAGAGAGGGAAAGCTCAATCCAGCCATCTCCACCAAAGCACCAGGCATGTTTTGGATTCTCTGAACCAGTTGTCCATCAGCTGTGTGAATAGCCAGTCACCAAGTGACTGTAGGTAATGCCACTTAGAGCAGAACCATCATCCAGTGAAAGTCCTCCCAAATTCCTGATCCATAAAATGGTAAAATATAATGAGTTTTTTTTTAAGCCACTAACCTTTGGGGTAGTTTGGTATGCAGCAACATACAACCACAATGCCTCCATACCCTTATTCATCAGTTGTTAACATTGTGCCACATTTGTGCCTCTGCCCTCTCTGTTGTGCTGAATCATTTGAAAGTAACTTGCTGATATCATGATGCTTCACCTTTAAATTCTTCAGTATGTATTCTTCACAGTCGCAATGCCATTATCACTCCCAAGATACTTAAGATTGACACAATAATATTCTTTTTTTTTCTTTTTTTTTTATGAGACAGGATCTTGCTGTGTCACCCAGGCTGGAATGCAATGCTGCAATTATGGCTCACTACAGCCTCAACTGCCCAGGTTCAAGCGATCCTCCCATCTCCCATCCCAGCCTCTGGAGTAGCTAGGACCACAGGTGCATGCCATCGTTCCCAGATAATTTTTTTTTATAGAGGTGAGGTCTCACTATGTTGCCCAGGCTGGTCTCAAACTCCTGGGTTCAAGTAATCCTCCTCAGCTTCTCAAAGTGTTGAGATTACAGGTGTGAGCCACTGTGCCCAGCAGACACAATAATATTATCCAAAATGTAATTAATATTCAAATTCCACCAATTACTCAAATCATGTATTTGTATAGATTTGTTTTAAAATCCAGAGTACAATCAAGGATTATGCAGAGGATTATTTAGTTGCCATGTTTCTTCAAGCTTGTTGAAATCCAGTACAATAAGCCTCTGGTTTTTTTTTACTTTCATGTTACTGATATTTTTGAGGAGCTCAGAGCAGTTGTCTTGTAGAATGTCACATCATTTAGATTTGTTAAATTATATCCTCACAAAATTATATTAGGGTTAAGTATTTTTAATGTGTTTTTAACTTTTAATTTGTATGGACACATAATAGTTGTATTTAGTTACGGGGTACATATGGTATTTTGATACAATCATACAATGTGTAATGATCAAATACAGGTAATTGAGATATCCATCACCTCAAACATTTATCATTTCTTTGTGTTGGGAACATTCCAAATCTTCTCTTCTAGTTATTTTGAAGTATACAATAAATTATTGTAACTTTAATGACCCTACTGTGCTACTGAACACTAGATCTTATTCCTTCTGCCTAACTAATTTGTATAGGGTTAAGCATTTTTGGTAAGAGAATATTACATGGCTGACAACATAGGTACTTTCCATTGCTTCATAAGAGAGGCACATAGCGTCAGGTTGTCTCATTATTGATAATGTCAAGTTTGATCATTCGATTAAGGTAGTGTGCACAACATTTCTCTGTTGTGAAGACATACATTTTCTCTAAAATTAGTGAGGACCCTGTAGTCTTTCAGACTGTGTGGATATCCCATTTCAAGATGACCTTTCACCACATTGCTTTCAGAATTCGTAGATGATCCTTGCCTGACTCAATCATTATGTAGTGGTGGTATGGTGGTGGTTTGCTAATTCTGTATTTCTTTCTACTTTTGTTAGCTGGCACTTTCTCTAAAGAATTTCTTCACTGTCCATCTCTTCTTTTTGCTTATTATAATAAACTAAAAGATTCATTTTTAAACGACCGGCTTTGATGCTCAAATTGTCCCATATTTGGCCAATTGGTTCCTGTGTTCCCTTGAGTTTTAGTGCACTTCCTTCCTTTCAGGCTTAAGATATTCCAGGTTCCTTCTGTAATTTTCCCACCTCACACCTGGAACTAACCACAAAGAACCCTGGTTCCTTTTTGTGAGAAAGGTATGTAGAAGCCACATTCTGGGCTCTAGGTATGCTAATTGCTCCTGGGACTCAATTTATACTGATACTGCAATTCAAATCCAACATCACAGGGTCCCTCACATTCCTCTATTCCACAAGTGTATCTCCCCTTCCCCACAGCAAGGGACTTGGTTCACCAAAGAACCAATTCATTTACTCATTTGCTCTATCTTACATATACACAGAAAGTTCCAGAATTATTCCACTAAGACAACTAACAACCGAGTCAAGCTTCTTTGTTTGTTTTTTCTGCCCCTAAAATATTCTAAGGATTTTCAACCAGACTTCCATGTATAAAAGTTACTTGAATTAATTCTTCTGTTTGGCTATGTTATCAACTTTATGTACAGTGAAGTTCTATTTGTTTTCAATGTTAGTAATTTTTTTCCCATTTTTAAAATTTCATTTGATTTTAAAATAATATGTAAACCACTTACATGGATCAAATGTCAAAATTATATTAAAAGGTAATATTGAAAAACTCTCTCCTATCCCTATTCATTCCATTTATTCCCAATTAACACCTATAAACATTTTCATTAGTTTTTGTCTTATCTTTTCTTTATTTCTTTTTATAAAGCCAAGAAAATATATTGCCCCTTTATTTTTACACAAAATATAGTAATATAAATTTTTTTTACTTATTGCTTTTTTTTCTTTTACTTAATGTATCTGGGAAATCACTCCACCTTAATTCACAAATATCTTGTTCATTCTTTTTTTATGGCTAGTTGCTAAATATTTTATAGTAACTAAAACCAAAACCAGTAAAAACAAAGTTTTTTTGAGACAGGGTCTTGCTCTGTTGCCCAGGCTGGAGAGCAGTGGCAGCCTTGACCTTCTGGGCTCAAATGATCCTCTCACCTCAGCCTCCCAAGTAGCTGGGAACACACGCATGCACCACCACACCCAGCTAATTTTTTTTAATATAGAGATGAGGTCTCACTGTGATGCCCAGGCTGGAATCGAATTCCTGAGCTCAAGCAATCCACTGCCTTATGCTCCCAAAATGCTGGGATTACAGGTGTGAGCCACTGCACCCAGCTGAGCTAAGGATTTTTAACAGCAAGAATGAAAGAAGGGAATAAAATATAAAATATATCATAAAGTTAAAATTATTTAATCGTTGTGAACTGATATCCAAGAGAAGACAGATCATTCGTAAAGAAAAACTAGTTGATAAATATATCCTGTTATATCGTAGGAGTGAAGAGAATTTTTCCCTCCCCCTCTGAAGGTCTGAGTCTGTTGAAATGAACTGACAATTGACAGATTAATGAGAGAAAAGACATACAAATTTATTATTGTGTGTAAGCATCAGAGCCATACAAAATATGAGAATCAAAGAAGGGCTAGATAGCTGAAGGCTAAATAACACTCTCCTCAGGGGAAAGAGGAAAATGGAGGATGTGGGCAATCAGGAGTGGTAGTTTCAAGGGAAAGAAATGGGCCTAAAGAGCAGACAACAGTTTGTAAATGATTCTCTTGGGAAATGAAATGAACCCAGCAAGTTATAGGAAGGTCAGGGGCAGAACTACCTTGTAAACAAAGGTTGTCTTATTATGCAGATAAAGTCTGTTAGGTAATCTCTCAAAGCTGCCCTCAGAAGAATAGATAAAAAGTCTATCCAGGAATGGATCGACTTCTCCTATGGTTAAACTTTTCTGGTTATTTAACAAGATTTCTAGGGAAGGCGTTTAAGACAACTACACTCCTTTTGGAAAGATGTTTCCTGTCACATAAGGAAATTCCAGAGAAAGCCCTGCACTTGGGAGGGAGAAACGAAAGAAGGTTAGAAAGTCCTTGGTTCTGGCCGGGCATGATGGCTCATGCTTGTAATCCCACCACTTCGGGAGGCTGGGGTGGGCAGATCACCTGAGGTGGGGAGTTCGAGACCAGCCTGACCAACATGGAGAAACCCTGTCTCTACTAAAAATACAAAATTAGCCGGGCATGGTGGCACATGCCTGTAATCCCAGCTACTTGGGAGGCTGAGGCAGGAGAATCACTTGAATCTGGGAGGTGGAGGTTGCAGTGAGCCAAGATTGTGCCATTGCACTCCAGCCTGGGCAACAAGAGTGAAACTCCATCTCAAAAAAAAATAAAATAAAAAAGAAAGTCCTTGGTTCTGAGGTAGCTTTTAAGGTCTTCCAATTTCTTTTCATTCAAAATGTTCAACATGCCAAAGCATCATATTTTGGGGATATTATTTTCTGAACCCCAACTATAGATAAGAAATTAACATATGAAAAAGAATCATCACAGGGGAAGGGGAAAATACTTAATAAATTGTTCTGAAAAATGTTTCTAGAAATTATTTGGGAAATAAATCCATGGAACTGCAGAATCCTGTCTATAGTCCATAAGCGTTCATGCACCACAGTTTAAAACTCTTAATTTAGAACCTCATTTCTTATCATGTTTCAAAGCAAATTTTGGTATTGACTTTCTTTGTTTCTTTCTGTGTTTGGTATTGACTTTGTTTCTGATATTCTAGGTAGCTTTTTTAAAAAAGCTTTTGATTTTGGGACAATTGCAAATTCACATGCAGTTGCAAGAGATAATACAGAGACATCCATGTGTCCTGTTGTATAATAATTTGACTGGCCTTTGTCCTGGTTCATGGGTGAGAGACAAAATCCTTGGAATTACCTGAGTAATAGTAGTGTCCTTGTTATTCATCAGTACCTTAGATCATACCTGATATTTTATGCTAATTAGGTAACTCATTTTAAACCCCTAGATAGCCTCAGCTTAAGGGCTGGTCAGCCCTGAAAGAATAACCGTGTGATTAGAGGGTTGGGGCTTTGAGCCATGTGATATCAGCCCAACATCCTGACCTTCGGGAGGTGGAGAAAACATGCTGGAGCTTCCTGGTTGGTGAACAAATAAGTATACCAGGAAAGTGCACCCTGATTCCATGTGGAGACAGCATTGAAACTCTGCACTGAGGACCTTCCAGACCTTGTCCTATGTGTCTCTTCATTTGGCTAGTCCTGATCTGTACTTTAGTAAAGCTGTAATCATAAATATAATACTTTCCTGAGTTCTGTGAGTCTTTCTATAAATTAAACCTGAGGTGGTTGTGGGAACTCCTGAATTTGCAGCCACTGAGTCAGAAGTGTGGGTGGTCTGAGGACCTCCAAAGAGTGGCTGGAGTCTGGAGTGAGGGAAGCCTATGGAAAACTGAACCCTTAACTTGTGGAGTTTGCACTAACTTCAGGAAGTTAGTGTCAGGACTACACTGCAATACAGTAGTTGAAGCTGAAACAGAATATACTCTTCACCCAATTTTACCCAATGATAACATCTTGCAAATGTATATATAGTACAATACCACAATTAATTAAGATATTGACATTGAAGCAATCAAGATACAGACCACTTGGCTCTGAAGCTGCTTTAGGAGGCTTCCTATGTCCTTTAGTTAAAAGTACTCAGCATGCCAAACACCATACTTAGGGGGATCATTTTCTGAGCCCCCAACAAGCCTATGTATCAATTTTGGGATAATTGACATCTTTCTATGCTTATTCTTCCAATCCATAAGCATGGTATATCTCTCAACTTATTTAGATCTTTGATTTCTTTCATCAGTGTTGTGTAGTTTTCAGTTTATAAATCCTATAATTATTGTGTTAGATTTATACCTAAGTATTTCAGAATTTTTGAGCAATTATAAATTATAAATTATATTGCTTTTTAAATTTCTGTATCCAGCTGCTCATTGCTATTACATAGAAATGCAACTGATTTTTGCATATATATTTGTGTCTTAGTCCACTTAGTGTTGCTATATAGGAGTACCTGAGGCTGGGTAATTTATAAAGGAAATTTGGTTCATGATTCTCATACCTGGAAAAGTTCAAGATTGGGCATCTACATCTGGTGACAGCCACAGGCTGCTTTCATTCGTCGCAGAAGGTGAAGGGTGCCAGCATGTACAGAGATCACATAGCAAGAGGGGAAGCAAGAAAGGGAGAGGGGAGGTGCCTGTCTTTTTTAAACAACCTGCTTCACAGGAACTACTAGAGTGAGAAATCATTCACTCCCTTCCCCCAATAGGGAGGGCATTCATCTATTAATGAAGGGTCCACCCCCATGACCTAAACACCTCCCATTAAGTCTCATCTCCAACACTGGGATCAAATTTTAACATGAGGTTTTGGGGGATAAACATCTAAACCACATCAATAGTATATCCTGGGAGCTTGCTGAACTCACTTATTAGTAATAGGATTTTTGAATATTATTTTATGTAGATGCCTTGGGATTTTCTATATAGGCAGTCATATCATCCATAACTAGGGACAGTTTTACCTCTTCCTTTCCAATATGAACATCATTTATTTCCTTTTATTGTCTTATTACAAGGGCTAGAACTTCCAGTTCTATGTTGAGTAAGAGTGGTGAGGACAGACATCATTGCCTTATTCTGATTTTGGGGGAAATGTATTCAATCTTTCACCACTAAGTCAAATATTAGCTGGAGGTTTCCTATAGACAGCCTTTACCAAGTTGAGGAATTTCTCTTCTATTCCAATTTTTCCTCTGAGAGTTTTTATGAAATCAAGAATCAGTGTTGAATTTTATCAAATTCTTTTTCTGCATTGATTGATATAAGTATGTGATTTTTTGTTGTTGTTGCATAACATGGGTTACCGTGTAGAAGAAACAAACTCCCACTATATTCTCACAGCAGACTTTTGACACCAGACATATGGGGATTTCTCCCCACCATCAATCAAGCAATCAATCCTGCCATGGACACCAGCTGGCTGTCTTCCAACTCATTTCAGTTTTGACACTATCTACCTGGAGAGAGTGTGAGATCCCATGGGGTGAGGGCTCCATCTCATCCCACAAGAGTGTGCCCTAATTCTGATGCCAGCTGCAAGCCCCAGGTTGTTGTGCCTGTGCTTCTGATCAACCAGCCGTAAGTTGGGAGTCCCATGACCCACCTCTTTGGATTTGATTAATTTTCTTGAGCAGCTCATATAACTTAGAGAAACAATTACTTACATTTACTGGTTTATTATAGAGGACATTACAAAGGATACAGATGAAGAGATTCATAGGGCGAGTTATGGAGAAAGGAGCACAAAACTTCTATTCCCTCCCCTGATGTACCACCCTCCAAGAACCTCCACGTGTTCAGCTGTCTGGAAGCTCTCTGTACCCTGTCCTCTGGGCCTTTTATGGAGATGTCATTGGATAAGCATGATTGAAGGATGGGAAACTGTATAGAAATGTGATTGGACAAAAAGGGCACGATTTAATACTATTAGATTGAATGAGGAAACCCAGCAAGACCTGTTTGTTCATATTCTTCTTGCCTTCTCTTTTGCAGCATTTCTTCTTTCCAGAACCCCTATGGAATGAAGATCGTATGACCTACTATCGGACAAGAGTATATCGAGAATTTCTGTATGACCAGCTCCAAGACAGAAAGGCAAAGGAAGATTAAATTTTTAGTCTCTATGGCCTGCCTTGGGGAGAAAAGAAGCAAGTGAAAGGAGGGCTGGAGATGATGGGAGAGAGTTTCTGTTTCCTGAGGCCTGCTTCTGAGTCTAAAACACCCCCACATTATAACTAAAGACTATCTTTCACCTTTATTGCTCTGAAGCTATTCCAAAATTGCTTCAGGAACCAAGGACAAAAAGCTAAATACTTTAACAAAATATATGGTTATTGCTTTGGTGACTCAGGAAATAATAAGGACTATGGGATTTATGAGCCAGGAACTGTGGACAAACAACAATATATATATGTTATATATAATATATGTAATGTGATTATAATATGTGTATTATATATAGTTTATATACACATATATAAAATTATATGTATGTTTTATATGTATATATTATATATATAGTATGTGATCACATTAGTTGCTTTTTGAATATTCAACCAGCTTTGCATCTGCAAAAGAAATCTCACTTGGTCATGTTGCATTATTCTTTTCATATTGCTGGATTCTTTGTCTTTTAATTGATGTAAGTCACCATTTGCATTTAATGTAAGTATTGTCAATGTCTTGATTTCTCCATTATTCATGAAGGATATTTTCATTGGTATAGGTTTCTGGATTGACATTTCTTTTATTTCATACCTAAAAAATAAACAGGTTGAGCATCCCTAATCTGAAAATCCAAAATCTGAAATACATTAAAATCAGACATTTTTTGACATGACCTCACAAGTGGAAAATTTCACACCTGATTTCATGTGATGGGTCACAGTCAAAATGCCATCAAAATTTTCATGGACAGGCCGGGTACAGTGGCTCATGCCTATACTCCCAGCACTTTGGGAGGCCAAGGCAGGTGGATCATTTGAGGTTAGGCGTTCAAGACCAGCCTGGCCAACATGGTGAAACCCCATCTCTACTAAAAATACAAAAATTAGCTGGGGGTGGTGGCACACACCTATAATCCCAGCTACTTGGGAGGCCAAGGCAGGAGAATCACTTGAACCTGGGAGGCAGAGATTGCAGTGAGCCAAGATCGTGCCACTGCACTCCAGCCGGGGCGACCCAGTGAGACTTCATCTCAAAACAAAAACAAAAAAAATTCATGCACAAAATCTTCTAGAATATTGTACAAAATTACCTTCAGGCTACGTGTATTAGGTACATGGGAAACAAAAAAAATAAATTTTGTGCTTTTATTTTGGTCCCATCTCCAAGATATCTCATTATATATGCAAATATTCCAAAATCAGAAAAAATCTAAAATCTGAGACACATTTGGCTCCAAGCATTTAGATAAGGGATATTCAACCTGTACCACTTTCTTCTGGCCTCCTTGGTTTCTGATGAGAAATATGCTGTAATTCTAGTCACTTTTCCTCTGTAGATATGCTGTTGTTTTTCTCCAGCTGCTTTCAAGATTTTTGTTTGTTAGCTTTTAGTTTCCAGAAGTTTAATTATGAAGTGTGTTGACTTGAATTTCTTTGGGTTTATCCTGTTTAACCTTCACTTAAGTTGTTGAATCTATAAGTCTATAACTCTTGTCAAATTTGTGAAGTTTTCAGTCATTATCTTTTCAGGTGTTTTTCCAGCCCTCCCCTCTTCCTTCACTTCTTCCAGAACTCTGATGAAATGATGTTAGTTTTTAGTTTTGTTTCTGAACCTCTGTTCATTTTTTTTCAGTCTATTTTTTCTCTCTGTTCTTCAGAGCAATTTCTATTATTCTATTTTTCCATTCACTGACTTTTTCCCTCTGTTCCCACCATTCTGGTATTGATCCTATTTACTGAGCTTTTAAATTCAGCTATGGTATTTTTTATTTCTAAAATTTCCATTTGGTTCTTCTATTTATCTTCTATTTCTCTGCTGAAGCTGCCTATTATTTAATTTGTTTCAAGCATGTATAATTCCATCTCTGTTGGCATCTGCTGATTGTCTTTTTTCTTTAAGTTTTACATTAAGTTCAGGCTTGCATGTACAGGTTTGTTACCTAGGTAAACATAGGGTCATGTGGGTTTGTTGTACAGATTATTTCATCTTAATACCCAGGTATTAACCCTAGTACCCATCAGTTATTTTTTCTGATCCACTTCCTCCTCCCACCTTCCCTTGTCTGTTAGGCCCCAGTGTGTGTTGTTCCCTTCTATGCGTCCATGTGTTTGCTTTATTTAGCTTCCACTTACAAGTCAGAGCATGTGATATTTGGTTTTCCATTCCTGTGTTAGTTTGCTAAGGATAATGGCCTCCAACTCCATTCATGTCCCTGCAAACAACATTATCTCATTCCTTTTTATGGCTGCATAGTATTCCATGGTGTATATGTACCACATTTTCTTTATCCAATCTATAACTGATGGGCATTTAGGTTTATTTCATGTCTTTGCTATTGTCGATAGTGCTGCAATGAACATATGCATGCATGTGTCTTTATAATAGCATGATTTATATTCCTTTGGGTATCTAACCGGAAACGGAATGGCTGGGTTGAATGGTATTTCTGTCTTTAGGTCTTTGAGGAATTGCTACACTGTCTTCCACAATAGTTGAACTAATTTACACTCCCACCAACAGTGGGATTTCTTTTTCTCATTCTTTTTCTCCACAATCTCACCAGCATCTGTTATTTTTCAGCTTTTTAATAATAGACATTCTGGGCCGGGCACTGTGGCTCATGCCTGTAATCCCAGCACTTTGGGAGGCTGAGGTGGGCAGATCACATGGTCAGGAGATCGAGACCACCCTGGCTAACACGGTGAAGCCCGTCTCTACTAAAAATACAAAAAAAAAAAAAAATGCCCAGGCTTTGTGGTGGGCACGTGTAGTCCCAGCTACTCAGGAGGCTGAGGCAGGAGAATGGCATGAACCCGGGAGGCGGAGCTTGCAGTGAGCCAAGACTGCGCCACTGCACTCCAGCCTGGGGGACAGAGTGAGACTCTGTCTCAAAAATAAATAAATAAATAAATAAAAAATAATAGCCATTATGACTGGTGTGAGATGGTATCTCATTGTGGTTTTGATTTGCATTTCTCTAATGACCAGTGATAATGAAATTTTTATTTTCATATGCTTGTTGCCCACATGTATATCTTCTTTTGGAAAATGTCTGTTCATGTACTTTTCCCACTTTTTAATTTTTTTTCTTGTAAATTTGTTTACATTTTTATAGATGCTGAATATTAGACTTTTGTCAGATGCATAGTTCGCAAATATTTTCTCCCATTCTGTAGGTTGTCTGTTTACTCTGTTGATAGTTTCTTTTGCAGGGCAGAAGCTCTTTAGTTTAATTAGATCCCATTTGTCAATGTTTGCTTATGTCGCAGTTGCTTTTGGCATCTTCATCGTGAAATCTTTGCCCGTGCCTGTGTCCTGAATGCTATTGCCTAGATTGTCTTCCAGGATTTTCATAGTTTTGGGTTCTACATTTAAGTCTTTAACCCATCTTGAGTTCATGTTTGTATACGGTATAAGGAAGAGGTCCAGTTTCAATCTTCTGCATATGGCAACCAGTTATCCCAGCACCATTTACTGAATAGAGAATCCTTTCCCTATTGCTCGTTTTTGTCAGGTTTGTCAAAGATCAGATGGTTGTAGGCGTGTGGTCTTATTTCTGGGTTCTCTATTCTGTTCCATTGGTCTACATGTCTATTTTTGTACCAGTACCATGCTGTTTTGGTTACTGTAGCCCTGTAGTATAGTTGAAATGGGGTAGCATGATGCCTTCAGCTTTGTTCTTTTTGCTTAGGATTGCCTTGGCTATTCAAGCTCTTTTTTGGCTCCATATGAATTTTAAAATAGTTTTTTCTAATTCTGTGAAGAATATCAATGGTAGCTTGATAGGCATAGCATTGAACCTCTAAATTGCTTTGGGCAGTATGACCATTTTAACAATATTGATTTTTCCTATCCATGAGCATGGAATGTTTTTCCATTTGTTTGTGTCATCTCTGGTTTCTTTGAGCAGTGGTCTGTAGTTCTGCTTGTTGAGATCTTTCACATCCCTAGTTAGCTGTGTTCCTAGGTATTTTATTCTTTTTGTGCCAACTGAGAATGGGAGTTTGTTTCTGATTTGGCTCTCAGCTTGACTGTTTTTGGGATATAGGATTGCTAACAATTTTTGTACATTGATTTTGTATTCAGAGACTGTGCTGAAGTTCCTTATCAGCTTAAGCTTTTGGGCTGAGACTAAGGGGTTTTCTAGATACAGGATCATGTCATCTGCAAACAGGGATAGAAATTCCTATTTGGATGCCCTTTATTTCTTTCTTTTGCCTGATTGCCCTGGCCAGGACTTCCAATACTATGTTGAACAGGAGTGGTGAAAGAAGGCATCCTTATCTTGTGCCGGTTTTCAAGAGGAATGCTTCCAACTTTTGCCCATTCAGTATGATGTTGGGTGTGGGTTTCTCATATATGGCTCTTATTATTTTGAGGTGTGTTCCTTCAATACGTAGTTTATTGAGAGTTTTTAACATGAATGGAGTTAAATTTTATCAAAAGCCTTTTCTGCATCTACTGAGATAATCATGTGGGTTTTGTCTTTAGTTCTGTGATGAGTCACATTTATTGATTTGCATATGTTGAACCAACTTTGCATCCTAGGGATTAAGCCTACTTGATCGTGGTGGATAAGCTTTTTGATGTGCTACTGGATTCAGTTTCCCAGTATTTGCTGAGGATTTTTGCACTAATGTTCATCAAGGATATTGGCCTAAAGTTTTCTTTTATTGTTGTATCTCTGCCAGGTTTTGGTATCAGGATTATGCTGGCCTCGTAGAATGGGTTAGGGAGGACTCTCTCCTCCTTAACTTTCTGGAATAGTTTCAGTAGAAATGGTACCAGCTCTTCATACATCTGGTAGAATTTATCTGTAAATCCATCTGGTCCTGGCCTTTTTTTGGTTGGTAGGCTATTTATTACTGCCTCAATTTCAGAGCTCATTATTGTTCTGTTCAGGGATTCAATTCCTTCCTGGTTCACTCTAGGGAGAGTGTATATGACCAAGAATTTATCTATTTCTTCTAGATTTTCTAGTTTATGTGCATAGAGTAGAGTTGTTCATAGTATTATCTGATGGTTGTTTGTATTTCTGTGGGGTCAGTGGTAATATTCCCCTTGTTGTTTCTGATTGTGTTTATTTGAATCTTCTCTTTCTTCTTCTTTGTTAGTCTAGCTAGCAGTCTATTTTACTAATTTTTTCAGAAAACTAGCTCCTGGATTTATTGATCTTTTGAATGATTTTTCATGTCTCAATCTCCTTCAGTTCAGTATTGGTTTTGGTTATTTCTTGTCCTGCTAGCTTTGGGATTGGTTTTCCCTTGGTTTTCTAGTTCTTTCAGTTGTCATGTTAGGTTGTTAACTTGAGATTTTTCTAACTTTTTGATGTGGGCATTTAGTACTATAAAATTCACTCTTCACACTGCCTTAACTGTGTCCCAGAGATTCTGTATATTGTATCTTTGTTCTCATTAGTTTCAAAGAACTTCTTGATTTCTGTCTTAATTTTACTATATACACAAAAATCATTCAAGAGTAATTATGCAATCTCCATGTAATTGTATGGTTTTGAGTGAATTTCTTAGTCTTCATTTATAATTTGATTGCACCGTGACCCTAGAGACTGTTATAATTTCAGTTCTTTTGCAATTGCTGAGGAGCGTTTTACTTACAATTATGTGATTGATTTTAGAGTATATGCCATGTGGCAATGGGAAGAATGTATATTCTGTTGTTTTGGGGTGAAGAGTTCTGTAGTTGTCTATCAAGTCCATTTGATCTAGAGCTGAGTTCAGGTCCTAAATATCTTTGTTAATTTTCTACCTCAATGACCTGCTAATGTTGTCAGTGGGGTGTTAAAGTCTCCCACTATTATTGTGTGGGAGTCTAAGTCTCTTTGTAGGTCTCTAAGAACTTGCTTTATGAATCTGTATGCTCCAGTGTTGGGTATGTATATATTTAAGATAGTTAGATCTTCTTGTTGAATTGAACCCTTTACCATTATATAATGCCTTTCTCTGTCTTTTTTTATCTTTGGTGGTTTAAAGTCTGTTTTGTCAGAAACTAGGATTGCAACCACTGCTTTTTTCTGTTTTCCATTTGCTTGGTAGATTTTTCTCCATCCCTTTATTTTGAGCCTATGTGTGTTGCTGCATGTGAGATGGGTCTCTTGAAGACAGTATACCAATGTCTTGGTTCTTGGTTCTTTATCCAGCTTGCCTCTCCATGTCTTTTAATTGAGGCATGTAGCCCATTTACATTTATTTATTTATTTTTGAGACAGAGTCTCGCTGTATAGCCCATGCTGGAGTGTAGTGGCACCATCTTGGCTCACTGCAACCTCTGCCTTTCAGGTTCAAGCGATTCTCCTGCCTCAGCCTCCCACGTAGCTGGAATTACAGGCACCCACCACAATGCCCAGCTAAGTTTTGTATTTTTAGTAGAAATGAGGTTTTGCCATGTTGACCAGGCTGCTCTCAAACTCCTGACCTCAGGTGATCCACCCACTTCGGGCTTCCAAAGTGTTGGGATTACCAGCGTGAGCCACTGTGCCTGCCCCATTTACATTTACAGTTAGTATTGATATGTGTGGATTTGATTCTGTCATCACGATGTTAGCTGGTTATTATGCAGACTCACAGTTCTGCAGGCTATATAGGAGGCATGGCCAGGAGGCCTCAGGAAGCTTACAATCATGACAGAAGGTGAAGGGGAAGCCAGCACATCTTACATGGTTGGAGCAGGAGGAAGAGAGAGCGAAAGAGGAAGCATTACACACTTTTAAAACAACCAGGTCTCATGAGAACTCATTCACTATCATGAGAACAGCAAGGGGGTAGTCTGCCCCCATGATTCAGTCACCTCTTACCAGGACTCTCCTCCAATGTGTGGGGATTACAATTCGACATGAGATTTGGGTGGGGACACAGAATCAAATCATATCACTCATTAACAGATGTTCTAAAATAAATAGTATTACAGTTTTTTTAAAGATGTATGTAATAGATTATCAGAATATTTGTATACAAATTAGGTAAACTTTTTTAAAAAATAAAACATATATTTAAAAGGGTAATTGTACTTGGCATTTAATCCTAGCACTTTGGGAGGATGCAACGGGAGGATTGCTTGAGCCCAGGAATTCAAGACAAGCTTGGGCAACATAGCAAGACTCCATCTTGACAAAACAAAAATTAGAGATTAAAGAAAGGGTAGGCTGGGTGCAGCGGCTCACGCTTGTAATCCCAGCACTTTGGGAGGCCAAGGCGGGCTCATCCATGTATCTTGATCTCACTTTCTTTAAGTCTTCCCTGCCCCCTTATCACTATCATCTTCCCCTCTTGTAAAATAAAACTCCCACATCTGCTTTTCCTTTCTTCCTTACTTTGCTTTATCTTTTTTTTTTTCTTTACTTATCCCTACCTGGTATGTTGTATATTTTCTTATTTGTATAAACTGTAAGCTCTGTCAGAGCAGAGGTTATTTCTTTCAATCCTTTATCCTAGATCCCAGAATGATACCTGGCATGCTGTAGGGAATCAATAAATATTTCTTGGATGAATGGCTTGATTTTAAAAAGTGGAGACTAAGGTGTCTATGTGGCTTTTAGTGAAGATGGCTCGCCTCTGTACTATTCATTGTAATTTGTCATTTGTATTTCTTATTATTGCTTCATCTTGATGTTATGAAGCCAAAACCTCTGCTTTAAGGTATAAAAGTAAATTCCCTAATAAGAGAGATAGATGCTTATGTGTGTAACAATCTACCAAAATGAAGGTTTGTCTCCACCTTGGTATGAAATGTATTATGGACCGTAATTATGGTCCATATTATGGACAGTATGCCAATGAAAGACATAGTAAAGAATGCGTGGGGAGTTTAATTGCAAGTCACCACTGCAGTTGAGTTCAACCTTTCTGCATAGAGCCATTCATCATGAGTGACAGGCAAGAGAGGAGGAGAAGCAGCAGATTCTTCCATGGATCACTCTCTCCCCTACTTGCCTCATCCTGTCATTCAGTTTACAGTCCTCTCTGTTGGCTGCAATCATTCCCAGAGGACGTATTTATCACCATGAAGAAAACTCGAATGACATCAGCAGCAGCACTTACAACTCTGTGCTGTGATCCAATAAATAATGTGTGCTCAGCATGTGGAAGTGGTGAAGCAGCCCTTAATATTATCAAAAACTAGGCAGGGTTCTCAAGCCCTGGCCTTACCTGGGAGCTGGTTAGGCACACAGAATCTCAAGCTCCGCCTCAGACCTGCACTTTAACAAGACTCCCGGTGATTTGTGTGGACACTGAAGTTTGAAAAGCACTAGTCTGTAGACTTGACTAATACCCAAAGCCATCATCTCCTTAAGACATGATTTTAAACCATCGTGTCACAAATAGAATCCAACTAAAGTGAGAAAATAAAGCTTTTCCTGTCTCACACTGGGGATGACATAGAAACAGAAGTTGAATTAACACGTTGAATTAACCTATGTGAGTTCATGGTTTCCAAAGCTTTTATGTGTAAATATCTTTCTGTTCCCTATAAGATGAGCATTATTATTCCTGTTTTCTGTGGAGTAAACTGATGTTCAGAAAAATGAACTGATTCTCCCAAGGTAATACAGTCAGTAAATGGAAATAAGATGGCCAGGACCAATCCTCCCCCAACCCCGCAACTCCCTAATCCCACTCTCTTCTACCCTATCACAACATTTTAAAGTTTTAAAAAAATCTCTTCTTTCCTTCTTTCACTCCTTCCTTTTCTCTCTTTCTCTTTTAAAAGGTGAAACATAGCTAGTCAAGGCATATTATTTTCTTTTTATGACTGAATCCCACATTTATTTAATGAAGTGCAGCTCTGAACAGAAGATCGATTTTTGATGATTCTTTGCAAATCATTTATTTGAATCTACCTGAAATGCCTCTGCTTCTGGAGAATGTTCATCACCGCAATCTGGTTTATGTTGTGTAGCTATAAATTATATATAAATTACATATAGAGAGATGTAGATAGAGAGATATTATATACAGATAAATTATATCTATATAAATTATATATAATCAGATATAAATCATATTGGCATATAATTTATATAGACAGAAATTAAGTGCATATTTGGATCAGCCAAATGAGTCCACAGCATTGTAGCAATCAGTAAAGCGATCCCCAGTGAAGTGAAATCACTCAGCTCTGGCTTATTTCTTAAATATGTATTAATGTTTAGGAACATTTTTGCCCCTAGAAAGAAAAATTTTTTTTATAATTTTGGGAGAAGAAATAAATTGTGAGGATTTGAGATAAGTGGGGGACACATGCAGGGGTTCCCAAAACCCATTTTAAAAAGATACACAAAAAATAGAAAGTATCTCTATTTTGACTTAATATGTGTGTGTGTGGGTGGGAGGAGCCCACTCTGTGGTTATGCACATGCACACACGTAATTTGATCCTAATGCCTACTTTAAAATCTTTCCTTAGAGCCTTTTAGGACAGATCCTATGCACTTTAGCTAATAATCTTTGCAGAATCTCTGGAAGACTGACAATAACAGCACTGAGAGGATTATACTCCTGTAAACAAAATTATAAGTGATTAAGATAGAGTACACTTACGGCCGGGCGCAGTGGCTCACTCCTGTAATCCTAACGCTTTGGGAGGCTGAGGCGAGCAGATCATGAAGTCAAGAGATCAAGACCATCCTGGCCAACATGCTGAAACCCCATCTCTACTAAAAATACAAAAATTAGCTGGGCGTGGTGGCGTGCGCCCATAGTCCCAGCTACTCAGGAGGCTGAGGCAGGAGAATCGATTGAACGCGGGAGGCGGAGATGGCGGCGAGCCGAGATTGCGCTCCAGCCTGGCAACAGAGTGAGACTCCGTCTCAAAAAAGAAAAGAGAGAGTATACTTAGATGAGCTCCAGAATGTCATCAAGGCTTGCATTTTAAAACTCTTCCAGCTCTTTTCTGTATATTCTTTGATAAAAGTAATGAAAGGAAGAACTGAAGTTTTAAAAGCTTTTTACTTCTCTACAAACCTCACATTAAATAGCCAGGGGAGGGGGTGGGGTGGGGGTGGGGTGGGGGGGCGGGGAGGGGTGGAGAATAAAATATTAAATGTAACAGACTTACAGGGTTTGTTTATTTTAAGTGTCAAAAAACAGTTCTGTTTGGGAATCAGAAATCCAGTTTTGAGAGAACACAACTTGGGTAGCCCCTGTTCTCCCATCAACATACCAGAGGGCTGTAAGTTATAAAAATATGGCTCAAGAAATAATAGTTGATATTCTGTACATGCATTAGGAGGTCTTGAGGGCCCGAGAAATGTGTATGGTCTACACATAAGGTAAATCATGTGAGTTCTCTATATAACTAGCTATTTTCACCAGCAATCGTTTAATTAAACATTGGAGCACTGTAGAAGGTTCATAGCTTATTGCCATTATTTAATATTTGTTTTATGACCAGCAAGGAAGGACTTGTGGGGACCAGCAATTTTTCTCTTGGGAAATAGATACAATCAGAACCATCAACCCCAAGCGTACATAAAACAGGATCTAAATCACATTTATCTCCCGCCAGAGAACCAGAAACACAGTGACTGTGTCTCCAGAATTAAAAATTAATAGCCGTAAAAGGGATATAAAAGGGGTGAAAAGGATGTAGATTTTGTAACAATACATAGGGAGCACCTAGAGGACCATTTATTTGCATTTTGAAACTGAAGAGTTACAAAGATGGTCAATTCTGTTGAACAGCTTTTAAACCTAAAAGGCTTGTTTGCAAAAACCAACTTGAATGCAGTTAAAGTGTTTTTAGCCTGAATTTGTAGAGCAGCTGACAGAAAAATGCAACCAGCAGTTGCAAAATCTCTTTATTTTGTAATGCTTGCATACAACTTTATTGTAATAATATTACTTTTTTTTCCAATTTTGCGGTTATTTGTGAAATCAAATATTGGCTCTGAGGGCAAAGAACCACTTGGATGTTAAGATGAAAGTAATGCAATCATAATATTTTCTAATTTATTTCATAATATGTTAGCACAAAGTAATTTATTTACTCATCCAGAGGTATTGTCAGCATGTTCTTTTTTTTTGAGATGGAATAGTCTCTGTCTGTTGCCCAGGCTGCAGTGCAGTGGTGTGATCTCGGCTCACTGGAACCTCCACCTCCCAGGTTCAAGCGATTCTCCTGCCTCAGCCTCCCGAGTAGCTGGGATTACAGGCACATACCACCACGCTCGGCTAATTTTTGTATCTTTTAGTAGAGACAGGGGTTTCACCATATTGACCAGGCTGGTCTAGAACTCCTGATGTTGTGGTCCGCCCGCCTTGGGCTTCCAAAGTGCTGGGATTACAGGCATGAGCCACTGCGCCTGGCCAGTATGTTACACTTTTAAAGAAAAAAGGCTAGGAATTATGTCCACTATATTCAACAAGACAATTGATATTCTGTGCTAGTCACAGTACAATTAATGGTATTTCATTAAATAAAATTTCTTGTTAAGCTGTATGTGAAAGGATTATACTTTATATTTATACGTAATTATATTTTATTTATTTATTTTTATTTTTATTTTTTTGAGACAGAGTCTCACTCTGTTGCCTAGGCTGGAGTGCAGTGGCGCAATCTCGGCTCACGGCAACCTCCCCATCCCGAGTTCAAGCAATTTTCATGCCTCAGTCTTCCAAGTAGCTGGGATTACAGGCACACGTCACCACGCCCGACTAATTTTTCTATATTTTGTAGAGAGTTTCACCATGTTGGCCAGGCTGGTCTCGAACTCCTGACCTCAAGTGATCCACCCACCTCGGCCTCCCAAAGTGCTGGGATTACAGGCATAAACCACCATGACTGGCCTATACATACTTATATTGATATCATACATTTTCTAAGAATTCCTATACTTTGGGATTTTAGGACATTTGTTGAATGAATAGCCATCGTATATTGCTCTCCTAGGCAACTGAAGGCAATAGGGTTAATACACTAGTGATCCCAATCAGCAGATGAAGAGCGTGAGGAAAGACAGGCTGGATGTTTGCCGACATCCTACGTTTAAAACATGCGACCTATCTTCTGGCTCCTGGAAGAAACATGAAGTGGAGAGGTCTAGATTACCTAGAACCTGATTGTGGCTCATCTTTGCCTACAAGAGTGGGGAAGCCTCTTCTTACCTCAGTCAGCAAGGAACTGATTATTTCTGCAGAGTGACTGTTGAGTCTATTAGAAATTGCCTTTAATTTTACACTTTTCTCTCACAGGTCAAAGTTAATTTTTTAAAACAAACAAACAATTATGGCTGAATCTTTCTTGCTTGAGATAGGATTGTTGTTTCTGAAACAACTTTGACCAGATATGATGGCTCATACCTATAATCCCAGCACTTTGGGAGGCTGAAGTGGGAGGATTACTTGAACCTAAATGTTGGAGATCAGCCTGGGCAACATAAGGATATGCCATCTCTAAAAAATACAAATAAAAAATTAGCCAGGCATGGTGGCACACACTTGTGGTCCCAGCTACTTGGGAGGCTGAGGTGGGAGGATCACTTGAGCCCGGGAAGTTGAGGCTGCAGTGAGCCATGATCACTGCATTCCAGTCTGGGCTACAGAGTGAGACCCTGTTTCAAAAAAATAAATGGCCAGGCGCAGTGGCTCGTGCCTATAATCCCAGCACTTTAGGAGGCCTAGGTGGGCAGATCACAAGGTCAAGAGATTGAGACCATCCTGGCCAACACGGTAAAACCTCGTCTTCACTAAAATACAAAAATTAGCTGGGTGTGGTGGCACATGCCTGTAGTCCCAGCTACTCTGGAGGCTGAGGCAGAATTGCTTGAATCTGGGAGGTGGAGGTTGCAGTGAGCCGAGATCATGTCACTGCACTCCAGCCTGGCTACAGAGCGAGACTCCGTCTCAATAAATAAATAAATAAATAAATAAAGACAGAAAGAACTTTGCAAAAACTATTTTATGAAGATTCAAGAATTTACAGAGCTCAAGAGTCAGGTTTGAAACCTAACTATGTGGTTTACCAGCCGTATACCCTTAGGAAACTTACAAACCTCTATGTGCTTCAGTTTTCTCATCTGCAAAATGGCAATAAGAAAAGCTCCTCAACCATAGGTTGTGGGAATTAACTGGGCTAATTCTTATAAAGAACACAGAATAGTGCTTTTCACATGTAACACATAACAAATGTTAACTATTACTCATATTTCTCCTGACTTTGCTTGGTTAGCCTTACTTTTTTTTTTTGTTTGTTTTGTTTTTTTGAGGTAGGGTCTTGCTGTGTTGCCCAGGCTGGAGTGCAATGGTGCAATTATGGCTCACTACAGCCTTGATCTCCTGGGCTCCAGTGATCCTCCCAACTTAGCCTTCCAAATAACTAGGACTACAGGTGTGAGCCACCAAGCAGGCTAATTTTTAAATTTTGTTATGGAGACAAGGTCTTGCCATGTTGCCCAATCTGGTCTGAAACTCCTGGGCTCAAGCAATCCTCCTGCCTTGGCCTTCCAAAGTACTGGCATTACAAGTCTGAGCCACTGTGCCCGACTCCTGTTCTTACTTTTGATGTACTTTTTTTTAAATTTGAAAATAAATATAATTAGACAAGTTAAGATGTTTTGTTACGTTTTATTTTTCATAGGCTACAATATTCAGAATATTTTTTAAAATTTTCCTCTAAAACTAGCACTATAATGCCAGGATTTTGTTTGTATTTATTTCATTCCTCTTTTTGTTAAATGCATCCATGTTTCTACACAGTTGAAGCAACAAATCCACATAATAACAACTATCATATTTGTATTCTGCTTTTGTCCCCACATCATTATCTATGCACATTTTATATATTTCTATAGGCTTAGTAATAATCTTGCTTAATGGATACATAATATTTCATTTTTTCTCCTTTTTTTTTTTTTGAGACAGAGTCTCACTCTGTCACCTAGGCTGGAGTGTGATGGCAGGATCTTGGCTCACTGCAACCTCTGCCTCCTGGGTTCAAGCGATTCTCCTGCCTCAGCCTCCCCAGTAGCTGGGACTACAGGTGCACGCCACCACACCCAGCTAATTTTTATATTTTTAGTAGAGACGGGGTTTCACCATGTTAGCCAGGATGATCTCAATCTCTTGACCTCATAATCCGCCTGCCTCGGCCTCCCAAAGTGCTGGGATTATAGGCATAAGCCACTGCACCCAGCCTTCATTTCTTCTACTTTCACAGATAATATTGTAATAGACAGTTTTGCTCTGTTAAAATATTTTCATAGAATAAATTCTCAGGCCAGGTGCAGTGGCTCACATCTGTAATGCCAGCACTTTGGGAGGCCTAGGCAGATGGATCTCCTGAGGTCAGGAGTTCGAGACCAGCCTGACCAAGATGGTGAAACCCCGTCTCTGCTAAAAATACAAAAATCAGCCGGGCGTGCTGGTTCACGCTTGTAGTCCCAGCTACTCGGGAGGCTGAGGCAGAAGGCTTGCTTGAATCCAGGAGGCAGGGGTTCAGTAAGCCGAGATCCTGCCATTGTATTCTAGCCTGGGCGACAGAGTGAGACTCCATCTCAAAAAATAAAAAAATAAAAAAAAAATTCTCAAGAATGAAATAACTTATAATAACAACAACAACAACAACAATTACCTCTGTCTGCATTTCTTCCTCGATTCCAACTCAGAGATTCTTGTCTTCTTACCCTCTGTAGCACCCCCCACTCCTACCAATACCCCAAAGGATCGAAGGATCTTCATAGTCTTCTGGGTGCATGCCTGATGGGGCAGAGTAGTATTCAGGGTTGGAGGCAACAAGGATGCATATACTGGTCAACCAGCTCTCTGGAAAACAAACTCTGACTTATAAAATTTGCTGACTCATGCGGTGTAAGTACTCCCAGCATGGCTGATTTCAAGCTAACAACTGACTTGTCAAATTCCTGAAAATTTAACTGGCTCTTGGGAGCCGATATAACAAGCTGGCTCTATTACAGCAGTGGAAGTGGAGTTGAAGCCTTTTGGAATGTTGTAAAGCAAAGACATTCAATGGACCAGTAACCCAAGGAATCACACTGTTAATTCTATGACCTATGCTTTTGTAATTCAAAGTGTGGTCTGAGGATCAGTAAGCCAGATAGAAAAGAAGAATCATAGGCCTTACCCCAGATCTACTGAACCAGAATCTGTATTTTTATAAGATGCTTCCTTGATTTGCGTGCACATTAAAGTTTGAGAAGCACTGCTCGAGCTAGAACAGCGGCATTCCACCTGCACCTGAAAGGACTCAGTACTTCAGAGAGCTTATCAATCCAGGAATACACAGTTTAGTGACCTACTTGTGTTTTATTGCAAGAAAGATAAACCCTTACTTCAATGAAAGAAAATAGTAAGAATTAATCTATTTACTAACTAACATTCTGAAATGTGAAGGCTGGTGTCCTACTTACTTTCCAGTAAGAAAATTACATGTATGAACACTTCTCAAATTTATATTCATTCTAGAAACACATATTTATCAAGTGCCTTATGTAAAATTAGGACCGTTTATAGCCCCTAACCTCAAACAGTCTACACTCCAATAACCGTAATTAAAGACATAGATGTTGCATTTGCTGTGCACGTCTTACGTGTATCTCCTCACAGATATCTACAACTGCCACACTTGCATTTCTTTGCCAGAGAGTACATTGAACACTTTGGCAAGCCAACATATTGGGGAATTACATTGCCCTCACCCCTAATAAATCCTCTAGATCCCTTGCTTCTCTGGTAGCATAACACTGAGGATTTATACTGGTTTCTTAAGTTACTCAACCTGATCAAGCTCCCAATGCCCACAGCGGTAACTTAGTAAACAATGAACATTTTATTGGCTGCTTTCCCTTCCTTTTTTTTCACCACTCCTTCCCTACTCTTCTACCAGTATTTCCTGAGATCATCTCTCACACAGACTCTTTGCCTTTGCATCCCTGACTCAGAGTCTGCTTTTGGGGAAGCCTAAACTAAGACCATGTGTTGTACAGTATGGAAGACACAAAGTGCTACTTTAGCCTGAGGAAGAGAAATTACTATCAGCTGAGTTATCAATTGAGTTGGCTCTCAAAAGCCTGCCAGCATTTCCAGAAGTGAAGATTAAGGAGAAGGAGCCTCACTTTGGAAGGAGAAGGAGGAATGGCCCAATATATGTTTAGAAAATAAGGAGAAACCTGAGCATTAATTTTTTCAAAAAGAAGTTTAAAATTCAACCAAGTATGGATTTTGGGGCAAGCTCCTCAAAGACTTTCGGTGGTCCTCCAACTGTCTGGTAGAAATCTGAGAAAGATATGTACAGAAATTAAATTTAGAAACTTTCGCCAGGGGCGGTGGCTCACGCCTGTAATCCCAGCACTTTGGGAGGCCAAGGCGGGCGGATCACGAGTTCAGGAGATTGAGACCATCCTGTCTAACACAGTGAAACACCATCTCTACTAAAAATACAAAAAATTAGCCAGGCGTGGTGGCATGTGCCTGTAGTCCCAGCTACTTGGGAGGCTGAGGCAGGAGAATTGATTGAACCCAGGAGGCAGAGCTTGCAGCGAGCCGAGATTGCACCACTGCTCTGCAGCCTGGGCGACAGAGTGAGACTGTCTCAAAAAAAAAAAAAAAAAAAAGAAAGAAACTTTCATGCAGATTAATATATTTGTGACATTTTTATTGTATTTAACAAAAACATCAGTCCACAATGGATTGGGATTTTCAACAAGCATGTCAAGAATATACAATAAGAACAGGATAGTCTCTTCAATACATGGTGGTGAAAAACTGGTTATCCCCATGTAGAAGAATGAAATTGGACCCTTACCTCACACCATGTACAAAAAACTCAAAATAGATTAAAGACTTAAACATAAGGCCAGAAAATGTAAAACGACTAGAAGAAAACATATGGGAAAACTCTATGACAGTGGTCTGGGCAATGATTTTTTTGGATTGGATCCCAAAGCTCAGGCAACAAAAGCAAAAATAGACGAATGAATGACATCAAACTAAGACATGGCAGCATTGGAGACTATTATTCTAAGTGAAGTAACTCAGGAATGGAAAACCAAACATCATATGTTCTCACTTATAAGTGGGAGCTAAGCTATGAGAACACAGAGGCATAAGAATGATACAATGGGCCAGGTGTGGTGGCTCATGCCTGTAATCACAGCACTTTGGGAGGCCGAGGCAGGTGGATCATGAGGTCAGGAGATGGAGACCATCTTGGCCAACATGGTGAAACCCCGTCTCTACTAAAAATATAAAAATTACCTGGGCATGGTGGTGCGTGCCTGTAATCCCAGCTATTCGGGAGGCTGAGGCAGGAGAATCGCTTGAACCAGGGAGTTGGAGGTTGTAGTGAGCCGAGATCACACCACTGCACTCCAACCTGGTGACACAGTGAGACTCCTCAAAAAACAAACAAACAAACAAAAAGAATGATACATTGGACTTTAGGGACTGAGGGAAAAGAGTGAAAGAGGGGTGAGGGATAAAAGACTAAACATTGGGTACAATGTACACTGTTTGGGTGATGAGTGCACCAAAATTTCAGAAATCGACACTGAAGAACTTCTTCGTGTGACCAAACACCATCTTTTCCCAAGACTTAGGATCCAAGACTCTTCATGATTGAGATCCTATTCACCTGTAGAAATGTCATGAACGTGCTCAGTATAGGGGACTACCCTCAGGGGAGGACGGCCAGTCATCTGACATGAGACTGTATAGCTAGCCTTCTTTGGCAAATTTACCAAGACCCATACTCAGAAACTTAGTCAATATTTCATTGGGGGACTTCAACACTGCTTCCACTTAATAGAGCTCTAAAGCCTGATGTATAAAACCAAACCATGGGAAATACCAGTGAGATGTGGACAAGGTGACTCGCTCTGTTTTGTTTCCTATTGAAATGAAAGAAAGGAAAAAAGGAACATAAGCAAACAAAAGAGAAGTGGCAGCACAGCAAAGGAAACAATTAACAGTGCACAGAGACAACCTACAGACTGGGAGAAAATATTTGCAAGCCATGTACCCAATAAGGGGTTAATTTCCAAAATATGTAAGGAGCTCATACAATTCAATGGCAAGAAAACAAAAAATCCAATGAAAAATGGGCAAAGAACTTTAATAGACATATTTCTCAAAAGAAAACATACAAATGGCCATCAGATATATGAAAAAAAAAATGCTCAACATTACTAACCATTAAGGAAATGCAAATTAAAACCACAATGAGATATCACCTCATGCCTGTCAGAATGGCTGTTAACAAAAAGACCAAAGATAACAAGTGTTGGCAAGGAGTTGGAGAAAAAGTAACCCTTGTACACTGTTGGTGGGAATGTAAGTCAGTACAGCCATTACAGAAAATTGTTTGGAGGTTTGTCAAAGAAACTAAAAATAAATGGGTGTGGTGGCTCACACCTGTAATCCCAGCACTTTGGGATGCCGAGGCGGGCGGATCACCTGAGGTCAGGAGTTCAAGACCAGCCTGGCAAACATGGTGAAACCCCCTCTCTACTAAAAATACAAAACCATTAGCTGAGTGTGGTGGCACACGCCTGTAGTCCCAGCTACTCGAGAGGCTGAGGCAGGAGAATTGCTTGAACCTGGAAGGGAGAGGTTGCAGTGAGCTGAGATCACACCACTGCACTCCAGCCCGGGCGACAGAGCAAGACTCTGTCTCAAAAAAACAAAACAAAACAAAACAAAACAAAAACCTAAAAATAGAATTATCATCTAATCCAGCAATCCTACTTCTGGATATTTACACAGAAGATTTGAAATCAGTTTGTCAAAGTTCATTACAACACTATTCACAATAGCCGAGTTATGAAATCATCCTAAATGCCCATCAACAGATGAATGGATAAAGAAAAGGTAGTATGTATCTACAATAGAATCGTGCCCAGCCTTAAAAAGAAAAGAAATTCTGTCATTTGTGACAACATGAATGGAATTGGAGAGCATTATGCTAAGTGAAATAAGCCAGGCACAGAAAGGTAAATATAGTACCAAATGTTCTTATTTGTGAAATCTAAATTAATTGAGCTCATGGAAGTAGAGGAGAATAGTGGCCACCAGAGGCTGGGGAAATAGGTGGGAATGGGGAGATGATAATCAAGGGGCACACAAAATCTCAGTTAGACAAGAGGAGTATGGGTTTCTCTTTTTTCCATTGCATGGCTTGGTGAATATAGCTAATAATAGAGTGTTGTAAATTTCAAAAATGCTGAGAGTAAATCTCAACTGTTCTCACCACAAAAAAGTTACATATTTGAGGTGATAGATATGTTAATTAGCTTGGTTGACTTATTTCACATTGTATTCATAAATCATAACATCACTTTGTACCCCATAAATATATACAATTAAAAATGATCGGCCGGGCGCGGTGTCTCACGCCTCTAATCCCAGCAGTTTGGGAGGCCGAGGCGGGCGGATCACAGGATCAGGAGATCGAGACCATCCTGGCTAACACGGTGAAACACCATCTCTACTAAAAATACAAAAAAATTAGCCGGGTGTGGTGGGGGGTGCCTGTAGTCCCAGCTGCTCAGGAGGCTGAGGCAGGAGAATGGCGTGAACCCGGGAGGCGGAGCTTGCAGTGAGCCGAGATCGGCTACTGCACTCCAGCCTGGGAGACAGAGCGAGACTCCGTCTCTAAATAAATAAATAAATAAATAAATAAAAATGATCAATTTACAAGTAAAAAAAACACACACAAAAAAACATGGTCCTTCACTACAGATTATTTGAGAAACGCAGCTTTACAAATTTGATTTGTAGCCAAAAAAATAGATTATTCTCTGAGAATTAAACTATAAAATGGTGTATATGATGAGCATTCAGAGTAAGACAAAGTCCCCTTAGAGAGACTGATGCTTACCCAGGCTTTACTGATAGCACAGTATTAACATAACTAAGGAAAGAATGTGTCTAAGCTCCATCCTAGAAGGAATCTCAGCTCAGTCATTATGGCAAGGAGGAATATCTGGAAGAGTTCCTTAAAAATGCACAATATCTGACTCCCCCAACTCTGGGTTCACGTTCACCAAACAATCTTTGGGCTCTAACTGGGCTTCCTGTATAGATCACCCACATGGAACCCAGGCTAGTCACTCAGGGAGTCACCTTGTCTACATCACACTGGTATTTCCCATGCTTTGGTTTTATACATCAGGTTTCAGAGCTTGGTTAAGTAGAAGTGGAGTTGAAGTCCCCCAGCGAAATATTGTCTTGGTAAATTTGCCAGAGAATGCCAGCTATACAGTCTCATGTCAGATCACTGGCCGTCCTCCTCTCAGGGTAGTCCTATGTACTGAGCACATTCATCTAACATTTCTTTCTTTCTTTCTTTCTTTCTTTCTTTCTTTCTTTCTTTCTTTCTTTCTCTTTCTTTCTTTCTTTCTTTCTTTCTTTCTTTCTTTCTTTCTTTCTTTCTTTCTTTCTTTTTTTTTAAGACAGTCTTACTCTGTCTCCCAGGCTGGAGTGCAGTGGCGCGATCTTGGCTCGCCCAGGCTGGAGTGCAGTGGTGCAATCTTGGCTCGCTGCATCTCTACCTCCTGGGTTCAAGCAATTCTCCTGCCTCAGCCTCCCGAGTAGCTGGGATTACAGGTGCACGCCACCATGCCCGGCTAGTTTTGTATTTTTAGTAGAGATGGAGGGCTTTCACCATGTTGGCTAAGCTGGTCTCAAACTCCTGACCTCAGAAGATCGGCCCCTCTTGGCTTCCGAAAGTGCTGGGATTACAGGCATGAGCCACCACACCCAGCCTCGTCTTGAATTTCTACAGGTGAACAGGATGTCAATCATGAAGGGTCTTGGATGCTAAGTCAACTTGTTTAATGAACACATTCAGAATCTATAGAAAACCAAAATATAAAATAGAGGTGTTACCACGGTCCCATGGCTACTTAGTACAAAAACACAGACTATAACCCAAGTCCCTGAACGTCTTGTCTAATTGCTCTGAAGATTGAATCAGATTCTGTGAGAGCATCACTCCTATCATCAAAAGTCTTTAATAATAGTAATTATTGAATGCTTACTGCTGCAAGCACAGGACTAATCATTTTATGTAGTATTGTTTAATGCTTTGAAATGGTAACTTTATTATTTCCATTATACAGAGGATGACAGAAGAAACAGAGAGACTAAGTAATTTGTCCAAGACCACAAAGTTAGTAAGTTTTGAGGGCAAAATTCAAACCTAGGCTCTCTGACATACCCCAGCTTTCAACCGCTATTCTGTTCTGCTCTGCTTTTTTGTTTTTCAATACTAGCTATTTCTGTTGAACCAGAAAAATTGAGGATCATAAGTTTTTGCCTCTTAGAACCGAATCCAGATGGCGTTAAGAATGGAAACCCCATCCTTTAAGTATGTTGCAAGATATGTTCAGACTCTAAGAAAATCTAGAGAGAAGCTATTTTAATTTCAAAATCAAATTTTGATTTGATTTTGAGTTTTGTGGTTTAAATTTATTTTAAATTGGCATTACATATTAGGGGAGTACCATTATGTTTTCACTGTTCGGGTCACTGAAGTCCTTAAATCATCTCTGAATCTAACTCATTCTTTTTAATGCCACATCCGTTTCACAGAAGTCCCGTATTTATTTAACCAGTCCCTAATAAGTGGCATTTACATTATTTCCCACTTATAATTACAAATAAGGTCATAAGAAACATCTGCTCTGTTTCTGTTTATCTTTGTTTACCTGTAGGCATGTATCTGTATTTATGGGTATCAATTCGTACTAATCTAATCTTCAGTTTTTAATTCTGATGTTTCCTTGTCAATTCAAGCACTTTCTGGTAGAAAGATGAGAAAATAGAATTTCTGAGATCACAATATTAATTAAGGTTCTAGAGAGAGGAAATAGTTCCTTCTTTCATTGCCCTAGAATTTAACTCCAGGAAATCTTATTGGGAGAACACATCTCCTTGTACTTAGAAAACAAGTTTGGGAGTCTTTCACACAGATATAGTTGGAGAAGTCTGCAGTCCTCCAGGGCATCTGACTCATCTGTAGATACTATCATTACACACTTTCCATTCTGCCTGTTTTTTCTTTTCTCTCCAAACATGTAGTCCACAGATGCTAGCAAATAAGGGAGAAGGGCAAGATTCCCCATCAGGTGTTTTTATTATAATAGACCTGGTGAGATACATTGGCTTTTCACTAGGATGTGGAAGGGACCGTTAATTTTGAGCCCTGAGTCGTAGGACAGCCTTAGAGGTGAGAGTCCCCTTACATTATTATGAGATTCCTTTAAAAGCTCATAGAACAGGACCCATTCAAGACTGCTGCTTGTGCTGCCTTACATTGATTCTACTTTAGAACAAATATTCATGTTAATACAAGAGCCTATTATGTTCTATAAGCGAGCATAAATCTTTTCCTTAGAGAACACACCACTATATTAACCAATTTGGATATACACAGCAGAGGGCAGAACTTGTCTTGGAGTAATTAATTTGTAATTAGTCAGCTAAGGGTGTGTGAGTATGAATGCACATGTGCAAATATACTGGCCTTCAAACATTCACCCCGAGCCTCCTGCGTAGATGACACTACCCCGGTTGTGTAGAAAAGAGGAACTCTTCGAAATCTGGAACTCAGAATTTCTACGTCGCTGTCTTTTCTTAACCTCAAAAGAATGTTTTTTCTCCAGAAATTAAATCTACTTTGTATCCACTCCTATTTTCAAAACTGGGTAGCCACGTTGGGACCTCATGTTTCTTGGAGAATTTGCTGTTTCCACAGAGCTCTGATCTCTGATGGCTTTGTAAAGAGCGACGGCTCGGTCTTCAGCACATGCAGCTTACCTGATTAGTTGTCATTAAAGCTAATGTAAGACAAATACTCATCTGGTAAGGAGAGTGCCTGTAACTTTAATAATGCCTGAGGGAGTATGTATGACCTCACACCTCCAACCCAGACATTGTTTAACCATACCCCACAACTTGTGAATTTCAATTATTTGTTCAGAGGAGCCATTCATAATTGCCTGGTATAAGCCTGCCTTTAGGATGCAAAGCAGAAGACAAATGAAAATGCTACCCGAGCGAATCAGGGTAGCAGCACTTAAACATATAAATGAACTAGGCCTCTTTTCACAGCTCCCCCTTTCTATTCTGAGAGGTTTCAGTCTGGTGACATCAAAGGCAGGATTATGGGTGAAGATAAAAACTTGATCTAATGTCCATGTTTGAAGTCATGAAAGTCCTCCTCTCTCCGTGGCAAAATAACCCTCTTCATAACACACACACACAAAAACCGGGGTCCAGGTGCAAAGGGGTTGGGGGTAGGATGAGGATGGGGGAAGGCCACAGGAAGGCCCTGGCTTCCTGAGGCTGTAGGAATAACTAAGTGTTAGAGCCCCGTATTGCCAAATGTGCTAATAGATTATTTGTAGGCTTGAGCTGGCTTTGTTCTGCAAATTAATATGTTAAGTCTTTCTTTTAAGCTTGTGTGATGTTGGCATGGTTCTTTAATGAGATTTTAACTAGATTTCCTTTACTATCTGCAAAGACTAGAAGAGATTTTTTTTAATGTTGAAGAAGAGTGATCTCTAACTTCAATGCCGTTAACCAATATTTCCTTTAATGCTATTTGTCAATCAGATGTCTTGTCCAGTAACAAACTATAGTATTTGTGTCCACTCTGCACCGATGGGATATGAAGCATATGTATTTACAAGGTTCAAGAGAGATAGGTTAAGGCGATAGGCTTGAAAATTTTATAATGAATAGTTTTTTGGGGGGTAGGCAAAAGTTTGCGGGAGGAAAGTATACATAATTTGAAGGTATCACCTTACTTTGTAATTCATAGAAATTGTTTGAGATGAATACAAACCTCGGTCCTCAAAAAGTATGTGCAGCTGCATTGCCTGGCTGCACAGTCAGGAAGATTTATTTTCAAAACTCCGCAAGCTACAGGCCCATGATTTTAAAAGTCTTTAGTCCTTTAAGCAGTAAATCAGCATTCAAGTGGCTGGTTAATCTCCCAAGGGCCAAAATGAAGTGCTCTGACCTAGATTATAACAGACTGACTGTTAGAAAACTCTTTCGGTAAGACCAAACCTAGGAAGCATGAAGTATAAACAGAGCCTGCAGATAAAAATTGCTGTGTTGGAGTCCTTCGTCACCTTCTCCTTGTCTCCTTTGAAGACTCCTGTGGACTTGAATCAAAAAAATAAAATAAAATAAAATCTTTTATTATGGGGAGTTGGTACCAAGTATTACAATTTTGTCTGACAAACTTAGTTTTTTAGGTTCAGCAACCATGAAAAGCCCTTAGCTCCTGTCTGAATTCTCAGCCTTTTCAGCTTGGAGATCTCATGGACTCTGTGTTACTACTGTCTGTACTTTTGCTCATCTATATTTTCAGCACACATTCAAAGCGAGAAGGCCACACATCAATGCAATCCATCACACCAAGGGATACGCTCCATTGTGAACAATGGCTCTGCCTAACAGTTGAAGAGGCCTTTAATCTCCTCGTATTTATCTAAGTTTACCAAAAAATTAAACCTCCTAGTTTACCCAAAGGGTAGGTCTTGGCTATGTGTAGATATTACCTTTTTCTAGAAAAGTCAGATTCTAAGAAGTATAGATGTGACAGAATCTTCTCTTTTCTCTCTGGAGGTTCAATATTTGAGTTTCAGAAATAAACTCGGCAGCCAGGCACAGTGGCTTATGCCTGTAATCCCAGCACTTTGGGAGGCCGAGGCAGGCAGATTACCTGCGGTCAGGAGTTCGAGACCAGCCTGACCAACATGGTGAAACCCCATCTCTACTAAAAATACAAAAAAATTAGCCAGGCGTGGTGGCAGACACCTGTAATCCCAGCTACTCAGGAGGCTGAGGCAGGAGAATCGCTTGAACCCGGGAGGCAGAGGTTGCAGTGAGCCGAGATTATGTCTCCGTACTCCAGCCTGGGCAACAGAGCAAGACTCTGTTTCAAAATAAATAAATAAATAAATAAACTCAACAGTAGACACATTAACAGGACAAAAGGGATACAAATGTATTATGTGCATACACACAGGGCTCCCACAAAGTTTGAGACTCAAAGAAGGCCAGATGGGTTGAAGCTTAAATAGCATTTTGAGCTACAGAAAGAAATAGGAGCTGGGGGCTCCTAGGGGATGATGACAACAAACTATAGGAGGGTGAGGAGAGGAACCGCACTGCCAACAAAGGTTGTCTTAATGTGCAGATAAATTCTCTCAGGTAGCAGCTCTCAGAAGGATAGGTGAAAAGTCTGTCTGGATGTGGTGTCCTGGGTATAGACCTTTAGTCTCTTTTCCTGAGATATGAGTTTTGTTGTTGTTGTATTGTTTTTTTGTTTTTTTTTTTTCTGAGACCGAGTCTCACTCTGTCACCCAGGCTGGAGTGCAGTGGCACGACCTTGGCTCACTGCGACCTCCACCTCCCAGGTTCAAGTGATTCTCCTGCCTCAGCCTCCCAAGTAGCTGGGACTACAGGCATGTGCCACTGTGCCCGGCTAATTTTTGTATTTTTAGCAGAGATGGGGTTTCACCATGTTGGCCAGGCTGGTCTCGAACTCCTGACCTCAGGTGATCCGCCCACCTCAGCCTCCCAAAGTGCTGGGATTACAGGCATGAGCCACTGCGTCCGGCCTACCAACACCAGTTTTATCTCTCCACACATTTCCTCTATTTTATGTTTATGTCTTTACCTTACAGGTTATTTGGTTAAATATGATAGAGGTCAATTATTTATTTATCCTGTTACAAAAAAATGTGTCAGCCTTCTGATTTATACTTTCAAAGACATTTAAGAAAGTTAGGACATTCAGGCCAGGTGCGGTGGCTCACGCCTGTAATCCCAGCACTTTGGGAGGCTGAGGTGGGTGGATCACGAGGTCTGGAGATCGAGACCATCCTAGCTAACATGGTGAAACCCCGTCTCCACTAAAAATACCAAAAATTAGCTGGGCGTGGTGGTGGACACCTGTAGTCCCAGCTACTCAGGAGGCTGAGGCAGGAGAATGGCGTGGACCCGGGAGGCAGAGCTTGCAGTGAGCTGAGATCGTGTCACTGCACTCCAGCCTGGGCAACAGAGCGATACTCCGTCTCAAAAAAAAAAAAAAAAAGAAAGTTAGAAAGCTAGGACAAACAACTTATAGAAATGGTCTGCAATGAGTATTCAGAGTATAAGTCACATACTAGAAACCAGTAAAATACTCTTGTGTCTAAGAAATAGTCAAGAAACTTGCCCTTTTGCTGCTTATATTCACAGTTTTCCAACTTTCATCTTCAAAATCTTTACAGTTTTGGACTGGTCAGTCAAAGTGCAACCAGACCTATATAATATTTATTCCTTTTCCTCAAAAATCCTCTGTGGCTGGTATACCATATGAATTACTGTGCCTTGAGTGTTGCCTGTCTGATGGCCTCAGGTAAATCTTTGTAATAAATTCTTGTGGGGTCCCATGGAGCTGTGGTGTTTGCCTGCATGCCCCATTGCCAAATGACAACCATGGGTCAGGCATTCTTTCCCGGGTGACTCATAAACCAACATACACGAGGCTGGGTGCAGTGCTCATCCCAGCACTTTGGAAGGCCGAGGTGGGCGGATCACCTGAGGTCGGGAGTTCGAGACCACGCTGACCAACATGGTGAAACCCTGTCTCTACTAAAAATACAAAATTAGCCAGGCATGGTGGCGCATGCCTGTAATCCCAACTACTTGGGAGGCTGAGGTAGGAGAATCGCTTGAACCCGGGAGGCGTAGGTTGTGGTGAGCTGAGATCGCACCATTGCACTCCAGCCTGGGCAACAGAGCGAAACTCTGACTCAGAACAGAAAACCAAAACCAAACCAAACCAAACCAAACAAAACAACCCAACATAACACAGTCTGACAATATTTCTTCCAGGCCTGGTGCTTGATCGTTGCTAATCAGTGGGAACACAGAAAGAAGATGGGTCATGACTTCTTCATATTTCCTAATTAATTGCAACCACTATGAGACGTAAGAACTTGAACCAGAGTGATTTAGAGAGCAAATTTGGTCTTCCCAATCCCCAGAGTTAGATCTTCCATGATGGTGCATTCTTCCTGTCCGGCTGCTGCTGTAGAAATTCCTGCAAAATTAAAGGCAAAGGTTTTCATTTCCTGATGGGGTTCTGGAGGCCACTGTGCTGTGATTTTCAGGAGAAACAGGGAGAGAACGACTGTAATTCCTCGAGAGGCCCTGAAAGGTCACCATACCTGAGTGTCCTTGAATTTATTGTGGTAGAGATGGTAGGGGAGGGCTCACTTGAAACATTCTCCCATCAGGGTAGTTTTTAGAAATTCTATGTCTCAGCAAGACTAACTGTTTAACATGTTCTCCATACCCTGGATTACCGAAATGCAGCTTTCACACTCTCATTGAAACTGTCTTTGCAAAGATTAAGACAGGCAGAAAAGTCTAGCATGGCTGACTCCATCTTGCTTCTAGCCTCACAGGCTGGCTGTCTTCACTCATTCCTAGGTGTAGGCCAAGCTAACGATGGGAGGAATTTAGTTTGTAATTTAACTTTGAAACAGGGATAATAACAGCCCCTCCCTAAAACTGCTCCCCTCCTTTTTCAGGGGCTGAAGCTGCCTTTGTAAAACTAATGAAAGGCCACAAGATTAGGATCATGGGAAGAGCCTGAATTCTGCTAAAACGTAAGTGAAGATTCTATAATCCCTTACTGCTCAGGAATCATGTGGCTAGAGGTCACAAGATTTGCGACTTCTCCAATTGCTCCAGTAGATAACATCACTATTGTAGAACCTAAGATTGGTCTTTTGAGATGTTTTTCAGACTAACCCCACCTGGACTCATGATTCAACCAGTCCTGTGGCCCCCAACCCAGAGGGAAACAGCGCACAAGGACCGTTTTCCACACCCCTATGATTGCGTCCCCAACCAATCAGCTGCACTTATTCCCTCTTCCCCTGCACACCAAACTATCCTTGAAAAACCCAAACCTCTAGGCCTTTGGGAAGAATGATTTGAGTACTAACTCTGTCTACCACATGGCTAGGCTAGTGTCAACTGAACTCTTTCTTTACTGCAGAAATAGTCAAGAAACTTGCCCTTTCGCTGCTTATATTCACAGTTTTCCAACTTTCATCTTCAAAAATCTTTACAGTTTTGGACTGGTTAGTCAAGGTGCAACCAGACCTATATAATTTTTATTCCTTTTCCTCAAAAATCCTCCATGGCTGGTATATCATATGAATTACCCTGCCTTGAGTATTGCCTATCTGATGCCAATCTATTGCCATCAGGATGTTGCCTATCTATTTCACAGTCTCAGTGAATTGTTTTTTGTCTGTGCAGTGGGCAGGAAGAACCTGTGAGACGATTACATCATTTTCTCAAGTTCTCAACCTATCAGGAGCTGAAATGCCACTTGAAGCACACACTATGCCAGATATCAGGAAAGGAGTAGAATTGGTAGTTAAAGCAACTGGAATTTAGATAGAGAAACAGCAGTCACCATTAATAAGGGTTGCCTCTCTAGTGCCGTCTCAACTGATTCTGTATAATTTTTCTGTCTACTTTATCAACAAGTGAGGGATGGGTGTTGAAAAATCTCCAACTACAATTATGGATTTATCTATTTCTCCTTTCAGTTCCATTTTTGGTTCATGTATTTGGGAGTTCTCTGCATTAGTTTTGAATGAGCAAATCCTGCCATTTTCTTGAGGTTATATTATCAATGGTATTAGGAGGTATAAAAAGCAGAAGAGGTTTAGAAACTTTAAAAAACAGAATAATGTCAATTAGAAACTGATGATATTTATTATCAAAATCTAAAACCAAGTTTCTTCATCAGACCAAGAACTAAAGTTTGTGTGTATGAGAGTGTGTATGAGTGTGTGTGTGTATGTGTGTCATGGTGCACCAGAAGCAATCTTCTCCATTTGTGTGACAATGTAAACAACAGTCACAGGAGTTCTACTGCAGAAGGTTTGTGTAACTTCCACCATTTCCATCAATAAGAGGAAACAAAAAATTGTGTGAGATCTAAACACAAAATTGTATAAGAAATAAACGTATAAAGCTATGACTCCACTTACTTTATTATAATCTTTTTGGGAAAAGATAAATTTGGATCTATACCTTTTAGTGTATATTATGTGTAAGAAAGGGGTAAGAATGCATATATATACTTGTTTAACTTGTAAAATGAAACTCCAGAAAGATGTCAGAAAATAATAAAAATAGTAACCTATGGAGCTTGAGGGGAAAGGGATGGAAGTGAGATTTCTTTAAGAATATCTTTTTTTTTGTTTTTTTTGTCTTTTTTTTGAGATGGAGTTTTGCTATATTGCTGAGGCTGGAGTGCAGTGGTGCAATCTCAGCTCACTACAACCTCTGCCTCCCAGGTCCAAGCAATTCTCCTGCCTCAGCCTCCCAAGTAGCTGGGATTACAGGTGCGTGCCACCACACCCAGCTGATTTTTGTATTTTTAGTAGACACAGGGTTTCACCATGTTGGCCAGGCTGGTCTCTGACTCCTGAGCTCAGGCAGTCCGCCCACCTCGGCCTCCCAAAGTGCTGGGATTATAGGCATGATCCACACCTGGATGTACGTTTATGTTTAATTGTGATAAAATACACATAACATAAAATTTACCATTTTAGTCATTTTTAAGTGTACAGTACAGGAGTGTGAAGTACATTCACATTGTTGTGTATTCAATCTCTAAAACTTTTTTCATCTTACAAAGCAAACCTGTTAAAAACAGCTTCTCATTCTTCCCTCTCCCCAGCCCCTGGCAACTACCATTCTTCTTTCTCTCCCTATTAATTTGACTCCTTTAGGTACCTTAAATAGGTGAAAGCATACAGTATTTGTCTTTTTGTGTCTGGCTTATTTCACTTAGCATAATGTCCTCAAGTTCATCCATGCTGTAGCATGTATCAGAATTTTCTTCCTTTTTGAAGCTGAATAGATATTCCATTGTATATATACAACACATTTTGTTTCTCCATTCATCCAAAAGACACTTGGGTTGCATCAATAGACCTTTTGGCTATTGTGAATAATGAAGTTAAAACATGGGGGTAAAAATATCTATCTGTTCAAGTCCTTGATTTCAATTTTTTTAGGTATATACTTTTTCACATACTTTTAACTCTGAACTTTGTGTGTATTGTCTGTAAAAAATTAAGTTAATTAAAAAGAAAAAAGCAAACCCTACAACAAAAATCAAGCCCTCGAGTTGAAAACATAGGAACCTATCAAACTGGTATTATAACCACAAAAGCCCTTTACAGAGGAACAAAAGGCAATCAATACAAGAAAGAATGGTGAATGGAAGGATCATCAATGGATTATAAAGTCATTAAATGAAAACATGTTGTGGAACAATTCATATTAATGGTGCCAAATTATAACCCCCCAATTTTTTTTTTTTTTTTTTTGGAGACGGAGTCTCGCTCTGTCGCCCAGGCTGGAGTGCAATGGTGCGATCTTGGCTCACTGCAACCTCCGCCTCCTGGGTTCAAGCAATTCTCCTGCCTCAGCCTTCTGAGTAGCTGGGATTTCAGGCGCCTGCAACCACACCCGGCAATTTTTTTGTATTTTTTTGTATTTTTAATAGAGATGGGGTTTCACCATGTTCACCAGGCTAGTTTTGAACTCCTGACCTCAGGTGATCCACCTGCTTTGGCCTCCCAAAGTATTGGGATTACACGCATGAGCCACTGTGCCCGGCTAAGATTTCTTGATAATTTCAAAGAAAAAGAAATGTATTTATAAGGGAGAGAACTCATTGTCCATCACCATAACCAATGCCCACACTCAGAGCAGAATGACATACCTGACATTGTGTCCTTCAAGAATGAAATCATTACCTACGAAGTATTCTTGGCGAAAGAATGTTAAACCAAGATATATCTAGGCCCTTAAACTTCTAGTTCACAGGAAATATAAGAGCTCAGGAATGAAGTCAAATGATGCCAAGAGTAAACAACCTAATACACACAGAATGTGGAACATTCTATATAGAAGAACTTCTTGATACTTTCAAAATGTCAATGCTATTTTAAAAAAAAAATGGTGGGGGGGTGGGGAGGTCGGGCGCAGTGGCTGACGCCTATAATCCCAGCACTTTGGGAAGCTGACGTGGGCAGATCACCTGAGGTCAGGAGTTCGAGACCAGCCTGACCAGCATGGCAAAAGCCCGTCTCTACTAAAGATATAAAAATTAACTGGGCGTGGTGGTGCACTCCTGTAATCTCAGCTACTTGGGAGGCTGAGGCTAGAGAATTGCTTGAACCCGGGAGGCAGAGGCTGCAGTGAGCAGAGATCACGCCAGTGCACTCCAGCCTGGGTGACAGAGTGAGACTCCATCTCTAAAAATTTTTTAAAAAATTAATTTTAAAATTAAAAAAAAAAGGAGAGAGGGGGAACTGTTAGAATAAAAGAGACTAAAGCAATACAACAACCAAAGGCAATGCATATATATTGTTTTAACACTGGTGCAAAAAAATCAGCCATAAAAGACAATTTTGGAACAAGTAGAAAAATTCAAATGTAGACTGAGTGTTGTAGGATATTAGAAAAATACTGTTTATTGCCAGGCCTGGGGCTCACACCTGTAATCTCAACACTTTGGGAGGTTGAGGCGAGCAGATCACGAGGTCAGGAGATCGAGACCAGCCTGACCAACATGGTAAAACCCCATCTCTATTAAAAATACAAAAAAAAAAAAAAAATTAGCTGGGCATGGCGACACGTGCCTGTAATCCCAGCTACTCAGGAGGCTGAGGCAGGAGAATCACCTGAACCTGGGAGGCAGAGGTTGCAGTGTGAGCCGAGATCGCGCCACTGCACTCCAGCCTGGCAACAGAGCTAGACTCCGTCTCCAAAAAAAAAAAGAAAAAGAAAATAAAGAAAAATACTGTAATACTGTTTATTTTCTCAGATGTGTTAACAGTACGTGATTATGTAAGAGAATATTCTTATTCTTCTTATCGTACAGATATATTCAAATATGACAAAATATGTTAACATCTCTGTAGTAGGTACATGGGTGTTGAATCTGAATGATGTGTCTAAGGCTGTTCATTGTACTATTCCTTTAAAATTTTCATATTCTCTGTATGTTTAAAGTTTTTTTTAATGACATACACTTGAAAAAGTAAAAGACTGAGCTTTGAGAATCAGTCCAAAGGGCATATCCATATGCGCTGGCAGAGGTTCCACACTGAAATTCCACACCATGGAATTCTCAGTTTAGCCATAGAGAGGAGATTTGAGACCTAGAAAGTTAATGCTTGTCTAGATCTTCTTTTCCCAAAAAGAGATAGAATTCAGTGACTGCATTTTAATTTTAGGGCTCCAAACAAAAGTTTCAGAAAGGGACTTTTTAGCCTTTACTAATTGTAAATTAATCAGCTCTCCAGTGGTGAGAAGGTCTCCTTCTTTCTTCACCCACCAGCCCCTCCCCAGGATTTATGCTTTGGTCAAGAATGAGACTTTTTTTTTTTTTTTTTTTTTGAGATGGAGTTTCGCTCTTGTTGCCCAGGCTGGAGTGCAATGCTACGATCTCGGCTCACTGCAACCTCCGCTTCCCGGGCTCAAGTGATTCTCCTGCCTCAGCCTCCCGAGAAGCTGGGATCACAAGCATGTACTGACACCCCCGACTAATTTTGTATTTTCAGTAGAGACGTGGTTTCTCCATGTTGGTCAGGCTGGTCTTGAACTCCCGACCTCAAGTGATCCGCCCGCCTCAGCCTCCCAAAGTGCTGGGATTACAGGCGTGAGCCATTGTGCCTGGCCTAAGAATGAGACATTTTATAAAACCCAGAAAAGCTCTTAAAGAACAAAACATGGTTACATAGTTGATAGTGATGAAAAGAACACTGGCATAATTATGGTCTGTAATATTTTGAAGGATGATTAATACTTTTTAGTTATTGCATAGAATGGTTGTGTGAAATAGTAGTTAAGAGGATAGGCTCTGGATTTAGACTGCCCGGGTTCAATACTGGAGTCTCTCACTTAGGTACTGTGCAAGATAGGAACTGACCAAATCATCTTCTGTGCATATAAATGAAGATAATGGTAGTACCAACCTCATATTGTATGAGAATGGGAATGATAAACAAGGCATGCAACATTATTAGCACAGTTCCTAGTGAAAAGTAAGTCCAGAAATGTTAACTATTATTCTAATTCTTACTCACTGAAGGGAAGTGAACACTTATGAATAAATGAAAAAATAGACCCCTATGGGGCTTCAAAACATCAACAGGCAGGAGGTACATTTTAACCACTCAGTAACTTAGCTTAAGTTTACTGTGAATTTATTTCCGTGAACTTCCTGAGGATTTTTTCAGCACAGACCTGGCACCACTTGTCCATCTCCAGCATCCTGAGGGAAGCTGGAGTTACAACACTGTAGGGAGAGCTAAAGAATTACAATGTCCTTTGACAACGTGGAACAGTGATGCTCTGTTTCACTAGCTTAGTGTCTACAGAATGAGCTGTTCACCCTCTCAGTGTGAACTGTTTTCGTACTTCTTCCCAGCAGGTGCCAAAATGTACAACGGTTGCTAAATTATCTGAATGGTTGTTGGAAATAAAAACTATTTTTAACGGCATTTATTATTTCTTGTCTGAGAGCTTATTTCAAATACTTTAGTATTCCTGGCAGGTGATATGGCATTATGATTTCACTGATTACGCACCGAGCACCCAAAGACACCAATTTAGCTTCTGAAAGCTTCTAGTTTACCTATTAATATCTATCTATCTATCTATCTATCTATCTATCTATCTATCTATCTATCTACCTATCTACAGTTATCTTGAAATACCCCCACAAATAAGCAATACAATGAGATATGTGAATATCAGATCTTCCTTTTTATATTGCTACTGTACCTATCACAAATGCATTACTATTTAAAACAAAATTTTTTTTTTAAATGGAGTCTTGGTGCGAAGCCCAGGCTGAAGTGCAATGGGGCGAACTCGGCTCACTGCGACCTCAGCTTCCCGGGTTCCAGCAATTCTGCCTCAGCAGCTGGAACTACATGCATGTGCCACCACACCAGGCAAATTTTTGTATTTTTAGTAGAGACAGGGTTTCACCATATTGGCCAGGCTGGTCTCGAACTCCTGACCTCAAGTGATCCACCTGCCTTGACCTCCCAAAGTGCTAGTATTACAGGCATGAGCCACCACGCCCAGCCTAAAATTTTGCCAACTCAAGCCCTGGAACTCTGTTTCCCAATATTTTTGGATGATTACAGTTTCATCACATAACTGTGTTCTTTATTCTCAAACTGTGGCTGGGTCCTGCAAATTACAGCTACAAGCCTATGCCTCTGCAATGATTGAGTCTCTATTGATTTAAAAGCGGCAAGGAGGAAACTTTGCTGAATCGTTTCAATGGTTGGTGTCAATAGAAAGTCCTTACTCAATGTCTCCCATTTTGGGCAATACATGTATTTGAACTGACGATGGAAAGTCAATTATATGTACAAAAAAGCATATCATATAATGCCAACTTTGTTGTGGTTTTCAACACCATAATATTTCTATAGTCCATGGTGAGGTCTGGATTCAACATCTAGTCCAGAATGCTGGCAAAATCAGACTTGAAGGAGTGTCCCATACACATGTAACCATTCCCTTTCGTTCCCTTCCCAAAAACCACATTGGTCCTCTGCCAGACATTTAAGGCCTTTACATGTCTCCCCTAGAAAGTTACACGTGGTTGCAATCCATCTTATGCCAACTTTCTCTTCTTTTATGGGGTTCTCATATGGGGAACCATGAGTTCAAGAGTCAAAGGACTAGCTTGGAACTTCATATATCAGGCAGGACTGCAACGTGGTGATTATCTTTGAAGGATAATTACAGATGAAGCAAAATAAATTTCTCAATCACGTTCTTCCAGGCATTCTGACCATCTTGAGTCATGACATTAGCTTTTCATTATAAACCTTTCCTGTTTTTTTTTTTTTTTTTTTGACAGAATCTCACTCTGTTGCCCAGGCTGGAGTGCAGTGGCCCAATCTCAGCTCACTACAACCTCCGCCTCCCAGGTTCGAGAGATTCTCCTGTCCCAGCCTCCTGAGTAGCTGGGACTACAGGTGCATGCCACCAGGCCCAGCTAATTTTTGTATTTTTAGTAAAGATGGAGTTTTGCCATGTTGGCCAGGCTACTCTTGAACTCGTGACCCCAAGTGATCCACCTGCCTCAGCCTCCCAAAGTGCTGGGATTACAGGCATGAGCCATCACGCCCGGCCTTAAGCCTTTCTTAAACATTATCTTGTACTGGCAAAGCTCAAGATTGGTTTCTGAATGATACCTATTCCTCCAAGAGCAAGGTGCTGAATTCTTCTTTGTGTAGTTGTTCAGTACAGCTATAGAGTTGTTAGCCTATTTTACCTCTAGATGGCCATAGAGAAGTAGATGTGACAGTCAATGTTCACTGATAAATTTTTGAATGGTGCTCAGGATGTTCTGATGAGAAATGTGGCTGGTATTTTTCAACCCGGACAAGGTTTGTACTACTGTCTGCCGTGAGGGTGATCAGCTCTGAGTGGACCCAAGAAAATTGTTATGTTCCTAACATGTCCTCACAGTTAATAATAGATCTCTGAATATGTTATGTTTCCAATGTGTCTTCACAGCTAATAATAGAACCCTGACATTGTCACATGAGTGTAAGCAAACAAAAAACACCTCCTCTGAAATCCTACCATCCAGAGATTGTCAAGAGATTGTCATTGTAGGCCCGGTGTGGTGGCTCATGCCTGTAATCCCAACACTTTGGGAGGCTGAGGTGGGTGGATCACCTGAGGTCAGGAGTTCAAAGCCAGCCTGGGCAACATGGTGAAACCCCATCTTTACTAAAAATACAGAAATTAGCCAGGCGTGGTGGTGGGCAGCTATAACTCCACCTACTGGGGAGGCTGAGGCAGGAGAATCGCTTGAACCTGGGGGGTGAGGGGCAGAGGTTGCAGTGTGCAAAGATCACGCCACTGCACTCCACCTTGGGCAACAGAGCAAAACTCCATCTCAAAAAAAAACAAAAAAAAAATAAAAAAAGAGAGAGATTGTCATTGTAAACATTTTGGTATAAATCCTTGCAAATTTTTTCCAAATCTTTACCTTCTTTGTCTACCAACATATCACAAACATCTGTTAAAAAATTATATATATATATATATATATATGATTTCATGGCTATATAACATTCCATTGAATCACAATTAATTACCAATAGCTAAAACTTATTGGAGCTAATGATCAAATATCTGATCAACCAATATGTGGATGTTTTCTTTGAAGAAGGAGTTTACTGTACCTTTAGAGACGTCCTGCTCCTACTGTTCCACGGTCACCTTCCCAATATTCATCACCACTCTTGCCTATCCACCAGGTTCCATTGAAAGGACACTTCAGACATTGGCTCCAGAAACTTTTTGGAAAGTAGGACAGAAATTAAGGTATCCTATTAAACTATCCTAGGATTAGTCATTTATTCTATTTTTCCATCTTGAGTTATGCCCTACTGATATGGTTTGGCTGTGTCCTCAGCCAAATCTCATCTTGAATTGTAGCTCCCATAATCCCCATGTGTTGTGGGAGGGACCTGGTGGGAGGTAACTGAATCACGGGGGCATTTTTTTCCCATGCTGTTCTCATGTTAGTGAATACGTCTCACGAGATCTGATGGTTTTTAAAAAGGGCAGTTCCCCTGCACACGCTCTCTTGCCTGCTGCCATGTAAGATGTTTTTCAGGGAAATTGAATGAACCCAAAGAACAATGGCTGGGGACAAAGTTCCTCTGAGCTCTAGGGGAGGTGGCAGGAAGGTGAGGGGTGGAAGTTCACTCTGAACAAAGGTTGTCTAATTATGCAGATAAAGTCTCCCAGGAAATCTCTCAGCTGCCCTTAGAAGAATAGATGAAAACCATATCTGGGACGGGCGCAGTGGCTCATGCATGTAATCCTAGCACTTTGGGAGGCTGAGGTGGGTGAATCACTTGAGCCCAGGAGTTAGAGGCCAACCTGGGCAACATGATGAAACCCCATCTCTACCCAAAATACAAAAATTAGGTGGGCATGGTGGTGCGCACCTGCAGTTCTAGCTACTCAGGTGGCTGAGGTGGGAGAATCGCTTGAGCCTGAGAGGTCGAGGCTGCAGTGAGCTGTGATCATGCCACTGCACTTCTGCCTGGGTAAGAGAGCGAGACCCTGTCTCAAAAGAAAAATAAAAGTCTGTCTAGACATGGTGATAACTTTTAGTCTTTTTTCTTTTTCAGGTGTTAATCTTTCCTGGTTACTTGATGAGATTCCTGGGAAGATGGTTTAAGACCACTGCATTTCTTTTGGAGAGAAGTTTCCTTAGTCAGATAAGGAAATTCCAGAGAGATCCCTCTCCTACACTTGGCAGGGCGGGGAAGGGGGTGCGCTAGGGGTTGGGGAAGGAGAAGAAACAAGAAAAGATTAGGAAGTACTTGGTTCCGAGACACCTTTTAAAGTCTTCTGTTTCTTTCAATGCAAAGTAATCAGCATGCCAAAACACCATACCTTGAGGTGTCATTTTCTGAACTCCAGCAGTTGTGTTAAGTTTCTATTCTGCTATAACAAATTACCACAGACTTTTTGGCTTAAAACAACCCAAATCTATTTTGTTACAGTTCTGTATGTTAGAAGTTTGACATGGGTCTCATTGGGCTACAATAAAGGTGTTTGCAGGATTGTGTTCCTTTTTGGAAGCATTAGGAGAGAAACTATTTCCTTGCCTTTGAATACTATGATTCTGGGTGGGTGTTATTCTGGTGGCTCATGCCTGTAATCCTAGCACTTTGGAAGGCCAAGGTGGGCAGATCCCCTGAGGTCAGGAGTTTGAGACCAGCCTGGCCAACATGGCGAAACCCCGTCTATACTAAAAATGCAAAAATTAGCCGGGTGTGATGGCATGTACCTGTAATCCTAGCTATTTGGGAGGCAGCAAAATCGCTTGAACCTGGGAGGTGGAGGTTGCAGTGAGCTGAGATTGAGTCACTGCACTCCAGCCTGGGCAACACAGTGAGACTCTGTCTCAAAAAAAAAAAGAATACTATTAATCTGCCGATTACAATGGCTATGAAGATTATGTAGTAGCAGCCAGCAAAATGCTTATTATGTAATGTTCAGAGGAAAAATATTATATTTTTTATTTTCATATTATGATAACATTTTATGAGATAAATACACAGTGAAAATAAGAACAGAACTAAATGTATCAAATGCTAAAGTAATTTTTCTTAGATTAGAAGAGAATTTTTAAAGCCTTTTTACCATGCTAACACTAATCAAAAGAAAGCTGAAGTTGCTGTATTAATTTAGACAGTAGGCTTCACAACAAAAGTTATTACGGATAAAGAGGGGTGTTACATAATGATACAGGGTCAATTCTCTAAGAGACACAACAACCCTTAATGTGTGTGCATGTAAAAACAGAGTTTCAAAATACATGAGGCAAAAATGGATAGAAATGCAAGGAAAAATAAATGAATCCACTATTATAGTTGGAGACTTCAACACTATTCTGGTTCTATCAGGAATAGGCCCAGCATGTAGAAATCATTAAGGATATAGTTGAACTCAACAGCACTATCATCAACTGGATATAATTGACACCCATAGAATATTTCATCCAATACCAGCAGAATACATATTCTTTTCAAGCTCATATAAAACATTTACCAAAATAGACCACATTCTGGGCCATAAAATACATCTTAACAAGTTTAAATAGATAGAAATGATAAATCTCTGCTTTTAGACTACAGTGAAATTAAACTAGAAATTAATAACAGAAGATAGCTGGAAATTCCTCCAACTTGGAGATTAACAGCACACTGCTAAACAACCAAGATCACAGAAGAACTCTTGGCTGGGCACGGTGGCTCACTCCTGTAATCTCTGCACTTTGGGAGGCCAAGACGGGTGGATCACATGAGGTCAGGAGTTCAAGACCAGCCTGGCTAACATGGTGAAACCCCGTTTCTACTAAAAATACAAAAAATTAGCCGGGTGTGGTGGCACACGCCTGTAATCCCAGCTACTCGGGAGGCTGAGGCAGGAGAATTGCTTGAACCTGCGAGGCAGAGATTGCAGTGAGCAAAGATCGCACCATTGCACTCCAGCCTGGGCAACAAGAGTGAAACCCCATCTCCAAAAAAAAAAAAAAAAAAAAAAAAAACTCTCAAGAGAAATTTTAAAAAATTTAACTAAGTGAAAATAAAAATAAAACAACAAAATTTGTGGGATGCAGTGAAATGCTGCTTAAAGGAAAACTTACAGCATTGAGTATATATATTCATTTTATTTTATTTTATTTTTTGAGATGGAGCCCTCCTCTGTCACTCGGGCTGGAGTGCAGTGGCATGATTTTGGCTCACTGCAACCTCTGCCTCCCCGATTCAAGCAATTCTTCTGCCTCAGCCTCCCAAGTAGCTGGTTAATTTTTGTATTTTTAGTAGAGATCAGGTTTCACTGTGTTGGCCAGGCTGGTCTCAAACTCCTTACCTCAGGTGATCCACCTGCCTCAGCCTCCCAAAGTGCTGGGATTATAGGCATGAGCCACTAGGCCCAGTTGAATATATATATTTAAAAAGAAGGCCAGTCATGGCGGTCCACACCTGCAATCCTGGAACTTTGGGAGGCCAAGGTGGGAGTCCAAGGTGGGATGAGTTTGAGACTAGCCTGAGCAACACAGTGAGACCCCACCTCTATTTATTAAAAAAAATTTTAAATAAAAGAAGTAAGATGTAAAATAAATAATCTAAGATTCCACCTTAGGAAACCAGAAAAAGAACAAATTAAATTCAAAGTAGGCAGAAGAAAATAAATAATACAAATTAGGGTAGAAATCAATAAAATTTAAACCAGGAAATTGATAGAGAAAAATCAATAAAATTAAAAACCAGTTTCTATTAAGAGATCAATAAAATTGACAAGCCTCTAGCCAGGATAACAAAAAAACAAAATAGAGAGATAGAGACAAGACGCAAATTACTAGTATCAGAAATGAAAGAAGGAATATTACTACAGATCCTATAGATATTTAAAGGATGATTAAAAAAATACTATGAACAACTCTATGCCCACAAATTTGATGAGCTAGGTAAAATGATCAGTTTTTTTGAAAGACATAATCTGCCAAAACTCACACAAGAAGGAATAAACAATCCGAATAAACCCACATCTATTAAAGAAATATCTATTAAAGACCTTGTATTAGTCTGTTTTCATGCTGCTGATAAAGACATATCCAAGACTGGGTAATTTATAAAGAAAAAGAGGTTGAATGGGCTTGCAGTTCCACGTGGCTCAGGAGGCCTCACAATCATAGCAGAAGGTGAAAGGCACATCTTGCATGGTGGCAGACAGGACAGGATGAGAACCAAGCAAAAGGGGTTAGCCCTTATAAAACCATCAGATCTCATGAGACTTATTCACTACCATGAGAACAGTATGGGGGAAACTGTCCCCATGATTCAATTATCTCTCACCAGGTCCCTTCAGCAACTCGTGGGAATTATGGGAGCTACAATTCAAGATGAGATTTGGGTGGGGACACAGCCAAACTATATCAGACCTATGTCTATCATATTAATAACCTTCCAAGACAGAAATCAACAGTCCCAAATCGATTATCAGTAAATTCTCTCAAATATTTAAGGAAGAAATTGTGCCAATTCTCTACAAGTTCCTTCAGAAGATAGAATCAGAAGGAATACTTTCAAACTTATTCTACGAGGCAATCATTACCCTAATACCAAACAAAAAAAATTACAAGAAAAGAAAGCTACAGACCAATATCTCTCATGAACATAGATGAAAAAAATCCTAAAAAAATTGAGCAAATCAAATTCAACGAGTAAAAAAAATTATACATCACAATGAAATGACTTTTATTTCAGGTATGCAAGGCTGATTCAACATTAGAAAATCAATTAATATAATCCATCACATCAACAGGGCAAAAAAGAAAAATCACATGATTATATCAATAGATGCTGACAAAGCATTTGACAAAATTCAACCCACATTTGTAATAAGAACTCTCAGCAAACTAGGAATAGAGGACTTTTTAAAAATCTGATAATAAACATCTACAAAAAAATACAGCTAATGCAAAAGGCAAGAAGAGGAAATAAAAAAATATATATAAATTAGAAGGAAGAAATGAAACTATCTTTGTTCTTGGATGACATGATTGTCTAGGCAGATCATCCAAAAGAATTAGCAAAAATACTCCTAGAGCTAATACATGTTACAGCAAGGGTGCAGGATAGAAGCATAATATACAAAAGTCAATTACTTTCCTATATACCGGCAATGAACAAGTAGAATTTGAAATTAAAAACACAATACCATTTACATCAACATCCCCCAAAATGAAATAAAGTTGACCCTTAAACAGCATAGGTTTGAACTTGTCAGGTCTACTTGTTTGAGAATTTTCTTCTGCTTCTGATACCCCCGAGATAGAAACACCAAACCCTCCTCTTCATCTATCTCTTCAGCCTACTTGACATAAAGAACATGAAGATGACTTTCATGATGATCCACTTCCACTTGATAAATAGTAAATATATTTTCTCTTCCTTTTGATTGTTTTAATAACATTTTCTTTTCTCTAGCTTATTTTATGGGAGGAGTACAGTACAGTTGACCCTTGAATAATTCAGGGACATGACCCTCCACACATTAGAAAATCCAAGTATAACTTTTGGCTCCCCAAAAACTTACCTACAAATAGCCTACTGTTGATTGGAAGCCATACTGATAATATAAGCAGGCAATTAACACCTAAAGGTGTGCTAAAAATCACTGACATGAGGCAGATTGATTAATAGGAGAAAAGACATACACTTTTTTTTTTTTTTTGAGACAGGGTCTCATCTGTCACCCAGGCTGGAGTGCAGTGGCGCGAACTTAGTTCACTGCAACCTCCGCCTCCTGGGTTCAAGCGATTTTCCTGCCTCAGCCTCTCAAGCAGCTGGGACTACAGGCGTGTGCCACCTTGCCTGGCTAATTTTTTGTATTTTTAGTAGAGACGGGTTTCACCATGTTAGCCAGGCTGGTCTCGATCTCCTGACCTCACGATCCGCCTGCCTCAGCCTCCCAAAGTGCTGGGATTACAGGTGTGAGCCACCACACCCAGCCAGCATACACATTTATTTAACATGTGTACATAGGAGCCTTCAGAATGAAGACCCAAAGATACAGGGGAAATCGTCCATTTTTATGTTTAGGTTCAACAAAGTATGGACAGCTATGTAGAAATATAAGTGGACAAAAAGGGTCTGATCTAATGTTAATAGACAGCAAGGCCTGTCTGCCCGGATTCTTCTTGCCCTCTCTGAGCATGAGTTCCCGCCTTCTGAGTATGGGGCAGGGCCCTCTCTGGAATGGGGGTTTCATGACCTCCAGTCAAACAAGGTCCCTCAGGTGATTTCTTTATGGCTAGTTTTTACATAGAATATTTTTAGGTTTTATGGCTGGCTTTCAGGAAAAGGAGTTCTGGTTTCTAAGACCTGCCCGGGGAAGAGGGATTCTAGTTTCTACGGCTAGCCTCAGGAGAGAATGGGCCTGAGAGACAGGGGAGCAGGAGATGGTCAGAGAAAAACTTTTGCTTCTGAGGCTGCTGCTGAGACCTTCATTTTGGGGTATTGTTTTCTGAGCTCCAGGAAATATTTTGTATGTTATATAAGTTATATACTATGCTTACAATAAAGTAAGCTAGAGAAAAGAAAATGTTGTTAAGAAAAAAACGTATTTCTACATAGTTGTCCATACTCACTCTCACTTAGGCTGGAGTGCAGTGGCATGATGTCGATTGACTGCAGCCTCAAACTCTTGGGCTCAAGGGACCCTCCCACATCAACCTCCCTCCCGAGTAGCTGGGACTACAGGTGCACACCACCTTGCCTGGCTAACTTTTGTATTTTCTGTAGAGATGGAGTCTTACTATATTGCCCAGGCTGGTGGCAAAACTCCTGGGCTCAAGTGATCTGCCTGCCTCAGCCTCCCAAACTGCTGGGATTACAGGCATGAGCCACCATGCCTGGCCCAGAAAAATCTTAATAAAGAGAAAATACATTTACAGTTCTGTACAGCTACTGTAAGTTTATGAGGTTTTTTGTTTGTTTGTTTGTTTGTTTTGAGACAGAGTCTTGCTCTGTCGCCCAGGCTGGAAGGCAGTGACACCATCTTGGCTCACTGCAACCTCCACCACCCAGGTTCAAGTGATTCTCCTGCCTCAGTCTCCTGAGTAGCTGGGACTACAAGTGTAGCCCATTACTCCTGGCTAATTTTTGTATTTTTACTAGAGACAGGGTTTTGCCACATTGGCCAGGCTGGTCTCAAATTCTTGGCCTCAAGTGATCCACCCGCCTCAGCCTCCTGAAGTGCTGAGATTACAGGGATGAGCCACAGCGCCCAGCCTATGTGGTCTATTTACAAGATGAATCATCTGTCTGAAATGGCAGGCAACCACAGCTGCAGACCTCAATCTGCAGTACATATCAAGCAATGAACATTTTCTTGCAGTGTCATGACTTTTCTTTGCTTATTGGGAGTACTTCCAACATCACTAGTGGCACTATGTGTGGCTCCCATAGTGTTATTCAAGGTTTACAGTATTGCACTAAACATGATGAACAAATATGTGAGATCTGCAAGAAATCACTTTTACGGTGATGCAAAATGTACTAGAGAGATGAACTGCTCATGTGGAGATGATTAGTTAGCATCACACGGTGTTTTAAGCAGATACTCGAAATACTTGACCTCATCACAATAGCTTGAGGAGGTGGTTACAAAATTATTACAGTGCAGTATGTACTACAGTGTATTTTATAAGGTTATGATTTAATACCTCATCTTTATATTTGTTTACATTCTGTTGACTGTGAATGGTGCCACGTGTGGTCTGTAAGTGCTTGTGTGCATAAACTTTGATAAATTTTACCTTTTTATTAAAGGCTTTTGTTTATTTCATGGTAGTAAACGATAACATAGACTGGTATCTACATATATTTTATGCATCCATGATAAACCTATTTCCTATTTTTTTCATTATTTCTAGGCTACACAGTTCATCCGTGAATTTTTTCAAATTGTTTCAAATCTCAAAAAAATTTTCCAATACATTTATGAAGAAAAATCTTTGTAGGCCAGGTGCAGTGGCTCATGCCTGTAATCCTGTAATCCCAGCACTTTGGGAGGCCAAGGCAGGAGGATCACCTGAGGTCAGGAGTTCGAGACCAGCCTGGCCAACGTGGTGAAACCCCGTCTCTACTAAAAATACAAAAAAAAAAAAAAAAAATTAACCAGGCATGGTGGTGGGCACCTGTAATCCCAGCTACTCAGGAGGCTGAGGCAGGAGAATCACTTGAGCCTGGGAAGTGGAGGTTACAGTGAGCTGAGATCATGCCATTGCACTCCAGCCTGGGCTACAAGAGCGAGAGTCCATCTCAAAAAACAAAAACAAGAAAAGAAAAGAAAAAAATCTTTGTATAAGTGGACCCACATTCTTCAAAGCCATGTTGCTCAAGTGTCAACTATATACAACATGTACATAGTTTGATATATATACAAAATATGTGTTAATTTACTGCATATGTTATCAGTATAGCTTCTGGTCAACTGTAGGCTATTAGTGGTTAAGTTTTTGGGGAGTCAAAAGTTACACTTGGATCTTCAACTCCATTGCGGGGTCAGCACCCCTAATCCCCTCATTGTTCAAGAGTTGACATAGATATAACTTTAACAAACTATGTACAAGTTCTATATACAAAACTCTGATAGTAAAAAAAAACAAAGAACTAAATTAATGAAGACATATTTCACACTCATGGAGAGGAAGACTCAATATTGTTAAAATGTCAGTTCTTCCCCATGTGATCAATAGATTCAACACAATTTTAATCAAAATTCCAGCAAGTTATTTTGTGAATGTTAATAAACTGATTGATTCTAAAGGTTATACGAGATGCAGAAGATCCAGAATAGGCAACAAAATGTTGAATGAGAAGAACAAAGTCAGAAGACTAAAAAAAAGCCAGAGGATAAATACTTTCCAACTTCAAAGTTTACTATAGGCTGGGCGCGGTGGCACACGCCTGTAATCCAGCACTTTGGGAGGCTGAGGCATGCAGATCATGAGATCAAGAGATCGAGACCATCCTGGCCAACATGGTGAAACCTTGTCTTTACTAAAAATACAAAAATTAGCTGGGCATGGTGGCACGTGACTGTAGTCCCAGCTACTTGGGAGGCTGAGGCAGGAGAATTGCTTGAACCCGGGAGGTGGAGGTTGCAGTGAACTGAGATCACGCCACTGCACTCCAGCCTGGTGACAAAGCAAGACTCGATCTCAAGAAAAAAAAAAAAAGTTTACTATAGAGGCCGGGCACGGTGGCTCATGATTGTAATACCAGCACTTTGGGAGGCCAAGGCAGGTGGATCACGAGGTCAGGAGCTCTAGATCAGCCTGACCAACATGATGAAACCCCATCTCTACTAAAAATACAAAAATTAGCTGGGCATGGTGATGCGCACCTGTAATCCCAGTTACTCCAGCTATTCAGGAGGCTGAGGCAGGAGAATCGCTTGAACCAGGGAGTTGGAGGTTACAGTGAGCCGAGATAGCGCTACTGCACTCCAGCCTGGGCGACAGAGTGAGATTCCGTCTCAAAACAAAGAAGTTTACTATAAAGCTTCAGTCATCAAACAGTGTGGCACTAGTAAAAGAACAGACAAATAGAGCAGTGGAGAAGAATAGAGAGACCAGATATAGACTCACACAAATATAGTCAACTGATCTTTCACAAAGGAGCAAAGGCAAAGCAATAGAGAAAAGATAGTCTTCTCAACAAAATGATACTGGAACAATATCATTGGGCCTTTTTTAATTTTAAAAAAATTAATCCAACACCATTTTTAAAGAATATCACTCTCCCTCTCCCTCTCCCTCTCCCCACGGTCTCCCTCTCCCGCTCTTTCCACGGTCTCCCTCTGATGCTGAGCCGAAGCTGGACTGTACTGCTGCCATCTCGGCTCACTGCAACCTCCCTGCCTGATTCTCCTGCCTCAGCCTGCCGAGTGCCTGCGATTGTAGGCGCGCGCCGCCACTCCTGACTGGTTTTCGTATTTTTTTGGTGGAGACGGGGTTTTGCTGTGTTGGCCAGGCTGGTCTCCAGCTCCTAACCGCGAGTGATCCGCCAGCCTCGGCCTCCCGAGGTGCCGGGATGGCAGACGGAGTCTCGTTCACTCAGTGCTCAATGGTGCCCAGGATGGAGTGCAGTGGTGTGATCTCGGCCCGCTACAACCTCCACCTCCCAGCCGCCTGCCTTGGCCTCCCAAAGTGCTGAGATTGCAGCCTCTGCCCAGCCGCCACCCCATCTGGGAAGTGAGGAGCGTCTCTGCCTGGCCACCCATCGTCTGGGATGTGAGGAGCCCCTCTGCCTGGCTGCCCAGTCTGGAAAGTGAGGAGCGTCTCTGCCCGGCCGCCATCCCATCTAGGAAGTGAGGAGCGCCTCTTCCCTGCCGCCATCCCATCTAGGAAGTGAGGAGCGTCTCTGCCCGGCCGCCCATTGTCTGAGATGTGGGGAGTGCCTCTGCCCCGCCGCCCCGTCTGGGATGTGAGGAGCGCCTCTGCCCGGCCGCTACCCCGTTTGGGAGGTGAGGAGCGTCTCTGCCTGGCCGCCCCATCTGAGAAGTGAGGAGACCCTCCGCCCGGCAGCCACCCCGTCTGGGAAGTGAGGAGCTTCTCCGCCCGGCAGCCACCCCGTCCGGGATGGAGGTGGGGGTCAGCCCCCCGCCCGGCCAGCCGCCCCGTCCGGGAGGTGAGGGGCGCCTCTGCCCGGCCGCCCCTACTGGGAAGTGAGGAGCCCCTCTGCCCGGCCACCACCCCGTCTGGGAGGTGTGCCCCACAGCTCATTGAGAACGGGCCATGATGACAATGGCGGTTTTGTGGAATAGAAATGGGGGAAAGGTGGGGAAAAGATTGAGAAATTGGATGGTTGCCGTGTCTGTGTAGAAAGAAGTAGACATGGGAGACTTTTCATTTTCTTCTGTACTAAGAAAAATTCTTCTGCCTTGGGATTCTGTTGATCTGTGACCTTACCCCCAACCCTGTGCTCTCTGAAACATGTGCTGTGTCCACTCAGGGTTGAATGGATTAAGGGCGGTACAAGATGTGCTTTGTTAAACAGATGCTTGAAGGCAGCATGCTCATTAAGAGTCATCACCACTCCCTAATCTCAAGTACCCAGGGACACAAACATTGCGGAAGGCCGCAGGGTCCTCTGCCTGGGAAAACCAGAGACCTTTGTTCACTTGTTTATCTGCTGACCTTCCCTCCGCTATTGTCCTATGACCCTGCCAAATCCCCCTCTGCGAGAAACACCCAAGAATGATCAATTAAAAAAAAAAAAAATTAATCCAGGCACAGACTTTATACCTTTCTCAAAAATGAACTCAAAATGAATCATACACACAAATGCAAAATGAAAAACCATAAAACTTTTAGAATATAACATAAGAGAAAATCTAAGTGAGTTTTTCAATACAATATCAAAGGCACCATCCATAACAGAAGTAACTTATAGGTTGAACTTCATTAAAATTAAAAACTTTTGCTCTGCAAAAGACTCTGTCAAAAGAATGTAAGATATGACACAGAATGGGAGAAAATATTTACAAAATACATAACTGATAAAGGATTGTTTTCCAAAATATACAAAGGACTCTTAAAATTCAACAACAAGAAAATGAACAACCCAATTTTAAAAGGGGCCAAAAATCTTAACAGATACCTCATCAAAGAAGATATACAGATGGCAATGTCAAATAAGCATAGAAAAAGATGCTCAACATCATATCATTAGGGAATTGCACATTAAAACAGCAAAGAAATATCACCATATACATATTAGAACGGCCAAAATCCAAAAATCTGACAATACCAAATTCTGGGGAAAATACGAAACAACAGGAACTCTCATTCATTGCTGATAAAAATATAAAATGATACAGCCATTTTGAAAGACAGTTTGGCAGTTTCTTACAAAACTAAACATACTTTTAGTTTATGATCCAGCAGTCACACTCTCTGGTATTTGCCCAAATAAGTTGAAAACTTATTGCCCACATAAAAACGTGCACATGCATGTTTATAGTAGCTTTATTCATAATTGCCCAAACTTGCAAGCAACCAAGATTTTCTTCAGCAGGTGAATGGATAAAGAAACTGTGGTATGTCCAATGAAATGTTTAGTACTCAAAAGAAATGAGCTATAAAGATATAAAAACGTATGGATGACATTTAAATGCATATTAGTAAGTAAAATAAGCCATTCTGAAGAGGCTACATATTCCAACTATATGACATTTTGGCAAAGCCAAAACTATGGAGACAGCAAAAAGATCAATGTCAGGGGTTAGGGAGAAGGAAAGGATGAATAGGTGGAGCACAGATTTTTAGGCACTGAAACTACTCTGTATGATGCTACAATGCTGGATATGTGTCATCGTGCACTTTTAAAGTTATAGAATGCATAGTGTAAGTGGTGTGTATGTGGTTGGGGGAATTTGGGTGTATGGGAATTCTCTATACTTTCTGCTCAATTTGGCTATGAACCTAAAAGTGCTTAAAAATAAAACCAATCTTTCTTTCCTTCTTTCTTTCTTTTTCTTTCTTTCCTTCTTTCTTTCCTTCTTTCTTTCTTTTTCTTTCTTTCTTTCCTTCTTTCTTTCTTTCTTTCTTTCTTTCTCTTTCTTTCTTTCTTTCTTTCTTTCTTTCTTTCTTTCTTTCTTTCTTTCTTTCTTTCTTCTTCCTTTCTTCTTCTTTTTTTTTTTTTCTGACAGAGTCTTGCTCTATTACCCAGGCTGGAGTGCAGTGGTACAATCTCAGCTCGTTGCAACCTCCACCTCCCAGGTTCAAGCAATTCTCATACCTCAGCTTTCCGAGTGGCTGGGATTACAGGTGCTGGCCACCACAACTGGCTAATTTTTATATTTTTGGCAGAATTGGGGTTTCACCATGTTGGCCACGCTGGTCTTGAACTCCTGGCCTCAAGTGATCCACCCACCTCGGCCTCCCAAAGTGCTGGGATTACAGGCATGAGCCACTGTGCCCGGCCCCAACTAAACTTTTATATGTTGAAAAGCACAAAATTTCTGGTATTTACTAGTGCAAGAGATCAGCCTGGTTAACGTGGTGAAACCCCATCTCTACTAAAAAATACAAAAAATCAGTGGTGGTGGAAGCCTGTTATCCCAGTTACTCGGGAGGCTGAGACAGGATAATCACTTAAACCCGGGAGGCAGAGGTTGCAGTGAGCCGAGATCGCGCCACTGCACTCCAGCCTGGGTGACAGAACGAGACTCTGTCTCAAAAAACAAACAAACAAAGTACATTGTATTTAGGGCCTGGCACGGTGGCTCACGCTTGTCATCTCAGCACTTTGGGAGGCCGAGGCAGGTGGATCACCTGAGGTCGGGAGTTTGAGACCAGCCTGACCAACATGGAGAAACCCCGTCTCTACTAAAAATACAAAATTAGCCGGGCGTAGTGGCGCATGCCTGTAATCCCAGCTACTAGAGAGGCTGAGGCAGGAGAATTGCTTGAACTCAGGAGGTGGAGGTTGCAGTGAGCCGAGATCGTGCCACTGCAATTCAGCCAGGACAAGAGGGAAACTCTCCCTCAAAAAAAAAAAAAAAAAAAAGTTATATTGTGTTTAAATCCTTACTTCACCTCTTCCTAGTTGTGCAACATTGGTAACCTCTCTAGACCTCCTTTTCTTCATCTGTAAAATAGGGCAAGAGCACCCGTCTCAAAGGGTTGATGTGATAAAAACATTTCATTATCCCGATGAAATATTTAGTACAGTGTTATTGTGTCATAAATGCTTAAGAAATGTTAACAGCTGTTATTATATTTTATTTTATCTTCCAGATTTGGAGATCTCATTGTTTTTTATAGTATGCTGCTTTTGCTAACCATGGAAGCAGGTGTGTGATGTTTACAATTTAACTGATACCCTTCTGTCCAATGGAACTCAAAAGACCCATGCTGGAGGTAAATGTGAGCTATCTCACTTGTTTAGAGAACTTGAAAAATTCTTTCCATGTGAAATATTAATCTGTTTTTTTGTTCTTCAGAAAGCTACTATGCCTCAAGGCTTCAGGTGTTTCTTCTGTTTAGATCAACAGGTATTGAGTATTCAAACTTCAGTGGGGTTTAAAGTGAGATCAATTTTTTGAAAGTATAGTGCATTTTATTCAGTGAGTGGGTGAAGTTTGATTATTTACATTGCCTTAATACTTGTTGCTTTGTTCTCTGCCATGAGTACTACAATCCATGGGAAAGACAACAAGCGCTTGTACCACTTAAAAGCTTCACAGTGAGGCCAGGTGCGGTGGCTTATGCCTGTGAGCACTTTGGGAGGCCAAAGCAGGTGGATCACCTGAGGTCGGGAGTTCAAGACCAGCCTGACCAACGTGGAGAAGTCCTGCCTCTACTAAAAATACAAAATTAGCAGGGCGTGGTGGTGCATGCCTGTAGTCCCAGCTACACGGGAGGCTGAGGCAAGAGAATTGCTTCCACCCAGGAGGCGGAGGTTGTGGTGAGCTGAGATCATGCCATTGCACTCCAGCCTGGGCAACAAGAATGAAACTCCATCTCAAAAAAAAAAAAAAAAAAAAAAAAAAAAAGCTTTACAGTGAACCAGGACACTTTGGATTCCAAATGATCCTCATTGCTTTTTGACATCTGGATTACTTTGTTTTTTGAGATGCAAAATTTGAATGAAAACAAAGAACAAGAGAAAGTGAATACAAAATAACGAGGAACTGCAGGAACCCAAATGAAAACATCAGTTGCCCAGGTGCCTCCAGTCGTCTAGTGCAATTTGTTCCGTATGTCACACAAAAACGTGGATTTCATTTCCAAATGTCAAGTGTAATGCAGTGCTTTGTGAAAAACAACTACATTATTGATGGCACTCTCTGATAGAGTCTCACTGATGATTCATGTTTATCAAATTTATGATGCTGTACACTGGGAGAAAAATTAGCAAAGCTTTGAAAAACATACATTTGGGAGAGGAGGCAGCTCTAAACTTGATGGAATTTCTGACACTATTTCTGACACAGTTTTTATTTTAGCCCAGCTCTGCGAGTTGAGCTGATTAGAACTCGAGAAGATTTGCAAGACGAGGCAAAGAGATCAATTAAAAGACTATTAAAGAGATAATGGAGAGGTTTATAACACAGTCTTGTTCTTGAAGATTTTGCCAAGTCTTGGGTAGTCAAGAAACCCTTCCTAGAGGGCAAGTGGAATTTCAACACTGAATTATTTTAGGAGGGTTTCCCATGCACAATTCTTAGCACACAGTAGGAGTTCAACAAACATTAGCTGAATCGGAATCTAAACTTGTAATGATCACCTTCCTAGCAGAAATATAGCACCTGGACTCATTATTACGGCTTAATTTTTAGTGGTCATAAATACAGCCTACCTTTCCAAGTAACTGTGGATAAATTCCTAATGACCTTCTGCTACTTCTCACTAAACAAAGTTCAATACTGTTTTCTCTCCTCCTTCCCCGTTCCCCCGTTGTTCTCTCCTTTCATCTCTCTCTCTATTTCTTTCTCTTCCTTTCATTTAGGGTGGTAAGTGACACACACGGGAACTTCATCCTTGTGAATAAGACTCAGCATCAGAGAGTTTGCTGATCCGTTGGTTATTGGATAATGGAGTTGGGGGATGCTGCCTATGTTGGGGTGATTTCAGAAGCTGTGGAAGCCTTAAGCTGCTACCTCATCCACTGACTATGCTGTGTCACATACAATTAAAAGTCAATTATTTTTAACAATTTAGGTACCACTAGAAAATAAACTTTATAATTTACCAATAATCAATATTCTTGAATACTTGCTATAAACAAGATCATATACTAAGCCCTCTGAAGACTACAAAAACGAATAAGACCAAGGGAATGACTGGTCATATTTGCAGGGTAATAAGATCATTTTAGTTGGATTGCAGAAGAAGGATTCTGGTTGGGAAAAAGAAGGAATTAGTACTTAGGATATTGGCTTAGTTATTTTAACAGAAGCCAAATAACTGGGATTCCAAAAATAAAAATGGTTTATTTCTCTTTCATATAAAAGATTGAGATGGCAAGCAGTTGGAGAGGACAGGATTCCTTTTATCTTGTAGCTCTTCAATTCCCTATTGTGCTCCCTTTACCTGCAAAGTTGAACCTGATTCAGCACCATCTCATCTACTTATAACCAAACTGCAGCAAAGTCACAGAAGGAGGAAAGAGGAGGAGCATCAACGGTGCTCATATCACGCCCACTCTCAGACTGTTGACTAGAACAATGCCAGGTGATGTTGTAGCTTGGTCACGTAGGGCTGCCAGGGAGACTGGGAAATGTGGCCTCTAACTGGGAGGCATGGGGCTCAGTTCTAGTAGCAAAAGAAGATGGGAGAATAGGCCTTGGGTATAACTATCAGTCTCTGCAATAGGCGGCAAGGTGAGGAGATCAACTGAAAGACTATTAAAGAGATAATGGTGGCCTTGAACTAGGTTAGTGACCATAATAATAAGAAGAATTGGGCCAGGCGCGGTGGCTCACGCCTGTAATCCCAGCACTTTGGGAGGCCGAGGCGGGCAGATCACGAGATCAGGAGATTGAGACCATCATGGCTAACACGGTGAAACCCCATCTCACTAAAAATGCAAAAAATTAGCCGGGCATGGCGGCAGGCGCCTGTAGTCCCGGCTATGTGGGAGGCTGAGGCAGGAGAATGGCATGAACCCGGGAGGAGGAGCTTGCAGTGAGCCGAGATCGCGCCACTGCACTCCAGCCTGGGCGACAGAGAGAGACCCCGTCTCAAAAAAAAAAAAAAAAAAAAAAAAAAGAAGAAGAATTGAAAGAATATTTAGAAAGAAGAATTGACAGGACTTGGTGATTTCCTGAATGCAAGGAATAAGAGAGAGTAAGGAGTAATTAATTTATCCCTTAAATATGTATCAGGTTCCTACAATGTGCCAAGTGTTGCCCCACAGTGCTGGATGTACAGTGGTGAATAAACAGATACTATACTTGCCTTAAGGTACTTAGAGACTAGCGTGTGATGCCCAGGGTTCTGTTGAGGCAAATTGTATTGCTAGCCATTGAAAAGTTGAATGCAGAAGAAGGAGCAGGTCTGGGAGAAAGTGGTGAGTGCAAGCTAGATAATAAGCTTGAGGTGCTTGTGGGACAACCAATCAGTGATACCCAGGAGGTGGGAAGAATGTGTAGGTCTGACTCTAAAGAGGGAGATTGGAGTTTGAGATACTTATACGCTGAGGACCATCAACACAGATGGTAATTTGCAGCTGTGAGAGTAGACAGAATTGCACAGAGAGAGAGTATATTATTTAATGTATGAAAAAAATGTTCAGTGACAGTATCTCACTCTGTCACCCAGACTGGAGTGCAGTGGTGTGATAGCTCATTGCAGCCTCAAATTCCTGGGCTCAAGCGATCCTCTTTCCTCAGTCTCCCAAGTAGCTGGGACCACAGTTGTGTGCCACCATGCCCAGCTAATGCTCAGAGTGCAGAGAGGAAGTAGAGAAGAGGATCTCAGACCAAACACAACACCATCATTTAAGAAGAAGCCCATGTTTAAGGAAAAGGAGTAATTGGAGGGGTTAAAGAAAAGCTAGGTGAACACAATATCATGACAGCAAAGGGAAGAGAATGCTTTAAGAAGGATCAAATACTTTCATGATGTTAAAAAACAGAGACAGATGGAGATGGAGAGGGAGTAGGGCAGAGAAGATACAGGACTGCAAGGGATGTTTGTGTGACTGCAAGGGAGTGTTTTTGTTTTGCCTTAAAGGTGGGACAGATTTGGGCGTGTTTAAATGCTAACAGGGAGGAGCTAGTACAGAGGAAGACACTGATGATAATGGAGAGAAGGTCCAATTCCTGAAGGTGGTGGTTGGAGTGGAAATGGAGATGGAGTTTATATAACAAGTAGCCCTACAGTGAGGGGACAATTTCTCCCATTATGATTTGAGAACATTAAGAGAGAGTAAGTATAGATTCAGCTGTGTTCATGAATTCACACCGGGAATTACATTAGGCCTCATCTGGAGCCTTCTTTTTTTTGTCTGTAAAAGCAAGGTCGTCTGCTGACTGCAAGGGTGTGGGGAGGTTGCATGTTGGAAATCTAGGGAAACTTAGAAGAATTGCTTGACAGTAGGAAAGAAATGAGTTCTTCATAGGAGCCTTAATACAAATTTATGTTGTACTGACAGAGGCGTTTGAACCAGAGTGACTCCATCTTGAATAGGGGCTGGGTAAAATAAGGCTGAGAGCTACAGGGCTGTGTTCCCAAGAGGTTAGGCATTCTAAGTCACAAGGATGAGACTGGAGTTCAGCACAATATACAGGTCACAAAGACTTTGCTGATAAAATGGCATGTGGTAAAGAAGCTGGCCAAAACCCACCAAAACCAAGATGGTGACAAAGGTGACCTCTGCTCATTTTCACTGCTCATTATATGCCAATGATAATGCATTATCATGGTAAAAGACACTCCCACCAGCACCATGACAGTTTACAGATGTCATGGCAATGTTTGGAAGTTACCCTATACGGTCTAAAAGCGGGAGGAACTCTCGGTTCCAGGAATTGCCCACCCCTTTCCCAGTAAACTCATGAATAATCCACCCCTTGTTTAGCACATAATCATGAAATAACCATAAAAATAGCCAACCAGCAGCCCATGCTGCTGCTCTGCCTATGGAGTAGCCATTCTTTTATTCCTTTACTTTCTTAAATTTGCTTTCACTTTAATCTATGCACTCATCCCGAATTCTTTCTTGCATGAGGTCCAAGAACCCTCTTTTGGGGTCTGGATCAGGATCCCTTTCCAATAACAGTACCATATAGTTGTTCTCATCATAGTGTGAATGTCTCCAGCAGTGTTTACAAGCCTAGATAAAATCCTGGAGGTGGTAGATGATTGGCTTAATCTAGGGTTAGATTTTGCTAGACAATTTTTTCTTTGTTGGGGGAGTGGAGAATGGGGTCTCACTCTGTCACCCAGGCTGGAGTGCAGTGGTGCAATCTTGGCTCACTACAGCCTCCGCCTCCCTGGTCCAAGCCATTCTCCTGCCTCAGGCTCCCGAGTAGCTGGAATTACAGGCATGCACTACCATGCCCAGCTAATTTTTGTATTTTTAGTAGAGATGGGGGTTTTTCCATGTTGTCCAATCTGGTCTTGAACTCCTGAGCTCAATTGATCTGCCCACCTCAACCTCCCAAAGTGCTGGGATTACAGGCGTAAGCCAATGTGCCCGACCTTGCTAGACAATTGTAATAGAAGGACTGAAAAACAAAGAGGTTGAAAGTATTGACAAGAATGTTGTTGAAATAATGGGTAAGGAAGAAAGGGAAGATGGGAGGGATGCTGATAGGGAAAACAGAGGGAATGTAGAAACTGGAGACCCAAAATTTGTCTAGGAGGGGATAAGAGAGTGTAATAACTAGAAGGACAAGAGGTTCCAGTCAGGATAGCTCAATTTGGAATAACGCCAGGAACTAGTATTTGAGAACCACAAAATTTTACAGGATTTCAGAGGCTGAAGATTTTTTGAGAATAAGCAAAGGCTTTATGCATGGAGAGAGTGACATCTAAATTGGACCATAAATAATTGGTAAATTGAAATAGAATAGATGAAAATAGAATGGCAAATTATGACTGAAAGCAAATAATACTATTTTAGTCTAAGCAGGTAAACTGGACACCAGTTGTGAAAGTCCCTAAAAGTCATAATAGAAATAAAAATAATGGCAATAATAATGGTCACTGATTTTTGTGTACTGTGCACCAGGAAAATCAGGCATTTTACACATTAGAGATATTTACTCCTGTCATCTCCACTTGAATTACTCAAAGGAACGAAATTTCACCATAGCCGAAAGTGAACTTTTTAATTGTCAGACTTGGTTTAAAAAAGACAACAAAATCCAATAACATTCTGCTTATAGGGGATGCATCTAAAAATATACAAAAAAAAGTGGCAAGTAAAGGAATGCAAAAATATATCATTAAAAATTTTTTTATTGTACTTTAAGTTCTGGGATACATGTGCAGAATGTGCAGGTTTGTTACATAGGTATACACATGCCACAGTGGTTTGCTGTCCCCATCAACCCGTCATCTACATTAGGTATTTCTCCTAATGCTATCCCTCCCCTTCCCCCCACCCCCTGACAAGTCGGTGTGTGATGTTCCCCTCACTGTGTCCATGTGTTCTCATTGTTCAACTCCTACTTATGAGTGAGAACATGCAGTGTTTGGTTTTCTGTCCTTGTGATAGTTTGCTCAGAATGATGGTTTCCAGCTTCATCCATGTCCCTGCAAAGGACATGAACTCATCACTTTTTATGGCTGCATAGTATTCCATGGTGTATATGTGCCACATTTTCTTTATCCAGTCTATCATTGATGGGCATTTGGGTTGGCTCCAAGTCTTTGCTATTGTGAACAGTGTTGCAATAAACATACATGTGCATGTGTCCAAAAGTAAATTCTTGATCTTCCTCCCATATCCCAAGCCTGATCTTCTTACAGGGTTAATTTCGGGGAATAATGTACTGTTCATCCACTTAAGCAAGCCAAAAACCTAGCAGCAATTCTTGACACCTCCCTTTTCCTAATACCCTATATCCCATTTCCCATCAAGTCCTATTAATTTTACCTTTTAAATACCTTTCTTCATCTTATCTTTCTCTACACCTACTTCATCCAAACTCATCAGTTGATTTACTCCAATGGCCTCTTGATTGGTATCTTTGACATTACTCTTCCCTACTAATGGATTCTCTTCACTGCAACCTGGGAAATCTTTTTAAAACACAAGTCAGATCTTATCATTCCCTTTATTTAGAACCTAAGAGATCTCCATTAAGATCTTCCTTTCATTGTTAGGATGAAGACCAAAATTTTGAACACGGCTTGCAAGGTTGATGTTTAATCTCCCTCTTATACACCACTACTGTAACTTTCCTTCAGTCTTTCTACTTGAAGTTGTCCTTCTCAGCACAGAGCCTGTTTCTTTTTTTTTCTTTTTTTTTGACAGAGTCTCGCTCTGTGGCCCAGGCTGTAGTGCAGTGGTGCAATCTTGGCTCACTGCAACCTCCGCCTCCTGGGTTCAAGCAATTATCCTGTCTCAGCCTCCCAAGTAGCTGGGAATACAGGCACCTGCCACCACACCCGGCTAATTTTTTGTATTTTTAGTAGAGACAAGGTTTCACCATGTTGGCCAGGCTGGTCTAGAACTCCTGACCTCAGGTGATCTACCCTCCTCAGCCTCCCAAAGTGCTGGGATTACAGGCTTGAGCAACTGCGCCAGGCCTGTTTCTTTTCTTAAATCATTTTCCCCAGCCCCCTTCATGTGTGAATTCTTCCTCTACCTTCATGTCTCTGACGAATTGTTTTTCGTTAGGAACACCTTCCCTAGCTTTTATGACTAAGGCAACACCTTCCTTGCAACAACCCTTAAGTGGAGACATTTTTATCCTCATTTCACAGATAAGAAAACTGATGTTTGCTTGAGCCCAGGCATTTGAGGATGCAATGAGCTATGATTGTGCCACCTGTACTCCAGCCTGGGTGACAGAGTGTGATCCTGTCCCTAAAAAAAGGAAAAAGAAAACATGCTCAAAGAAGATCAGCAATATCCTCATGGTGACATGGTAGAGTTGAGGCTATAGTATCTGATTCTGAATCCTGTGCTCTTGCCATTACCTCATATTTCCTTTAGCTACATCCCTGAATGATATTCAATAATAATGTTACACTAATAAGCACATCCATTTTAACCTTCTTTTGTAAGAAAGTTCAGATCCCTGGGAAGGTAGAGAGAACAAGACTCTTTTACTAAAAAGTAATCTTTTCTTTTCTTTCTTTCTTTTTTTTTTTGAGATGGAGTCTCAATCCATCGCCCAGACTAGAGTGCAGTGGCGCGATCTCAGCTCACTGCAACTTCCACCTCCCGGGTTCAAGCCTCCCGAGTAGCTGGGACTACAGGCGCCAGCCACTACGCCCGGCTAATTTTTTGTATTTTTAGAAGAGCTGGGGTTTCACCATGTTAGCCAGGATGGTCTCGATCTCCTGAACTCGTGATCAGCCTGCCTCGGCCTCCCAAAGTGCTGGGATTATAGACGTGAACCATTGCGCCCTGCCTAAAAAGTAACCTTTTCTTATGTACCTAAGGAGTCTCCTTCATCCACTTCTGCAACCCCTATTCTGCCTACATAAGTAGTTATAGATAGGACTGTAGCAGAGACATTTATCTCTCACCAACAAATCATGTGGTCTGACACACTTTCCAGCTCCCGCCTATAAGTAGGGCCATGTAACTAGTTCTGACCAATGGCTGTTAAGTGGAAGTGATGTGTGTCACTTCTGGGCTCAAGCGTTTAAGTGCAGCCTTCCAGCTCTCCCTTCCTCCGCTGTGGCAACTTGGAAGTCACATGTTCCAGATGACATAATTAAAAAACGAAATGCTTAGAAACCTGACTTACCACTTGGATGGGAGCTGCCCTGGAAAGAGGCCACTCTCCAGCAGATTTTGTTGGGGAGAAAAAAATGGCTCTGTGTGTGTTACCCACTCTGAGATCAGAATCTGCTTGTTAGAGCAGCATAGCTTAGCCTATTTTCACTAATACAAGCTCTGTAACTAGAGAGCTCTCTGGCCATTCAAAACCCATATTCGATTTGTTTTCTGAATCAGTAGAAACTATATTCCATTAGCCATAGTCCTGAGCTTGGTTTCAGAAGCTGCCATTTGAGGTATTATTGTTGTTTAACATTAATTATATTCCCAGATTTCTTCTATCTCTCACCTTTGTTCTGTTGCATGACCTTAGGCAGTCACCTAATGGGTTTTCCCTTAAAACTTAGTAACTTAAGGACAAAATTAACTTTCTTCCTTAGTAACTTAAGGGAGAAAAGGAAACAAAACAAACTTTGCTCTACTTTGAATAGATAATGAACGGAATCTCTAATAAAAGAATGGTAAAGTGCTTTGAATAGAAAGGATATGAGGCCAGGTGCGGTGGCTGATGCCTGTAATCCCAGCCCTTTGGGAGGCCAAGGCAGGTGGATCACCTGAGGTCGGGAGTTTGAGACCAGCCTGACCAACATGGAGAAACTCTGTCTCTACTACAAATACAGAATTAGCCAGGTGTGGTGGCACATTCGTGTAATCCCACCTACTCTGGAGGCTGAGGCAGGAGAATTGCTTGAACCTGGGAGGTGGAGGTTGCGGTGAGATGAGATCACACTGTTGCACTCCAGCCTGGACAACAAGAGCGAAACTCCACTTCAAAGAAAAGAAAAGAAAAAAAATGATATGAGGCTGCTAAGTGCTTTGTTAATGGGTGCTACAAGGTTGTAGAGTATTGTTTTTTTCTTTTTGTAAGTTCTCAGTACTTTAATGAGAAAGCTAGTAATTGACTACATCCTGCCTTGGTAAATGTAGCAGCATAGTTTAGCCTAGTTTGAAATGATGGGTTTGAGATGAAACTTGCACGGGTCATTTCACTGAACATTTTAAACAATGTTTTTAGACAAAAAACAGTAACATGTTAATTTCTAGATCCTAGACTAGAGCATGAAGGAAGACATTTTCTTAAAGTTACTTTAAAAATAGATATTTTATAGATAAGAGTTGATAAAAAGGATACCAAAACATATGGTAAGTATTAAGGGCTCTTGGTGTTTGGACAGGTATTTTGGGGCTAACTGTTGGACTTCAAAATTTATTTTATTTATGTTTGTTTTGTTTTGTTTTGTTTTGTTTGAGACAGAGTTTCGCTCTTGTTGCCCAGGCTGGAGTGCAATGGTGCAATCTCAGCTCACTGCAACCTCCGCCTCCTGGTTTCAAGTGATTATCCTGCCTCAGCCTCCTAAGTAGCTGGGATTACAGGCATGTGCCACCACTCCTGGCTAATTTTTTGTATTTGGCAGAGACGGGGTTTTACCATGTTGGTCAGGCTCGTCTCAAGCTCCTGACCTCAAGTGACCCACCTGCCTCGGCCTCCCAAAGTGCTGAGATTACAGGCGTGAGCCACCATGCCCGGTGACATCAACATTTATGTCTGGGTAAGTCTCACTCTCCCTGCCCCTACTGCAGCTCTTTCTGGTGAACACTAGAGTAGGTCGGCCGGGTTCTTTGCTCCTCACTGTACATTCTCCATCCTTTTCCACCCTGCTGCCTTCCCCAGGAGGCAAACCTGTGTGGATTTCACAAACCGATTCTCTTGCCTTATGGTGTTCTGTTGGGTTTGGCCAGTAGGAGCCTTACCAGGAGACAAGAGGGAAGGAGAAAAGCAAGGTGAGAATATTTAGTTCACTCCTCCTCTTCCTTCAGGGAAAGGAAAAGTATGGAGGCTGGGCATGGTGGCTCACACCTGGAATCCCAGCACTTTGCGAGGCGGAGGCAGGAGGATCACTTGACACCAGGAGTTCAAGACCAGCCTGCGCAACATGGCGAAACGCTGTCTTCACAAGAAATATGAAAAACTAGCCATATGTGGTGGCATGCACCTGCAGTCCCAGCTATCCAGGAGCCTGAGGTGGGAGAATCACTTGAGCCCAGGAGGTTGAGGCTTCAGTGAGGTATAATCGTGCCACTGCACTTCAGTCTGGTGACAGGGTAAGACCTTGTCTCAAAAAAAAAAAGGAACCAGGATAAATTTTAGACTAACTTATGAGATAGAGAAATAAAGGAGTAGAGATCAAATCACTTGGCTAAGGTCACATACCTAATTACAAGTAAAGCAAAAATTAATCTATGGTTTGTTTATTAATTTTTTTCATGTAACAAATATTTATTTCACCAGCGTAACTGAGATAACAAAAGACCCATTAATTTGGCCAAGTTTATACTAACGGTTAGAGCCACAGTGAGAACTGAACAAACAGCAATGACAACAAAAACAACCACAAAACAAAGGCCTTATCCCACCTGTTCAGCTGTCTTGCCTCTCACCCTGCTACCCGTGGTGCAGCATAGCCCTCAGAATCCCCAGCTTGGATTTTAATCAGCTCCCTGTCTAGTCTCCTTTGAAAAACCCACGCACATCATCTGTGGGGTTTGTGATATTACATTTGGTGCTTAGATCTCAGTTTTTGGTTGATATGCAAAAATGAAAAAGAGCAAGAAATTCCCCCAGAGACTCCACAGCTGTGCATCTGGAAAGAACACAAATCTCTTTCAACCAAGATCTAGCAAACAAAACAAAACAAAAAACAAAAAAACAAGCCTGCGAAGTAATTTATGCTCTAAGATTTCCCTCAGGATCCCCATTTTCTGAAAGTCTCAGATGACATGTTTGTGTTTGTGTGTGCTAGTTTCACTCTCCTTGGTCAAACTATCTATGCCTGAGAGTGCAGAAGTCCTGCTGTTTGGGGAATTGTCTCTGCCAGGGAGGGCAACATCTCCGTATATCCTCATTTAACTGTGAAGGCAGCTGTAAGCCCTTTAAATTCATAAGTGAAATTAAATCACAGAATTCTGTAGGTGGGTTTGATGCTGTCCAAAGATTCCCCAAGTGCAGAGCTAATCCATGAGTTAAAAAGTAGCAAATCTAAATACTCCATCTAGGATGGAGACTTAATCAAATATTAAAACAAAACAAAACCTGTTGATAATCAAGCCTGGGTCAACATAGGACACAACAAAGTGCACAGTTGAAATAATTTTCCAGGTACTTCATGTTTGAAACAATGCCTTAGAGGATAAAAAGACCATTTTTTAAAGGTTTTAAATCTATAGTCAATCATAAAAATGTGCTCTGCTTTAGGAAGGGAAGTTGGTATATTTTTCATGGTTCTGGCTGGGAGTCAAAAATCCTGTGTCTGTTCCCAGAGCTATCATTGTCTGTTGGTGTTCTGGGGTCACTTATTCTCTTGTGCCTCAGTTCCTCTATTATTCTCTATTATTGAAACAATGTATAATCTATGTATGCTCTGCTTTTAGCATACATGTACCAATTTCTTTACATAATGGGGAGTCTGGGAATGTTAATATTCAATTTGAGTTATAAAAAACGTAATTTGTATTTCAGGAACACAACTGTGGAGGCAAATGAAGTGTACCATCCCATTGTTGGCAGAGATATTTCAAATTGTTTGGGGGAAAAACACTTTTTGGAATTCAAAACACTTTCTCCATATGAAAACAATGGAAAATGGAGCTTTATGTTAACTTTTATATGAGCAGATCTTTATCACTCGAGCACGTGTCATAAATCCTTTGAAAATACGGTGACATCCTGCACAATTTTTAAAAAGTTAAAACTTGCCTTATTTCTGACAGGTGCCTACTCCTGTCCTATGGTTTGTAAAGGAGTCACCAGATATTGTCATTTGAACTTCTGGAATTTACATTTAGTATCAATGACTGAGAATCAACTCTTCCAAATAAACAGACACACACACACACACAAAATGCTACTGTTTTCCTCTTCTTTGAAAGAGGAAATGTGAAGCTCCTCATGTATTACAAACCATATAAACCTCTGCCTTTTCACTGAGGTCCAGCAACCCTTAAATGTTTTTTCCTTTTCATGCTGTTTCTTTGCATGTCAGTACTTAGGGGGTGGATCCAAGGTTCTCAAACCCACATCAATTGTTGAAGTCAGATTCCTCCCCATTCCTACATCCCCTCTTTCCCAGCCCCACTTAAGGAATGGGATCCTAAATACTGGAAAGATCCACCGGGCACGGTGGCTCACGCCTGTAATCCCAGCACTTTGGGAGGCTGAGGCGGGATGATCACCTGAGGTTAGGAGTTCGAGACCAGCCTGACGAACATGGAAAAACCCTGTCTCTACTAAAAATACAAAATTAGCCGGGCATAGTGGCAGGTGCCTGTAATCCCAGCTACTCAGGAGGCCAAGGCAGGAGAATTGCATGAACCCAGGAGGCCGAGGTTGTGGTGAGCTGAAATCGCGCATTGCACTGCAGCCTGGGCAACAAGAGCGAAACTCTATCTCAAAATAAAATAAAATAAAATAAAATAAAATTATATATGTGTGTGTATATATATATATATATATGATCCTTATCTTGTAATCCTCACTTCAAAGGGAAAAATGAAGTTTTCTCTGGTGGTACAATTTGCATTTTCTTAACCAGATTAAGTATCTCTAGCTGGGTGCAGTGGCTCAAGCCTGTAATACCAGCTACTCCAGAGGCAGAGGTGGATGGATCGCTTGAGGCCAAGAGTTCAAGACCAGCCTGAGCAACATAGCAAGACCTCCACAACATCTCCCTATCCCCCCACTTACTATCCCCAGTTCCATCTCTGAAAAAATTAAAAATTTAGCTAGGAGTGGTGTGATGGACCTGTAGCCCCAGTTACTCAGGAGACTGAGTAGGGAAGATTGCTTGGGCTCAAGAGTTTGAGGCTGCAGTGAGCTATGATCGCACCGCTGCACTCCAGCCTGGGTGACAGACCCTATCTCTAAAATTTATTTTTTCAGTAAAAACTCATTATTTTTAACTGCAAAAGATTTGACCAAACACCTTAATTAAAAAGACATAAATATGGCCAGTAAGCACATGAAAACATGCTAAACATCATCAGTTACTAGGGAAATTTTACAAAAAAAAAAATTATTTTTTTTTGAGATGGAGTCTTGCTCTGTTGCCCAGGCTGGAGGGCAGTGGTGTGATCTCGGCTCACTGCAACCTCTGCCTCCTGGGTTCAAGCAATTCTCCTGCCTCAACCTCCCAAGTAGCTGGGATTACAGGCACCCCCCGGCCCCATGCCCAGCTAACTTTTTTTGTATTTTTAGTAGATATAGGGTTGCACCATGTTGGCCAGGCTGATCTGAAACTCCTGACCACAGGTGATCCACCCGCCTCAGCCTCCCAAAGTGCTGGGATTACGGGCGTGAGCTGCTGCACCCAGCCTACTTCAGTTTTTCAACACAGGCTGACTCCTGTTAGCTTTGCCTGTGTCTTTAATTAAAGAGATGAAGATAGAAAGCAAGCAACAGATTTCTTTGGATACAAAATCACCTTGCCTTCAATTAATCTGTGAGATTTATTGTGGGACCCCTTTAGTCCTGCCCCATAATCTTGAATGTCAGGTGCTCTAGTTGGAGTTCTCCGTAGAAGTTACTGTGATGAATATCTTGATTAGATGTGAAATCAAATGTTATTTTACCTTTTTCATGGAGTAGAAAATCTAGGTAAGGTCTACAAAAGCCCCATATTAATGAGTGACTCACCTGGTGTGGTAGACATAATAATGTCCCCTCCCACCCAAGATACCCACTTCCTAATTCTCAGAACTTGAAAACGTTAATTTGTATAATAAAAAGGGCTTTGTAAATGTGATTAAAGTAACTATCTTATAATGGGGAGGTTATCCTGCAGGCCCTAAGCGTTATCGTAAGTGTCTTTACAAGAGGAAGGCAGAGGCAAATGTGGGGGAAAGGAAGTCTCTTCCTTACCCATCACTAGGATCATGGCTGAGGCCCCATCAAAAGATAGATTGACAGGAGAAAAGCATATACATTTACTTAATAAGGTTTGTGTGAGATGGGAGCCCTCATAAGGAATTGAAGACCCTGGCCGGGCATGGTGGCTCACGCCTGTAATCCCAGCACTTTGGGAGGCCAAGGTGGGTGGATCACGAGGTCAGGAGATCGAGACCATCCTGACTAACATGGCGAAACCCCGTCTCTACTAAAGATACAAAAAATTAGCCGGGCGTAGTGGTGGGCGCCTGTAGCCTCAGCTACTCCGGAGGCTGAGGCAGGAGAATGGCGTGAACCCAGGAGGCGGAGCTTGCAGTGAGCCGAGATTGCACCACTGCACTCCAGCCTGGGCGACAGAGCCAGACTCCACCTCAAAAAAAAAAAAAAAAAAAAAAAAAAAAAAAATCCCAGCTCTTTAGGAGGCCAAGGCAGGTGGATCACCTGAGGCCAGGAGTTCAAGACCAGCCTGGCCAACATGGAGAAATTCCATCACTACTAAAAATTCAAAATTAGCCAGGCATGGTGGCACATGCCTGTAATCTCAGCTACTCAGAGGCAGGAGAGTCACTTGGACCCAGGAGACAGAGGTTGTGGTGAGCCGAGATCGTGCCATTGCAGTCCAGCCTGGGCAACAAGAGCGAAACTCTGTCTAAAAAAAAAAAAAAAAAAAGCAAGAAGGAAATGATGAAGGCCCAAAGGAAGAGAGAAACCCATGTATTTCTGTGCTTAGGTTTAATAGAGTGGACAGTCATGCAGAAGTATGATTGGATAAAAGGGGTCTGATCTGATCTAATGGTAATCAACTGAGGGGAAATTAGTGAGGCCTGTTTGTTCAGTTTCTTCTTGGCATCTCTGTCTTAGTTCCTTTCCCCCAGATATAGGGAGGGCACCTCTTTAGTAAGAATCTTATGACATGCTTCAGGAGAAGATCAGAAAATTCTTCCTAGGTTTTATGATTTGCATCATGGAGGAAGGGTGGTGAAAGGTGAAGTGACCTTCCTGGTTCTGCTATTTTCTCAAATGCCAAGGTGCTATATTTTGGGGTGGTGTGCCCTTAACCCCATCAAAGATTTGACTACAGAACATGAGAAGGTGGGCCAGGCGCAGTGGCTCACGCCTGTAATCCTAGCACTTTGGGAGGCCAAGGCAGGCAAATCACAAGGTCAGGAGTTTGAGACAAGCCTGGCCAATATGGCGAAACCCTGTTTCTACTAAAAAAAATACAAAAATTAGCTGGGTGCGTTAGTGTATGCCTGTAGTCCCAGCTACTTGGGAGGCTGAGGCAGGAGAATTGCTTGAACCCGGGAGGCAGAGGTTGCAGTGAGATGAGATCGCACCACTGCACTCCAGCCTGGGCAACAGAGTGAGACTCCGTCTGAAAAAAAAAAAAAAAAAGAAGATGAGAAGGTGATGTGATGATGGAAGCATACCTTGAAGATGAAGGAGGAGGTCACAAACCAAGGAATACAGAGGACCACTAGAAACTAGAAAAGGCAAGGAAGTGAATTATCCCTTCAGAGCCTCCAGAAGAAGCCAGTCCTGCCAACACTTTGACTTTAGCCTGGACAACTGATTTTTGGACTTCTGACCTCCAAAACTGTAAGAACAAATTGCATTATTTTAAGCCACTAGGTTTATGGTAATTTATTACAGCAGCAACAGAAAATGCACACATCTAACACAAAGCATTTGAATTTGCATCTATCCAAATAATTTTTAACTTTTATTTTATTTTATCTATTTATTTTGAGACAGAATTTTGCTCTGTCGCCCAGGCTGGAATGCAGTGTCACCACCTTGGCTCACTGCAGCCTCCGCCTCCTGGGTTCAAACGATTCTCCTACCTCTCAGCCTCTGGAGTAGTGGGGACTACAGGCGCACGCCACCACACCTGGCTAATTTTTGTATTTTTTAGTAGAGATGGGATTTCGTCATGTTGGCCAGGCTGGCCTCAAACTCCTGTCCTCAAGTGATCCGCCCATCTTGGCCTCTCAAAGTGCTGGGATTACAGGCGTGAGCCACCGTGCCTGGCCTTAACTCATATATATATATGTGTGTGCGTATGTGTATATATATATATATATATATGTGTATATATATATGTATATACATATATATATATGTGTATATATATATGTATATACATATATATATGTGTATATATATATGTATATACATATATATATATATACACACACGCACACATATATATATAACCAGTCATCTTTTATTTGGAGGTTAATTCCCATTAGAATATGAAAGGATTCAGCAACGATCAAGATTGTGTTCCTCATGGTGGGGCTTGGGCCAAGAAGGTCATGGTGGGGAGTGCAGAGCGTGTCCCCTTCTTCAGTGGTACCTGCATAGCCGCTTGTGCTTGAGCTCCTTGTAGGAAAGGCAGTATCGGAAGAGCATGTAGCCTGCCAGCACCATGGTCAGCCCCGAGATGCTCCCCTTCTTCACGTTGATGTATTTGTTGTAGTACCAGTAGTAACCTCTTTGAATCCCTGCGGCAATGACTCGATCCTGCATCAAGATCCAGCTTGGCAGCTCCCCTAGTTTGACCTCCAGATGTTTCTTGTCCTTCACTGGTATGACTGATGTCATCTTGGAGACCTGGGGTCCACTGTGCCTATTTTAGATTCTCACCAGACTGTATCCACAATGACCAATCATTTAAAAAGTGAAATAGATATTGGGCTATAGAGTCTTAAGTCTTGACTTTAGTATTAATATGAGATATATTTTAAATTTAGAAATTCAGAAATCTCAAGTATGTTTATTTTAGAATGATAGTTTAGTGACTTTGGGATTGTTTTAGAAACTGTATCAACATCATGTGTAAAAAAGAGAGAATAATAATATTTTCTTTCTTTTTTTTGAGAATAATAATATTTTCTAAATCCTAGATTTTAGTCTTATTTGACTCAAGGAACAAACTAGTAGTGAGTGTCAAGTGTCTCATTTTTATCTTTTATGCCAAAGAGTGCTCAGTGTACTAAAAATAATGCCTACTGTGTGGAGGGGCAGGTAATCAGTTCTGGGATTCTTTTTTATTTTATTTTATTTTATTTTATTTTATTTTATTTTATTTTATTTTGAGACGGAGTCTTGCTCTGTCCCCAGGCCGGAGTGTAGTGGTGCGATCTCAGCTCACTGCAAGCTCCGCCTCCCGGGTTCAAAGGATTCTCTTGCCTCAGCCTCCAGAGTAGCTGGGATTACAGGTGCACACCACCACGCCTGGCTAATTTTTATATTTTTAGTAGAGACGATATTTCACCATGTTGGCCAGGATGGTCTTGATCTCTCGACCTCGTGATCCACCTGCCTCAGCCTCCCAAAGTGCTGAGATTACAGGCGTGAGCCATCACCCCCGGACTTGGGATTGTTATTTTTAGTGAGATGCTCTGAAAATATTACAACCTATAAATTTCATTTGGCAGCTTCGAGGATTACAAATAATTCAGTAGGCTCTTAGATATCTGAGTTTCTGTCTCACTCTGGCTGGCACTTTATAAAATATGTCAAGAAGAATGTTAATGTTGCATGTGGAAGAGATATCCCAGGAATCTGATCTTGAGAACTTGAACATAATGTTAATGTACGTGCTATAGGCTTATAGGCTCCATGAAGCAACCTTCTGTTAGATCAAGGCAAAAAAAAAGGTCTACCATTTCCTACTCCATTTCCATGCCCGTAAAAGTTTTGTTTGCCACTTTGAAATCTGCAATGAATCTAGAGCAGTAGCATCAATACTTTCCTAACACTGGATGGATACTATTCACAGCATCCCCCCTCCTCATCGTCACCGGCATCACTTTCCTCATTACCACCATCCCCATCACTAGCATCTGTAGCACACTTAGTCTACAAAGAGCTTTCATTCACCTGACCTTCTTAGAACAAGATAATTATCAACTTTTGGTGCTGGACCGAGTGTTTGGACACTTCATCTTGCAGTGATTTTGTGGGGGTAAATAGAGCAGCATTATTTGCACAACTCCCAACAACACAGTGTTTGCTACATAAGGAGTGCTTGATAAATGTGGAATTGATTAATGTAAATAAGGAAACTAAAGCTTAGGAGAAGTTCTGTTGTTTTCTCAGTATCAGGAAGAAAGGAATTGCAGACACTAGTACTCAGGTCTTTCAACTTACAGCATGGGAAACCAAAAAAAAAAAAAAAAAAAAAAGGCTTGTGTAAACTCTTGGAAATGGCTCTATGTTGTCTTAGTTGAATAATAAGGGGAAGAACAAAAGATTAAAAAGGCCATTGTGATTCATCAAAAGTACACAATCATTGGCTTTATCTCACATGATGTGAAAAGAGAAAAAAAGAAATGAAAATTGATGATACATCAGTATAAAACAAAATCAACATCATAATATTGTCACTGGATGTTGATCTTTTGTTGTGGAAAGGAGAAAGGGGTTTAGCCATGTGGCTATAGGTCATTTGTACTTTCTTTGTCCATTCTTCTTCTTGGTGGGGAGTAGGAGTAAATTTCCTCTCCTTTGTTAAACTAAAGACAATTTCCTTTTCTAGACTTAAGTTTTCCTTGCCCCAAGTTAATACACAGCTAACCCTGCTCAGATTGATACATATGTAAATTTACACAATTGTTTCTATTCGTAAAGGGAAAAGCTATTGTCAACAAAATGTGAGAAGTGCTCTTTTAAAAGTCCTCAATCCCTCACAGCAAAGGTGTTTAAATTGCTAAGGACCAACGAAGGCATTTCTGAAGCCTGCTCTTTGTAGGAGACTCAAATCTGCAACCAAGAAGCACCTGGGTCATTGGGAAGCCTATAATTACTTGGAAAAACAGAGGATGAAATTCAGGGCATTACCTATAATGTTCACTTGTTTCTACCAAAGGTCTTGATTCAAATTGATTTAGCAATTCCACAGTTCCAGTGAAAGGAAGCTAATATTTATTGTGTTGCTACTTCAACCACCCAATGAGGTACAATTATTTGTTCAATTTTTAAGGTAAGAAAACTGAGAAATAAGTTATGGAACTTATGAAGCTATATAAAATTGAGGTTAAGAACTGGGGCTTGAGTTTCATTGCCTTGAGTTCCAGTCCTGACACAATCATTAACTAGCTGTGTGATTGTGGGAGGAAAATGGACTCTCTAAGCCTCAGTTTCTTTACCTATGAAATGGGAGTGGGAATGGAGAATAGGAGCTACTGCAAACAGTTGTTTTGAGGATTCATGTCAGACTAGAAATACTTAATTATTATCATCAAAGTGATTAAGGTATAAATTTCAGAGATGGAATTCAAACCTCAAGCTCATCTCATTTCACCATATTGCCCTTTAGATGGTGTTCACAAAGGCCAACATTTTTCATGGCGAGATGTCTAGAATTTGAACTTTAGAATGATCCTTCTGGTCAATTTAAATCTGCTGTGAAGCAAGTTGCCCACCTACAGGTAAAGCCCCCGTTATGTCTTAAAATGAATGATGAAAATGGCTGCAAGAATTTGGGAGGGAGGCCCTGAGTCCCATATAATTTCATGTTGCAGGACATGGAATGGAAGGACATGGAAGATACAAATAGAGTCGGACAAGAAAGACTTTACCTAACTCTGGAGGAATCAGCTTTGAGGAGACCTACAAAGGGTAAATCTGTTACACACACACACACACACACACACACACACACACACACAGTGGAAAACACCATGCAGTAAGGAATATGAAGATTTCCATAAAAGTGAAGGTCATACTATTCTCCAGTTCCATTTTGTCAGGAGAGCCAGTACGTGTCCAATCCAAATCAAAGCATGCTGTACCACGGTTTTCACCACATGCTTTAAGAATGAGGAGGTGGGCGCGATGGCTCATGCCTGTAATCCCAGAACTTTGGGAGGCTGAGGCAGGTGGATCACGAGTTCAAAAGATCAAGACCATCCTGGCCAACATGGTGAAACCCTGTCTCTACTAAAAATACAAAAATTAGCTGGGCGTGGTTGGCGCATGCCTGCAGCCCCAGCTACTCGGGAGGCTGAGGCAGGAGAAACGCTTGAACCCGGGAGGGAGAGGTTGCAGTGAGCCAAGATCACGCCACTGCACTCCAGCCTGGGGACAGAGTGAGACTCTGTCAGAAAAAAAAAAAAATTAGGAAAGAGGAGATTAAGAACAGAGAGTAGAGGACAATGGAGGAAAATTGAGATTACTTTTTGGAAGAAAGAAAGGAAATATTTGCTCTTCTACATCCTACAATATATCAGGTAGGAGTTTGCTTTTAAGTTGGGCTTTGAAGGAAGGCTAAATTCATTAGTTGGATACAGAAAGAATCAACTTCCTTGGGGTGTGTGTTGGGGGGAGAGAGAGAGAGAGACAGAGAAAGAGGTGTACCTGGGGTGTTGAAAGCAGTTGTGATTTATATGGCAAGTAGGTACTCATCATCTTGTTTGAATACACATTTTCTTTTTTTTCTTGAGACGAAGTTTCACTCTTGTTGCCCAGGCTGGAGCACAGTGGCATGATCTCCACTCACTGCAAGCTCCGCCTGCCAGGTTCAAGCAGTTCTCCTGCCTCAGCCTCCCCAGTAGCTGGGATTACAGGCATGTGCCACCACCCCCGGCTAATTTTTTGTTTTTTTAGTAGAGATGGGGTTTCGCCATATTGGCCAGGCTGGTCTCGAACTCCTGAACTCAGGTGATCCACCCACCTCGGCCTCCCAAAGTGCTGGAATTACAGGCCTGAGCCACCGCGCCCGGCCGAATCCATTTTCATGTGGACTTTTGATTATACAGTCAATTTCGAGTTTTGCCTTCTTACTAGGGTATATTCTAAAAGTTCATTTTAAATAATGTTCAAATCATTTTACAATGTTTCTTTTTTCTTTCTTTCTTTCTTTCTTTTTTTTTTTTTTTGAGACTGAGTTTCGCTCTTGTTGCCCAGGCTGGAGTGCAGTGGCGCGATCTCCGCTCACCGCAACCTCTGCCTCTGGGTTTCAAGCGATTCTCCTGCCTCACCCTCCTAAGTACCTGGGATTACAGGCATGCGCCACCATGCCTAGCTAATTTTGTATTTTTAGTAGAGACAGGGTTTCTCCATGTTGGTCAGGCTGGTCGCGAACTCCCGACCTTAGGTGATCCGCCCGCCTCGGCCTCCCAAATTGCTTGGATTACAGGCGTGAGCCACCGCGCCCAGCCCAGTGTTTCTTTTAATATGCTTTTGATGTTTTTGAAACAAAGAAAATTTACTTTAAAGTAAATACCGTATAATGCCAAAATTAATTTTAAAGCCAGGAAATTGTTTCTATAAATATGATTTTAAAGTCATCATACAGCTCTGAAAAGTTGTAAGAAACACTGTCTGGATCTAGTTTTTAAAATATTGTCCAAAACAATTTCCTTGTTTCATCTGGCATCCTTTACTAAATCATATTAATGTTAGGACAGTTTTTTCACTGGGCGAGGTGGCTCACGCCGGTAATCCCAGCACTTTGGGAGGCCGAGGCAGGCGGATCACGAGGTCAGGAGACCGAGACCATCCTGGCTAACAAGGTAAAAGCCTGTCTCTACTAAAAATACAAAAAAAATTAGCAGGGCGCGGTGGCAGGCGCCTGTAGTCCCAGCTACTCGGGAGGCTGAGGCAGGAGAATGGCGTGAACCTGGGAGGCGGAGCTTGCAGTGAGCCGAGTTCGCGCCACTGCACTCCAGCCTGGGCGATAAATCGAGACTCTGTCTCAAAAAAAAAAAAAAAGAAAAAAGAAAAAAAGACAGTTTTTGCAATCTGTCTCCAATTACTAAGAAACGTTTCTCAACTGGTTGTTGAAAATATGAATTTCAATTTTAATTGTCAACATACTTGACTTTATTTATTGAGTAAATAAAATCTAATTAAGTAGACATTATTTTTTCAGTTTTACAGATGTGAAAATTAAGAAACAGAGAGAAGAGACTATTCAAAGCAGTTGAACACTGGATAAGAGCTGGATTTGAGTTTGACAGCCCTGAGTTCCAATCCTGGTTCCATCACACACTCGCTAAATGACCTTGGCAAAGTAGTTGACTCTCTGTGAATCTCTCTTAAGGCCATTCAGGCTAACTAAGATTTAGTTACCTAAGTTTTAAAAATTAACCATGTAGGCTGAGAGTCTACGCATTTGAATATTCATTAAATCATGATGGAGATATGAATTGACCAAATTCTTCTTTCTCTTCAACAAATCTTTATTAAAAATGCATCATGGGTCAGGTATTATACTAGTTAATGAAGAGACAAAGATGAAAAAGACATCTCAAGAAACATTGAAAAAGTTTCCGTAAATATTAATATCAAACCAGTAAAATAATATGTAGTGTGTCAGCTTGCTGTCATTTAAGTTAAATCTTGCATGGACCTCATAATTCTCGAACTTCTCTTGAGTTCCTTCATTTGGTGTTTGGTTTGGAAAGCATTTGAATACTATTTCAAAACTACTATTCTAAACATGGCTTTGCTGATATAATAGGAAACTGTAAACTTCCTTGAAGTATGTTTATTCCAACTTGCTATTATTTTATGTAACACTCTTAAAGAACTTAAGGTGAATCAGTATCTCCCGGTGAAGAGCTCTGGCTTTATACCAGACAAACTTAGGTTCTTATTCTCACCTACTTACTGGTTGCATGGCCTTGAAAAAGCTCCTTGAACTGTTTATGCCTCAGTTCTCTCATCTGTAAATTAAGGATAATGAAAGCACCTAACTAAAGAGTTGTTATGAGTTTACATGGGATTTGAGATGTAAAGCATTTAACTCATAGAAGCTCAATAAATTATTGACTATTGTAAGTAGTCTTCAATATATAATCTTAAATCTATAATCTTCAATATATAATCATCAATATATAATGATGAAATCATATATAAAACATTCAATATATAATCATCCCTCGGTATTTATGGGGGATTGGTTCTAGGAACTCCCTTGGATATCAAAATCCAAAGTTGTTATTTGGACAATGGTTATACTAAAAGCTCAGATTTCACCACTACACAATATATTCATGTAACATAATTGTACTTGCTGTACCCCTTAAATCTGTACAAAAAAAATCAGAGGATGCTCAAGTCTCTGATACAAAATGGTACAGTGTTTGCATATAACCTATGTACATCCTTCTGTGTGCTTTAATTTATCTCTAGGTTACTTATAATACCTAATACACTGTAAATGCCATGTAAATAGTTGTTATACTGCACTGTTTAGGGAATAGTGACAAGAAAAGTCTGTACATATTCAGTGAAGACATAATTTTTTTGAATATTTTTGATCTGCAGTTGGTTGAATCCATGAATGCAGAATCCACAGATATGGAGGGCTGACTGTACTTATGTTTTGTCAAAGTCAGAAACATTCTATTTACCTTTGACCTATTTGATTTGTTTTGCTTTGTACTCAATGTTGAAGTTTTTACCACTTTGCTCTCTAGTCTCCTACCTTCTCAGGGAGAATTGAGTTTTTTGTTCCCTTGTTATTGAAGGACAGAAGCTAAATAGTGTGGTCTGGAGTAGCCTCACCCTGGCAAATTGTTCCTGGATTGGGTCTGTCACATTGAGATTGCAGAATCTATCGTACAAAGATTCAATTTTTCTTTCTTTATTTCTTTCTCTCTTCTTTTTTATTTTTTTTTTATTTTTGAGATGGAGTTTCGCTCTGTCGCCCAGGCTGGAGTGCAGGGGTGTGATCTCCGCCCACAGCAACCTCCACCTGCCGAATTCAAGCGATTCTTCTGCTTCAGCCTCCCGAGTAGCTGGGACTATAGGGGCGTGCCGCCACACCCAGCTAATTTTTATATTTTTAGTAGAGACAGGGCTTCACCATATTGGCCAGGCATGAGCCACCGTGCCCGGCGCAAGATTCAATTTTTCAAAGCCAAGTTGCAAGAAAGTCATGCAGAAAAGACACAAGGTCATGCCATGCTTTAACAGTTATTTTTAAAGAGTACACTTTAATATTCGCAAAAGTGAAGAAATTCTAAAATATTTTCCTTGGTTGGTATGTATGAACATATCTATGTCTACACCTATTGTTTCCCAGGATAAATTTGAACTTTAACTTTCTCATCCACGTTCTCCTCTACTTCCTTTGACATACACCTTTCTCGGAAGAGACAGTCTTCTGCTTCAGACCAGCAGGTCCTTGATGATAGATGTATCAAATTCTGGCCAGGAGACACAAACCTCTCCAGTTAGTTTTACTGACAGAATTTAATATAATGGATTAACTAGGTGTAAAGGTGGAAGAAACTGAAAGGGTAAAAAGAGAAGTCTAATGTATCACAGATGTAGCAACTGTAAAAAGCAGCAACCATCCATCCCTAGGGCAGAGAGTACAAAAGGAAGAAGCTGGAGTTATTAATATTTAGAAAGTTAGAGGAGGACCCAGTGGAGCTAAGCCTCAGAACCTCAGGGGCACCTGCTGACTGGTGCTGTTTTCTCTGAGATGGGGGCAGGATAAAGCTAGTGCTCCAAGTATTGGCAGACTTCCACCTGAGTTCAGCTGCTGCTATGGGAAGAAGCTGCTATTGTTAGGGCGAAGAAACATTGCCAGTGTGATGCTTCCAGGAATTGCAAGCAGAAGGAAGCTCCAGAAGAAACAAATAGAAAGGAGCAAGTTTCTTCCTTCTTTGCACTCGTTGACTCCCACTTGAGCCCCGTATTATCAGAATCTAACACACAGCAAGCTGGCAAAGCAGAAATGTAGTTTGCAGAGTCCTAGTCACAGCATCTTAGAGCAGAGTAGGAAAGGGGGGGGTTGCAAGTGAGAGGCAATAGCTTAATAATTGGCACAATAGAGAACAGGTTTTGTTGTCAGCCTCTGGCATGGTTCCAGAACTACAGTCTTGAATAAATGGTTTGGGCCAGGCCTGGTGGCTCAGGCCTGTAACTTCAGCACTTTCAGAGGCTGAGGTGGGCAGATCACCTGAGGTTGGGAGCTCTAGACCTGCCTGGCCAACATGGTGAAACCCCATCTCTACTAAAAATACAAAAATTAGCCGGGTGTGTTGCCTGTAGTCCCAGCTACTTGGGAGGCTGAGGCATGAGAATCACTTAAACCCAGGAGGTGGAGGTTGCAGTGAGCTAAGATCGCACCACTGCACTCCGGCCTGGGCAGCAAAGTGAGACTCTGCCTCAAAATAAATAAATAAATAAATAAATGCATTGGAATGGATATGTGTTTACAGTTATATTTTCAAATGTGATTTCAGTGGTGAAAACTTCAGTTTCTCTTGTAAAAAGAGCTATCTTTTTTAGGAAAATGGAGCGCTTTCATTGAGGTGAAGTCCCAATGTTAAGGTCTTAAGGAATTACAGGAAAAGAGAGAGAATTAAACTGCCCTTAATCAGGAGTTAGCAGAAGTTGAAGGGGAATAGGGTCATGGGCAAAGGTAGTGGCTGAAAAGGAAAGGGAAGATCAAACAGTCAAACAAGAGCACCAGGGCCACACAACCTGTGAGATTAGGGTGGATAATGATAAAGAACCAGTCAGAAATTCTTGGTAGAAGGATGACACAAGGATTTTTAAAATAGAAATGATAAATATTTGACTTTGGCTAGGCATGGTGGGTCACGCCTGTAATCCCAGCACTTTGGGAGGCAGAGGTGGGCAGATCACTTGAGGCCAGGAGTTCAAGACCAGCCTGGCCAACATGGTGAAACCCCATCTCTACTGAAAATACAAAAATTAGCCAGGCATGGTGGTGCACACCTGTAATCCCAGCTACTCGGGAGGGTGAGGCAGGAGAATAATTTGAACCCAGGAGGCAGGGGTTGCTGTGAGCTGAGATTGTGCCACTGTACTCCAGCCTGGGAGACAGAGCAAGACTCTTGTCTCAAAAGAAGAAAGGAAGGAAGGAGGGAGGGAGGGAGGGGAAGAGGAAAGGAAGGAAGGAAGGAAGGAAGGAAAGAAGGAGGCTTGAATTTATGACTATGGCAAGGAAGGAAGAAGGCTTGACTTTATGACTATGGCTTTAAAGGTAAACTCAAATCTTCCAGACACTGACATTTGCCACTTGCACTGGTTTATTTATGGGTAAAGGACAGTATGCATTAGACACTGAGATGAGCCATATGTTGGACCAACTCTGTGAGAGCTAGAGCTATAAGACATAGGTAACTAGCAGAAACAAGACCTCTACAAGTTCTTTGCCCCTGGCAAAGAAGAGTTCGGGATGACCCAAACTCTGCTCCACGTGGTCACTCATCCTTATGTCCTTGTGGCAGTGGCAGGCACCTAAGGGATGAAACAGAAGCATGCAAGGTTCTTGAAACATAGCCTCAGAACTAGCATACTGTAACCTCTTCCTCATTCTATTGGCTGAGCTGCAAGTAACAAGACTGGCACAGGTCAAGGGTGGGGAGAAAATAATCACCTCTGGATGTGAAGATCTAGAAAGTGACATTGTAGGGGGCAAGAATGCAGGGAAAGGTGAAAATCTGAGGCTGCAGTTGTCATTGACCTACCATAGATAGATATGTTTTTGTTCTATCTGGGTTCCCAGTCAATTGGATGGTGCCCGCCCACATCGAGGGTGGGTCTTCTCCACTTAGTCCACTCAGACTCACACGCCAATCTCCTCTGGAGACACCTTTATAGACACACTTCAAAATCATGCTTTACCAGGCCTGTCAGTATTTATTTCCTAATCCAGTCAAGTGGACACCCGAAATTAGCCATCACAGCACAGAACTTCTCAAAGTGTGGTCTGGCTTCCAGTAACATCAGCCTCACCTGAGTGCTTGCTAGAAGGGCACAGTCTCAGGCACCACTCCACATCTGCTGAGTCAGAGTCTTTGAAGGTGGGGCCCAAAACACTGTGTTTTAAAACCTCTCCAGATGATTCATATGCACTTAAAATTTGAAAGGCAATGTTACTAGATCTAATAGACCTCAATTTTTCTTTAAGAGGTGGGCATAACTAGGTCTGAGTCGGCCTCTGGAGTTCTCTGACAAGGAATACATTTCTAGGAGTAACTGGAATGAGAAAGCAACTTTTTTGTATATTAAAGAAATATCATCAGGCCGGGCTCCATGGCTCACACCTGTAATCCCAGCACTTAGGGAGGCTGAGACAGGCAGATCACCTGAGGTTGGGGGTTGGAGACCAGACTGACCAACATGGAGAAACCCCGTCTCTACTAGAAATACAAAATTGGAAGGGTGTGGTGGCACAGGCCTATAATCCCAGCTACTCTGGAGGCTGAGGCAGGAGAGTTGCTTGAACCGGGGAGGCGGAGATTGCAGTGAGCTGAGAGCACGCCATTGCACTCCAGCCTGGGCAACAAGAGTGAAACTCCGTCAAAAAAAAAAAAAAAAAAATAGAAAAGAAAAAGAAAGAGAGAAAGAAAGAAAGAAAGAAGATCTATTTTGTATTTCAAGCTAGTAAAGCAGGATTTTTCATTTTTTTTTTAATTTTTTTTTTGAGATGGGGTTTTGTTCTTGTTGCCCAGGCTGGAGTACAATGGCACAGTTTCAGCTCACTGCAACCTCTGCCTCACGGATTCAAGTGATTCTCCTGCCTCAGCCTCTCAAGTAGCTGAGATTACAGGCACCCACCACCACACCCAGCTAATTTTTGTATTTTTAGTAGAGATGGGGTTTTACCATGTTGGCCAGGCTGGTCTCGAACTCCTGACCTCAGGTGATCTGCCCACCTTGGCCTCCCAAAGTGCTGGGATTACAGATGTGAGCCACTGCGCCTGTCCAAAGCAGGATATATTTAGTTTTACTTGGATTCTCTTTTTCCTTTGGGTTAGAAATTCAGTCTTATAATTTCAACAGTTTTAGTTCTCCATTGAAACTTACTTGAAAATCTACATCTCAATTATCTGTGACCATTTTCAATAAGTTATCAGGCTTCTGGCATAAAAGTTGGGAGATGTTCACCCTTCTGAAACATGCAATAATCGTGAGTAGCTGTAGGTTTTTTGAATTAAAAAAAAAAAAAAACAATTTTGGCATAGATAGGGAAGACACAATACAGGTTTAATCAAAGTAATAGAACTAGTATCTAAAACTTTTCCCCTTGAAAACCTTGCCATTCCACAAAAAGAGTTGCCAGCTAGAATTAATAAAAAGTACAGTACTATTTTGGAAAACTGTATATTATTTTTCATTTGCAAGGAAATGCCTAACCTGGTAGAATGTAGAACTTTGTGTCAATTATCTTCTTAATTTCAAAAAGGGTTTAAGGCTACTAAAAATTCATGAAACACAAAAGGTGAAAAGAGAGGAAGCCAGTAGAAGAAGTAATACAATGACGTGAATTTTACTCTTCAGCAAGCCCCCAAGCCATTTTGGGGCCTCACCAGCAAAGACTCTGACTCAGCAGATGTCAAGTGGTGCCTGAGACTGTGTGCCCTTCTAGCAAGCGCTCAGGTGAGGCTGATGTTGCTGGAACCCAGACCACACTTTGAGAAGTTCTGTGCTGTGATAGTTAATTTTAGGTGTCTACTTGAGTGGATTAGGGGATAAATACCGAGAGACTTGCTAAAGCATTATTTTAGGGTGTGTCTGTGAGGGTGTCTCCAGAGGAGATTGGCATGTGAATCTGAGTAGATTAAGTGGGGAAGACCACCCTCAGTGTGGGTGGGCACCATCCAATTGGCTGGGGACCTGGACAGAGCAAAAACAAAGGACAGGCAAAATTGGTCTTTCTCTCCTGGAGCTCGATTTTAACCCCTTAACATTTCTTCTTTCCAGCTCTATGGCACAGTGATTCTCAGAAAATTCCTGAAGTAAAGCGGTAGCCTCATTTTCTTCCTGAAGGGCTGGCTGCAATGGGGGCTGTGGTGCAAGGCACAGCGGGAAGATAGCAAGCTGTGCAGGGTTCCATGTGTCTTTGCTGCTGTTTGGTTTTATATTTCAATCAGTCAGCTCTTCACCCATCCCCCTAGACTTAAACTACTATTTTAAAATGATCTGCTGGGTGAAGTGGCTCACGCCTGTAATCCCAGCATTTTGGGAGGCCGAGGTGGGTGGATCATCTGAGGTCAGGAGTTCAAGACCAGCCTGGCCAACATGGTGAAACCCCGTCTCTACTAAAATACAAAAATTAGCCAGGTGTGGTGGTGGGCACCTGTAATCCCAGCTACTTGGGAGGCTGAAGCAGGAGAATTGCTTGAACCCAGGAGGCAGAGGTTGCAGTGAGCCGAGATCGTGCCACTGCACTCCAGCCTAGGCAACAGAGTGAGATTCTGTCTCAAAAAAAAAAATTAAAATTAAAAACTTAACAAAAGATCCACATTTTGTTAAAATGCCAGTTATATTGGCTGAATATATTTTTGAGTAATTATTTTCCTAATTATTAAAATAAAACCTAATTGGTGCAGATAATCTAAAACAACCTAGAACATATGGAAAACACACATAAAAAATGACATTTCACCAACCTAAAGACATTACTGTTAATATTTGGTATAGTGCTCTTTAGTATCTTTTCAATGTATGTTACAGGGTTGAGACCGTACTGCATCTATTAAATAGTTTTTCCTCAATAGGATTTCATAATCTTTTTTTTTTTTTTTTAATGGAGTCTTGCTCTGTCACCAGGCTGGAGTGCAGTGGCACTATCTTGGCTCACTGCAACCTCTGCCTCCTGGGTTCAAGTGATTCCCCTGCCTCAGCTTCCTGAGTAGCTGAGACTACAGGTGTGTGCCACCATGCCTGGCTAATTTTTTTGTATTTTAGTAGTGACAGGGTTTCACCATATTGGTCAGGATGGCCTTGATCTCCTGACCTGGTGATCCGCCTGCTTCGGCCTCCCAAAGTGCTGGGATTACAGGTGTGAGCCACTGTGCCTGGTCTTTTTTTTTTTTTTCATAATCATTTTCTACTAGAAGTAAATTTTCATAAACATTACTTATAATGACTGCATGATATTCCATAGTATGCAAATAGCATAATTTATTTAAACATTTCCCTATGGGGATTTAGGTTAATTCCTATAAAATAAATTACAACAAAGTTAATGTCACAGAATCCTCATCCTGAGGAATTCGCAGGCAGACTAAAGCCTCATCTTTTTAGGCAATAAATGAGGCTGAGAGTTACATAGTTTACTCTCTTTAGTGTCATAGATATAGTAATATACATTGAAATAATTGATCTATAGCTTCCTGAGAGAAAACCAAAACAATGGCATTAGGTTAGAAAATTGAAATTTAGGCCAGGTGCGGTGGCTCACACCTGTAATCCCAGCACTTTGGGAGGCCAAGGAGGGAGGATCACAAGGTCAGGAAATCGAGACCATCCTGGCTAACACGGTGAAACCCTGTCTCTACTAAAAATACAGAAAAATTAGCCGGGCATGGTGGTGGGCACCTGTAGTCCTAGCTACTTGGGAGGCTGAGGCAGGAGAATGGCGTGAACCCGGGAGGTGGAGCTTGCAGTTAACCAAGATTGCGCCGCTGTACTCCAGCCTGGGCGACAGAGCAAGACTATGTCTCAAAAAAAAAAAAAAAGAAAAAGGAAATTGTAATTTAATTTTATTTTTGCTTGGTTAGTATTGGAGGCACATTTCTGCCTCTCCCTCCTTCCCTCTTTCCTTCCTTTTTAAATCTGTGTGTTTCAGCTTTGTGAAACCTTTCTGGAATAAATCTAGTTTAGCTGGTCCTGGACCTCAGCTCCCTAGCTCCTTTCTTCCCAGGTATCCTTCTGCAGTAACAGTAGAAACATGTTGTCCAGGAAGGTGTTGACAAGACTGGCAGTGTCTCAGATCGGATAGCAAATTTTAACTCCTTTTAAAAATGATGCTGCAGTTATGAGGTCAGTGACTTATGAGCAAAGCTTGGATGTCTCAGGTATACAAAAGACACTGTTCCTTGTGTCAGGAAAGAACTGTTTGGATTAAATTAAATACAAAAAGAACCTCCTTCCAATATTCTTTTAAAATGTTTTCATGAATCACTATGTTAGCTTTTAAAAAGTGTTTGATAATTTTATAACATCCTTTTTAATGTGGCATCCAGTGTGGCTCTTCAGTCTAAAGAAATGTTACTATAATCATATAACTGTAGTTCTCAGATGCTTTATTTTCTGCTTAATAATATATGTGCTTATCATGTGACTGAGTATAGATCATATGAATATATTATGGCTTAAAACTCAGAATTTGAATTTCGTGGACTGTGCTAAAATTCAATAAAACTACATTTGGATGCAAGGGGGAAAGAGAAACATGTGGCTTGAATTTTCCTTAAAACACACAGGGAATAGTTAAAGGGGAAAAGTGCTTGGGACAGAGTATAGCTGAAGTTTTGCCAGACTCATACCATTTAAACAATGGTTTAAGACTGAATTAAAATCCCAAGCAGATCTCTTTAATCTCCCCCAAAGGATATAAGGTAGCTTTTCAACTTTGTAAGATAAAGTTAATGTAAATACTTCGAATGAGCAAAATGGGGAATGCTGGACTTGAAGAAATTGTTTTTGTCCTCTGGAATTCAAGGTCTTCCCAGCTACACTTGGATCCTCACTCTGCCTTTAAACCCAAAAGAGGTTAGCTTATCCCTGGCTTTTGCAACTATTTCTTTAGTTTTCCATTTTCAACGCTAACTCCACCCTGCTCTTGCACTCCCACACAGACTCACAGACACACAATCTGGTTAACACAAATACCTCTTCAAGTCCTTGCCACATCATCCAAGCCTGAACATGTCCCCAGGCTATCCTTTCTTCCCATTTCATAGTTAGATACAATGAAAAATGAAATGGCATTGGAATGAAATGGAATGAAAATGGCAATTTTGTCAGATGAATGGAATTTGAGGAGAATCAGTGGCTTTAATGATCAGTGTTGCTTCTCCTAAGGCACTCTATTTCCACACTCAGCTGGAGTCTTCCTGTACTAGTGCCAAGCAGGCAAATGTCACCTTTGAATCCCAGGAGGAGATGTGTTGATCAGCCTTCTAAACTGCTCAATGCAAAGATGCTTGGAATTCAGCAGTGCCACTTCCAGCTAACTGGCTCTGATTCCTATGGATGCAACTAGTCCTCCTCCCTGGCTGGACTAATGCCAGTCTACTTAAGGAGATAATTGACCACAAGCCAGCCTTTCTGACAGGCTTCCTAAGTGCCAGATGCCAACTGTGCCAGTCCCGGCCCTTATGGGAAGGCCTGTTCTCCTTGGGATGATAGCTAACGTAGCTTCATCCTAACCTTGGCCCTTAACTCTGTTCTCAACTTCCCTCCAAAATATAATCAAGTGGTTCATTCCAAGTTGTTTTCTTTCTACTTTTATTTTAAGAATATCAACACCACCCTCCTTCCTCATTGCTTCTCTTCGTCTTTCTCAGGGTTCACTTAAGTGGGATACAGGCTAAACAACTACAGCCTTTTCTATCATCCTGGAAACTAGGAGCATGACTTCATGTTGAGAGGGTTACCAAAATATCATCATTAATTTATTATTCCTCTTATACAGGTTTTAGTGGTTCTCTATAAACTTCCATTATTGCCAAACCAATACTTTGTCAATGGTTGGACCCCTATTAGCATATTTAAAATAAGCACCAAACTCGGCCCGGATGTCTTTGAGTGGATGTGTTTTGGCACTTGGATATATAGATATGATTCTGGTGACAGCAGTGAGCCTGGGCCTGGGGGGTCTCCCAGTCCTGGTATCCCAAAGGCCTGTCAAGACTATTCCTTGCTAGGTTCCCGGCTTGGCAACGCCGGTAGTAGGTGCTACTGGGGATGAAGCCCTCACAATACAGTTAGGGTTCAAGGAACCCAGGCGCCATCTTAATGAAGAAGGGTCTTCAGGGCGGTGTCCAGGGCCTTAATTGGGGTCTCCCTTGGGATCAGGGCCTTGGCAGAAAAGCCCCGCCCCCTTGTTTATTTACACGAACCCCCCCCACCTTCTCCAGTCTCCACTTCGTTCACAGCTTCCTTTGTGAACCAAGGTTCCCTTCTGGATGAAAACTGTGCCTCCTCATCTCTGCTCTTTCTCTCCTTCTCCTTACTGTGAAAACCAAACCAAACCACTGTGTTTACCTCACTGATGCAGGAGGGGGTTCCACGGCAGGGGCTGGGTGCCGGGAAGCTTCATGGCCCACAGCTTCCTCTCTTTCTGGAGAGGCTGACCCTTGAGCCAGCCCACCCGGCGCCGCAGGTCGCTTTGGGCCTCACCTCTCTCCTGAAAGCAGGACCGAGGGCACCCCTAAAAAGCACACTGGGCCTTTCAGGCAGGTGAGAAAGAGAGAGGAGGTGCTTTGAAGAAACCCCTGGGATCCCAGGCCCTTCTTCTGGCCGGGTAACTCGCTGCTGCTAAACTAGGTTGGGGCCGGGGCTTCAGATCACCTGGAGATGGACAAGGAAGCCAGACCCCAAAGTTCCCCCAGATTTATAACTCCCGTGTCAGGGTCCCCTCCGCCTTCTTTCTTTTCTCTTTCAATAGTCCCAGAATAACAGAGAGGAAAACCTCACAGGAAACGTGGCAGTCTCAAGCTGGAAGAATGGGATATACTCCCGAATTGTTTGAGCCCCCAAAACAAAACTTCTGGCCTAAGAAATGTCTCCCAGGCGAAGTCAAAACTTTGAGGCACGCCGCAATGGGATTTGTAAATAAGGGATTCGTTGAAACACCTAGTTTTAAGATGTAACCTAACTTCCTCCCCATTCCTGCCCCTGCCATTGTCATTCTGTGCATGGGTGGTCTTTTGGCTTTTTATTTTATTCTGATGAAAGGTCAGAGGTGACTTTCGTTGGCCTGGCTGGGCACACGGAAGCTGGTTCAAAGTAGACCTGTGCTAAAGGGTGGAGGGCGGAGGCCGGGACGCGGCTTCCCAGGCCCCAGCGGAGGCGCCGCACCCTGCCGGGGCCTCCTGGCCCACTCCCAGAGCAGCTCTGCAGCAGCCGCTGCCCAAGGGTTCCCTTCCCGCAGCTCGAGCAGCTTGGCCGCCGGCTTTCACCCACCAAGAACTCTGCGGTCCCAGGCCCCAGGCTGTGGCCTCCCGCGAGGCGCGGTGTCGGCGCGCAACAGGTCTTCTAGGCGGCGGTGGCTGGGCGCGCTTGCCTAGTTGATGCGGCAGCGGCAGTGTCCCGGCGCCAACCCGGCTGCCTCCGTCCAGGACCGCAGACTTAAGGGGGCGCCGTCGGGCACCCACCCCGCTGACACCGAGTTCCTGGCCTTAGATGGTAGTCGAGGACCTCAAAATGGGAGAGAGGTGACGGATAGTGGTGACAGGAAAAACGCACTGTTGCGGGTTTTTGCTAATTCAGTCTCTACCATGGTGGTGGACTTAAGTTCAATTAGGAAACGGACATATTAAAAATAGGTGGTGGCCGGGCGTGATGGCTCACGCCTGTAATCCTAGCACTTTGGGAGGCCCAGATGGGACGATTGTTTGAGATCGGAAGTTCGAGACCAGCCTGGTAAACATAGTGGGATCTTGTCTCTAAAATACTACTACTAATAATAATAGATAGTAAAAGAGATGATTGTGCCAAAGGCTGAAAGGAGCAATGAAGGAAATCGGTGCTTACTGGTGGCTCGCCCGTGTACTCACCCCTTTGAAGTTCTGAAGTTAAGAAATAAGAGGGAGGGGAAGGATTTGCAAAGTACCCTAACCTAACTGTGGGCACTCAAACCACGGCCTCATCCTTGGAGAACTGAAACACCTTCACACGGGGCTAGCATAGATATCCAGAGAGAAGCTTTAATAGAGAACACCGCGTACAACACCAGCAGACATAAACAAAGTCACAACCCGAACGCGGCGCGGACAAGAGGCGGAGGTGACTTAGAGCCAAAGGGCAAAGCGGATTTCTCCCCACTCTGCCCCCCTCCATTCCCAAAATTGTGTCGCGAGTAAAGTGCTATTCCCTGGGGCTCAAGAGGGGGGAAGGGCAAGAGCGACAAGGCAAGTTTCTTTCCCATTCACGAATTGAAACTGAAGAATTAATTCGCCTGAAAGACATAAGCGCTCAAACAGCACACGGAATACAAAAACAGCCGCAGCGTGCAAAGGTGACTGGGTGGTCCCCTTGCTTCCGTCCGAGGAGACTGGAAGGGAACAGCCATGGAACGTTTCTGCAAGCGTTAAGAGCAATATTGTCGAGTGATGTGCCGAGTTTTTCCTGCATTCGTAAGTTAGGGAAACAAAATCCCGCTATACAAGTGATTTGTTTCCTTAAAATTCCAAATAGAAAGGATCGTGGGAATTCACATTATTCTTGGGCTCTCATCCGACTGATACCCAAACAAGTTGCAGGTGGAAAGTCGCCTGTATTGTCTCCCTTTGGTTGTGTTTCCCAACTTTTGGAATTTGGGGCTTTACCCTTTAAGCTGCTGCCATTCTCTTTTGTACAAACTAATTGCTCTAGAGGTTCCTCCTATCCTTCTTGACCCCCAGGTCAGAGCCAAGAACCTTAGCTGTTTCCCAAAGATATTTCGTGGGGTTCCCGCTGCCTCCTCTCCTCCCCTTCCCCCTCCAAAGCGACTTTATTCATGACACCGTTTCCTTGCCCATTTAGCTGACTAGGAAAATAACGGTATCAAACGCTTCCTCTTTTCCTTCTTAAATAAAACGAAATTTCCTTAGTGGACGGCAGTTTTGTCTTGAATGTTCACGAGAGGCGACCGCCGAGGATGCGACCAGCAGAGAGAAACGTGGTGGCTGAGATCCGTTTCAGCGTCACTCTCTGTTGGATTCTTCGCGGGAGGTTTAGCTCTGCCAGCTTCTGCTCCCAGGAATAAGGGTCAGAATCGACTTCCAATTTACCAGCGAATGAGGCTTTCCTAACCTCCTTCGTTCCCTCCCCCCATAACTTATGGATTTATATTAATTACAATAGAAACTCTTACCTGAAAATTGGCTTTCATTAATCTGATTGTACAACATAGTATAAACACAGACACCAGGAAGGTTATATTTATTCAGACCACTGGAGAATCCACTTTTCGGGGTTGTTCGTCTATTTAAATACCTTCCGTTCCAGCAAAGGCTGAGACTCGCCAGCTCTGCCCGGCCTGACCAGGGCGCCCTCTCCCCGTCGGGTGGTTTGGGCGGTTCCGGGCCCGGCGTCTCTCACCCCGCTGGTCTCCCCACGCCCGCCGGGTCCCCTAGGAGTGCACTAGCACCGAGTGCAAGGAGCCGCCCTTGCTTTCGGCCGAGGTAGGGGCTGTGGGCTCCAGCAGAGAGGCAACGGGCGAGGCCGCGGCCGCGGAGCACACGGTGGATGGCGCCGGAGGCTGCTGCGAAGCCGCGGGGACAGTGAGCCCCGGCTGCAGCGCGGACACGGGCGGCAGCGCAGGCGTGGGCTTGATGGGCACCGGCATGGCAGGCAGGCTCTGGCTTGCCGAGTGGCACAGGGACTTGACCGGGACCCCGAAGGCCCCATACTCCGGGCCTACAGGGACTCCGGCTGCGGCTGCGGCGGCCGCGGCGGCGGCCACCGAATCCATGACGCCAACGTGCGGCCACACGGAGCTGACGACGTTGCCAAGCTGGCCGGGCACGGGGTAGCCCAGGTGGTGCATGACGGACGCCAAGGGCAGCCCTCCAGCCTGCAGCACGCCCTTGTAGTCCCGGCCAATAATGTTCTCAATGGCAAAGGGGTGCTTGAAGCCTGACGTGGACGCCGCGGCCGCGGCGGCAGCGGCGGCGGCCGAGCCCAGCCCGTAGGGTGGGAACTGAGACAGGCGTCCCACGCTGCCCACCGCGGCTGCCGCGGCCGCCGCCGCCGCCGCCGCCACGGCCGCCGCCTCCTGCATCTTGCCGGGGTGAGACGGCTGCTGAGGCTGCGACTGCTGGGGCGGTTGCTGCGGGGGCTGTGACGGGAGGTGCGGAGGCGGCTGCGGAGCAGTAGGCGGTTGCTGATGGAAATAGTGTACCATGTGCGGCGGCGGCGGGGGCGGCGGCGGCGGCGGCTGGGGTGGGTGGTGGTGATGGTGGTGGTGTGCGGCAGCGTGGTGATGATGGTGGTGGTGGGGGTGGTGGTGGTGATGGGGGTGAAGGTGCCCTCCCGGACCGGCGCCCGGCGCGCTCTTGGTGCTTCCCGCGTGCAAGTGAGTATGGTCGGCGCGCAGCACCTTGAAGCGCTTGCGACGCCGCAGGAAGCTGCCGTTCTCGAACATGTCCCCGCAGTCGGGGTGCAGCGCCCAGAAGCTACCCTTGCCAGGCTGGTCGGGCCTCCGCGGAATCTTGATGAAGCAGTCGTTGAAGGAGAGGTTGTGGCGCAGGCTGTTCTGCCAGCGCTGTGTGTGCTCGCGGTAGTAGGGGAAGCGCTCCATGATGAACTTGTAGATGTCGCTCAGCGGCAGCATCTTCTCGGCCGAGTGCTGGATTGCCATGGCGGTCAGCGAGATGTAAGAGTAGGGCGGTTTTTGGTCGCTGTACGAGCTCTTCCCCGGCCGCGGCATCGCCCCCGGCTCCTCCACCGCCCTCCGGCCCGCACTGGACCACAGAATCTCTCCGCACTCCGTTCCTGGGGCCTGGCTGCCCCCACTAATTCCCACTCGGCCCCTCCAGTCCCGCCACTTTGCCCTCTCGCCCTCCAGGCCCTCTCTGCTTCTCTCTCCTGCCTTCTCCGAATTGCCTGGTGTCTCCGACCTTGGCCTTTCGGGCCTACTCAGCTCTCGGAAGCTGGCAACTTCTGGCCCCGACGGTTGCCGACTGGCGCGCACAGTCGCGGGCGGAGTGCACCAGGTTTACCGCCGCCTTCTCTGCGTCTTCCCCCGGGTGGCCAAAGACTGAGTGCTGGAGCTGGCTGCAGAGGAGAGTGGCAAGGGGCCGTGTTTCCTCCCGGCCTCTTTGCTTTTTCTAGGTCCGAGGGAAACCCAGACCAAGATGGCTGGGAGGAAGGTCTGGGCAGTAGAGACTCTGGCCCTTTAAATCTGAGTTTGCGCCTGCTGTCCTGGAGGCCAGTGACAGCAGGACTTCCAGTGCCCTGGACGCAGGCCCCTGGCCAGGCACTTAGCCAGACCGCGCTGGAGTTCTCCTTTTCCTGGAGTGAAAAATCAGGGTAAGGAGAGAGAAGATTGGCTTCTAGGGCGCCTCTCTTTTCTCCGAGGCTCGCAGCGTCGCCGGGGTTAGAAGAGACGCGCAGCCCTAGGCTGTCGCTGAGGAGAAAAAACTTTGGTGGTTTCTGAAGCGGCAGCGCCCGCAGGTTCTGCTGAGGAGTGTGGGGCGCAGGACTCTGGGAGCGAGCGGCGGGCTGGAGAGGGCGTCTGCGAATGCTGGGTGAGTGCTGGCCGGGGAGGCTCAGCCGTCCGCGCCGCAGCTGCCGCCTTTCTCCCGGGCTTGTCTTGAGGAGGAGAGGCGACGGCAGTGGCAGCGACGCGCTCTCCTGGCTGCGTTTTGTAATGGTCCCCGAGACGCCGAGACCCCCGCAGCTAGCGCTTCGAGACTATCACATGACCGAGGCTGAGGGACTCAGCCGCCGCCGCCGCGTCTGTAGCTGAAGAAGGGGCAAGAAGGCGCCGTGCCTCGCCCCCGCCCCCTTTTCCACCTCGTTTCGGGCGCTCTCCACCCATCGCGTTCACCACTCGCTCGGCAGCCCCCAGCCACCTCCCGGTGCGGCGGGTGGCGCAGGCTGTTCGCCGGGAGGGGGCACAGCTCCGGGTGCATTTCCCGCAGCTGCGCCCCACCCGGGCCACCAAGCACGGTGGAGGGGGAACAGGACACTGCCTTCTTGCTTCTCTTCTCTCTGGCATCTCCCTCTTCCGCCCCCTTCCTTTTACCCTTCCCTGTTTTCATCTACTCGCTGTGAGCTTCTCTCTCCTTACAAACCCTTTTTCCTGGGCTAGACACTCTGGGTCAAGTTCAGAGTATCGTGTCCTCAAGGCCTCTTCTCTGCAAGAAACCCCGATGATTAGAGGGCTGGAGGGAAAAACTCATGGGGAAGAAAGCATGGGGTGTTTTCACCAAATGCCAAATTCATCTCAGTTTTATTGCGCGCCAACTGCATGTGAGGCACCAGGTGCAGGGAGACAGGAGACAGTATCCGAGCTCCACCATCGCGGTATAGAGGGTGAGACGAACAGTAACCAAGAAATTAATAGAATAGGCACTAAAGGGCTTGGCGAATGGAGGCTCCACCACACTTTCCTGGAGCGAGTGAGTTGGACAAGATGAGGTTTCTCTGGGATGGCGATGTCTGAGCTGGGGCCAGAAGTAAGAGTTGGGGATTCAGGGGTCCCATCACCTGTGTGTGCTGGAAGGAAATCTTTGCTATTCTTAGCACGGTGGTGTGGGGCCAGGGCGAGGCAGGAGGTGGAATGGAAATAATTAAATAGGAAGCAAAAATTATCAGTCCACAGGATCCTGGTGTGATCTGCGAGGGAGAGGTGGATGAACCCAGGAGTGAGGTCCTTCTGCTTGGAGGTTCCTGCTCTGCACTCATCCAAACACCCAGCAGGAAACCCCAGTTTACTGCAGGGAGAACCTGAAGTTGTATACTCGTTTTGGCTACCTTTGCCCTTCAGCTGGGAGGAAAAGCAGAGTTTAGAAACAAGTATACTCTCCGTCTCTGGGACTGTTTCATTATTTGTAAAATAGGGTGGCTGAAGTTGGAAATTCACGGGTCCTTTCCCGTTAGGCGATTTGAGGAGAAAGGAGCATTTGGACACTATGGCTCCCTCGGTTTTCCCACGCCTAACCTGGAAGAAAGCCATCGGCCCAGCTGCTTGGGGGGCTGCCCCCTAACTAGCAACCTTGGTGACACCAGATCGGGTGTTTTCAGCTTCTGGCTTTTGGTGAGCTGGACGGTGGGAGCACGTCTGTCCGTGGGGTGGCTTAGCCAGGTCGCAGGAGTGCCGTGAGCGGGTCAGGCCCGTAATTTCCATCTTTAGTCAGGAGCTAGATTTCTGGCTAGCTCTATGTGGCCAGTTTGTCCTAGGCCAGAAGACGTCTGAGAATAGATGTTACGACTGAAGCTTGCAAGAAGGCCCGGGGAAAAGAGCAGCTTCTTGGTCCTAAGCCCTTTTCAAAGTAAGATGTTTTCTCTTTCACTGTATGTCGGAAGCTTTCCTCCTGCCATAGGAGTTTCTGCGCGATTTTTGTCCGCTGAGACACTTGAGAGAGCCGAGCAGCGGACAGCCTCTTGGCCTCGGGAAGCCACAGAATTCCAAGGACGCTCACAGTTTGACAAGAGCCTGCTGGAGCCAGGTGGCTCCTTTTCCTTGGAACAAGACCGTGAGACAACAGCCCTGTCCCAGCCCAGGAAGCTGGGGTCTCCTGCACCGCTGTCAGGCCGCTGCTGAGGAGCTCTGCGTGCCGCACACTTAAGGGCTCTCCGGACTTCGACCCCACACGCAGCTCGAGCAAAGGGATCTTTTGTTGATACCTCGGATAGCATCCCTTCCGCGGGTTGCTGGAACAGCAGAGTCTCCTTTTGGGGAGCAGCTCTGGGACCGTGCCCGTTGGGCACTTGCGGCTCCTGGGAACCGATCGAGGGGAGGGGCCCTTCAGGGACTCCCGGGACAAATCTTGGGCGCATAACGCGAACCCTGAGCACAAAAAATGAGCCAGGCCCTCACTGGGTGAGCTCGCTACAGCCCGCAGACCCGCCGCCACAACCTCAGGTTCAGCGCCAGGGGACGCCAGGGGCTTGGCCAGTGTCTTCGGCCTCGGCGAGCCAGGTTCCACGCAACCTGGGACAAAACAGTCTCGGAGGCTGAGCGAAGCGCCCCGAGCCTCACGCTTCCGCATTCAGGTTGTGCTTGGCGAGGGTAGAAAGTACTTCCCACCACCTAGGCCACAGCCGGACGCGGCGGCCCAGGCCGCAATTGCTGCCTAGAGCGCAGACAGGGAGCTCGGGTCGCGTGTCTGTTTTGGAGAGTGGCGGGCTGCGGCCGCCGCGGAGGATCCTGGGGGATTCCAAGCGCGGCACTGGGCCGGGGTGCAGAGCTGGGGCCGCGGTGGGGAGGGGGGCGCGCTCTCCTCTTCCCCTACTTCCCCGGAGGTTAATTCCGACAAGTTTTGCAGGCGCTCAGTGGCACCGGCGGGGGCCGGAACGCGCGCGCTCCAGCTGCCTGCAGACCCCCTCTCAAGAAAAACAGATCGTGTAACCACCCTGGCACCAACCAGTCGGTTTCAAGTTTCCGCGAGTAATTTTTTTTTGTTGTTTTTAAACAACTACTGCACTATCCAAATATTGGCTGGCGCTCAGGACGCTGGCAGGCAAATCATTGCCCCGGGCTTAGTGTAATTATCTCAGGCGTATTTGGTTTACCCCTTAGGCAATTGTTGGCGACGCTATGCTAGGAAGAGGGGTTCCATGCAAGCTTTTATTGCGTTTAATTGGCTCTATGGAGGGGAGTAAAAAAAGATGTGGAACTTTAGGAGCGGTTATTTATTCATTCTTTCTCCTCCATGCCCCCAGCCCCTGGAGGGTCTCACGCGCTCCTTGGGCTGGATCTAGGCCAGGCCTTCCCACGGCTTCTGCGGACAGCTGTGCCCAGGGCGAGGAGGAACACAAGTTACCGATAGGGCTAGGACGACGTACAGCGCTAGAAAAAAGGCAAAGGTTTAGGCGCACATCTCAATTTCCATGGGTTCTCCCTTTACGCACTGACTTAGCTGACGTGCGGAAGGTTGCCTGGGTTAGTTACGTTTGGGGTCCTCCCAGGAGCCTTCCTGGTCACGCTAGCCTGGCACTTGCCTGACCTTCGGCTGACTTCTCGGCGCATACTTTTCCCAGACGAAACTCCTAAAGTGGATTTGAAGAGGGTAGGAGAAAGCCAGCCCCAGGACTCGGAAACGTGGCTTCCAGCTCGAGTCCAGGCCTGGATGACCCTGGAGGCATCATTTCACCGCTTTGGGCTTCTTTTTCTTTCCAGGAAATACTCAGTAGTCAGAACTGCGCCTTCGAAGGCTCCAAGGAGTTGAGGTTTGAAGCTGTGATCTCGACGGTGGAGTGGCGCTGGGGGTCTGGGCGCTCGGAGCGGGGAGCTCAGGAGCTGCGCAGCTGGGGACGCTGCAGGGCAGCAGCGCCACCCGTCAACCCCTTATAACGTTTTAGGAATCCGTCGCCTCCAGCGTCACCAACCCGACCTGACATCTCTGCGAAGTGCATCCCTGCCCCGTTTCCGACCCGTCCAGTCCCCGCGCCTTGCCCGGCAGGCGCCCAGGACACAGGTTTGGCTCCGCCCTACTTGGATTTGAGTGCATAAGCTCGATTTGACTTTTCGGAATGCCCGAGGGTGGAGGGCAGAAGGGAAAAGCCTGAGGTCAGGGGCATTTATTTCTTGGAGAAAAAAAGCACTGGCCTTGAATTTAGGAGACGATACTCGAGCTCCAGCTTCGCCACCTACTGGCTGTGCGACTGCCTCTTCTCTGAGCCTCAGTTTCCTTTTCTCTAAAGTGGCGATGACCCTGTTGCCTTAAAAGTGCGATTCTGAGACGTGGGATTTTGAGAGTGACTGCTGGAATACTTTGATCCAGTAAACCTCTATCAAGAGCCTACTGTGTGCCAAGCGTCAGAAAACGCCTTGTAAAGTGTGAAGCATTGTAAATACATAAGATGCTATTATCGTTTTTGCTGTTAGAAGTCATCATCTTTTCCTTCCTCCAAATCTAATTGTACCTAAGAAGAGCTCGACAAAATGAAGCCCGACGGCGGTACATGAGCGGGTGGATGTATCTGGCGTTGGAGTGGTCAGCCGCGGGGTGCACACGGCTTTCTCTCGCAGTGCCACCGGCCAAGAAAGACAGCCCAGCTTTCGTCCCCCAAAGTTTCTAGCACCTCCGCTCGCGGGCGAGACTGGCTGGGTTGTCTGAGCCGTAGGTGTGCGAGTTTGAGGGAAGGAGGATACAAGGGGGTCCAGCCAGCAGCGGAGAGCCAGGGGATAGCGCCGGGCCGCGCAGGCTCAGGGTTGCCGTGCCAGCGTCGCTCCACCTCGACATTGACCCCAGGCTCTCGTCTGACCGAAACTCACTCCGCAAAGACCCTACGTGCTGCCCAGAGTCAGAAACCTGACTTTTAAATCTCCACTCTTCGAGGCGAGATTCGTCTCGAACACCGCGGCTGTGTACACTGCCTGTGGCCCGGGGCGCGCAATCAGCGTGGAGATGGGAAGCGTTTGTGTCACCCTAGCAGAGCAATTTCCCCTTTACAGTCCACCCGCGCCTCACACCTCTTGGCCAACATCCAGAAGCTTTCCTACGGGCCGTGTCTGTTTAGGTAGCGGCCACTGACAACCATAACCACCAAATAAATAACCAACGATTAAAAATTAAATAACTTTCTTGCGCTCCCTCCGACGACTAATAACAAAGACTCCGCACATCAGCAACCAGGTGTCGCGGTTAAACTCCTGACAGTAACTGTCTTCCTTTTCAGCCAGCCAGTTCTGGAATACATTACATTAATTAAGTCTTTGGTGATTTAGCCTCCTTGGAGAGAAGTCCAACAATGTAATTAAGAGCATACTGGCTATATTAGATATGAATATTCAAAACAGTGTCAATTAATTAGCCAACAGATCTAGCTCACTATGCTTCGAAAGCCCCTGAAGTCCTCTAAGATACATTTAAAGGGTCATCGGCGGGGAAAGGAGAGGGGGGTAAAGAATATTAAAGAGGTGGGTCCAGATGATCTCTTCGTTCCACATAAACATTTTCTAATGATGGCGATTTATAACGTCCCTGACATCACATACCGCACCTTTGGGCACGTGGGTGCCCGCCCATGTCTGTGTGTGTCTGGTGGTGGTGGTGGAGTTGGGGGGGCGGGGCGGATGTTGTTGATCCATCAGAGCAAAGATCTTTTATAATTAAAGTGAGGAGGCATCCAACTGGAAGGGCCTTCTTAGAGGCACCAAGAGGCTATCCATTGTACATCCTCTCAGACATGTTAGAAAGATAAATATTAAATCTGCTATCACAAAGGGAGCTGTTAAATAGATACTAAGCTGATATGCATAAAAAATTAATTAGGTAGTTTTCTCAGCATCAAACTCCTGGACAAATAACTACTTGTAAAGTACACCTTCTGGGCATATTGAACATATGCTGGAATTATCCTTAATTGACTAATTACATAAATTACTCATTAATTTTACAGCACATCAATTATAAAAGATATATCAATTAATTTTGCATAAATTAAGACTGGAATCTCCCTCCCCCCAAAAAACACAAGAGAGAGGCTGCTGTAACAAAATATGCAGAGAGGGGAGAAAAACAATGTTTGTGTATTTGTAGATTGCAATAATAATTTGTTCTGCTCTGGGCAGAGATTTTCTTAAGGAAAAACATCCTTGGCAATTAAAATAGTCCTAAAGACCACTTACGATGTGATCATGCGTGCACCAAGGCGAAACAGACCATTTAAATCAATTAGGACTGCTCTGATGGAAAATGAGGGCCTGGCAATGACAAAGTACTCAGACATTAGTAATCACAAATGATTTAACATCCACATTAAATGCCTGACTGGGTAGTAAGGCTTATTTTCCTAAGTCAGCAGGGTGCCCGTAACGAAGTTATCTCTGGGTATCCCAAAGTAGACTTCGGCAACGATTTCACACACAATTGGTGGAAATTAATTTGACACCTCTCTTCAACCTAACTCCTCCAGCCTGCTCGTTTCGGGCTCTCCTAAGCGGCTGTTGGCCTCCTCACCTCCTCCCTCGTTTCCTTAAAAAGGTCATTAAATGCTTCGTCACGAGCCCAGCCGTGGGGCCCTGCTCCTTCTGTTTTGGGTTTCTCCTCCCCTGGTGGGACTGGCGGCTTTCAGAATACAGACTGTGTCTCGGCCTAGGCTAGCGGGTCGAGAAGGTGATTTCCAAGGGGTGAGCAAAGTCTGAGACCCCCGGCTCCTTGACTCTTCCTGGCCCGCCCTCCGCAGTCTGCCAGGCTGAGGCTGAAAACACGAGTTTCCAGAAAGGCTTTAGGCAGGCTGCGGGCGCCGGGAGGGAAGCCGGGAGACCGCTGCGCCCGCTGCGCCCGCTGCACTTTGGCAACGAGGCCTGCGTGATTTTAGTCAGCAGGGGGCGCTGTCTCCCCTGGTCGCCGCCTTAGAGAGGAAGCCGCCTTCGGTGCGGGTTTTCTCCGCACAGCGATGGAGGTGGAGAGATGTGAGTTTCCTGGGGTAGCGGCACTTCTAGAAATGCCAGGCTATGGTTCACTGGTTTCCCTTCTGTGTGAAAACCCCAATCTACCTTGATTTGTGCCAACCATCTGTAATGCTTTTCATAGATAACTTTAGACAACATCAAATCAAACGGTACTTGAAATACATCCCAAATTTCCTCTTGGAAGTTGTGAACTTCGAAGTTGCACCTACAAATATAGAGGTGCTTTTCCAAAAGAAACAAAAACTTCCTTGAAAGGAATCCGTAGTCATTATTTAATGCCAGCCCCACGTGTGTATTGATAATTATTGACAATAGAAATATAGAATTTTCTATGTTGTTAAGAAGCCTTTCAACGATATAAGTGGGAGATTCAAGTTATATAGAATCATATGGTTCAAAAATTTTGTTTTTATATTCTTTTAAGTATTTTGTATTCATAGTGATCATTCATAACTCTGAAGTAAAATAAATCAGAATGACAGACAACTGGATGTTGGAGAAACAGAAAGGTTTTACTTTCAAGAGATGCCTAGTTTGGTGGATAGTAAGTTTATGATCAGCAGATTCCCAATCCCACACTCATAAATTGGTTGTGTTAAAAATACTTTGTTTTAAAACCACTATGTATTTCACTCAAAGTGAAATTTCCCCTAGGAATAATACTGTAACTGGTAGATAGGATCCCAGCTAGTTGGTACTGTTCCGCTTTAAGTCCTGTTAAACCAGTAATGTATCTAAAAATTTGAATTTCTCCTTTGAGACTGATCACAACCCTAAAAGGTCCTTTTCTTATCCCCTTCTGTTGCTAGTCTCCAAAGATACTGGCTCCCACCCCCATATTGGACCATGCCTTCTGGAATTCATGCCCTTGTGCAGTTTCTTCTCATATTAAATCTGACCCAGTCCCATGGGAACAAGTAGCATGTGGCAGAAGTGGTGCAGTATGATTTCAAGCCAAATCAGAAGGACCCTTGCAGCTTTTGCCTTGCCCTTTTAAAACACACACTCTGGGGTGGTGGTGGGGATTGGGGGGTGGGGGGGCAGTGCCAGCCAACAGGTAAGAAGTCCTACGGCTCACACTGTGAGGAAATCCAGTTTAGCCAAGGAGAGAGAGAGAGAGAGCTTGGCGGGGGAGAGAGAGAGAGAGCGCGCACTCTTGGAGAGAGAGAGATGCCTGATCAGCCACCAGCTCTGCCAACCATCCCAAGTGAGATGTCATATGTGGTGAGTAAAGGAACTGTCCTGGATGTCCAGTCCAGTTAACTTCTAGATAATTTCAGCCTCAGTTCTACCTGACTGCAACTGCATGAGAGACCTTAGTCAATAACCTCCCTGCTGAGCTCAGTCAATCTACAGAAACGCATGGGCTAACAAACCATTGCTGTTCAGGCATTATGTTTAGGTGTGATTTATTACACAGCAGTAGATAACCAGAACATACATTGTCCTGTCTCCCATTCTTTTTCCTATACTATTTTTTCTTGAATCTTATTTCTGCTACAGTTTGAATCTGGCTACTCATGTGAGCTAGCCTGGGAATCTGAACACTAGTTAGAATATCGAGGCTGGGATTGTGTGCCAAAGAGATTGGCAAGGAGAGTAGATGAAGGAGACTGCAACATAATTAGACATTTCTATTTACGCTTAGGAAACAGTTACGAGAAACTAAATACTGCTCTTCCTCGGAGCTTCTCAGGGGCTGGCACTGGAGGATACAACTGTCAGTAAGTTCCTAAGTCACGTGCTCAAAGAGAAGTGCCTCTATTAGAATTTCTATCTCAATCATGTGCATTGTTTTAATTAAAGGTTTTTTTCTAATATTCTCAAACAACAGATATATAATTGTATTTATAGTATGGAAGACAATTAAATTAGAATCTTTTTCAAGATAAAAATAGTGTCTTTGAAATTGCTCACATTTCTAGAGAATAATGGTGCTATGATCAGTAGTTTCTGTTCCATTAGCTTCTCCTTTCCAACTAGGCAAATCAATAAACTTTATAGTGTTTGTTTTTCACCTTTTATTGCCACCATTTATTCAAGTGCAGACTTGCCATTGTAACTTGTACTTCTGGATAGGCAGTCATATATTTGCTTTGTTATATTGATAAGATTTTTTTTTTTTTTTTTTTGAGATGGAGTCTCGCTTTGTCATCCAGGCTGGAGTGCAGTGGTGTGATCTTGGCTCACTGCAACCTCCACCTCCCTGGTTCAAGCGATTCTCCTGCCTCAGCCTCCTGAGTAGCTGGGATTATAGACACACACCACCAAACCCAGCTAATTTTTGTGTTTTTAGTAGAGACAGAGTTTCACCGTGTTGACCAGGCTGGTCTTGAACTCCTGACCTAGTGATCTGCCTGCCTTGACCTCCCAAAGTGCTGGGATTATAGGCGTGAGCCACTGTGCCTGGCTAAGTTTTTTTTTTTTTTTTTTTTTTTTTTTTAGCGCAACTTGTGCTGGTCCTTTTGTGAAGCAAGAATATTCAAGAGTTTATAGATATAAAAATATCCTCAGCTCTTACTAAAGAAAAATCATCTTCCTATTGTTCATTGTAGTCTCATCTTTCAGATGGAAAAACAGATAAAATCCCAGACATTCCCAAAGAATGGGCTTCATAAGGTTCAAGTAGATAGCTGGTATGGATTTTAATTGTCTTCTAAATCATCCTTTATGCAGGGAAAGCCTAACATGTTTGAGTGATTACTTTTTGTTTGGCATCCAATAGTGCCAAAATGGACTTTGGCATCAGACTGATTTGGTTAATTTTAGGTGCTTTTTTTTTTTTTTTTTTTTTGAGACAGAAGCTTGTTCTTGTTGCTCAGGCTAGGTGCAATGGCATGATCTCGACTCACTGCAACCTCCACCTCCTGGGTTCAAGAGAGTCTCCTGCCTCAGCCTCCCGAGTAGCTGAGATTACAGGCACCCACCACCACCCCTGGCTAATTTTTGTATTTTTACTAGAGTCGGGGTTTCACCATCTTGGCCAGGCTTCAGTCTTGAACTCCTGACCTTGTGATCCACCCACCTCAGCCTCCCAAAGTGCTGGGATTACAGGCGTGAGCCACCGAGCCTGGCCCTAGGCTCTTATTATTTAGTGAGTGACCTTGGGTATGGGACCTAACTTTTATAGCCTCAAATTACTCATATGTAAAATGGGGATGATAGAACCTGAAATAGAGTGATTTTGATGATTACATGAGATACTGGACCTAAAATGCACACGGCGAATGCATCATAAATGTTAGCAACCTGTCACTTACTCAGGAGATTTCTGGGGTAAATTGCTGTTGTATTTTCACTTGTTGATCACTACTTTGGAAAGGTTAAAAGTGTACTTTTAAAAATCTCAGTTGGCAGGGTCTTAAGATGACTTGAATCTATCAGGTTGTACCTGAAGAATCTGGAGTATCCTTCCTCATCTAATTCTCCAGTTTTTCTCCCCTCGAATTCCTCTGTCAGAAGCACAACTGTAAGAACACCACCACTTCTCTGCTCAGAAATTTTCAATAGCAGTTTGGAGATGACCTTAGGCAAGTGCACACCTCTTAGCTTCACATTCAAAAAGCCTTCTACAATTGGGCCTCTGGGTCTATCCTTCTAGATTTATCACATTCCCTCTGCTCCTACCAAAGGAGGTCAGTTGCATGCTCTTCCGAATACATAGCCGCATTTTCCCCCCTGACTTCACTCCCATTGTTCACTCTTTCTGAAATGTGTATCCTCTTCTATTTTTACCTCCCCAAACTCTACTCATTCATCAAATAAGACCTCATTCAACAATTGCCTCCTCCACAAAGCCTTCTGTTACCTTTCCTTGTAGAATCATCTTTTTCCTCTAAGTGTCTAGAACATGTTGTTTACACTTCAATTATGCAACAATCACAACCTGCCTTTCTTATTAATATGCAAACTTTATGAAAGCAGGGATCATTTTTTATCCAATTTTTGTTTGCCACAGTAGTTAGTACAGTTAAATCAGTGCTTCCCAAACCATCTTTGAAAAAGAACCAGCTTTGAAAAAAAAAAGCAATCTGTTGCAGATTGAGATGTTTGTAAAACACAATAAAAATGAAAGATTAGAAAACTAAAATAAAAATACGGGGCAAAATACAAGCCCAAATGTCTCTCTCTCTTTTTTTTTTCTTTTCTTTTCTTTTTTTTTTTTTTTTTTTTGAGGTGGAATTTCACTCTTTTTGCCCAGGCTGGAATGCAATGGTGCGATCTCGGCTCACTGCAACCTCTGCCTCCCAGGTTCAAGCGATTCTCCTGCCTCAGTCTCCCGAGTAGCTGGGATTACAGGCACTCACCACCACACTCGGCTAATTTTTATATTTTTAGTAGAGACGGGGTTTCGCCATGTTGGACAGGCTAGTCTTGAACTCCTGACTCCGCCTGCCTCAGCCTCCCAAAATGCTGCGATTACAGGAGTGAGCCACTGCACCTGGCCTCCAAATGTCTCTTTATGATAGTCAATAGATGTACATTTATTCTCTCAAAGTCCTGTAAATATATCTAAACACTTACTTCCTGTTCTCTTCTCATTTCCCACTGGTAAAAACAGTTCATAGATGGGCACAGGTTGATGGGCCACATATTGAGTAACCTGACATTACCTACTGCTATGTAAACATATTGGTTAAATAAGTAAATCCATGGACCAGAGAAATGTTTTATAACACTTTCTTTTTCAATTATTGTTTGTTTCAATGTCCATTTTTTAAGAATATAGGATAATTAATTATTAATAAACTATCATGAAATTTGGTCACATTAGCTTGCTGATTTGTGAATCTTATTTTGATGCATTTAAACAAGCCAGCAAATCCAAATATGATTTTCTTTGTGAAAGTAAAAAGGCTGAGTGGGGCTGGGTGGATTAGCTCATGCCTGTAATCCCAGCACTTTGCAGGGCTGGGGTGGGCAGATCTCTTGAGCCCAGGAGTTCCAGACTAGCCTAGCCAACATGAAACCCCATCTCTACTAAAAATACAAAAACTAGCTGGATGTGGTGACACATGCCTGTAGCCCCAGCTACTCGGGAGACTGAGGTGGGAGGATCACCTGAGCCCAGGAGGCAGAGGTTGCAGTGAGTCGAGATCATGCCACTACACTCCAGTCTGGATGATAGAGTGAGTCCTGTCTCAAAAACAAAAACAATAACAAAAAATACCCCAGCAAGGTTGATGGGAAACTTGCTACTTGCCAGAAGTTTAGAGAGTTTCCCTATTGAAGAAAAAATTGAAAACTCCCTAGTAGGCTTAGTGTTCTGCCTTAAATAATATTATTTTTTTAAAAAAATCCAAATCAAAGAGATATACATCATACAATTTACATGGTTAGTCAGAAATTACACTGAAAGTTCATTAAATCACATCTAGAGAATTTAAGTGAACTCAAGTAAGTAAATTAACTGCTGAGTTAATTAAGTTGTTAATTAGTTAATTAACTGTTATAGTTTTAAGTGATGCCATTAACAAACTGACATAAATTTCAGTTTTACTTTCCTATATTTAGAAGCCCTTCATGGAACTGTAAAAGCTGGAGGGCCTAATTCTTTTCACAGAGTTTCAAACAAAATACTAATATATTTATAATAAGATTTTTATTATTTAGGGTTGAAGGCATTTTAAAGCAATTCATCTAATTGCCTTTTTTTTTCTTTTTAAATTAGAGGGTACTCTTCATTTACTTTTTTTTTTTTTTTTGAGATAGAGTTTCACTCTTGTTGCCCAAGCTGGAGTGCAATGGTGCGATCTCAGCTCACCGCAACCTCCGCCTCCCCGGTTCAAGCGATTCTCCTGCCTCAGCCTCCCGAGTAGCTGGGATTATAGGCATGTGCCACCACACCTGGCTAATTTTTTGCATTTTCAGTAGAAACAGGGTTTCACCATGTTATCCAGGCTGGCCTCGAACTCCTGACCTCAGGTCATCTGCCCACCTAGGTCTCCTAAAGTGCTGGGATTACAGGTGTGTGCCACCACACCCGGCTAATTTTTTGTATTTTTAGTAGAAACAGGGTTTCACCATGTTAGCCAGGCTGGCGTTGAACTCCTGACCTCAGGTGATCTGCCCACCTAGGTTTCCTAAAGTGCTGGGATTACAAGCGTGAGCCACTGTGCCCGGCCTCTTCATTTACTTTTAAAAATATAAAATAGAATATGTAAGTGAAATAAACATGCAAATATTCATAATGTATTGGCCAGTTTGATATATGCTACTACTTCTGTTTGCGTATTGTTGTTAGCCATGAAGGTTTTGGAAAGGTAGGCTGCAGTTATTTGCTATGACACAAATCATCTTAAAACCTAATGGCTTGAAATAATAACAATCATTTACTTGGTCTATGGATCTGCAAGTTGGGTAGGTTGGGTGGAGACAGCTCATCCGTCTTAACGGGGACTGGGTGATCCACTTCTAAGATGGTTCCCTCACATGGCTCTTGGCCAGGAGCTCAGACAGGGCTGTCTCTTGGGGCCTTGTTTCCTCTCCTCATGGCTCTTTCTATGGGCTGCTTGCGCTTCATCACAGCATAGCAGCAGGCTTATAAGAGTGAGTTCTTAGGAGGTCCGAACAGAAGCTGACAGGCTTTTTATGACCTAGCTTCATAAATCACTTCTGCAATGTTACATTGGTGAAGCAAGTCACCAAAGCCTGCCAAGATTCAAGGGGAAGGAAATGACTCCACTTCCCAGTGGGAGGAATAACAGAGATCTAAAGGAGTAATTCAGTTTGGTAAGTTAAGGAAGACTTGGAAACTCACATAGTAGGCTCTGATACTGAAAAACAGGGAGTTTTTTTTTTTTTTGAGACACAGTTTTGCTGTTGTTGACTAGGCTGGAGTGCAATGGCACAATCTTGGCTCACTGTAATTTCCGCCTTCCGGGTTCAAGCAATTCTCCTGCCTCAGCCTCCCAAGTAGCTGGGATTACAGGTGCCTGCCACCACACTCAGCTAATTTTTTGTATGTTTAGTAGAGATGGGGTTTCACTATGTTGGCCAAGCTGGTCTCAAACTCGTGGCCTGAAGTGGTGCACCCACCTCGGCCTCCCAAAGTCCTGGGATTACAAGCGTGAGCCACCGCGCCCAACCAAGAGGGAGATTTATAATGTTTTCTTAGTTAAGGCTGCCCCACAATGAGCTGAACACTAGAGTAATCCCATCAGCAGATAATGTAGTAGAAGAAGAACTGGATTTGGACAGAAGATCTGGATTTACATTGAAGTTCTATTGTACTGTTTGAGAGGTTTTTGAGAAAGGTATTTAACCTTTCTAAGATTCTGTTTTCTCATGTTTAAAATGATAATACCTGACCTATTTCTGTACATGCCAGAGTCTTTGAGTTCAAATGAATTACTGTATGGAAAAAGTGTATTTTAGATAAAAAAAACAAATTTCATATGTATGACTGGTATTCTGAGTACTAGAATATACCCATTGTACTCTCTTCCTCATACTTGTCTGTTGTTACATTGTTACATTCATTTATATTGTATCTTTATTTATTTGTGTACATAAGTAACCCCAAATTCTTGAACTAGTGTGTTCACTGGGAATCACGATTCTGACCTCAGACAATTTGCTTATACATTGGAGGATGGAACCAGGAATTTAGGAGAGAGGGCATTTCCCCACTGCTGGAAGTTCAGACTTTGGAAGGAGGTGGATTTGGGGAGGTAGAGGTACATAACCGTTGTTGAGATGGTACCTGTGAGAGAGGGGTGATTGGGGGCCAGCTGAATTTCTGCCTCCATCATGCTTTAAATCTGAGAGTCTGAGCTATGGTGCTAAAGGGTGTCAGAGGTTGTTAAGTGTTTGACATTGTTGGTGATGGTCACGGGTATGGTCCAACAATGGAAGCCAAAATGATCTCGCCTGGTCCTAGTGAGGTCTTGTCATTAGTGAGCAATGCCAGCCAATAGAGCAACTGAAAGAAGCATTAGAGATGATGGGAACAGAGGAAGGAATTGATTACACGTAGCCTAACGAATTATAGTTGGAGATGCTTGGTGAATGGGACTTTGATGCCCAAAAAAGTAAAAGCAAGGCAATCCAATACCTCCCATGAAGGTTTAAAAAAAAAAGTGGAGTGTCCAGGACAACCACTGGGAAGGAAGGGGCCTTGTGGGCTGGGGCTTGTTCAAGTGTAACTTAGTAGAAGTAAGGAAGCTATGAACTTTCTTCCACAATCTCTGTAGGCCTTCCTTTTACCCGTGAATCAGTGTCTCACATCTCATCTCCCTTCGTAGGGGTGAAATCTTTGAGGGCATTCCCATCTTCTAACAAAGTCAGCACTTGTTAAGTGTTTGGTGAACTGTATTTCCAAATGGTTCTAAGATACACTGTTGCAACTGTTGTATTGGATACTGGAGAAGAGAGAACTTATTGCACCCTTGTAAAAGGCACTGGCTGCCTTGAAGATTGTAAAAAAGAAACTGGAGGCAAGCCACCCTGGGCAGTCAGTCAGCTGCTTTTTGCTGCCTGCCTAGTGCGTCTTGTGTTCTCAGGTGCAACTGATTGGCAAAAATTGGTAATATGACCTTGACCAATATTTCTAAAAGCTCACAACTACAGAGTTGAGTATGCGCAGTATGTACTTTGTAGAAGTGGAATTCTGCTCATGGTAGCAACATCCATGTGAGCTTGAGCTGGCACCTGACACAAATGTCTTGGGTAGTGTGTAGCTTGAAATGGAGTTAGGGAATGAATAAAACAAGTGTTCCATATGGTGTCTAAAACAGTTGTAACAACTAAACAGCACTTTTCCAAAGCAAAAGATCAATAGATCTTTGCAATATACAGAAATTCCCGGTTATCTGGACCAGTCAGGAAACAAGGTGTGTATCAAATATTTCAGTTTTTAGAATATCCTGCTAGGATTTTTTTAATCTTTTTTTTTTTTTTTTTTTTTTTTTTTTTTTTTTTGAGACAGGGTTTCCCTTTGTCACCCAGGCTGGAGTGCAGTGGTGTAGCGTGTGATCATGGCTCACTGCAGCCTTGACCTCCCAGGCTCAGGTGATTCTCCCACCTCAGATTCCTTAGTAGCTGGGACCACAGACATGTGCCACCATGTCCAGCTAATTTTCATGTTTTTTGTAGAGATGGGGTTTCACCATGCTGCCCAGACTGGTCTTGAACTCCTAGGCTCAAGTGATCCTCCTCCTTCACCCTCCCAAGGTGCTGGGATTATAGGCATGAGCCACCGTGCCTGGCCAGATTATATTTTATGGGAAACATTGTTGATTGTCTACTCTACTCACTATCCAGTCTTTCCCTCTTTCTCAGTAACAAGAACTCTAAATCGTTGAATCTGGTGCCTAGCTATAAAATGATGTTTTTAGATATTCTTACAGATAAGAGCACCAGTGATAAAGTATGCAGAGGTCACTAGGTGGGGCTTTCCAGGAAAGTTTTTCTAAGGGGCCTGAATTGACAGGGAAGCACATGGTTTGTGGCCTTCCCTTATTTTCATCCTGCATTGAATGCTAACGTAATAGTTAGAGCTGCAGCAGCCATCTTGAGACCATGAAGCAAACTTGAGGATGGAAGTCATAAAGTAAGGCTGTTGGACAGAAAGAAAGAGCCTGCATTCCAGATGAACCTGGAATTGCTATTCTAGCCCCAGACTGCCTATCTCTGTGAGAAGAAAAAAACAAAAACAAAAAAAACCCAAATATCTCTCTTGTCTTAACCACTGTTATTTTTGGTTTCTGTTTTTAGTTGCCAAGATCAATATTTTCTTCAGGGTATTACATGTAACAAAGTTATCACAACACTATGGAGATCACAAACTTACTTTAATTTGTATATATTTTAACCTCTCCTTGTTTCAGATTTGACAAAAGCTAAATTACAAGAGTTCTTATGGGAGAACATAAGTTTAAAATGATGTCAAAAGACTCCCTGCAAAAAAAGGTGAAGACATCAGGAAGGATTATCTGAACATATTTTAATCTTTTGTTCCTTTTCATTTTATAATTCCAAGTCATAGCAGGATCTCTTTGTTTTGTTTTGTTTTTCAGACAGGGTCCTACTCTGTCACCCAGGCTGGAGTGCAGTGATGCAATCATGGCTCACTGCAGCCTCAACCTCCCTGGGCTCAGGCGATCCTCCCACCTCAGCCTCCTGAGTAGGTGGGACTAGAGGTGCACACCACCATGCCTGGACCACCGTGCATGGCTAATTTTTGTATTTTTTGTAGAGATGGGGTTTTGCCATGTTGCCCAGGCTGGTCTCGAACTCCTGGACTCAAGTAATCTGCCTACTTCGCCCTCCCAGTGTTCTAAGATTATAGGTATGAGCCACCGTGCCCATCCTACATCAGGAACTTTAATGCCTTACAGACATATTAGGAACATTGTACATGGAAATTTTGACTAATAGAGAGTCTCATTTAATTGAGTGTCACCAGAGAGGGCTCTGCGTTGTATAACCAAAACTCTGCTAACTGGCCATCACTTGTCTGGCTCATGAGAGTAACTAATGCTCTCCAGTTCTCCGTAAAACCCTTTGCAGCTGGTTGAGTAGCATACCTCCAGTAATTAGTTGTGTTTCTGCCCAAATCTCTTTGTACAAATTATACTTGTTACGTAATTATATAATTTGATGAAATGTGTGGTTTGGTAACTTTATGAGGGGGAAAGAAAAGGATTATTTCTATGAAAACTAAGTTGAATGCTTGGAAACATATATAAATTTCCCATAAATTTTGCTTTTGGATGAGGTGTGGGGAAGCCGATAGTAACTGGGAATCTGTTAAGATACTGCCAGCAATATTGCTTTGGAAGGATCTTTAAAAGATAGTGCATTTTGGCCGGGCGTGGTGGCTCATGCCTGTAATCCCAGCACTTTGGGAGGCCAAAGTGAGAGGATCACTTGAGCCTAGGAGTTCGAGAACAGCCTGAGCAACATAGGGAGACCCTCTCTCTACAAAAAATAAAAATTAGCTGGACATGGTGGCATACACTCATAGTCCCAGCTACTCAGGAAGCCGAGGTGGGAGTGTCACTTGAGCCCAGGAGGTCGAGGCTTTAGTGGGGCATGATCACATCTCTGCACTCCAGCCTGGGTGACAGAGTAAGACCCTGTCTCAAAAAAAGAAAGAAAGAAAGGAAAAAACGGTGCATTTTGAGTCTGGTGTGAAAAAATTCTATGGGAAACTCCAAAAGAGTGGGCCCAGAAGCAAAGGGACTTAGCCCTTCTTCTAAAAGTGGTTAATTTGTAAGTACGTAAGTGTTTTAATTGAAAATGAAATGTTTAAGGTGTATGTGCTTGTTAGTAATACTTCATTCTGTCAGGCAGTTTAAGTTCGTCATTCCGTTAGGATGGATAAGAGTGCTTTGGCTGTGTATACAGAATTCATACTTAGTACAGGTGTGTTAAATAAAAGAATGGAAAGCCAAGGGAATTAAGCAGTGATTTAATGGACCAGGTGGTTCCTACTACTGTGCTATCCTGTGCCACTGGGGGGCAGGTGTTACTAATCTACCACAGTCCTCAACTGGCGTCTCTTTAATATTGGAATACCAAGCAGCCACTACCAATCAATCAGTTGGCCCATGAAAGGAAATCTCTTTGCCAACCACGGTTGAGAGTAGGAGAGTGATATAGGTGAAAGTTATGCATCGGCACGTGGCTTGAGGCTGGACAGGTTGGAAATGTGTCAGGCAGATACACAGGAGACCTTCCCAGGACACCCACCATCACGTGGATTGCTAGGATCCACCTGCCATCCGGCCAAGCTTCCTCTGTAGGCAGTGGCCCCTACCTCATCACTCCATTGGCGCTTCCTTCATGGGAACTATACTGTAGTGGAGAGGATGAACTTGTCAGAGAAGGGGAAAGTCGTATCAGGATATTCCCCAGAATCACTGTAGCTGAGTCACCCCTCTCAGCAGAAAAGCGTTATAGTTGGGCCCTGAGGGCAGAATGTCTAGTTTGACCCTGGTGTCAGCACTTCCTAGCTATGACTAGGGCAAGCTACTTAACCTCTCCAAGTTCCCATGTTAATGACAGTGGGTTTATAAGGACTACATGTAATAATGCATGGAAAGCATAAAGGACTGGTCCTCAGCACCTTCAAATCCTCCACAATAGGGTTTCATGAACATGAATCTATGAACTCCTCTTCAAAATCCTGTGCACAATTTTTTGCCCGGGATCCATGACTTTCATCAGATTCTCAGAGGAGCCTGGGACTAAAAGAAAAGCAAAAACAGAGCAAAACAAAGCAAGAGAAACTGAACACTTTCTTGTTTAGAGCAGCTCTTCTCCAACTTTAGTGAACCACCTGCCCATCTTGTTAAAATGCCAGCTCTAAGCCAGTAGGTCTAGGGAGGATCAGGCTCTGCATACTTAAGAAGCTCCTGGTTGGTGCTGCGACTGCTGATCCATGGACCCCACTTTGAGTAGTGAGGGTTTAAAGTGTCTTAGTTGTTTGGGCTATTATTTGTTATAACAGGGTAGCCCATAAACAACAGATATTCATTTCTCCCAGTTCTGGAGGCTGAGAAGTCCAAGATCAAGGCACTGGCAGATTCAGCCTCTGGCGAGGGCCTGATTTCTGGCTCCTAGACAGCATCGTTTCTGTCTGTCCTACATGGTGGAAGGGGCTGAAGGCCTTTCTGGGGCCTCTTTTATAAAAACACTAATCTGGTTCATGGGGGCTCCACCCCCATAATCTAATCATCCTCCCCAGGAACCACCCCTACTACCATCACCTTGACTGACAGGATTTCAACATATGAATTTTGGGAGGACAGGAACATTCAGGTCATAACAGCGTCCACATCTTGATTTTCTTCTGCAGTGTGGAGAGGCACTGTAACATGCTGATTAAAAGCATGAGCTATCAGGACAGACAGCCTAGGTTTGCTGCCTGGCTTTGTCCCTTCTATAATGTTGATGAAGCTACTGAACTTCTCTCTATCTCAATTTCCTCATCTGTACAATAGGGGTGATAACAGTATCTCGCAAAGAACGTTGCTGTAAGGAATACATGAGTTAAAGAGTTTGTAACAAAGCTGGGTGAGGTGCCTGAAGTCCCAGCTACTTGGGAGGTTGAGGTGGGAGTATCGATTAAGCCCAGAAGTTTGGGTTCACCCTGGGCAACACAAGACCCTGTCTCTAAAATAAATAAACAAATCCCTATTTTTCTACCAGCAAATTTGAACCCAGAATCCAGAACTGGATTTTCTTCCATCTAAGTCCTAATTCACACACATAGGACCTGGAGCCATAAAGAAAGTCGTGGTGCATGGCTTATGAAGAGTGGCAATCAAAGTGGGGTCACCGTGCAGTGTAGCCACTGTCACATGAGAGAAAGTTTGAGGTGGAACAGAAACTCCAAGTCACAGTTGTGTCTGGCAGCTGAGCCTCCACCCCAGAGCACACACCTTGGTGAGGAGCTGGGCTGGGGATTCAAAAGACCTCCCACCCAGCATCATGCTCTTGCCATAATTTTATTTCTCCTGTTGGCGTGTTGTCTTTGGCACTCAATTATCTTATGAGAAAACATGTGGAAACTATGATTTCCCTCCGACCCTGCTTTTTGGATCTAGGTTTTTATTCTTTTTCAGGAAATCAAAGCATGTGGCCAAATACTGAAGCAAGAGGATGTCTGTTTATTGGTTTTTTTTTTTTTTTTTTTGAGACGGAGCTTCACTCTTGTTGCCCAGGCTAGAGTACAGTGGTGCCATCTCGGCTCACTGCAACCTCTGCTTCCTGGGTTCAAGCAATTCTCCTGCCTCAGCCTTTCGAGTAGCTGGGATTAACAGGTGCATGCCACCATGCCCCGCTAATTTTTGTATTTTTAGTAGAGACAGGGTTTCACCATGTTGGCCAAGCTGGTCTTGAGCTCCTGACCTCAGGTGATCCTTGGCCTCCCATAGAGCTGGGATTACAGTGTGAGCCACTGCTCCTGACCTTTTTTTGTTCTTTTAAAAAATAGGTCCAGGTATATTCAGGTTGAAAGAACTGATTAGAGTTTATGATTTGACTAGCCCAGAAGTTTTTTTCTTTTAAAACCAACTTTATTGAGGTACAATTTACACCAAATACAAATGCACTAATTTAAAATGTGTACTTCAGTTGGGTGAGGTGGCTCATGCCTGTAATCTCAGCAATTTGGGAGGCCGAGGTGGGAGAATCAGTTGAGCTCAGGAGTTCAAGACCAACCTCAGCAATATGACAAAATCTCATCTCTACAAAAAATACAAAAATTAGCCAGATGTGGTGGTGCGTGCCTGTAGTCTCAGCTACTCAAGAGGCTGAGGTGGGAGGATTGCTTGAACCTGGGTGATCGTGGCTGCAGTGAGCTGTGATCATGCCACTGTACTCTAGCCTGGGCTAGAGTGAGACCCTATTTCAAAAAGAAAAAATAATAAAATAATATAAAATAAAATGTATAGTTCAATGGGTTTTGACAAATGTTCAATGGGTTTTGACAAGTGTGTGTGGCTGTGCCATCAACATCACAATCAAGATCTAGAACATTTGCATCAGTCTAAAATGTTCCCCTGGGCCCACTGGAAGTTCCTCCTGTCCCAGGCAATCAGTGAGGTGATTTCTATCAGCATAGGGTAGTTCTGCCTGTTCTGGACCTTCATGTAAAAGGAATAAATGGAACTTTACACATGTACTATTTTATGTCTGGCTTGTTTTGCTCAGCGCAGTGTTTTTGGGATTCATTATTTTTGTTATGTGTATCACCAGCATCAGTAACAGAATCCTTTAAAAAAAATCTTTCGGTTAACTCAGTCAAAATGTCAACCATTATTTGTACATTATAAATTAATAATATATGCACTTTGAAATGTGTTTGTTTTTGGAAAAGCAGCTCATAGGTGAGGAGTACCACCAAGCTCTAAAATATTTGAGTAGCCATGAGTAATTGTGTAATTGTGAGGACTGGGGAACAGTGGGAAGACTGGCTGCAGTGCTGGCCCTGCCACTGACTGAGTTTGAGCAAGGCCCATCACCAACTGGGACTCAGTTTCCCCAAAAGGACCAGTCTTTGCTGTCTCCTGAGGCCCATCGTACATCTGACACACATACTGTTTTGGGGATGGCCACTGAGCAGCGGGGCCAGCAGAGGGAGCAGGAGTCAACAGATGAGCTGCAGAGCTGGGCCAGCACCTTGAAGGGGCCTCTGGGACACAGGCCACCGCAGGCACCACCTCGTTCCAGAGCTCAGCATGTTCCCGTGGTGGACTGAGTTTTAAAGTGACTTATGACTTTAGATATGACTTTGCAAAGAGATTTCTTATTAGGGCGAGCTTGAAGGTTCTTTCTTTTTATTTTTTTTGTAATCTAAAAAAGATCTTACTGCCAACAAAAGGGGGGCATAAACAAGAGATCTCTGTGTGATCTTAGAAGCAAATACAATAGATTCACATTCAAAATTTATTTACATTAACCTTTAGAATAAATTAACTTTTAATGGTCATTACCCTAGAGAAGAATTGTACAAAAATGTCAAAAGGGCCTCTTTGGAGTATACAACAGGGTGTGTGTAGGTTATGTATAAATACTATGCCATTTTATATAAGAGACTTGAACATCAGGAATTTTGGTATCCAGGAAGGGTTCTGGAATCAATTCCCCTAAAATACCAACGGATGACTGTATAGAATTGTCAAAAATAAATTATTTTATAATATGCCATGGTCTAAAAATAGTAGTGAGTTTTTAAAAGCCATAACCTGATTTGCCTCTGAGGCCCTCTCTGTAAGCATAGTTAAAGGGACATTTCATCTGAGAAATTACCCTTGCCTACCATCCCTACACTGTTAGCTCACAGAGTTATTTCTGTTCTCTGTTTCCTTTGCTTCTATAGCCATAACTGATATTGCATGAAATATTTGTGGTCTTATATTTGCTCCCCCAATGCTTCTCTTTATAATATTGAACCACCCAAAACCAGAGAGGGGAATTAGGATGCATGTGGCTTGCTGAGAAACATCCTATAGACATTTAGGATAGCTTCAGAGTACCACCTCTACCTCTCCCACAACAAAACATTGTCTTGGAACAACCACGTTGATGAAAAGTTTTGTGATTTTCTAACTCAGCAATATGACACATACAAATAGGGAGGGTAAATATACTATAAATGGCATTTTCCAGGTAAAATTAGAAGAGTACTAAAAAGGCAAGTTGTAAAAAGGAAGCTTTTGCTGAGACTCCTGGAAGGAGCAGAAGGAAGGGGGTGAGGGTAGCGAGAAGAAAATAAGGCTGGGCGCGGCGGCTCACACTTGTAATCCCAGCACTTTGGGAGGCTGAGGCAGACAGATCACTTGAGCTCAGGAGTTTGAGACCAGCCCAGGCAACATGGTGAAACCCCATCTTTATTAAAAATACAATAAATTAGCTGGGCATTGTGACTCGTGCACGTAGTCCTAGCAGGAGGGAGGCTGAGGTAGGAGAATCGCTTGAACCCAGGAGGCGGAGATTGCAGTGAGCTGAGATTGCATCACTGCACTCCAGCCTGGGCAACAGAGTAAGACTCCATCTCAAAACAAAACAAAGAAACAAAAAAGAAAATAAAATGAAGGGTGGAAATTAAGGAAAGCCTGTCTGAGCAGAGACAACCTATAGCTCCATCTTGTATAAAAAAACCCCTCATTTTTCTTGTCAAAAAGTGACTTGACAAACCTTTATAGAAAAGATGAATGGGCTGGGCGTGGTGGCTTACGCCTGTAATCCCAGCACTTTGGGAGGCCAAGGCAGGCAGATCACCTGAGGTCAGGAGTTCGAGACCAGCCTGGCCAACATGGTGAAACCCTGTCTCTACTAAAAATACAAAAATTAGCTGGGCTTGGTGGTGGGCACCTGTAATCCCAGCTACTCTGGAGGCTGAGGCAGGAGAATCGCTTGAACCGGGGAGGTGGAGGTTGCAGTGAGCTGAGATCGCACCATTACACTCCAGCCTGGGGGACAAGAGCAAGACTTTGTCTCAAAAAAAACAAAAGATGAATGGAGGCCTGGCGCAGTGGCTCATGCCTGTAATCCCAGCATTTGGGAGGCCAACATGGGTGGATCACAAGGTCAAGAGATGGAGACCATCCTGGCCAACATGGTGAAACCCCATCTCTACTAAAAATACAAAAGTTAGCCGGGTGTGGTGGCGCTCACCTGTAGTCCCAGCTACTCGGGAGGCTGAGGCAGGAGAATCACTTGAACTGGGGAGGCAAAGGTTGCAGTGAGCTGAGATCATGCCACTGCACTCCAGCCTGGAGACAGAGCGAGACCCTGTCTCAAAAAAGAAATGAAAAGAAAAGAAAAAAGATGGATGAGTTATTTTAGCTATCTAATGCCACAGAGAAAGAAGGCCTCGTGATTATTTGTATTAGGCTAGCATAACACTGATATAAAAACCTGACCAAAAAAGCACAAGGAAGAAATAACCTCAGAATAACCTCGCTTAAAACTCTTGATGCAAAAATCCTAAGTCAAATACCAGCAAGTAGATTGTAACAGCACATTGGAAGAAAGTAAACCATGACCAAAGAAGCTTATTCTAAACATTCAGGGTGGTTCACTAGTAAGAAGCCTATACAAATAATCACATTAAAATGTAGAGAAGGGTCTGATGTACAGGCTGGGCTTTTTTTTTTTTTTTTTTCTGAGGCAGAGTCTTACTCTGTCACCCAGGTTGGAGTGCAGTGGTGCAATCTTGGCTCACTGCAGCCTCCGCCTTCTGGGTTCAAGCCATTCTGCTGCCTCAGCCTCTTGAGTAGCTGGGATTACAAACACCTGCCACCACGCCCAGCTAATTTTTTGTATTTTTAGTAGAGTCGGGGTTTTGCCATGTTGCCCAGGCTGGTCTTGAATTCCTGAGCTCAGGCAATCCACTCTCCTTGGCCTCCCAAACTGCCAGGATTATAGGTGTGAGCCACCAAGCCCACAGGCTGGGCTATTTGAAGACTTTTCTAGGGCTTGGTACTCTTATTTTTAGATACTAGATCGTATTAAGAAGGAAAAGGAGGCCAGGCACGGTGGCTCACGCCTGTAACCCCAACATTTTGGCAGGTGGATCATGAGGTCAAGATATCGAGACCATCCTGGCCAACATGGTGAAACCACGTCTCTACTAAAAATACAAAAATTAGCTGGGCGTGGTGGCGCGTGCCTGTAGTTGCACCTACTTGGGAGACTGAGGCAGGAGAATTGCTTGAATCTGGGAGGTAGAGGTTGCAGTAAGCCGAGATTGTGTCATTGCACTCCAGCCTAAGTGACAAGAGCGAAACTCTATCAAAAAAAAAAGAAAGTAAGTAAGTTATCCAGGAAGATAGTGAAGGTAAAAGTTTCCTCGGCAGAATTTCCCTTTTAACAAAAAAAGGCAGCCCCCAAATAATTTCTTTTCTAACAAAGAGCAGCCTGAAAAATTGAGCTGCAGACATGGATAAGCAAGCCAGAAGCTTGGACGGTGGGAATGCCGGCAGCTGTGCCAATGCAAACGGGCTACCTGAGGGCCAGGTATGTTCAACATGGAGAGTTCATCTTCCCTTTTCTTTGTCACCATGGTACAGTAAAAGAATAGGCAACATGGTGCCGGCCAGGTAGAGAACCCATCTGCATAATAAAAGATGAGAGTGGGGATGGCCAGATTTTCACACGCTATGCAAACGGCACACCTGGTCCGACTAATCTTTTGCGCCCTATGTAAATCAAACACCGCCTCCCCAAGCTCATCTATAAAACCTCCTGCCCTTCACCGTGGAGGCAGCAACCCATTTCTCCAGGCACCCTCTCTCTGCAGAGAGCTTTTCTCTTTCTTTTACCTGTTAAACTTCCACTGTGCACCTCACTCTTTGTATGTCCACATCCAGTTTTCCGTGGACGTGAGACAATGAATCTCAGGTATTTACCCCAGACAATGATGTTGCTTCATCATCACCACCATAACCTGCCAGGTCATCTGTCATGGTGGCTTTTAACCCCCCTCCAGGAACCACACATTTCTTCTTTTTGGCTTTGCTTTGCTTGCTTTTGTTTTTCACCGTAAAGCACAGTTGGTGAACTGGTAACCTTTTTCAAGTCATCAATTTCCAGTGAAATACACACATATCCAGCTAAGACTTCCAAAAAACTGGCATAATATAGTGACTTTTCATATTGTATAATTTTATCTTTTAGTAACTTTCCAAACTCTGTAAAGTCATCTCTTAAAGATGGGTTCATAGCATTTATTCCATAAACTGTATTATTATTTTTTGAGATGGAGTCTTGCTCTGTTGCCCAGGCTGGAGTGCACTGGTGTGATCTCAGCTCACTGCAACCTCCACCTGCCAGGTTCAAGTGATTCTCCTGCCTCAGCCTCCCAAGTAGCTGGGACTACAGGCACGCGCCACCACGCCCGGCTAATTTTTTATATTTTTAGTAGAGATGGGGTTTCTCCATGTTGGTCAGGCTGGTCTTGAACTCCTGACCTCAGGTTATCTGCCCACCTCGGCATGTGTGAGCCACTGGGCCCTGCCTGTATTATTAACTATGAAAATTTCCTTTGCTAATTTGAGGTCTGACTCTTCCTATAATTTCTTTAGCACGGTTTATCTGTTAAATTGTTCTTCTGTTCTTCTGGGTTTTAGAACTTTAGGTTCTCAGGTTCTTCTAACCTCTCTTTAATTTCTACTTGCCTTTTCTTCTATTGTTGTTCTTTCTCTTTTATCTTCTCTGCTATTTATTTTTTTCTGAAATTTTAATCTCTGGTTTTACTTCTGCTTCCTCTTTGTTTTTTTTCTTTTTTGTCATTATCTTCCCAGTTATTTTTGATGTCCTCATCCTCAACTTCCCAGTGGTCCCTGCTGACAGTGCCACCACCCCGCACCTTCTGCACCAGGGTTCCCATTGAGGACTCATCCCCACCCCCATCCTGGGAGTCAAAGTCCCTCGCCGCTGCCACTGGGTCTGGCGGTGTGAAGGGGAGAGCTAGCCAGGAGTTAGTGCCATGGAAGGGAGTCACTCTATTCTCTATCTTGATTGTAGTTGTGGATATAGGCCTCTCTGTATTTGGCAATAGAACTGCACATCCAAAAAAGTAAATTTTACTGTATGTAAATATAAATATTAAAAATAAATGTAAAAACCAGGCTGGGTGTGGCGGCTCATGCTTGTAATCCCAGCACTTTGGGAGGCCCAGGTGGGTGGATCACCTGAGGTCAGGAGTTTGAGACCAGACTGGCCAATATGGTGAAACCCCCTCTCTACTAAAAACACAAAAATTACCTAGGCGTGGTGGTGCATGCCTGTAATCCCAGCTAGTTGGGAGGCTGAGGCAGGATAATCGCTTGAACCTGGGAGGCGGAGGTTGCAGTGAGCCGAGATCATGCCACTGAACTCCAGCCTGGGCGGCAGAGCAAGACTTCTTCTCAAAAAAATAAAAATAAAATAAAAAATAAAAAGTAAATGTAAAAACCAAGCAAAACAAAAAAACTCAATGAAGCCAATGATTGACTTGGTAAGAGGGTGAAGTGACTATAATACATTCAGTTTTCTCAACTGTAAGATGGAGCTAATAATAGTTCCTATCTGATAGGGTCGTTATGAGATTCTGTTTACAGAATATCTAGCACAGAGTAAGTTCTCAACACGTGTTAACCATTGTAGCCATTAAGTGCAACAACTTTCTTTCTCTCTCTCTCTCTTTTTTTTTTTTTGATGGAGTCTTGCTCTGTCACCCAGGCTGGAGTGCAGTGGTGTGATCTCGGCTCACTGCAACCTCCGACTCCCTGGTTTAAGCAATTCTCCTGCCTCAGCCTCCTGAGTAACTGGGATCACAGGCATGTGCCACCACACCTGGCTGATTTTTTGTATTTTTAGTAGAGATGGGATTTCACCATATTAACCAAGATGGTCTCGATTACCTGACCTCGTGATCCGCCCGCCTGGGCCTCCCAAAGTGCTGGGACTACAGGCGTGAGCTACCAAGCCTGGCCAAGTGCAACAAGCTTCTAAAGCAAGAATGTGGACTCCACGTTCTGATTTGCCCACTTACTAGTTGTGTGGCTTCGGTTGGACTTGTGTTAGTCATTTTTGCTTCTGCTCCTCTGAGTTCTCTTATTTTTAAAATGTGGATAATGGTACCTAGCTCAAAGGGTTTCTGTGAGAGTTAACTGAGTTAATCACTGTAAAGTACTTAGAACAGCATGCTCTAAAGGGAGAAGAAGAGGTGTGGAGAAATGGAGTAGGGTTGAAGAAACTCCTAAAGCTCCCTTGAGTTCAGAAGGGAGATGAGGCCAGCTGGGTATAGTGTGTGTGTGTGTGTGTGTGTGTGTGTGTGTGTGTGTGTTTAGGGGAGGTTGGTGTTGGTCTCAGTGTTATCTAAGTGTGTTGTACAGGCAAGGTAACTGGAGAAAAGGGCAAGGAAAGGCAAGTCTTAAAATTTCTTAGAAAGACCTTTCACAAGCCAGGTGCAGTGGTTCATGCCTGTAATCCCAGCTCTCAGAGAGGCAGAGGCAGGAGGATAGCTTGAGCCCAGGAGTTCGAGACCTGCCTGGGCAATATAGAGAGACCCCGTTCTCCACAAAAAGGAAAAAAAAAATGACAAAAAAAAAAGAAAGACCTTTCAAGAATAATTTCTACCAATGAGTGGATCAAGAAAATGTGGTATGTATGCACCAGGGAATACTACTCAGCCATAAAAAGAATGAAATAATGTCTTTTGCGACAACCTGGAGGGAGCTGGAGGCCATTATTCTAAGCGACGCACCTCGGAAAAGGAAAACCAAATACCATATGCTCTCACTTACAAGGGGGAGCTAAGTTATTAGTACGCAAAGGCATACAGAGTGATTTAACAGACTATGGAGACTCACAAGGGGGAGGATAGGAGGGGCACAAGAGATAAAAAACCACATATTGGGTACTACATATTGGGTAGAGTGACAGGTGCGCTAAAATCTCAGGCATCACTACTATACAATTCATCTATGTAACCAAAAACCACTGGTACCCCCAAAACTATTGAAATTAAAAAATATTTTTAAAAAAGAACTATATCCACCTGTGGCAGAGAAAATGGGGTATAGGGTCTGGACAGAAACAGACCTGCATTCTCCAGAGACCAAGAAAGCTATTAAGAGAGTTTAATTTGGTTCTATGTTAGTGTGGTGTCAAAGCAGGGTGAATTTGCATTAAAGAAGTGTGAAAGTCTAAAGGCAAAGTAGGTCATGAGACACGAGAATTAAATAGGGAGATATGGAGACTGTTTAATGATTTAAACCTCTATCAAGCGAATTGAACAAAGAGAGACTGTTTCTCTGTGTTTGCATGGTCATGGTCATTGTGATCACTGCTCACGTTGGTTGCAGCAGGCTGTCTTGCCAATGGCTGCTATAGCAGTAACAGGGGACTGGTCAGCAAATGTGCATTGCATCAATGACATGGAGCCCATGCCCTTTCACTGGCTTGTTGGTAGTGGTTGCATGGGGCTGGGGACCCCCTCTTGGATCTTTATTGCTGACCTCACTTCTCTGTATCACACAAGTCTCAAGAAGATAGAGAAGACAATAATACTTAATAAAATGAGAAAACTGTTTTATCAATATGTTAAGTGAAAAAAGCAGAATATGAAACTATGTATATGAACCTAATTGGTTAAACATATGTGTAGAAAAATGACTGAAATAAAACAGATTAAAACAGTAAATAATAGTTGTCTAAGGATGGAAATTACAGATGACAATCTTTCCTTTATATTTTATATCTTCTTTGCTTTCATTGATAAAAATGTTTTGCTTTTGCAATTGGAAAAGGTGAAATAAATGTAATTAACTTATAAGAAATGTAAGTTCTTCCTTGTTCAGAGCTTTACACATTGCTCAGCAACAAATGGTTGTTTGCTAATTGGTATGTAAAGGGCAATAAACAAGTTAATTGCTGGCTACATTCTCGAATAGCTAGAGGAAGTTCAAAGCTTCTCAACCTTATTTCAGCTCCAAGAAAGAGGACCTCTGATGTGGGTCAAAGACCTAATGGAGTCCTCAAAAGCCCACCATGCGCCATAGTGGGTGGAGGCTGGGCAGGAGGGAGAAGCTTCAAAGCCCCCTCTTTCCATGACATGCTTCTTCTTCACATCAATTTCCATCACTTCCCTTTCCCTCTCTCAGCTACTGTTAAAAGATGGACTTTTGTATTAGGTTGCTGGGGTTGCCAAAGTAAAGTGCCACAGACTTAAATCACAGAAATTTATTTTCTCAAAATTCTAGGGTCTAGAAGTCTGAGATCGCAGTGGCAGCAGGGTTGGTTTCTTCTGAGACCTCTCTCCTAGCTGGCAGATGCCCTTTTTCCTGTGTCTTCACATGGTCTTCCCTCTCTGTGTGTCTGGGTCCGAATCTCCTCTTCTTATGAAGATATCAGTCATATTGGATTAGAACCCACACTAATGACCTCATTTAACTTAAAGGCTCTATCTCCAAATATAGGCATTTGGAAATACTGGGGGTTAGGGCCACAATGCATAAATTTTTGGGGGACACAGTTTAGCCTATAACAGGATTGAAGTGTCTCCTTTCTTAAGGAGCCATGTCTCTGCTCATAGAGATTCAAAAGAAAGCCAAGGTTGGGCTTAGGAGAAAATAAGCAAAAGTAGAGGCTGCTTAAAGTTTTTGGGTTTGGTATAGCCCACCAGGTTAAGAAATCTGACAGGAATTTGAGTAATCTGAATCCATTCTGCGTTTGCCCAGAGTCTCCTTCTGGACACATAGCCCTCTTAAATCTCTGGCTGCATTGAGGCTGCTTGAGAATTTGAAATCTCAGTCATCTCCTCCTTGGGGACATGGTGAATATGTCATTCTGTTGAACTGATCACCATATTATCGGATGTTTCTACAAAAGCAAAACAGAGTTGAGAGCAGAAATATTAGAATCTTAGAAAGTGACAGGGGCTGGAGGATGAAGAGGTGGCAGGGTAAAAGGATGGGGTACTTTGGTCATATTATCCTTGATAGGCTGGTTGACATTCTCATTCTCTGCTAAGAACAAGCAGAAGCATCCCAGGAAACTCTTATGGGACTTTAATGTGATGAAATGAGAGAGATTATCTCTCTCCTCTGCCTAAGGGATGACTATCCATAGAATGTACTCAGACTTCTTTCCAATCACAGAGATAAATCCTGAAAGTTTTGCAGTATGGTACTGATTTCCTTGACCTACCAGAGTCCAGGTCTATAAAGTTTGCCTTTGCCCAGCCAGCAGATGGTGCCATTTTTCTAGGAAATTGAGCCAGATTCAGCTTGAACTGTCATTTGGCCTTTAGTGTTGTAGGCACTGTGCTCACAGCATGTTGTATAGGGCTTCACAGGTAACCAGTTTCTGTTCGAGGAAAGTCTAGCGCTCTTACCTGCAGTTGAACACACTGAAATCTTCAAGTTTCTCAGTTTAAGTGAAAACTTTTATTTTTAAAATTTCGGGATAATTAGAAGAAAATCTTAGTATTTCCTTTAGAAAAATCTTCCCCCACCCCTCAACTCTCTCTTTCTCTCTCTCTCTCTTTCTCGCATCTTATTCCAACATACCAGGTGGAGCCATCTCATCTTTCCTTTGAAAGGCCCTCTCACAATCCTTCACGCTTACACATGGTGGGTGGACTAAATTCTATAGTGAAATTGTAGCTTTTGAGGAATGAGTACTTCTGAACAGCTGCTTTACTTTTTGGGGGACATCTAGCTGTGTATTTATCTTTTAAGGTATAAATGCTTTCCTTCAAAAAAATATATACATATTCTGAAATATTTGGAAGCCAGTTGCAGATGTTATGACACATCAGCCCTAAATATTCAGCATATAACTCCTAACAATAAAGACTTTCTTCTATGTAACTGCTAAACCATGACCATATCTAAGAAAATCAACAGTAATTTCCAAGTATTACTTAATATCCATTTCATATTCAAAATTTCCTAGTTATTTCCCATATACCTTTCATAGCTGGTTTTATTCAACTGCATCCAATCAAAGCTCACACATTACATTTAGTTGTTTCATCCATTCATATATACATATATATGTGTGTGTGTGTGTGTGTATATATATATATATATTTTTTTTTTTTTTTTTTTTTTTGAGATGGAGTTTCACTCTTGTCGCCCAGGCTGGAGTGCAATGGCACAATTTCAGCTCACTGCAACCTCCACCTCCCAGGTTCAAGCTATTCTCCTGCCTCAGCCTCCCGAGTAGCTGGGATTACAGGCATGCATGACCATGCCCGGCTAATTTTTGTATTTTTAGTAGAGACGGGGTTTTACCATGTTGGCCAGGCTGGTCTTGAACTCCTGACCTCAGGTGATCCACCCACCCCACCTCCCAAAGTGCTGGGATTACAGGTGTGAGCCACCGCTCCTGGCTGAGTGTATGTATATATACATATACATATGTAAATACACATATACATATATACGTATTTAAGTCAAGGCCTATTGTCATTTGGATTATCCTGCATTCTAGATATGTTGCCTCATAGGGTCATTCTTTTTGAGACGGAGTCTCACTCTGTTGCGCAGGCTGGAGTGCAGTGGCACTATCTCGGCTCACTGCAAGCTCTGCCTCCCAGGTTCACGCCATTCCCCTGCCTCAGCCTCCCGAGTAGCTGGGACTACAGGCACCCGCCACGATGCCTGGCTAATTTTTTTGTATTTTTAGTAGAGACGGGGTTTCACAGTGTTAGCCAGGATGGTCTCAATCTCCTGACCTCATGATTCTCCCGCCTCAGCCTCCCAAAGTGCTGGGATTACAGGCGTGAGCCACCACGCCCCACCCATAGGATCATTCTTAACGTGCATTGTTCCTCAGATGTTAGAACCTGAGGCAAGGCCTATATGCTACAATTCTCCTTGGAAGTTCAGGCCTGGGGAGCAGGTGTGGGTGTGTACAGTTGGTAATGAGGCAGGGAAGGGGAGTGAGGTGATATGACTATGTGTTATCATGCTTCCCGTTCTCTACTATTAAGTAGGTTGGCTACTTTATCTTGTGGGATCATCTGAGACAGCATGTCAATGGCTGTTTCTTAAGATGATCTGTTTGAAGGAGACAACAGGGAAGAATGTATCCACCGGCTTTCATACTCCACCGATGCAAGAGTCATGTGCACCCTACAGAGTGAATCCTGCCCTCCTTTCAGTTTGTGCATGAGCAAGCCTGGAACTGGCTGCGAAGTTTCATATCTCTGTCTCGGGGGAAGCCTGGGATGAGAAGCAGCACTGTAGGGTGCTGCCCACATAAAGTCTTCTGGAGCCCAGGCAGACTTGGTTTCTGCAAGGATGCCTGGAGCTGAACACAATGTCCCTGGAGACAGATGAGGCCGAGAGGATCTGATACATAAGTGTGTCTGATGCAATATCTTATCTTTTAACTAGTTCCTCTCTTGCTTGTAGCTACTATAAACTGGAAGTCAGCTCTGAAACCTTGATGAGATTCAGGTAGAATATTTTGGCCAGATAACTTTATAAATGTTATTGTGTACTTCATATTGCACCACATCAGGAGGCACAAAATGCCAGGTTGTTTCACTATTAATGATGCTAAGTTACTTGGTTTTGTTGTGACAAGTAGATCTCTGATTGTAAAGGCCCATTTTCCCCTTTGCAATTAGCAAGCAACTGGAGATATATGACACTGTCCTTTTCCCAGCAATCTTTTAACTAATGATTTTAACATTCATTGATTTAGTCATTTTCTGAATCAATTATTTCACTGGGGGTTGCAAACTTATTAGCCGACATTCTTCTCTGAAGAAGCTTTTCTAGATCACCTGGAGATTAACTACCATTGCTCTTAGGAAGCAGGGAAAATAGTTCTTTTGTTTTAATTTCCAATTTTCAGAGTAAGGAGTTGAAAGTTAAAATAATAGTCATAATCTTCCATGGTGCCAAATTAATTTTGTTTTGTTTTGCCTCCTTTGAGTATTGTATGTGGACTTATGCCTTTTCATTTATTCAATATTTAACAATTCATTATACTTATTGAGGCTACAATTTCCCCAAATTTGCCAAGTAGAAGCCCTGAAAACTGGTTGCTGTGTTTTACTGATATGCCCTTATCATTTCTTTAGTAAAGGCTTCCTTGCTTTCTGGCAAAACAAGATGTCTCATCTTGTCCTTTCCTTGCCCCAGACTTGGAATTCAACCTTTTACTGAGGATATTTGATTCCTTTTATTGGGGAATGGTATTTAGAAGCCAAGATCCAGATACTAGGTATGCTAATTGCTACCGGAGTTTTGGTACTTCTAGACTCTTTCAACGGTCAGAACTAGGAAATCTATTTTTAAAAATCATGAGTTCATCTGATCTCTCCCTGTGACGAAGTCCCCGGGGGAGGGGTGGCCACCCTGTCTGTGATTTAGCTAACATAGCCTTCCCAGCCTCCTGGCTCTAGAGAGTCTGGGCAGTCTGGATGAGGAGGGCTCCCCCCAGCACAGCACACCTGCTCTGCCAAGGGGCAGCCAGATTGCTTCTTTAAGTGGGTCCCTGACCCTGTTCCTCCTGACTGGGTGAGACCTCCTAACAGGGGTCTCCAGACACCTCCTGTAGGAACGTTCAGGCTGGCATCAGGTTGGTGCCCCCTGGGATGGAGCCCCCAGAGGAAGGAGCAGGCTGCCATCTTTGCTGTTTCGTAGCCTTCGCTGGTGATACGTCCAGGGAGGGACTGAGGTGACTCGGATCTGGAGTGGACCCCCAGCAAACCACAGCAGCCCTATGGAAGAGTGGCCTAACTGTTAAAGGAAAACAAACAAACAGAAAGCAATAACAACAACATCAACAACAAAGACCCCACAAAACCCCTATTCACAGTTCAGCAACCTCAAAGATCGAAGGGAGATAAGCCCACAAAGATGTCAAAGAATCAACGCAAAAACACTGAAGACTCAAAAAGCCAGAGTGCTGCTTCTTCTCCAAATGACCCAACACATCTCTAGCTAGGGCACAGAACTGGGCTGAGGCTGAGATGGCTGAATTAACAGAAGTAGGCTTTAGAAGGTGGGTAATAATGAACTTCACTGAGCTAAAGGATCATGTTCTAACTCAATGTAAAGAAGCTAAGAACCAGTACAGGAGCTGATAACCAGAATAGCCAATTTAGAGAGGAACAGAACTGACTTGATGGAGCTGAAAAACACAACACAAGAACTTCACAATGCAATCAGAAGCATCAATAGCAGAATAGACCAAGTGGAGGAAAGAATCTCAGAGCTTGAAGACTATCTTTCTGAAATAAGACAGGCAGACAAGAATAGAGGAAAAAGAATGAACAAAACCTCCAAGAAATATGGGATTATGTAAAAAGACCAAACCTATGACTGATTGGAATACCTGAAAGTGACAGGGAGAATGGAACCAAGTTGGAAAGCATACTTCAGGATATCATCCAGGAGAATTTTCCCAACCTAGCAAGACAGGCCAACATTCAAATTCAGGAAATCCAGAGAACCCCAGTAAGACACTCCATGAGAAGATCAATCCCAAGACACACAATCTTTAGATTCTCCAAGGTTGAAATGGAAGAAAAAATGTTAAGGGCAGCCAGAGAGAAAGGCCAGGTCACTACAAAGGCAAGCCCATCAGACTAACAGTGGGCATCTCAGCAGAAACTCTACAAGCCAGAGGAGATTGGGGGAAGACCAAATAAAAGATATTTGTACTACCATGTTCATCGCAGCGTTGTTTACAATAGCCAAGATACAGAAACGACACTATTCAACATTCTTAAAGAAAAGAATTTCCAACCCGGAATTTTATATCTGGCCAAATTAAGCTTCATAAGCTAAGGAGAAATAAGATCCTTTTCAGACAAGCAAATGCTGAGGGAATTTGACATCACCAGGCCTGCCTTGCAAGAGCTCCTGAAAAAGCACTAAATATGGAAAGGAAAAACCATTACCTGCCACCACAAAAACACACTGAAGTACAGAGACCAGCAGCACTATGAAGCAACCACATAAACAAGTCTGCAAAATAACCAGCTAGCATCATAATGACAGGATCAAATTCACACATAACAATATTAACCTTAAATGTAAATGGGCTAAATGCTCCAGTTAAAAGACACAGAATGGCAAGCTGGATAAAGAGTCAAGACCCAATTGGTATGTCTTTAAGAGACCCATCTCACATGCAAAGACACACATTGGCTCAAAATAAAGGGATGGAGGAAAATTTGCGAAGCAAATGGAAAACAGAAAAAAGCAGGGGCCACAATCCTAGTTTCTGACAAAGAAGACTTTAAATCAACAACAATAAAAAAAATACAAAGAAGGACATTATATAATGGTAAAGTGTTCAATTTAACAAGAAGAGCTAACTGTCCCAAATATATATGCACCCAACATAGGAGCACTCAGATTCATAAAGCAAGTTCTTAGAGATCTACAAAGAGACTTAGACTCCCACACAATAATAGTGGGAGACTTTAACACCCCACTGACAATATTAGACAGATCATTGAGACAGAAAATTAACAAAGATATTCAGGACCTGAACTCAGCTCTGGATCAAGTGGACCTGATAGGCATCTATGAACTCTCCACCCCAAAACAATAGAATATACATTCTTCTCATCTCCACTTGGCACTTACTCTAAAATTGATCACATAATTGGAAGTAAAACACTCCTTAGCAAACGCAAAATAACTGAAATCATAACAGTCTGTTGGACCACAGTGCAATCAAATAAAAAAAAATAAAAAAAAAGAAACTCACTCCAAACCACATAACTACATGGAGATTGAACAACCTGCTCCTGAATGACTCCTGGGTAAATAATGAAATTAAAGCAGAAATCAAGAAGTTCTTTGAAACTAATGAGAACAAAGAGACAACATACCAGAATCTCTGAGATGCAGCCAAGGCAGCGTTAAGAGGAAAATTTACAGCACTAAATGCCCACATCAAAAATCTAGAAAGATCTCAAATCAGCAATCTAACATCACAACAAAAAGAACTAGAGAACCAAGAGCAAACAAACTCCAAAGCTAGCAGAAGACAAGAAATAACCAAGATCAGAGTGGAACCAAAGAAGACAGAGACACAGAAAACCCTTCAAAAAGTCAATGAATCTAGAAGCTGTTCTTTTGAAAAAACTAATAAAATAGACCACTAGCTAGACTAATAGAGAAGAAAAGAGAGAGGAATCAAACAGACACAATTGGAAATGATAAAGGGATATCACCACTGACTTCACAGAAATACAAACTACCATCAGAGGATACTATAAACACCTCTATACACATAAACTAGAAGATCTAGAAGAAATGGATAAATTCTGGGACACACACACTCTCCCAAGACTGAAGCAGGAAGAAATTGAATTCTTGAATAGGCTAACAACACGTCCTGAAATTGGACGGAAAATGTCCAAGACCAGACAAATTTACAGCTGAATTCTGCCAGAGGTACAAGGAAGAGCTGGTACCATGTCTACTGAAACTATTCCAAACAATTGAAAAGAAGGGACTCCTCCCTAACTCATTTCATGAGGGCAGTACGGTGTTTGTCAAGGGCTGAGGGTAGAAGGGAGAAATTGCTTTCAAGGAGTTAAAAGGGAACTTCTTACAGTGAGAGAAATATTCTACATATTGTTTGTGATGCTGATTACTGTATGCATTTATCAAAAATTATACACTGAAAATGGGTGAATTTAATTACATGCAAATTATATAAAACCAATTAAGGAAAAGAAGAAAACATGAGTTCATAATAATATTTCTAATTTAAATTCAACATTATAGATTATTTCTTACCTTCTTTGATTTTATATTTGTATATCTTTCTGTTACACTAAAAATCTTAGTTACCAATATCACTAAACAATTTATTTACAGTACTCCTCTCTTCTGTGTGGGGGATATGTTCCAAGATTCCTGTTTCATGGTGAGCAGAGGCTGAAGAAAGAGGCTGACAAATCAGGTTTCTCAGAAAGAAACATTTAATAGAAACTTGGGAACAGCAGCCATGCCTCCAGTGGGTGGATCCCTACACTGTTACCCCACAGACTGGGGGTTTATATACTGTAGGAAAAGGGTATACATGTTCTATAGGGCAACCTACCAGGAAAAGACAAGTATGCTATGTATGTCACAGCCAATAATTTGTGTGATAACATCAAGGTTGTTTTGACCTAGGGGCAGGGCTTACAGTAAGTACATGCTCCTACACAAGGAACAGTAGATAAAGAGGCATTCCAGGAACTGGGATTAATCAGAAGTCAACATGGTAGATTAGCATCCAAGATGGAGTTACTTTAGCCTCCGTAACTCCCAATGGATTCCTGAAACTGTGAATCATACCAAATTCTGTATATACTACATTTTTTCAATTTGATAACAAAGAAAGCTACTTAGTGACTAATGGGCAGGTAGCACATACAGCATGGATGTGTTGAACAATGCAATGTTTTAAGTCCTGGACAGGATGGAGTGGGATGGTGTGAGATATCATCATACTTCTCAGAATGGCACACAATTTAAAACTTAGGAATTGTTTGCTTCTGGAATTTTTCATTCAATTTATTTGGACTGGGGTTGACAGTAAGTAACAAACTGTGGAAAGCAAAACCATGGATAAAAGAGGACTACTGTTATTTGCTTCACTCTATAACATTTAAAACAACAGCACCAATATTACTACTACTACAAACTAAGTGAAAATTAAAATTTCTTGTAGTTCTTTTTGTCTTCATAACACACCTAACTAAAAATGTATAGCAGTGTATTAAGCTTAAAAGTCACTTGAAATATTTTTTTCTTCTTTGTGATTATGTGAAAATGTTGATATCTATATAAATTTGTTTCATTTTGTTTTATATAAACATTTATTGGCCAGGTGCGGTGGCTCACTCCTGTAATCCCAGCACTTTGGGAGGCCGAGGTGGATGGATCACTTGAGGTCAGCAGTTCAAGATGAGCCTGGCCAACATGGTGAAACCCTGTCTCTACTAAAAACACAAAAATTAGCCGAGCGTGGTGACAGGCACCTGTAATCTCAGCTACTCGGGAGGCTGAGGCAGGAGAATCGCTTGAACCCAGGAGGCAGAGGTTGCAGTGAGCCGAGATCACGTCACTGCACACCAGCCTGGGCAATAGAGTGAGACTCAGTCTCAAAAAAACCCCAAAAAAACAAAAACAAACAAACAAACAAAAATTTGTTTTCAGTAAATTTTATCTTTGAGTTATGTATGTCAACATAAGAATCAAAAATTAAAATTAGGTGAAGATATTCAGAGAAGTCTCACTTTCATTTTTATCCCTTCTACCTGATTCCACCTCTGTCCCCTATAGATGATCACTTCATCATTAGTTTTTGGTTTATCCTTCCATGTTTATTTTTGCAATAACAGACAAGTATGTATTAGTCTTGTTTTTCCTTTACAAAATGTAGCGTACTGTTACACAATTTGACTTTTTCACTTAATAACACACCCAGGAGATCACTCCACATTGGTATACTGAGATCCTTTTCGTTCCATTTTCATGGTTGCATCATACTCCATTATATAGATCTGTTATAATTGATTCATCCATTTCCTTACTGGCAGGTCCATGGGTTGCTCAGAATTATTTTTAAAATTTTTGATTATATTGAATAACAATTATAGAAACTACTTTCCTGTCTTTACATAGTAGTGTTTTGTCTTAATGCCTCAATGCTGATCAATTTTTGCTTAATGGTTGCTGCTAGCTTGCTTTGAATTTGAAAATTAGATCCCCACGCTTGTAATACCTTTTTTTTTTTTTCTTTTTGAGATGGAGTCTCCCTCTGTTGCCCAGGCTGGAGTGCAGTGGCAAGATATCCGGCTCACTGCAATCTCCACCTCCCAGGTTCAAACGATTCTCCTGCCTCAGCCTCCTGAGTAGCTGGGATTACAGGCATGCGCCACCATGCCCAGCTAATTTTTGTTTGTGTGTCTTTAGTAGAGATGGAGTTTCACCATGTTGACCAGGCTAATCTTGAAATCCTGACCTCAGGTGATCCACCCGCCTCGGCCTTCCAAAGTGTTGGGATTACAGGCGTGAGCCACCGCACCAGCCAGTAATAATCATCTGTAAAACAGGACTGAGTAGACGTGAGCAAGACCCCAGGGAACATATTAGGTAAACTGTCCTATTTGGACCTATTCAGAAACTTATATTCGGAAGGTATTTTTATGTCTTATTTTGCTCTTTTGTTTAAAGCTACTCTTTAATTATCAGAGGAAAGTAAGTTTCTACAAAAATAGTTGTCAATCTGGAAACTGGATCATGTGCACTTCCATGATTGAGACAGCAAAGCTTTCCCACTCCAGAGACAAGTTAGATTTGGTGGAGAGAGAGAGAGTGAAAAGTAAAAATGCTAGGCATCTAGGGAGATGGTCAACACATCCATAAAGCAATATGCACAAATACACAGGTAAAAATATGCCTGCATATAGCTGTAATGCCTGAAAACATGCCTTTAATACCTAATAAATTTTTTCTGCTTTTCTCACTCAGTGTTATAAGCATTTTCCCACGTTATTAAGAACTCCATTGGGTGTGATTTTTAAATAGCTGGAAGTAATGCATTGTATAGAGCAAAACATTAAAATTTTTCTTTTATTAGTGAGTCTCTTTCTATTAAAACAGAATCCACGTAGAAATCCCATATATGGTTCAGACAAGATTCTGACGATTCATTAGGCAGTTTTGGCCATTATATTTTGATCTTTTATAGCTTTTCTTGTTTTCTTTCTTGTTTCTCCTTTGTTCTTATTTCATTGGTGAAACATCTCATCTCACTGAAGTTATCAATTTGTTTTGTAGTTTTCTTCTATTTTCTGCATTGTCTCTGTTTCCTCCGAGCTACATTTTTCTGTTTGTTTCAGTCTGTCTATTTCATAAGGAAGGCTTTCCTCACGTCTAGTGGTTTGTGGCTGTGCATTGATATTTCAGAGTGAGGCACTAACATGCTGACTGGAATCTCTGTGCAGGTGGGTGAAACCTGGGGGGGTCCTAAATGCCTGAGCCTATAGATGTATTCTTTGGGACCATTCAGTTCTTCCAGAGAAACGTCCTGGAGTCCGGTCCTGGAATCCAGTCCTGGAAGATGTATTAATAAGCCTGGTGGCTGGTTCTCTTGAACAGAAAGCTGAGGAAGAGAGCTGAGGGTCTTGCAGCTCAGTGTGCAGACTGTCAATTAATTCCCATTTTTAATCGGAGGCATCATCATCACAACCCTCTGCCGTACTTGAGTCTTCAAGTACAGAGTCTTTCTGTTTCAGTTCTCTGGATATTAAATCTCCTGTCTCTTTTGGGGAACAGTTGAGGGTGGTTGCCTGACTGCTCAAAGAGATGGTGGGATGTGGGACTTTTATTGTTTTCCCTAGGGATTTCCAATCAGTATTTTGCCACATGCTTCTCCCCCACTGAGGCTGAGACTGCCAGTTTCTTCTTTTTTTAATTTAGAAAATCTTTGATGCTTTGTACCTATGTATGGAGTATAATTTGATGTCTTGATACATGTATATGTTACATAATGATCCAATCTGCGTATTTAGTGTATCCGTCATTTCATGCATTTAGCATTTCTTTGTGGTGAGAACGTTCAAAAACCTCTCTTTTAGCTATTTAGACTGCCACTTCCTGAGTCTTTCAGGGGTTCTGTGGGGGTAGATCAGCTTTTTCTCATTGGTATCTTCCTTCATATGCACTTGCATTTCAGCTTCTTTCAGCTCTGCCAAATCAAATCTAATTTCTCCATCTGTTTTCCACTCCTGAAATTTTATCAAAATATCACATCCACTATTATCCCTTCTATAGTTCTCTTTGTACTTGTCATTCATCCTTTACTGTTGTTTTAATGGAGTTTTAGAAGCATGCAGAAGTCTACATATCTGTCCTTCATATTTACCTGAAAACCTCAAGCAGTTTAAATCTCCACTGTTTGGGACAATGCATGTTGTTTATGAAATATATGATGATCCCCCAAAGCCCACCATAAATCCTAGTGTACACTGTACCACAATTACCGAACCATTACCCTAGTGTTGTGCAGTTAGAAGATCTCCAATTTGATACTATGGCAAGGGCACAATGAGCATTTTGTGCATAAATTATCATCCACAGTTATGGCAATTTTTCTGTTTAAATTGTTTGAATTTGCATTTCTTCAAGTTTATTTTTTCTCCCAAATATATAGTAGAGATCTGCTTTTCTTCTTTTGTAAATTATCTATTATAGATCATATTTATATTGTCTATTATTATAGTATTTATATATCATATATAATATGTACACATGCATATTATATATTTATATGTGTCAATGTGTAATAACTATAACATTTTTCTGGATTAATGTTTGCCTTATAATTTCTCCATACTTTTGCAGATGGAGATGACATTTTTAATTTTGGACAAACACATCAGATTGTTTCTTTTAGACACAGGGTCTCGCCTAAAGGTATGTACCATTATGCCAGGCTAATTTTTAAATTTTTTGTAGAGACAAGGTCTCACTATGTTGCCCAGGCTGGTCTTGTATTCCTGGCTTCAAGCAATCTTCCTGCCTCAGCCTCCCAAAGAGTGAGCCACTGCACTGGCCAATGCTTAGTAAATATGTCTGATTTTGGAGATAAAGAGGTGAGAATCAGAGTCAAAGGTCAGATTTCTGAGACTGCTGCAGCTTACTATGGGAAACATGTGGAGAGAGAAGCACTGGGGGAGTGGGACAAAAACTGAGATTTGGGAAATGCTTACAGCAAAGGGGAGAAGGAGAAGTGGACTTGGTGAAGATGAGGCAGAGAGGTGCCTGAGAGGGCTGCATTGGGGTCTAAGTACTATGCTGAAGAGTTAAGGACTTATGAATGGGGGCCAGGAATGGTGGGTGGCTCAAGCCTGTAATCACAGTACTTTGGGAGGCTGAGGTGGGCGGATCATCTGAGGTCAGGAGTTCCAGACCAGCCTGGCCAACATGGCAAAACACTGTCTCTACTAAAAATAAACACACAAAAAATTAGCTGGGTGTTGTGGAGGACACCTGCAATCCCTGCTACTCGGGAGGCTGAGGCAGGAGAATCACTTGAACTTGGAAGGCGGAGGTTGCAGTGAGCCGAGATGGTGCCACTGCACTCCAGCTGGGGCGACAGAGCGAAACTCTGTCTCCAAAAAATAAAAAATAAGGCTTATGAATGGGTAAAATGATCCTGCCCAATCGTACCCTTTCTTGCCCATATGTTAAAGCCCCAACGCCATTCCTGTAGACGCTGCTGGGCACATCTGAAGACAAACAAGGTGGTGAGAAGATGTGTTAAATTTTCTCAGTGATATAAGTTTATCTCACCAGAACTGCCTTTAGCACTTAAAAGCACTGCCTTCTCAAGTGAAGCTAGTGCTGCAGATTAAAAATGCCAGGGAATCCCAGTCCTCAACCATTCCTTTTCTTTTCCTATTTAAGGAAGAATTATTAAGAAGCTGAATTATCAAGGCTATTGTTTCTCAAATAGAAAGTTTAGTTCCACAGAGGAGTAGTGTGTGTCTTCCATTAGGAAGCGTGAATAGGAGCTACAAAACCCCCCACAGTTGATAGGGAAATGATTTTTCAAACAGGACGTTTTGACTTTGCTTCTTCCCATTCTTGGGCTTGTTCTTGCTATCTTCCTCTGCCTCCTATCTTTAACACCACCACTCTAATAAGAAGAACTCTAACCCGCTGTTTTGTAAGGGTGGCTCCTGGCAAAAACCCACTATGTTTTGTTGGGGTCGGGGGGATTACTTAGAATGCAGAAGCAATGCTGGATTGATGAGGCTGTAGGGAGCGGGGCAGACTGAGGAAGGGAGCACAGAATGAAAAGGTTTGTGAACCGTATCTTTGTTGAAGATAATTCTTGCTCCATCCTTTATCAAATGCATTTAGTTACTTCACAAATATTTCAGTAAAAACTGTATTCATAGAAAAGATTAGAGGCTACATTGTCTTTAGTCCCGTAGCCTAAGTTTTAATAGCATCACAGCCTTGTTTCTGTTAGATTTCTGCTGTTTTCATTCAGATCAGTGACATATGAATACATCCTTAGTGGTACACAGCCTCTCATCTTTCAGTGTCTAAATGTAGGGTATTCTGACAAAGTTACCCCTTGATGATTCCTTAGATTTTCTAAAGATTGCTTTTTACTATCAACTTGATCACATATATTTCCATGGCCTTAAAATTAATGCCTGTTAAAGTGACCCAAGCCTAAATCTTGGCTCTTGATTTTTCATTCTAATGAGAATTACTGTGATGAAGGAGCAGTGATTTGAATAAACAAACATTTACTGAGTGCCAACTGTGTGCAAGACCTAGTGATGCTGTTCTTGTTGCACTGTTTGTTTGAGTAGAACGCTATGTGTGCACCGATGCAGGGAACAGAGGCAGGCAGGGTAGAGGAAAGCTTGGAAAGTTTTCAAGATTAATTAGCATGAAGGTGGGGCATTTGGGATATCTGGCACCAGATAGTAATCAGCAGTACTAATTATACTCTCATATTAAATCAGTTGTGGTGGATGAATTGGAATCCATCAGCCAGTATGGCTAAGGATGCTGCAGCTGTTGTGAGTTCTCTTTACGTATTTCCATAGCTCATGTGTTGGTGGGTTGCATTTTATTCTTCTGGATTTCTATTAAAGAAAATAATCCCCAGTTTTTTCAGTTTTACTAGAAAATTTCTAGTACAATAAAGTTGTAGTAGAAATTAAACTTTCTACTTAAAATCGATGCCAGTAACCCAAGCCTAAATCTTGGCTCTTAATTTTTCATTCTAATGAGAATTACTGTGATGAAGGGGCGGTGATTGGAATGAGAGAAAGATGTGTGAACATACAAATCACCTGGAATGATGCTTTCTCAGTGGAGTCACTGTGCAGTCAACACTTTGTATTTTCAACCTCTGGGTAAATAGGTAAGTGTACTTACATTACTACACAGGATGTGTGAATGGATCTTGTAGCATGAGTTCTAAATTATGTCATTTCATAGCTAGATGCTATAATATGTTCTGTTTATTAATATTCCTACTGATAAATTAGATGGCAATTGGAGCTGAGTGAGCTGGCTGGTGGGGTCAAGAATGGGTGCATATTTCAGCAGCATCCTTCTGGCAGGTTCAGGTTGAGTGGCATGTGAAGGCTGGTGTGGCCTTTATTTGGTTTGGCTGGAGCTATTTTTCTCTAGATTCATCACACTATAATTTGGGCATTAGCCCTAGGGCACTGAGAAGATATTTGTGCCATTTTGAAGGGAATTTAACTCCACTGAATGTGTTAAATGCATATGATTGGCATTCAACACATTTAATATTAAGCATCCTAGGACAAGACATAAAAATGTAAAATGTACACCTTTCTTTTTTTTTAAAGAAAAAAAATCAGTGATTAAGAATGTTTTTAGTGGCTGGGCATGGTGGCTCATGCCTCTAATCCCAGCACTCTGGAAGGCCGAGGTGGGTGGATCACTTGTGGTCAGGCGTTCGAGACCAGAATGGCCAACGTGGTGAAACCCTGTCTCTACTAAAAATACAAAAATTAGTCGGGTGTGGTGGCGGACACCTGTAATCCCAGCTACTTGGGAGGCTGAGGCAAGAGAATTGCTTGAACCCGGGAGGTGGAGGTTGCAGTGAGCTGAGATCATGCCACTGCACTCCAGCCTGAGCGACAGAGCAAGACTCAAAAAAAAAAAAATGTTCTTAGTAAGCAGCCACATGTATTCACATAAGATGATGCCTTGGAGAGGGAGAATAGTCTGTCCTCTGTATTTTCTGTAAATTGGTAGTTAGAGCTAGAGCCTATCAACTCTAGAGGATAACTCAGATTTGGATTAAATTATTTTTGACAAGAATATTTCTTTATTATTATCATTTTTTTCAAGAAGAAGTCTTACTCTGTCACGTAGGTTGGAGTGCAGTGGCACAATCTTGGCTCACTGCAACCTCCACCTCCTGGGTTCAAGCGATTCTCCTGCCTCAGCCTCCCGAGTAGTTGGTATTACAGGAAACTGCCACCACACCTGGCTAATTTGTGTATTTTACTAGAGATGGGGTTTTGCCATGTTGGCCAGGCTGGTCTCGAACTCCTGACCTCAGGTGATCCGCCCACCTTGGCCTCCCAAAGTGCTGGGATTACAGGCATGAGCCACCAGCTCAGCCAAGAGTATTTCTGTAGGTGGTGGTGAGTATATGTACAACAAGTCATAGAATTCTTGGTTGTTTCTCTTTTGTTCTGTTAGCAGTCACTGATGATATTTTCCTACATCTCCTCCTTATTAGAATTTGTAAAATATTGATATTTTAATTTTTTCTTTTTTTTTATTAACTGGCATATTTTGAGAGAGAAACTTCCCCTTCCCAACTATTTGGTTACCCTGAGATATAGTTTATATAGAAAAGTCAGGATAAATGCTTACTTTGGGGGCCATAAATGGATGGATGGTTTTTCTAACTAACAAGATATTATTATATTTGCCTCAGATAGTGAATAGTATTTTAAGAAATTAAAAAATATTAAAATAAAGGTAAGAAAAGCCATTTTACACTAACCCAGGTGTTTGCTTTTTTGGGTGCCCCTAACTTCTTCTTACACCTCAGGGCTCCCCTCTGGGATAATTCAACTCCAGCCTTTGGAATTTCTTGTGATGCAGGGGCTTGCAATGAATTATTTAACCTTTTGTCTTTTTGAATATGTCTTTATTTTATCATAATTTCTGAAGGATCATCTAGTGGGATATAGAATTCTAGGTAGATAGTTTTTTTATTTCAACACTTTAATAATGTCATTCAGTTGCCTTTTTTTCCTGATGACAAGTCAGGCATCATTTGTTTCATTGATTCCTGCATATAATATGTCATTTTTCTCTGACTACTTTAAAGCTTATTTTCAGTATTGGTTTTTAGCTGTTTGACTACGGTACGGCTAGTTGTTTTTATTTTTAAATTTTTTTTTAACTTGCTGAGGTTTGCTGGTATTCCTATATTTATTCTGCCTGAAGTTGATGTATTTAATCAGTTTTGGAAAATCATTGGTTATTATGTCTTTAAATATTTCTAGTGTCTTTGTTTCATCTCTTTTTCTCTTCTTTTGGGACTCCAATAACACATGTGTTAGACTGTTTGATATTGTTCCTCAGATCTCAGATGTTCTATCCCACTTTCCCCCATTCTTTTTGTATTTCCTTTGGTATAGTTTTTTTGAGGAAATGATTTCTTTAATTTTATCAGAATTCAAGATACAACAAGAAAAACACCCCAAAACACATGGAGACAGAAGATGAGACACAACTCCTTCCCACTGCCTCCATGCTTAGAGTGGGACAAACTGGGGATGAGACAGCTGGGGGAGACCTGAACCTCAGTCAGCAGGCTCCAGAACTGTGCAGGAAGAGGGTAAGGGGGAGGCAGAGCCTAGCCCTACAGTGAGGGGAAACAGCTGAGGAAAGACCCCCTTGAAAGACTCCACCTCCTCACCAACACTCTTGCCCAGGGATGGGGAGCCCAAAGCAGCAAGGGGGCCCTGGGGCCATGGCCGTGTTTATGATTGAGAAGCAGCTGGAGTAAAGGGAGGAGAGACACATGATTATCTGGGCAGAATCAGTTGGGGCAGGGACCTGGAAGGGTCCCATGGGCCAAACCCTGAGGTCACAGGAGGAGACCCAAAGCAGGGCTAGTGAGTGAGGTCCTGAGTGAGTGGGTCAGCAGCTAGGGCCCTTTCTCCAGCTGCCTACAGCCCCTCCAATACTGCTGCCAGGGGGGCCTGCCTCCAGGGAAATGGGGTAAGAAAGCAGCCCACCCTTGCTGCAGATAGAGCTAAGTGGCTGAGGCCAGTAAGGAAGGGCTGGCCAGGCCTTGCCACCTGCCCCAGAGGTCTGTGGGAAGAGAACAGGTCAGGAAGGGTGGGGACAGGGGCTCAACAGGCTCAGATCCAAGATGGTGCCAAGGTTCCAGCTTGTTTGCTGGGTCCCCCATGAGGTAGGGACTGCACTGGGGACTAGAAACTCTAGTTAGATAGGAGACAGCAGCTTCTCAAGAAATTCCTTCACAGCTGCCATGTCCTAAGGACAAGAGCTGTGCATGACACCGGGATATGTCTCGAGCTGGACCCCAGCAGGTATGACAACAGAACGGAGCTTCTCGGCCATCAGGGCCCCAAACTATATGGGCAGCATGGGGATCAGCTTACCATGGCACTAAAGAATCGTCAGGTCCTTGGCACTGCTGTTGACTGCCTGGGGGAAGGCCCAGAGCAGAGGCAGCCAGAAGCTCAAAGCCACAATGCCAGCCAGAGGGCTGGGTGGAGGGGCAGAGCCCCACCCTGTGAAAAGCTACCCAGGACAATTTGATTGGCAGGGACCACATTCTTCATCTAGTGCTCAATCAAGTCCTTGACTTGGGGGAGGGGGCATGACTGGATGTGGGGAAGCTGCCAAGGGGCCCAGGAAGGGAGCCAGACAGGGGCACTGCCCAGTGCTTTCCTGGG